>NC_000015.10:59526874-60151874 GCF_000001405.40 Homo sapiens | reverse complement strand
ATCTGACTTAGTAAACAAAGAAACCCTAGGGCTCCTGAGTAGGCTCCTTCCTCAAGACTCCTCTAGGATCCACAATGTGGCCAAGTGAAGCCACTTGTTAGAATGCTTATAAAAGACTTCTCTAGAAAAACCAGCTTATACAGTGAAGGCCATTCCTGGGGATTGTGGGTGGGAATGAGGAGACAGGAAAATCCCCATGGACAGTTTTCCTTGCTCCATTAATATACATGTGCAACCAGCTAAAGTGACTATACCTGGAAATGAATTGGGAGGAGAAGATGGTTGAGGGGGAGCGTCAACCCTTTGCCTTCTTGATGGTGAGGTGGGGGTATGGCCTCTGGGAGCACTGTATGCATTCAGATCTCCAGGACTATAGCTGCTTTCCTGGAATTTTTAGCAACATTAGTATATTTTAATGACCAAGGCGGCAGTTTGGTCACATCTGCTTAAAAATGCCCAGACTGCCGAGCGCAGTGGCTCATGCCTGTAATCCCAGCACTTTGGGAGGCCGAGGTGGGCAGATCACTTGAGTCCAGGAGGTTGAGACCAGCCTGGGCAATATGGTGAAACTTTGTCTCTACAAAAAAATATAAAAACTAGCCGAGTGTAATGGCTTACGCCTGTAGTCCCAGCTACTCGGGAGGCTGAGGTGGGAGAATCACCTGAGCCTGCGGAGGTCGAGGCTGCAGTGAGTCATGATCATGCCACTATACTCCAGCTTCGACAACAGAGACTCTGTCTCCAAAAAAAAAAAAAGAACCCAAAACCCAGACTGTGGTGAACTTGTTTACTCACTTGCTGATGGGCTGCGATGAAAAACGCAGCAATAAAGAATACAGTAAGGACTTTGCACTATTATGCTCTGCTGTTTAATATTTAATATAGTTGCCCAAACTGCTCCCTTATTTTATGCATTTATTAAACTTCATACACAAAATACTAATCAAACAATTATGATTGAATAAATTGTTTATTTGAAATAAAAATGAAAGAGTAGCGATCTGACTCTGCATTGAAATCTGGTGCTTTGCCACCCACCTGCCTGGAGTTCAGGCAAGATCTGCCCACTGGGACCCTCAGCGTTGCTTGCTGGGGGTGCCTTATATTCAGGCACTTGTATTTGTCAAGTTCCACACCCCTTGAGGGCATCTGTTCTAAGTCTGCTTGGTTGAATATTCAAGCTACTGCACTTAACAGAAGACACAGTACTTGGCAGGGAATAGAACTTTGAACCCAGAGCTGCTGCTTATCAAATGCTCAACTGGAGAGACACATATCTGTGGAGGGTTTCCTGAAGCAAAGGATCTTCATGCCCTCATCCAACGTGGTCCAATCCAACCCAGGAGCTGAACAGATCACAGGAGAGCTAGGTACCCCTTTGGTGTCATTTTGACAACCTCCCTGTCTTGCTGAATTGCTTACACTGAATTGCATTTCTTTCAGCCAGAATTCACCATTGGCTTGCACTGAGCAGTGTTTAAATGAAAGAGGGCTGAAAGACCTTGTATTTACTTAAAGGATGTTGAAATCCATTGCTCATTACATTCAATATGTGAATGTCTAAATATTTTTCTTTATGAAAAATTTCAAACATACAGAAAATAATAAACCATGACTGGGTGCAGTGGCTGGCACCTTATAATCCCAGCACTTTCAGAGGCTGAGGCAGGCAGATCATTTGAGCTCAGGAGTTCAATACTACCCCGGGAAACATGTTGAAACCCCATCTCTACAAAAAATACAAAAATTAGCTGGGTGTGGTGGCGTATGTCTGTAGTCCTAGCTACTGGGGAGGCTGAGGCACGAGAATTGCTTGAACCCAGGAGGTACACATTGCAGTGAGCCGAGATTGCACCACTGCATTCCATCCTGGGTAACAGAGTGAGAATTCATCGAAAAAAAAAAAAAAAAAGAAAAAATAATAGACCCCAAAGTAGTTGTGAAAAGTTTACTTTTTGCTATATCTGCCTTATTTTTGAAAAGGAAAGAAAATGTTATACAGTTTAATGCCCCTCCCCAATCAATTCCCACTCCCTAGAGGCAACCACTTTTCCAGAGTTGATATGTTATCTTTCCTGTCCGCATTTTGTGTACTATTAGTGCATGCCCAAGTGTTTACAAACAACATGTAATATTGCTTTGAAGGTTTTCAAAGGTTTACTTGAGAATCACACCGTGCATCTCCTTTTACACACAGTGGGCTCTTTATGAAGATGTGAGAAACTTTTATTAGATCTTATATTGAACATCTAATTCATTGTTCTCATGGACATTCTGGAACAACATATAAATGGTTTACTTCTCTGTGCAGTGGTGGTTGGGAATGTGGACTCCAGTTTGTCACCTACCTTCATTAATTGTAGAACCTTGCAAGGACATTTTGTTTATTTCATTAAAATAGTCCCTTAGCTTATTTTCGCTTTGCATGCATTTCATCATTTAATTTCTTGAAGCTTGTTACCTTTACATTCCTGTTACAAGATCCTTTTTTGCTATTTTTTGAGCTCCATCTTTATCTCCTCCATTCAATGCCTCTTCAAGATGTTTACTAGTTACCAGCAGGTGCCACATACCACAGCTTTTTTCCCCTCCCTCCCCAGCCCCACCCCCACCCCCACAAGCATCGAATGCAGGACAATTGGCAGAATTTACTATATGTTAAGTATGACATTGTGTTTAGCAAAATAAGTTTTATACAGCCACAATCTGGGTGCATTATCTGTCAATATCCAAGAAAATGGGTACAAAATGTGCAGTGGATTCCCATGTTAAAATACTTCCTTCCCAGAAGTGGACCCCTGTCATTTATTCCCCAGTCTAAAAGTTGTTTACAGGGATAGGAAGAGCCTAGGATTGCAGGCTGATGAGCACGTATCACAATATTTTTATATTTTGGAGCCAAATCAATTGCATGGCAAGAGAGCAGAAGCCTGGAGAAGCTATTAACAATTTAAGAACTTATCATTTACCATTTCCACTAGTATAAGAATGTCAATTTCATTTCCAAAGAGAAGCATAGAAATGATGTGTTTTATGAATAAGGTCTTACAGCTGCAACTAAGATACTTAGAGACATATTTTATATAGTATAATATTAAAATGTCAGAATTTTACCCTTGAGCCTTTGCTCAGTTTCCCTCCAATTTACAGTTAAGCACAACTCGGGGACAGTTCCTAAAAGCAGTCATTCTAAACATATCCGAACTCATCTTCCTGGGGTATAATGGCCACCTTGACTGACTGTGTTACCTCAAAGATAACCAAGCGATCCTCCAACTTCAGGCAGGAGACAAAAGGAATTATGTACGA
This sequence comes from Homo sapiens, assembly GCF_000001405.40. NCBI lineage: Eukaryota > Metazoa > Chordata > Mammalia > Primates > Hominidae > Homo > Homo sapiens. The sequence goes on along the minus strand of NC_000015.10, from coordinate 60,148,565 downwards.
ATTTCAGTATAAAATAACATTTTCAAATGTTATTGGAAGTAATGAAAATACTTGATTGAATAGGGGCAAATGTGTCTATAAGATGTACAGAAAAGTATCTAAAATGTGTTAAAGTAAGGATGAATCTTAATACCTTGATGATCATTTATGTGTTCAATTAAGACTATTTTTATACTTACAACTAATATCCAATTTATTCTGTTAATAAATAATATAGCTTTATTAATACACTAATCTTAATGTATGCCTTACTCATATATGTATACATTTATGTATCAAAAAATATTCAGTGAGTTTATATTGTGTTCTTGGGTACTGGAAATACAAAGATGAGTAAGAGCTGTATCATGTTCTCAAGAAACTTACAACTTGATGGAGAAAATGATAACTATACAAAAGTGTGATAACTGATACGGTTGATGAATTTTGATGAAGATATAAAGTGAAAACACGGATAAAAAGTAATTAATCCAGTCTGAAAACATCAAGGAAAGTAAGAAATAGGAAGTTACATTTGAATAAGACTAGCTTAAGTATTTCCTAGCTCCCCCAGGGTGGATTTAATCTTCCTTTATCTCTTGCCCTAGAATAATATATACTCATCTTCATCATGTATTTATTATCATATTTTGTTATAGTTAGTGTTCTCATATCCTTCTACTTTACTAGATAGAACTCCTTGGGGACAAAAGTATGTCTTATTTAACATTGTATGCTGAGTATCCAGCACAGAGTAGGAGCTCAATAAAACGTTTGTTGAATGAATAAACACTAAACGATTTGGATTGTCCTTTTTCAAATTTGAGGAAGTATTGCATTTTAAATATGGCAAATTCACATGTAGATTTTGTCAACTATGATTTGAGTTTATCTCATTCTTTTGGAATTGTCCCATTTCACACAAAATAATACCCAATTTGAGAATCTGGAATAGATATTCTCTTAGACAGTTGGTATTCTGCTCTTTACACAAAGTTATAGGAAGAGAGTCACTGAAGGAAAAAGAAAAGGCTGTAAAATATTAGAATGTATTTGGAACACCAAGGCCAAAAACGTCTTTGAAGTTCTAAACAAAGCTGTTCGCTGTTTCAACCATGGTCACTGGAAGGTCAAGGAAGCATTCAAGACCCAAACTAAAGGCTTGGTCTTGAAGCATAATGTCAGTTCTTGACATTAAGTCTCTAACCTCTACTTTCTCCTGAACTTAAAACAGCAGTAGCAGCTCACCTGCAGCACAGCTAGTCTTAGCAGGAGTGGAGAGATCTCTTAATTCCCTTTACTCAATTTTCTTCTCTTACTACTTTTAAACAAGGAATCAGTCCCACAATGGCTACAGAAGACCACCAGGAAACTTTTTAGAGAAATGCTAACTTATAAAACTTACTTCACACATCCCAGTCCCTCTCTCTTTACACATGCTTGTAAAAAGGAAATGTGTATATACACAGATAGACATACATATGACATATATATGTTTAATGGAAAAGAATCATGTGTCCAAAGTCATAAATTTGTTTACATTTCTGAAATATTACTGTTTTAGATAGAAATAAATTAGAACTGGCTTCTGATTCTGGAGAGTCAGCTAAACATATTACAGGAAGCTAAATTCTTTTGCATCCTTAAGTCACATAGAAATGACAAAATAAAAATCGGGAAGCCACAAAGGCACTGAAGAATCATGGGGCCTGTAATTTGGGGCCTGCTTTCCTTTAAAAGGCTTTGGTCCTGCTTAGAGGAGACAAGTGACAAGGGGGAAACTGAGCAGAGTCTTGAGAGGTTTAAGGGTCCACAGGACAAGAACTAGATTTTAGGATTTGACAAAGAGAGGCCAGACTTTTAAAACCTCCAAGCATGTAGTTAGGATCATAATGGACTATAACATAAAAATAGACCAGACAAGAATGGAAGCCCTGCTTTGAAGCATCTCAATCTCCAACTAACGTGATCTGGAAATGCAAGTGCCCTTAGCCTAAATGCCTTCCAGAAGCAAATGAAAATTCTCTCTGGAGGAAGATAATGTCTCCACATAACTGAAGTTACCACTATAATTTTTAACATACAATATTTGATATTTGATTAAAAAGTAACCAGACACATAAGGAGGCAAGATAACAAGACTGAAACCAAGGGAAATAACAGAAAATAGTAACAGAGGCTCTAGACAACAGAATATAAAACAAGGACTTTGAAATAACTGTGCTCAGAACATTCAAGGAAATTAAAAAGCAAGATTAAAAAATTTGGAAAGGGCCGGGGATGGTGGGTCATGCCTGTAGTCCCACCACTTTGGGAGGTCAAGGCAGGTGGATCACCTGAGGGTCAGGAATTCGAGACCAGTCTGGCCAACATGGCAAAACCCTGCCTCTACTAAAAATACAAAAATTAGCAGGGCTTGGTGCACACTTGTAATCCCAGCAGTTTGGGAGGCTGAGGTGGGTGGATCACTTGAGGTCAGGAGTTTGAGACCAGCCTGGCCAACATGGTGAAACCCCATCTCTACTAAAAATACAGAAATTAGCCAGCCATTGTGATGGGCACCTGTAGTCCGAGCTACTAGGGAGGCTGAGGCAGGAGAATCGCTTGAACCTGGGAGATGGAGGTTGCAGTGAGTCGAGATTGCGCCATTGTACTCCAGCCTGGGTGACAGAGTGAGACTCCATAAAACAAATAAATAAATAAAATCAAAGATAAAGACTTAAGAGCAAAAGAAAAGATAGTCTTCAAAAACACTGACAGACTCTCAACAGAACAAAATCAGGCCAGGTGCGGTGGCTCATGCCTGTAATCCCAACACTTTAGGAGGCTGAGGTGGGCGTATCACCTGAGGTCAGGAGTTCGAAACCAGCCTGGCCAACATGGCAAAACCCTGTCTCTACAAAAAACGTAAAAATTAGCAGGGCGTGGTGTCATGCGCCTGTAGTCCCAGCTACACGGAGGCTGAAGCACAAGAATTGCTTGAACCCGCGGGGCAGACGTTGCAGTGAGCCAAAATTGTACCACTCCACTCCAGCCTGGGCAATAGAGCAAGACTCTGTCTCAAAAAAAGAAAAAAAATTAGAACCTGGAAGATAAATGAATATTATTATGAAAGTGCCTAGACATTTATACCCAGTAAAAAGACCCTCCAAAAAGAAGGTGAAACAAAAATATTTTCAGCCAGGAAATAAACTGGTAATTTAGGCCTATACTAAAGGAAATAATAAAGATGTTCTTCATGCAGGAAGGAATGATACCAAATAGAAGATTGCAAATGGACAAAGAATGAAGAACAGAAATGGTAAACATGTAACTAAATCTAAATAGATATTGATAGTATAAAACAATTATAACAATAATACTATTGGATGAAATTTATGTATAGAGAGAAGTAAAATATGTAATAGCCATACCATACAAGTTCTAAAGCCTTGCCTAGTCAAGGAAGTGGTGAAAATACTGATTTGTATTAGACTTTGATAAATTAAGAATGCATTTTATAATCTCAGGAGAACCACTGAAAGAATAGTAAAAGAATTCATAAAAATAATTTATAACTACAAAGAATAGTAATAGAATGTATAACTTTCCCAAGCCAAAGGAGGAGAAAATGGAATAATCATAACAAAATCAATCTAGTGGAAGGCAAGAAGAAAGGGAAAAAGAGAGATGAATAGGTACAAATAGAAAAAAATAGAAAGGTGGTGTATTTAATCCCAAATATATCAGAAATTGCATTATAGAAAAATGAAACAAATATCCCAATTAAAATACAAAAATTTTCAGACTCAATACAAAGACCAAACCCAACTGCATGCTGCTAAAACAAGGCATATCTCAAATATAAGGATATGAAAAAGTTAAAAGTCTGAGAAAAAAATATAGCATGCCAACCTAAACTGAAGAGGAGCATTTTATGATAAAAGCTTCAACTCGCCTGGAAAACGTAACAATACGAACTCTGTCAGAACATTGGCAGGTCTAAGAAACCAATAAATCCACCATCATGGTGGCTGACCTCAACACATCTCTGGGTAACAGAAAGAACAAGCAGACCAAAAATCATTAAGAATGTAGATGTTTACAGCAACATGTTTAACAAACTTGACTGAATTGAGAGATATTATACAAAACTCAATGCTGAAGACTAGACATTCTTTTTAAATGCAAGTGAGAATTTCCCAAAATTGACGACTTTTGGCCATAAAGCAAAGATGAATACATTTCAATGTATTAAAATGATATAAAGTATGTTCTCCGACCATAGTCGTACTAAGCTAGGAAGAAATAACCACAAAGAAAGTGAGCCAATTATCATATGTTTGGAAATTAAGCAATACATATCTAAATATGATAAGAAAGAAGAAATCACACAGGAAATTAGAGAATATTCTGAACTGAATGATAATGAAAATACTACATATCAAAACTTGTGAGAGGCAGCTACAGCCTTCTTAGAAAGTATAGTACTAAAAACAGATGTTAAAAAGGAAGGAAGGATGAAAGCCAGTAATCTAAGCACCTGTCTCAAGAAGTAAGAAAGGGTCAGAAACTAAAACTAGATAGTGTAAAAGGAAAGAAGTTTTCATAAGAGCAAAAATTAATAAGAACAAAATGCATGAGGAAATCAATACAGCCCAAAGTTTCTTTTAAGAAAACCTATGAAAATGGATAAATCCATGGTGAGTCTGATCAAGGAAAAAATAAAGATTGCTTAAATAACCAATATGAAGAATACAAATAAGCAAGTTACAAAAAAATCTTTTCACCATTAAAAAGATAATAGTGGAATATTACCACCAACTTTATGCTAAGAAGTTAGAAAATTTAGATGAAGTAGAAAAATTCCTAGAAAAATACAACTTTCCAAAATGTATACAGGAAGAAATAGAAAAACCTGTATAATACTAAACATTTAAATAAATTTATAATGAAAAACTTTCTACCTACAAAACACCAGGCCCAGCTGTCTTCAATAGTGGGTTCTACTTAATATTTAAGGAAGAAGTAAAACCAGTCTTATACAAAATATTTCAAAGAATAAAAAAAGGAACATCCCAACTATTTTTATAAAGCCAGAAGGATCCGATACCAAAACCTGGCATGATAAAAACATAAGAAAGGAAAATGACAGCCAAATCTTTCCCATAAGTAAAGATTCAAAAATCCTAACCAAAATATTAGCAAGCCAAATCCAAGGATAAATAACAAGTATGGTACATTATGACTAAGTGCAGCAATTACAAAGTGTTGGCTAAGTGAAAAACTTATGAGATTCCAAAGGAATATACACAACACGTAAAGCTTTAATGAAGGTGAAGGATACGATACAGCAGGAAAAAGAATGCACGAAGAAAACATGAGAGAAATCTCAGATTTCTAGACATAGCTTCCAATTTCCTTTTTCAGTCTTACAGAATCTGCAACCTCTTTGATTTATCAACAACCAATACATGTGGGATGCTTTGGTCTCAGGAATTCCAAGACGCAAATTGACTTGAGGGGCTTTTATATCCTACAAGTCACATAGTTAAAATCAGCCTGCATAACGAGGTAAACCAGTTGTAAAGCACCAATATGCACATTTTCAATAAACAATATAGACAAGCTGGTAGAAGGTGCCTCTGGGAAATTTTGGACTTTAAGCAACACATTACAAGCTAGTGCATTTCATCTACATCTTGGTTAAGGGTTGGTGCCAGATTTCTTGTATTCCCTAGAGCTAAGACTAGAACCTAGAACTAAGACTAGCTACCATTGACTACTTGCAACTTAACCCCATCCTTACACACCACATTTGGTTATTCCAAGAATGTAAGGTTGGTTTAGCATTCAAAAATTAATATAATTCATTATATTACCTTAAGGAGAAAAATCTCATGATCATCTTAACAGATGCAGCAAAAACACTTGATAAACATTCATTCATTTATTAAAAACCCTTAGCAAACTAGAAATGGAAGATGTCCTTAATTTGATAAAGACTATTTATGAAATACCTGCAGCAAACATTACCACGAAATATTAAAAGCTTTCACTCAGCAGAAAGAATACCGCAGAATACCTCTATCACCACTTCTATTCAACATTATAGTGGGTGTTCTAGCCAGGGCAATAAAACAAAGAAAATAAATACAGAGCTGGAAAAGAAGAAATAAAAAAATCATTATTTGTAAATGGGATAATTATGTATGTAGAAACTACAAAACTAATATATTTGCAAAAAAAAAAAAACCACTGAAAAATAACCATTTTTATTAGTTTTTGACTAATCTATGGGGAAGGGACATTAACAGGTAAAGGAAATAGGAATGGAAGCAAGAAGATTGCTCTGAATATGCCTTATAAATAACTTTCAATTGTAGCATCATATAATGTTTTAAATATTAATCAAATACAAAAGAAAGAAGCTTAAGAAATTAAAAACCAATGGATATTAATGAAACTAACATATCAATTTGGTGATATAATCTCATGGAGAACATAGTTATTTCAAGTAATATAGTGTTTTCACTGTACATTCTTAGTGGAATATAGTCTGAAGACAAAAAGTGCTGTAAAGAAATTGTAAATTTTACTCTGTTACATTGCTAGTGGTAATATGTTTTTATTTCAATATATATATGCACATACATAGGGAATAGGATAATGTACTTAAGTATATGAACGTTCTTAAGAACCAAGATTTTGAGTGTAGGATATAAGAAATAGTTATAGAACCTCAAAAATTACATTAAAATATTGTGATGTTAGATTTGAATTAGAAATGTCAGCATAAACTCATTTTTTCTTTTTTAAAAATACACATTTTCCTAGTTTTGCCCACTGAAGATATGAAAAGTCCAGGAAGTCCAATGACAACAAGCCTATCTAGCACCCGAATTGTGGTTTCTAAATATCAAAAGAAATCAAGACTCCTTGGAGAAGTAACTTATTCCAGGTCTGGGACAAGAAATCTACAATTCTGGGATGTTTCGTGCCTGAAAACAAGGGAGCTATGAAAAACTAATGAGTCATGATCAAAGGGACACAAGAGCCAACATGAAGGAACCTCCTTGGCTAGAGATGGGAAAGTTTTAGCACCAAAAATACTAGTGAATTCTGTTTATTGAAGTACATTAAATATATAAAAACACATGATTCTGTGATATGCAAAAAATGAAAAAAGCCCCAAAAGCCAACAAACAAAAACACCTTATTAGACACCATTGGAATGAAGTAGGACAATAGCTCTTTACTCTAACAGCTGTCGATTATAGGGAAAGATTAACCATTTACTTGTATTTCCTGTATGAAATATATATTGGGGTTATCAAATAGCTCAGGCGATGCATGAAAGTTTTTCATTATGTAAAAATTTCATATAAGCATGTAAGGAATAATGCAATTAGAAAGTCACCATTTTCAATCTCTAATAAGACTAGGTAATCATTAATGATAATACCGTTAGATGAAATTTCAATGGGAAACTTTACAAAGGAGGAATCAGAATATTATCTCTCAAACCCACTGATCAGTCTTAGAATCAGACTTTGTGCCTCCTGACATGATACAGTTACAAAGTACTGGCTAAAATCTATAGAGTATTATTGTCAAGGAGTTAAACCAGAATCTAAACAAATCTTAAAACTAACTTCGATATGGAGGAAATATGAGGGATGAATGAACAGGCAATTGACACTACAAGGAAGTAAACAGACATATCCCCAATATTGGATCTTCTACAGGACAATAGAGGAAAAAGAAAGAGGGAGAGAAAGAGGAGTAGGAGGACAAAATAGGACAGGGAGGAGGGAGAAAAGGAGAGAGAGAGAGAGAAAGAGAAAGAAAGAAACAAACAAATAGTGGGAAATAATCAAAGCTATAGTAAAAGAAAATTTTTCCTAAACTGAAGAAAAGCTCAAGTGCTCACATCCATCAGGAGTCAACACATCAAGCAAACCAAGCAAAAAAAGTGATTTTTTTTTTTTTGGTGTGTATGTGTGAACTCAACAAGCTTGGTTATGAATCTGTGTGTCTAATAGCCAACAAAGAGGGAATCCACATTTCTTTCAAATAGCCCTTAAAAGTTTACTATTACATAACTGACCATTGATCACAAAGAATATGTTGACTTGACTGATTGATTTTCTTAGTGGTAATATTTTTTGATTTGCAAATTTATCTTAAATTGAATTCTCTCTCCCTATGTCCTCCCCCACTGCCCCCTGACAATCCCAGGTGTCCGTTCCAAAAACATGACTTATACTGGTGGCTCTGGGCTCCTAACTTGTGTTGATATTGGAGATAAATAAAATCCACTCACCAAAACTCATGGTATCTTGGCTGTGTTTTCTTTCTCCTCCCCAAATTTACTTGGCTATTCCTCACACTATTCTAGAAGAATTCTATACTGATTTTCAAGTTGCATAAACTATCCCACTGGCATGTCTCTGGAATTGCTTTGATTTGTATAAAGATAATTGAGATAACTAATATGTTTACAATATTAAATAGTCTCATCTAGGAACAAAGGATATATCTAAACAATTTGGTCTTCTTTCATGTCAATCAATAAAATTAGATTTTTTGCCCCATATTGTTCTTGTACATTTCTTCTTTTGTTACTGTGAATGAGCTTTTTGAAAATGACATCTCTATATAAATTAATTATTGATGATGCATGGGGAACCTCTTGGTTTTCATATGTCACTCTCATATCTGGGTATCTTGGAACTCTTATTATAATTCCTTAAAAATAGACTGGACATAATCTAAATAGCCATCAACAGAGAATGATTAAGTCAAACAGGGTAAATCTACTATATAGAACATTATGCAGCTATTTTAAAATTACACAGATTAAGTGGGAAAATGGAAGTAAAATTAAAAAAATAAGTTGCAGAATAATATAGTATCATTCAAGTATATAAAACTACTACAGGTTGATGTATGCATATACAATGTAAATTCACAGGATAAAACCTGAAGAAATGCAATCCAATGTTAACAGTGATTACCTTTGGAGAGGAGAGTAAAGGGGAATTTTCACTTCTTTTTTTTGAGACATGGTTTTGCCCTGTCACCCAGGCTGCTGGAATACGGTGGTGATCACAGCTCACTGCAACCTTGAACCCCTGGTCTCAAGTGATCTTCCTACCTCAGCCTCTTGAGTAGCTAGGACTATGAGCATGTGACACCGCGCCCAGCTAATTTATTTATTTATTTTTATTTTGTAGAGACAGGATCTCACTATATTGCCTAACTGGTCTTGAACTTCTGGTCTCAAGTGATCCTCCCACCTCAGTCTCCCAAATTGCTGAGATTACAGGCATGAGCCACCACACCTAGTCAATTTTTCACTTTTTTACTCTATACATTTTTGTATTGTTTGTGAATTTTTTTCTAAGACACAAATTTATTCATTGCTTTCGTAATTAAATTTTTTTAATGTAGAATTAGGTTTCTGGGAAATAGACAAGTTGATAAAGATTGTCCTGGAGGAAGCTCCAGAGAGAACAGGTATAAGTCCCTAGAAAATCCTCACAGGTCGTTAATTTCTAAAGTATTTTTAAAATCACTTCCATGTGGTTTTGGAAAATCTGTGGATCCACACAATCTGTCAAGGAATATTACCAGCATCTATTAGAACAGAAAATGAAGATAAAATGTAACACAACTGTCCGATGAAATCAGTGGACACATCCCCAGTGTTTATCTATCTCTCATGAGTTCTCCTATGCAAGGGCCATGGACTAGTGAAGGACCTAAATAAGCCAGCTAAATGAATTGGGTAATTTTCCTTCTATCCTTCTCTCATTGCCTGCTGGATACCAGATGACACCAGCCTGTATTTCCTAGGTTTCTCTAGCGTTTAGAGTTGTTGCATAGGAAGCCCTTCTGACCTGAATTTAGAAATAGGGTAGCTGTTGGTTTAATTGTATCAGGTAGATCAAGTATGCTTGTCTGCCTTGAAGCCAGGTTCCTCCTTGGCTTGGTGCACAAGGTCACTATGGAAATGGCTCCTGATGACCTCCTGTCACTGCGCATGCCTAGGCCATGTCCCTTGCAATCAGTTAGAGTTATATCTTAAGTTAAATAGTAAATAAGTTTTGGTAAATATGTGTCCTGGATTTTTATTTTTGTAACACATGGTGAGCACCTAACAGTGTTTAGCAGCTCTTCTCAAACTTTAATGGAAATATCACCTCCGGATGCTATTCAGTAGGTCAGGGGTAGACGCTTGAAGTTGCATTTCTAAGAAGCTCCCAGATTATGTGGATGTGGCTGGGTCAGGAATCACACCAAGTGGCAAGAGTGTACAGCACATGCTTTGTACTTAATAAATATCTGTTGAATGAGTCCTCTTCTGTCCTAACCCCCAGGAATTTGAAACCTCCCGTGAAGTCACATCCTTCTTCTTTGTTCTTCTCTGGGTGAGACTGTCAGGAATTTTTACTTTCTTGGAAGTTAAAAAACAAAACAAACAACAACAACAACAACACACACAAAAAAACCCCAAAAAACTTTCTGGCTTTCTGAAAAGCAGACTCTAGCAAGTGATTGTATTTTGCATATTTCCACCCCTCCCGATAATCTACCACATGGAGGCAGAACCCAGGGCTGTTTTTCCATGTAGAAAACATCAGTGTGTGCACCCTGCTCTGCTCACTCTTTCCCAGCACAATCTGACAGATTTAACAGCTTCTGCCCAGCAGAGATGTCCCACTGGGGCTGCAAACCAGCATCAGGGGCCAAGCCATGGAGGGGAAATGGTGGCTTCTCCTGCAAGACCACATTCTCCTCAGAGCCATCAGCTCCTTTCCCACTCTGGGTTAGTGACTTGCTCGAGCACTAAATTGGTTCACAAAATTTAACAACAACAACAAAAAAAAACAAAAATAAAAATAAAAATTCAAGCAGCTCTTGGACTCCAACATAGAAGTGTCCTAAACCGAACAAGGATTAAAAGTTAACTGAACTCGCGTCTTGAAGAATGCGTTGCCTAATTCATTTGCCCTTTCACTGGAGGAAAAAAACAAAAACAAAACACAGTGTTTGCCTTTTGAGCTATGGTGAAAATACCTTGTAAATTACAGTTATTAAGCCTGGTTCTGGATATTTCCCTTAGAGTAAGATCAAAAGCCAAGTCAGAAAATGATTGAAATATGTTAAAATATTCTTTTTTAATGAACAAGCCATGTTTTAGACTGACGGAGATGTTAGTTTTATGTTATAAAATTATGTTTCAAATTTTAAGACTCGTCTTGTTCAAGATTATTGGATTGTGTAGACAGAAAAATACTATTGTGATCAATTTAACAGTTATTCTCACTTATTGGCTACTCAGCTGGGGGCTCTGGTCAGTACAATGTTAACAGAACTCACTTGGGGGTTATAGCATGTGCACATTAGCAGAATAGATTGGGCTGTGATTTGTAGCATGGGGCCAGTTTTGCAGAGAGCATTTTCTACCCACCCGCAGCTTCGTGGTGATGTTGGGATCTGTCTAGTCAGTGGAGGATCAGTAGCTTAAGAAGCTAATGAATATTCATTTCTTTTCCCTGGGTACAAAGTAAAATAACCAGTAATTAGTATAATATTTAATACTTCTATTCAAAATAAATAAATCTTTTGTAAAAAAAAAACAACCCCTAATTATTATAATGCAGCAAATTCCACATATGTAACTGAAATTGGATGTAGTGTTTTGAAAATGCTCTTATGCCCTCATTTACATGTTTTGAGATTTGTTAATTATTCCCCTTTTATGCATTAAACAAAACTCTAAATTTCCACCTGCATTTATTATTCATTTTTTTATCTCCCAAGTTTAGCTGATTCTAATATTTAAATTTTATATTTTTTAGATACTGAAGATGTTTGTATTTCAAAGAAATCTTCTGGATTTGGATGTGTTCTTGTTCTTTTCTTCTCTTGTTCCAGAGATCTATAGGATGCATATGGCTTATGAAATTCCCAGGTGGAGTTTCTTATTTGACCCTAGGTTTATGTGGCAAGGTTTAGCTATTCCAATTTTTTTAAATACACATTTTTGAGCACTTAATACCTGACAAGCGCCGTGCAGAGTGCTTTCATATATGCCATCACATTTTTATTCTACAACAATCCTGTGAGATTTGTTTTCTCTACCACCATCAGTAGATAAGGAAACTGAGCTCAAACAGGTTTACTCCCTTGACACAAAGTGTAGGATCTAAATTATCAGTCCATCTAAGTCCAAATCCAGTTTATATCACAACTGCAAGCTTCTGAAGCCCACTCTTCCCCATTGCTGAGGACGAAAGGTTTGGAGGAGGTGAGGAAATGCTTGTGTATAAATCAGAACTCACAGGGTGTTGTCATGGGCTTGGGTACTTGTGAGTGCCAACCTCTGACAAGTGGAGGGGACAGCCTGGGATCAGTGGCCTTTTGTGCAAAACCATCTGAGCCTGTGATAAACAAGGAACCTTCTGGCCTTTGGCCCAGTGGTTTCTCAGTGATGATGGCTAGTTCCTGCCAGGGAGAATTCACATTCTTGCTCAAATGGAAATGGGTTAGACACGCAGTATGGCAAATAGAGTCACTATCCATGAAGACCTAGGTAATTCATAGTGCTGCAATTCCTTAATTCTACTGAAAAACTGCAAATGTCAACATGCAGGGAGCTTGTATGAATCATCTGGTGTGGACAGCACAGGCAAGAGTCTCCATCTAGATTCTTTTGAGACATTCCCATGAAAACTACAATAAAATTCAGACTTTTTTTTTTTTGAGACGGAGTCTCACTCTGTCACCCAGACTGGAGTGCAGTGGCGCAATCTTGGCTCACTGCAACCTCTGCCTCTGAGTTCAAGCAATTCTCCTGCTTCAGCCTCTTGAGTAGCTGGAATTACAGGTGTATGCCACCATACCTGGCTGATTTTTGTATTTTTAGTAGACATGGGGTTTCACCATGTTGGCTAGGCTGCTCCTGAACTCCTGATCTACCCACTTCAGCCTCCCAAAGTGCTGGGATTACAGGTGTAAGCCACCACGTCCAGCCAAAATTCAGACTTCTTACCAAGGCCTGCAGGCCCCATGTGGTCCAGTTACTGCCTGCCTCTCCCAGCTCCTCATATACCTCCTCCTCCCCTGTGCTCCACATCTTCTGGCCGCACTAGCCTCCTTTCTGTTCCTCCTCACAAGTTTACAAAGCAGCACCTCCACTTCTGCTATGGAGTGGCAGTGTGGGACTGTGCCAGTCAAATGAAACTCACCTTAATTCAAATCCACATCTGTGGCAAACTGGCTATGGACCTTGGCTGGGTCAATTAATCTTGCTGTGTCCTGTTTCCTCATCTGAAAAGGGGGTGACAATATCCATCTGGACAAACTTGTGAGAAATAAATGAAGCGATGTGTACAAAGTGTCATGCATATTTATATACACAGGATATAGATGTTAATTAAATGTGAATTTTCTTCTTCCCATTCTGTTCTCCGTGTCAGTCCATCCTGTATTTTGCATCTCATTCACATTCACACTTAATCCTACACATGGCGTAGGTATCAGCCTCAATCCTATTTTACAGATGAGGAAACTTAGGACATTGCTGCTAAGTGATTTGCTCAAAATTCCCCTCCTAGAAAATGGTCCAGCCACTGGATGATCAAATGGTCTTTCCATCCCATCAAAGCTACCTCTTTCTTCTGCCTGCAACACCAAACAGCAGGTAAATGAAGTGGAAAGAAATGAATCTACTGGCCAATTGAGCTCTCAGGATGGCAGAGGGCATCTGCTTGAATCCCAGGGGCAGTGCCACCTGCTGGAGCTAGAGGGCCTGTTCTGAGGAGAGAAGCAACGGTGGGCAGAAGAAGATGTGCCAACCTTATGTTAGGGCCCCAGCCCCTGCCTTCAGAGCACCATAGTTTCTCTACCTGTTAATTCAGGCTTTGGCTCTGAAATGAATAAAATAGCATGCAAGTTATTGTATTTACATGGCACCATTATTGCATGCCAAGGAGCTCTAGCAAATTGCCACTGGGCACTGTGATGCTTGGGCTGTGGTTGCTGGATGTCAGGTGAGTTAATTAGCATTCACAGCAAGTGTTCATTTGGGCGACAGCAGAGTAAAGAACATGGATTTAGAGTCAGACTGCAGTTCAAACTCCTAGTCCATTATGTATCAACTGTGACTTTGGGCAAGTTATTTTCTGGATTTTCTTTTTTCTTTTCTTTTCTTTCTTTCTTTTGATGGAGTTTCACTCCTGTTGCCCAGCCCAGAGTGGAATGGCACAATCTCGGCTCACCACAAAGTCCACCTCCCGGGTTCAAACAATTCTCCTGCCTCAGCCTTCGAGTAGCTGGGATTACAGGCATGCACCACCATGCCTGACTAATTTTGTATTTTTAGTAGAGATGGGGTTTCTCCATGTTGGTCAGGTTGGTCTCGAACTCCTGACCTCAGGTGATCCACCTGCTTTGGCTTCCCAAAGTGCTGGTATTATAGGCATGAGCCACCGTGCCCGGCATTTTCTGGATTTTCTATTTGCTCCTTCTGTGTAATAAAATTAATTCCATCTACCTCACAAGGTTTATTTGGAGAATTAAATATGCCTGCACATGACAGCTTGCAATACATGATAGCTACTACCACCATCCTCTTTTCCTGTAGGTAAAATTATCCTCTAAGTAGAAAGTCTACAGAAATAGTTGGAAATATCTAAGTGCTCCCCATGACCCCACTGTAACAGAGCCAAAGTGTGGAGGCATTCCTCGCTTCCAACTTGTGTTTTGTTCTCCAAGTATGATAAGTGAATTCTGGGGGAATTAGACACTTTACGTCTGAACACTTCTTCGATAGGGTGGAAGTAATATGAGTAATAAATTACCCTTGCGTCCTCAAGATCTTTCTGGTCATTATTCTCTAATCTAATTAGAATGCCAGATGCAGATCCATCCATCTTCATCCAGAAGCAATGGTAAACTGGGGAAAATGCTTACTGCAAAGGAATGTTGGTATAAGGGAGGATGGATTTTCTGTGGAGTGGCAGAGATTCAAACGTAAAAACTTGAGCTGACATCCATAATCAGAAGTGACGGCTTTGTGGGGGCTTTCTTCTCAAATATGCATGTCTAGGTACTTATTTTCCTTTTAATAGACAATCAAAAGTCTATGTTAGAAACTTTTCCTAAGGGGCTGGGCGAGGTGGCTTACACCTGTAATTCCAGCACTTTGGGAGGCTGTGGTGGGTGGATCACCTGAGGTTAAGAGTTTGAGACCAGCCTGGCCAACATGGTGAAACCCTGTCTTTACTAAAAGTACAAAAATTAGCCAGGTGTGGTGGTGCATGTCTGTGTCCCAGCTACTAGGGAGGCTGAGACAGGAGAATTGCTTGAACCCAGGAGGCAGAGGTTGCAGTGAGCCAAGATTGCACCACTGCACTCCAGCCTGGGCAGTGTAGCAAGATTCTGTCTCAAAAATAAGTAAGAAACCCTCCTAAGGCTTCTGGAGCATATTCTTGCTTATGTGGATTTCCTCCCTTTGGTGAGACGGGAAAGCATCCAAGCTTCCTTGGGTCCCCTCTTGCCACATCCCTCAAAGTTTCTAGGGCCTAGAATCTAGATAAGTGTCATTCATGGTCATTCTGTGGCACCTTTGGCTTTCTGGGACGTTTGTGTGCCTAAGGCATCCTGATAACATGGCAGTCAAAATGTCTAACAAGTGAGCCCTGATATTGCTAGAAGAAAACACACAAATGGAGAAAGATCTCTGTTGAATCTCCAGAGGAAAGTCAGCAAAATCAAATGTTGTGTATGCTGCTCTCCATGGAAAGTATAAGCAGGTAATTTGAGGACCCACTAGAGAATACCTAGCTCTAAACTTAGTTCTCCTTGCTCTTACATATTCATTACAATTCCTGTATTTGGATGTTCCTTTTCTTTCTCCCTCCCTTTCTCCCTCCCTTCTCTTCCCTTCCCCACCTTTTCCTTCCCTTCTCCTTCCTCTCTTCCTTCTTCCCTCCCTCCTTTCCTTCTCCCTCCCTTCCCCACCTTTTCCTTCCCTTCTCCTTCCTCTCTTCCTTCTTCCCTCCCTCCTTTCCTTCTCCCTCCCTTTCTTCCTCCCTCTATTCCTTCTTCCCTCTATTCCTTTCTTCTTTTCTCCTCCCTCTTTCCCTCCCTTCCTGCCTTCCTTCTCCCTCTCTTCATTTCTTCCTACCTCTTTTCCTTTCTTCTCTCTTTCCTCCCTCCCTCCCTTCCTCCCTACCTCCCTTCCTCCTCCCTCCCTCCCTTCCATTCTTCCTCATAATTCATTTATTCATTTATCTGTTCCTTCATGTGAATGGCTGTAGCTTGGTTAGGGCAAGGATTCCATCTAGCTGTCTTGATCACTATCGTTTCTCTAGCTCGTAGTAAATATAGTAGGAGCTCAACACATTTTTTGTAATAAATGGATAAATAGACACTTACTGAGTACTTACTATGTTCCTAGTTTTTCAATCCTTAGGGTTAAAGCTGTGTTTCCCAAACTTCAGTTCTTTACATACTACCTTTCCAATATTCACCAGATCTATGAACTACTTTTTCTTCTATTTTTTACATTTAAAAAAAATTGACTTTTCTTTATACTTAGCCTCATCCAAAGCAGTAACATCTGTGAAATTACACATTAGGTGTCTATTTGCATTTTTCAATAATTCACATCAAAGTAAACTTATAACTATATTTTAAAAGACTATTGTATCACCTAAAATTACCTCAAGGGCCTCTATTAAAATACAAATCTTATCTGGAATGAAATTAAAACATTATTGATTATACCCATTTGAACCTCTACAATAAAGAAGGCCCAGAAACGGAAGTTCTGCAAAGAAGGACTTTGGGGTGGGGACTGCTGCTCATGGAAGCAGATGAGCCTTGCGTTCCTGAGGGTCAATGTTCTGTAGAACGTGTTTGCAGTTTGTGGTTCTAGCTCTTTGTAACTTTGATTGGATAAATCATTTGCTGAACCTCTTGTCCCTCAACTCTAGTATGGATGTAACAACACCACCACCTCATCTTCTCTACATTGAAAAGCACATGAAAAGTGTGAAGGACCATTTATATCCAATAATAACTGTATAGCAGTTGCACAATAATTATTTATATTATCATGAGTTTGCTAGGCAATTAATGCGAAGCCAAATACCAAAAAGCAGAAAGAGGTTACAGCAAAGGGCTGGAGAGTATTTCTTTCACTCTTTCTTTCGTTTATTCAATAAATACTTAACTATATATATTCTAGTCTCAGAACTAGATGTTGAAAATATTACAGCAAAAAGACAGATATAGTCTTTCCTCTCATAGTCTGGTGGGAGAAACAGGCAGTTACACAAACAATTACACACATAATTACTTTATTATAGCAGTGATAGATGCCAACATAAAAATACAAAATGCAGACCGGGCTTGGTAGCTCACGCCTGTAATCCCAGCACTTTGAGAGGCTGAGGTGGGCAGATCACTTGAGGTCAGGAGTTTGAGACCAGCCTGGGAAACGTGATGAAATTCCATCTCTACTGAAAATATAAAAATTAGCCAAGTGTGGTGGCCTGTAATCCTAGCTGCTTGGGAGCCTGAGGCAGTAGAATTGCTTGAACTTGGGAGGTGGAGAGTGCAGCGCGCCGAGATTGTGCCACTGCATTCCAACCTGGACGACAGAGCAAGACTCTGTCTCAAAATAAAATAAAATAAAATAACCCCAAAAACAAAGTGCAAAGATAAAGTATAATAGGAGGACCAGCTAATATGAGGAGTCAAGGAGGGCATTCCTGTAGAACTGACATTTAAGCCAAGGTCTGAAACATCATTAAAAATTAAGTATGTATATAAAGGGGGAACTAAAACCCAGTTTCGAAATTTTTATGAAACCAGGTGCTTATCTCTTCCCTACTGCTTATTCTGTTTCTGAACAACCAACTGGAATGTGCAGTTCTGGTAGGTTTCTCTTCTTACTCCCTCACTAGTTGATGCAGCACATTGGCTGATACTGTCTTAAAAAAGAAACTTGAAGTGTGGCTTGAGAAAAGATCACAGAACCCAGAGAATTACATACTGCAAAGCACTACTGAGACCATGACTCCATTCCTAATTATAAAAAAGTCACTGTTAAAAAATGAGTGTTTCCACTTCCTGTGGGAGTTTTCTTTGCCAAAGAAAAGAACAAATGTGGTAGGCATGGATTCATAATTTGTAAAGGTAGGAAGGTTAGATTTTGAAATCTATTACAGCAGACATGTTTAGTGTAACATATAAAGATCACTACTCAGCGCATTAGGCCTCCAAGTGCTAATGGAGTTTTTCTTCCTAGGGCAGCTAAGAGAAGGGGCCATCGGCAGGCAGCAATGAAAACAAGGCATTCTGCCCAGAGTCGCACAGCCTGCCCCATACTTTATGATCCTCAGTAGGCTTCCATCTGTTTATTTTTATTTAGTTGAGTTTTTCAACAAGAAATATATATTTGTTACAGACAAAAGTAGTAAATACAGATTGATAAAAGTTAAATGAAAATTAGCCATTATGTCACTATGCAGAAAATATTAACAGCCATAAGCATTTTATGGTATAGCTGTATAGAGATATGGATTAAAAAATTAATTCGTGGCCCGGCCTGGTGGCTCACCCCTGTAATCTCAGCACTTTGGGAGGCTGAGGTGGGCAGATCATGAGGTCAGGAGTTCAAGACCAGCCTGGCCAACATGGTGAAACTTCGTCTCTACTAAAAATACAAAAATTAGCTGGGCGTGGTGGCACTCACCTGTAATCCCAGCTACTTGGGAGGCTGAGGCAGGAGAATCACTTGAACCCAGGAGGTGGAAGTTGCAGTAAGCCAAGATTGCACCATTGCATTCCAGTCTGGGTGACAAAAGCAAAACTCCATCTCAAAAAATAGATTAATTAATTAAAAATTAACTTGTGATCTTATTGACCTCACATTGTTGGTAATTAGTCTTTTACGATTGTTGCTTCTTTTAACTTTCAGTGATGATTTACTTTTTAGAGTAAGCCTTAAGCCTTCTAAGAAACCAAGACTCCTCCTGAAAACTCATTTGAGAAGTTACTTATGCTAATAATCCGCAATTCACAACCCTTTTCAGCAGTTTGTTCACCTCAGGGCTTCACAATAGGTCCTTGTTGCAATGCCATGCAAGTAGCTGCTCATGTGGAGGCTTGGGGATGGCTGGGGTTGGGCGGCAGTTTTGCAAATTTGTGCAGAAAAGTGACATTCAGGCTTCCCTTCCTTTCTCTTTGGTTTTTAGAACCAGAAAACTAGCAATGCCCTCAGGCAGAAAAATGACTTCAACTGTAGGTGGTAGAAGTGCAGTATTTTGGAGGAAGGCAAGAAAAAAATCATTTTACCAAAAAAGATACATTTGTAGTTTAATGAAGACGAATCCCAACTCTTAGTGACAGAGGTAGTCATATGCTGGAATTAAGCGTAGGGCTTACCTCTGTGAGCTGCAGGTGTTTCTCCTGTTCATATTTCTAAGGTGGTTTGCAATGCTACTGTGCTGTAAACATGCTTAAATTAGGTGGTTGTACTTCCTGGTTCTACCACGAAATGCTTCCAAAGTCATCCGGTCCTCCCCTATCCTGGGCACCCCCTCAATATTCTGGGACCATTAGGCTTTAACCTTCCAGACAAAGACCCCTCAGAGAGGAGAGCTGGCTATGGAAGGGACTATCCACAAATTCCAAGGACTCACGCGGGTGAAGGATGAGTTTGTTATGGAAATGATACAATTAGTATACCTGTTGGGGACAGAGGTGATTGCTACATTTTTCACACAGTGCCCCACGTTGGCTGATGAAAGCAGAAAAAGAATGCAACATTGATAAGCACATCCAGTATGACATGCTACAGGGAGAGCAGAGTAACAGCCCCTCAGAGGTGACTAACTAGGATTGAACTTTACTTGAAGCTGTCTGTAAGATTTTAAAAAAGAAAAGAAAAAAGATTTGTGTTGGGAAATTTTCTGCTTTCTTAATAATCTTTATCCAAAATTTCTGTTAGGACTTCAATATCTAAACAACTTGTGAAAGGGAATTATGATTCTCTGGTCTTTCCAAAACAAAAAGAACTAAGAGCAGTCCAAGTGAATAATACATTTGTTTACCTATTTATAACTATAGTAACTGACATCTTTTTGGCACTTACCTTGGGCATTTTCTTATTTATTATCTCACTTAACAACAACAGTATGAAATAGGTACTATCGTTTATTTGGTGTTAAGAAGAGGAAACCGGGCCAAAGAAAAGTTTTTCCCAACTCCAGTTTGGTTCCAAGTTCATGTTCTTAACACTGAACTCTACTGATGATCCCGAGTTCCTTTGTTTTGTACTTGTGACATTCCTGCAGGAGCAGTCACTCTTTTGTGACATGAGAAAGATGAGTTTGGGGCTCTGAAGTGCTTCTTAGCAAACCAGAGAAGCTTTGCAGGGCATGCTGCCAGTGAGCCAACTCTTGGGGGCTCATTTTTCTGGGCTCCTCATGCCAGGACAGAATGAAAGATTTCACTTAGATAATTACCTAGGAGGGGAAACCGTGTAAAAAGTCGTGGTGCTCAGAGATGATTAAAAAGCATGATTTAATAGAAGTTGCAGTTTCACTTTCACTCGAGGTTGAGGCATCTTAAAGGAGAGGGAAAAAACCATAGGGCAGAGTCAGGAGAGCGGGTTGGTCCTGTTTCGGTTCAGCTGTCTGGCTTAGGGCAAGCTCTGGGCTTCTCTGAGGCTTCATTTCTTCATGTATTAAATCAGGAGTGAGCCAGATAATCCCCAGCCTGTCTCGGCTTACAGTGTGAGATTTGTCTGTCTCTGCTGTAGCTGGGAAGTTACAGAAAGGGGGCACCCTCTCCTCGTCTTCCGCTGCTCCCTTCCCCCAACCCCTCATATTAGGAAACAACTTTCCAAATGACGTTTTTGAGAGGCCAGGTACAGACAAACTTATCTTTTAGTCTGGAGTGAAGTGCCACAAACCCAACAGCTGTTGTGGTCAGATGGGGTATACAAAAACAAACGTGCGCGCGCGCGCGCGCACACACACACACACACACACACACACACACACACACACACAAACACAGAAAACAAAAAAGGGTAGAGCCCACTGCATGGTCAATACAATTTTTTGGAAAAGATCTCTTGTTCTTAATCCTATTCTGATTTTCCCACTTTTGATAAAGTCGGTGGTCTAGAGAAACAAATCTCTGTTAGGAGAAAAACAGCTGTGTGGGTACACCAGGCAAGCCTAACTGAGCACAGCTGTGGGCTGGGCTGGCCTGGCCAGGGCCACCAGTTCACTTTCTCTGCCCTGGAAGCTGTCCATCCTCCATCAACAATTTGTCACCATGTCAGTTTTAAAATCCCAAGAGAACGACTATGTTGTTTTTATGCTGATCATTTATATTTACCCAGAAGTTTCTTTTAGGTTTAGCTGAAAGCCACCCTTCTCAAAAGTGCCTATAGTTACTCACAATTACTTGTGCAAAAAAAAAAAAAAAAAAAGGTAAAGGGGAAGTGGAGCCTGACAAAGATAATCCAGAAGTAATGTACACTGCTTTAGGAAATCTGTCATCTTCTGGAGGCAGACATGCCTGCCTACTGCCTAGTGTAGTACTTGGCACATACTGGGCACTCAAAAAAAACTATTCATGGAATGAGAGGATGGCTGGATGGATGGATGGATGGATGGATGGATGGATGGATAGACGGACGGATGGATGGACGGATGGATGGATGGATGGACCGACAGACGGACAGATGGATAGATAGATAGATAGATAGATAGATAGATAGACAGATAGATAGATAGATTGATAGGTAGGTAGGTGGATAGATAGATAGATAGATAGATAGATAGATAGACAGACAGACAGACAGACAGACATTCAATAGATGAGGTCACACAGCCCTAGAAGGCTAGGTCCTGTGTTAATAATGGGTAGCCAGCTGGAGGCAAACCTGGGACTGACAGGTCTGCCAATTTCACACACAGGGCTCATTCTACAATCTACTCCCTGCTTTCGTTTTTGTGTTTTTCATGTACAACTTAGTTCCTTAAGCACATGCAACTGTAAACCAATAACCCCTTAATGCTTTCTCATGTTCAAATGTGTGATCACATCTTACAATTTAGGGAGTACCCTGCACTAAGCAGGTTGGGTGCGATGGCTGCAACCACACAGCAGATGCTTCCCCTTCTGTGAGCAAATTTGGAGGTGTGCACAGGGTAAACTAGGCAGGAAGGCAAGAAGAGCTGTCTCTCTCCATCTCTCAAGTAGTCCAATAGCTGGATTCTTCTGGGTCAGTGCAGCGTTAACCAGAAGCCATGCTGCTAGCCCTCTCTGTGGCACCTTCTTAGAATTACTACTCAAATGCGGTGCAAAATGCTGTAACTGAGGGCTGTCAGCTTCTCCTAGATTGTTTAGAATGTGTTGTTTTCTCTTTTATTGATACATAATATTTTACATGTGTGTGGGGTACATGTGTTTGTTACATGCATAGAATGTGTAATGATCAAGCCAGGATATCTGGGTTATCCATCACCCTCAGTGTTTATCATTATTTTTGTGTTGGTATCATTTCAAGTTCTCTCATCTAGTTACTTTGAAATGTACCTAATATTCTTGCTAAGTGTAGTCACCCTAGTCTGCTATCAAACATTAAAGCTTATTTCTTCTAACTATTTTGTACCTATAACCAACCTCTCTCTGTCTCTCTTTTTTTTTTGAGACAGAGTCTCACTCTGTCACCCAGGCTGGCGGGCAGTGCCGTGATCTCAGTTCACTGCATCCTCCACCTCCCGTGTTCAAGCGATTCTCCTACCTCAGCTCCCTGAGTAGTTGGGACTACAGGCACACGCCACCACGCCTGGCTAATTTTTGTATTTTTTAGGAGAGACAGGGTTTCACTATGTTGGTCAGGCTGGTCTCAAACTCCTGACCTCAAATGATCCACACAGCTCGGCCTCCCGTAGTTCTGGGATTACCAACCAACCTCTCTTCATCTCCCTCCCCAGCATCCACACTTCCCCATTTCTGTCTTCTGAGATTTTTCATCAGCACAGAGCTACAGACTGCTCTAGCAGGGGATTTACTAAACTCAATCGGCCTTGGCACCCTCTCCCCCTAGTTTATCTTAATGAAACATTGTGAGGAATAGCATTTCCTGCACACTGTTTGAGAAACACATTCCAAATGTTTTGGGGCACTTTGGTCGTTTCTAAGCTCTTTATTCAATACAACACGTGCTGTGTAAATGCATGTGACTTGAAGATGTTGAAGAATAAAGTTGTTTCTCTTAATAAGAATTAAGTCAATGTTAAAGTTAACATTCTTAGAAAATAGCTGTTTGAGAAAAAATTTTTAATATCATTCCCATCCTACTAAGGCAAAATTGATAATTTCATTGAGACATGAAAGAATTCCAGAATTTTTCTGGCTGGGTAGCTGGGTGTCTATCTATCCATCTACCTGCCTACCCACCCATCTCATTATGAACATTTCACATAGAACAAAGAGAAACCTAATCAGTGCTCGTGTCTCCATTTCCTAGATTTGATAGTTACTAACATGTTACTGGAAATGGTTCACCAAGTTCTTTATGTTGCAATGTTTTAAAGAAAATTGCCAATATCATGACTTTTCCCTCTAAAAATTTTAGTATACGTTTCCAGAAAACAATAACTGACTGCTTCCTGTGTAACCACAATACCCACGTCTCACCTGACAGCATTCTCAGAGATGTGTTAATGTTATCTTATAGCCAGTTCCTGTTCAGTTTCTCAGCTGGGCTTATTCAAACCAGGATCCAACTAGGAACCACCCATTACATCTGGTTGTTATGTCTCTTAAGGTTTTTTAAAATCTGGAACTAAATTATATATGAAAAAGCAAAAATAAACAGGGAACTACGGAACAAGCACCAGGTTAGGGATTGATAGATCAAGCATCAGTCCAAGCTCTGCCACCAACCTGCTGTCCCCACTGAGCACAGCACATAGCACTCTGAGCCTCTTTGTCTCATCAATACATTTAATTCACTTACTTATCCATTCTTACTTTTAACAGATACGTACTGAGAGCCCAGATATGTATTGAGTGTTCAATATGGCCTCGTTCTTGCTCTGGGCACTGTTCTAGGAAGAAATTCGTCTTCCAGAAGATGATAGAATTTCATAATTCCAATTCTTGTGGATTATCCATGCAAGAATTCATCTCTTTCTTTCCTCTCCATTTCCATGACATTTATTTATTGAGGATACAAGTCAGTTGTCCCATAGAACTGAATAATTCTTCAATCATCTGACTTTTTCTTTTTGCGATATCATTTCTCCTGTTCTTCTACCTTCTGTATCTCCTATAACCTGGAAGTAATATCTGAAAATTTGACTAGATTTGGGTAGATTTTTGTGTGTGTTTGTTTTTTTTTTTTTTTGAGACAGAGTCTCACTCTGTCACCCAGGCTGGAGTGCAGTGGCACAGTCTCGACTTACTGCAACCTCTGCCTCCTGGGTTCAAGCGATTCTCCTGCCTCAGCCTCCTGGATAGCTGAGACTACAGGTGTGCACAAACACGCCTGGCTGATTTTTGTATTTTTAGTAGAAATGAGGTTTCACTATGTTGGCCAGGCTGGTCTCAAACTCCTGACCTTAGGTGATCCACCTGCCTTGGGCTCCCAGAGTGCTAGAATTACAGGGATGAGCCACTGCACCTGGCCTAGAATATTTTTTATGAAAATGTTTTATACGTGGTACTGTGTACTTTGTATTGCATCTCATCAAGAGTTACAGAATGTCTGGCTATCCCACTTTGGAAGTGCTAAGACCAATCATGGGTTTAGATCATTACAGCCAGATGCCCCACTATAGAAGCAGTGACTTGTGACTAGCAAGAAATCTGTTTGGGAAGGGGGACGTGCAGCGGAGTTAGCACATTTATACCATGTGAATCTAATCCTTTTATTTATTTATTTATTTATTTATTATTTTTTGAGACAGGGTCTTGCTCTGTTGCCCAGGCTGGAATGCAGTGGTGCAATAATAGTTCACTGCAGCCTCGACCTTCTGGGCTCAAGCTATCCTCCTGCCTCAGCCTCCTGAGTAGCTGGGACCAAAGGCACATGCCACTATGCCCAGCTAATTTTTAATTAATTTATTTATTTATTTATTTTTGTAGAGACAAGGTCTCCATTTATTGCCCAAGCTAGTCTTGAACTTCTGGGCTCAAATGATCCTCCTGCCTCAGCCTCCCAAAGTGCTGGGATTACAGGCATGAGCCACTGCGTCTGGCCTGAATCTAATTATTTATCAACCTTTTTCCTATTATCCATGGATTCTTGCTTGAATCTCTTAGTTCTTCAGGGATTGCAAAATGGTAATTTTCTAATTTCATCATTCTGTAGGGGAGAAAAGGTAATATCTTTTCCTTACCCATTGCAAGGTTCATGGCTGACACCCCTATAACAAAAGACAAATGAACAAGGGAAAAGAGTAACAAATTTATTTAGCTAAAGTTTTATGTGACATGGGAACCTTCAGAAAAGAAGACCTCAAAGACCCAGAGGAATCTGTATATTTTTATGTTAAGGTTGAGGAAGAATCGGCAGTCATGTAGAAGTATGGCTGGACATAGTACCATTATGACCTAATGGTAATGAACTGGGGGGAACTTAGCACGACCTGTTCGTTAGGATTCTTCTTGGCCTCTCTGTATCTTCATTTCTTTCCTCCTGGCATAGGTAAGGACACCTGTCACATGAGGATCCTGTGACCTACTTTGAAGGGAGGTAGGTCAGAAAGTTATTTTATGGCTACCTCTTACACAGAAAGACATGAGAAAGTCAGAGAATGACCTTTCTGCTTCTGCAGTTTTCTCAGTTTTCAAGGTGTCATATTTTGGGGTAGCATGTTCTGACCCCTGACAATTCCTTCTACATTTAGTAACCAGTATTCAACCATAAAAAAGGCCTTGCCTCATCAACAGGGGCTTAATGGTCAACCTAAAATAGAGTTCTAACTGGAAAGAACATAATTCTTACCTTTTATTTACCACTTTCCAGAGTAAGGAGTTGGTGTAATGGCCTTCTCCAAGATAACAAATGAGGATTTGTTTGCTGGCTTGCTTTCTCTTCATTGATTCTCATTTAAACACAGGGATTTTTACACGTTCAATGTGCTGCAATCCATTACCATCAATTATTCATTTTGATGCTGAAATTGTCCCAACTGTGTGGGTGTCCCTTCAAGTTGGGTCAATATTTGCAGGTGAAAAATGATGGAAAGATATCCTTAGCCGAAAACACGTCTAAGAACTTGGTTGTGACCGGTACTGGGCTAGATGCTGGGTGCAGAGGGCTACATTCACAGGCTTGGGTTCTTCTGTTAACCCTGAAGAAATAAGTCCTGAAAGTCTTAGTGAATAATTAAGCGCAAGCTGCTGACTGTGCCAGTTCACCTTTGAATATGCCCTTCTTCACCAGGCAAATGTGGCAAAGTGAGTCAGCTGTGGCCTCCCAAGGATGCAGCCAGGTAGCTAGTTCAGCAGATGGTAGCCAGTGACTCAAATCGACAAAAGGTAAATTAGAACCGAGAGGTTAGGAGGGTTTCAGTTTTTCTGTGTTTGTTCTGTTTCAGCTGTCTCCTAACTGCAGTTACAAAAGCCAAATCAAAATGATCTGAGTATTTGAGGCACAGTAGTTGGGGGGCAGAGGGTGGAGGTGAAGCGCTCTTGAGAAAAACAGGTGTTGGGGAAAGAATGTTGTGATCCTCCCTCGGTCCTTATTAGCTGTGTGGCCAAGGCAAGGCAGCTGGCTATCTTCAGTGGGCAAAACACCAACTCCTTATCCACACAATGGGCCTGAGGCCTGCCCTGCAGAGGCTTGTGGTGATGGCCAGTGGTGACCATTACTTTAATGTGGAAGCATTAAAGTAATTGGAAGATTCACTATTATTGGATAATAATTGGTAGGAGTATATTGGCTAGTTGTCCTGTAGAATGTATGACAATTATGGAATTGTCTGATGTTTGCCCTGCGCAGTTTCATTTATCTTGTTTTTCTACCCCTTGTATGTTCTGAAATCTGGAAGTGAGAGCAAAGGCTTGATTAAATTCTGGTGAAATATTTTTGACAATATTTTGGGTACCTAATTACCTTTCAACTTAAAATGATAAGAATAGGTAATACTTATTCAGTGCTTAATTTATTCAGGGATTTTTACACACTCAACGTGCTGCAATCCATAATGCTTTCAACTATCTCTTTTAGGTAGGTGCTAGTGGTGTTATTCCCATTTTACAGAAGCAGCTGAGCTGCAGAAAAGATAAGTAACTTGCTCAAAATTGCACAGCTAATAAACGACAGACATGGGATTTGAAACTGAGTTATCTCCAAGACTGTGGTCCTTAACCATTCTGCCATGAATGAATACTTCCTGGAGAAATCTGTAATAGATGTCTACATCATTTGATTTCCATAGCACACATTTGAGTTTTTAATTTGGACTTCTAGAGAGCAGAAAAACATTGGAGGTGATGTTTTAGGCAACAAGATGACTACAACAAATGTTTCCATCCAAGAAAGAGGCTATTCATGTCTGTGTGTGTAGTGTATGTATGAGAGTGTGTGTATGTGTGTGTGTGTGTGTGTGTGTGTGTGTGTGTGTGTGTGTGCGCTATAGTCACCATCTCTAGTGAGGAGTACCTGGAGAGATGGGACTACCTGCCTAGAAAAGCAGAGCTGTTGCTTTCTGTCATATGCTGTGACTTGGAAGACCCAAATGTGGCCTACCCATCATAGGGGAGAACTCTCACTTGGGGCAGTATAGCCCAGTGTTACACACACACGTTCTCTACTGAAGGCATGGAGCTGAATGGGGCTCTGCAGATTGACTTGCATTTTATGTTAAGAGAATTTTTCTAGGGTAGTATTAAGTGTGTGAACTTGAGAGCAAGGCTGCCTGTATTTGTAAGTGACACACACAGAGCTTGGTGCATGGCAATCACTCAATAAAGGCCAGCTATTGTTATTGGGATGAATGGCTTTCTTAGCTCAAAAGTGGGTTATGAAGAGAATCTTTGGGCTCTTCTCTGGAGATTAATAAAACCAAGAAACACTGGGCCAGAGTTCTCAATGAGGGTTCTAATACCACCTGCTGGGTGCAACCTAGTCTAGTGGGATGCGGGGTATTCATAACAATGACTAGAAATTCCCCTCCCTCAGCTCCCCCACACGTGTTACACCTGTGTCTTGGGACAAGCTGGTGTTAATCCCCACTCTCCCTGCCAAACAACAAGTGTCTTTGAAGTACCACTTCCTGTGGATCCTTCCTGCTGTGCAGCTCAGTGTCTTGAAAAGAGCTTTGAAGTCCCACTGACCCAGCTTGAATCCCAATCTCCCCACAGAGGAGCTGTGTTACTTTGGGCAAATTACCCAGTTTTTCTGAGCTTCAACTTCCCATCTGTAAAAAAAAGAGACAATACCTATCTCACGGGTCATTGTGAGCTCTTAGAACCAATAATATATGAAACACAGTGCTTAGACCACTGGAGGCCCCCTCCTGTGGCCACCCTGCCAAGACCACTGAGAGCATCTGGGAGGTATCTGGGGGCAAGGAAGTCATCTTTAGTGCGGTCTTTATCAGGTGGAATTGGGACCTCAAAACAGTGAATTTTAAAATCTACTTTCTTCAATCTGCTAAATGCCACCCACCCCCCGCCAACCCCAAATAGAAATAAGCAAAATAATGGGAGCATTGTGAATTACTGAACTAGATGATTCCAGTAAAGGCATAATTTATTCTTAGAGTAAAATGTTTATCCTTTTAATCCTAAAACATGTAAGATTGATCTTTTCAAAAAACAATCCATCTAGAGTAGTCAAATTTATAGAGACTTAAAGTAGAATGGTGGTTGCCAGGGGCTGATGGGAGAGGGGAATAGGCAGTAATGGCTTAATGGTTATGGAGTTTTAGTTTTGCAAAATGAAAAGAGATGTATGGATGCACAGTGGTGATGGCAGCACAGCTGTGTGAATGCACTTAATGCCATTGAACTATACACTTAAAGCTGTTTAAAATGCTAGGTTTTAGGTTGTGTGTATTTTACTGCAATTAAAACAAAAACAAAAACAAAAAACCTTAAATGTTCAAAACGTGAATGCATGCAATCTTAGTTTCCTCAAGCCTCTGAGTCCTGACAAGGAGGCTAGAATGAAGGCACATCTGGCACCGTGTTCTAGATTCTAAAAGCGAGACTCCTTTTCAGAGGCAGCATCCCTGTGTGTGGTCCTCAGCCGCCCACTGTGGTCAGTGATGGGGCATTCCCAGGATCTGGACACTCTTGTTTCATTTCTAAACCTGAGCCCCCTGAAAGGAAGGAACCTGTTTGTTGAGGACTCTGTTAAAATCAGGTTGGGGAGAGTTTTCTGGGAAATAGCTTCATAAATTGTGTGTAGATACAAAACTAACAGGCACATGAAAGATTTGTATTTTGAAAACAAAACCCCAGTGGGATTCTCTCAGCAGAAAATGAAAAGGTCTTCTTAACATTCAGTTGAACTATTAGAGCCATTTTTGCTGTTGCAAGCACTAATGCAGGTATGGCCACTGCCACAGCCCCAGATTGCAGCACAGCAAATTAGCAAGGTTTTAACTTGGCTGCAAATATCAAGCTGGCTGCTTGTCATTATGCAAAAAGGAATGGGGCTGGGAGGGGGACCGGCACGTAGCGGCAAAGCACATTATAATTGTTTAAGCAGGCCCCACAAGTCATGCATTTCAATTATTTGTTCAAAGCAGCCTGCAATTAGGAGTTGCAAACAAGGCTTTTGAATGCAAAGTCAGACAATTAAAATGTTTCATGAGTGCATTAGAGAAAGAAGTTCTGAATTAGCACTTTGAATACACAAGACCTCTTTTTCTAATCTCTAGTCCCTTTCACTCTGTGAAAAAAAGAGAGAGTGAGAGAAAGACATTTTGGGCTGTGGTGGAGGTGATTTGGGTGTTTACTTATTTATATCAAATGCCTGACTAATCCAGGGAAGATTGAACCATCCTAATCGGCCCCTCGTACGTTTCAATGTCTCTTGTTACTTGCCAGATAGTCCTTGTCGAAGCATAATGGCCCAGGTGCCAAACCCATCACCCAAGGGGGTCGTAAATCCCTTTAAGCATCTCTCCTCCTCCTTCCCTCACCACTCCCCATTCTTTCCTTTGAAGAAGCGGGTCTATTTGAACCAGTGATTTGTGACTTTCCAGTATTTAGGGCACAACCCCGAGCTGGTTGCACTAACACACAGGCTGGGGGAAATGAGTACACTGGCCAGTGTTGGGATCAGGGAGGAGAGATTCTGTGTGTTCTGGGGTGCCGATGAGCAGAAGCTGGCTGCTCTGGGTAAGCATGAAAAAGACACTAACCTGCCTTTTTCTTTGAAGGAAGATCTGCTGTTAAACTCCTTTCCCTCCCCCACCTACCTCCCCACCCACACATTCCCTTCCCCAGTCCACAAATGCCGTACTGACATTAAATTTTATTTTATGATGTATTTTAAGAACGCTTTAAAATTCTGATCAGAGGAGACACTTTGAGGAGAGGCGGGTGTATCAAACATAGGGGGAAATGTAAACACTCCTCCTTCAACCTTTTTTCCCTGTTAAATTGTGAGGCTTCCTAAAAAGCATTATTTGTACGAGGCATCAACCATTATTACAAACTAAGTGACTGCAACCCAAAGCACTTTACGTTATTATTCAGTGTGTGAGATTAACCAGGACAATCCTGACAATTTAAGGTGAAAATTGCTAACGTATCAGTTAATGTGTGCCTGTGTGCATGCATGCCTAATTTGAGAGCCTGG
The DNA here is from genome assembly GCF_000001405.40 of Homo sapiens. Taxonomy (NCBI): domain Eukaryota; kingdom Metazoa; phylum Chordata; class Mammalia; order Primates; family Hominidae; genus Homo; species Homo sapiens. The sequence continues at coordinate 60,117,730 of NC_000015.10, read as the reverse complement.
TGGCTAGCAGCCTTAATTTATCATTTCCTGACTGTAGCTAATTTATGAAAGATGATTTAAGTAATCCTATTTATCCTTTTATAAAGAAAACACATTTTAAAAATTATCTGGTTCAGGTAGGGAAAAGTTCTTTGAAAAAAACCCCTCTAATATGGAAAATAAATATTCAAAATATGGATATTGTGAATAGTATGCAATTCTTTTCTAATTACTTTGCCTCCAAGCAATCGTTCAGGGTTCAGAACACTGTTAAAATACCAAGTATCTGATAGGATTGATGAGACTTTATGTGATCAATACATTTTATCAGTTGAAAATTTTAATGTTTTTCTGTGGGAAACATTTCTATAGGCCTACCTAAAAATAAGTTGTTTTTCCAATTAGCCCATGCATAACTAAGGATGCTGTCATGAGAAGCATTAAAATCATATCATTTTAATGCTTGAGATATGTAAGTACAACAAAATATTTGTTTTAGTTGGCACAGTTTTTAATATCTTGCTTTTTTTTTTTTTTTACAACTCTGACATTTTAAATCTTTTGAAAGACCCGAAGTGATAAACTGAATCATTCTAGATTGATTAGGTTTTTGTAACCTACTACATTAGTTTTGCTGATCTGTGTTTGAAGGTAGTAAGTGCCATATAAAAAAAGACTTTATTTAAAAATCAAAATAGCTGTACATTCTTTACCATAGGCTTGTCCAAGGTAATTTACAATAGAAAGGGGAGGGGAAGGAAGTCAGCTGTGAGGGAAGCTCTGCGTAAAATCCCACTTAGGTGCAACCTGAGTCTCCTCCCCAGAACAACCTTTAAAAACATCTGTCCTGAATGGGGAGCTTTAATCTGCAGGAGAGACTCAATAAAATAAATGATAGCCAAGCCTCAGTCATACCAGTGGAAACTGACAAATAATAAATTGTATTTGATTTGGTGATTTCTGGATTGCTTCACAACTTTTGGGTCTGCTTATTTATTTACTCATTAGTTTTATGAGTGTTAGTTCTACAGCTGGCTTCTTTTTCTCTAAAGAGGTAATTTAATCAGAGGGTGTGCCTACAAGTTGTACTAACATAACAGGTGTTAAACCCTAAACAGCCTGAAAACTAGCTCTGAGACCTTCTTAAGTTGACTCGGAGAGGGAAAAAGAAACAAGAAAAAGAAAAATACCCCGAAAACATTTCTCTCCCAGGCTGCTGTCACAAGTAGGTATTCCTCCCAAGGGTGACTAAAAGCAGTTGCTCCTGCAGTAAGAAAGAGAGAGGGAAAAGACTGTCCAAGCTCTGCTCTTCTAGAACTTGGAGACTTAGGGTCTCCAATGTCTGACAGGTAACCTAGAAGATGCAGCCAACCTTTTCAGGAGGCAGCCAAGGAGAATCGAAGCTGCTTATCCCCATGTTACTCCCCTTCTCATTGCACATTTTATTCCAATCCATTTCACAATCAAGAGGTAGTGGGAATCTTGCCACTGAAATGCCACCATTTCTGGGACCCAGGGCTGGAAGCCAACCAGCCCTTTGGATATCTCAGTAGGAGGCAGAGAGAAGTTTCTGCTGAAGGACACCAGTACAAACGCCTTTTATGCGAGGGGACATGGAAATACTTCAAATTATCTACCTTCAAAAGCTGAGTGTTTGAGTCGCTACCCAAGAACGGATTCCTGAGTCTGTGAAATGGAAAAACAAAGGTGTTCAGGGCTGGGTAACAGGACGGAGGCTTTTCCCAGCTGTAGAATTCAAGGATGATGAAAGGGAGATGCAATAGAATGTAAAACAAATTGTTCACTGGAGAGTGGAAAATACAGATTTGAAAGTTAAGTGTCTGGAACAAGAGAGATATGAGTCACTGGAATTTACAAGTTACTATAGGAAACAAAGATAAAGAGATCATGAGAGAAGTAGTAACGCCAGTAGCAAAATGGCATTTCGTTAACTGCAAAACTAGATGATGGCAGAAACCGTTCATCAACTGGGGAAAGAGATAGTAATTATCTGCTGTTGAAGACAACAGCAGATAATAGCATTGACATAGGGACCTACAGGAACAAAATTGGGTGTTTGGCAATTATGTCAAATGGGAGCACAGATTTTTCTTCCCCTTCAACATGGTAAATCAGAGAAAATTAGGTCTGGAGGGCACTCAGTTTCCAGTAGGGAAGAGAGGAAAGCTTGGTTTTCCAAGGGGCGATGGTATTCCACCTAGAGGGAAACTGGTTTTCTCTGTGCCAAATAGCAGGGCTTCTTATGTGAAGGTCAAAAACACATTTGGCATTTTGAATTTGTGTGTGTGGATGCAAAATATGTGTGAGGAAAAGTGCATAAATACCCCAACAGCTGCCACCATCAGGCCAAGAAATAGGAGACTGCCAGCCCCCCGGTGTATCCTTCCCAACCACAAATCCGGCGTCCCCCAGAGGTACTATCCCAACTTTAATTCTAACAATTCCCTTGCTTTTCCCTATTCTTTTGTGATCTCTGTATACTTCTCTAAACAATATAGCTTAGTTTTGTCTGTTTTTGAGTTGTATATGTTTATGTACATGTAGATAGAAATGTAGCCACAGTCTTCTTTCAGGTCTAGCTTCTTCTCAACATTATTTTTGTTACTTTCATCCTTGTTGGGTGTAGGTGTAGTTTGTTCACTTCCATTGCCAAATCACATCCCATTGTACGCATGTATCACAACGTATCCATTCTTTTGTTTCTCGGCATTTTGGCTCGTGCCAGAGATTAATAGTGAATCACCATCCCTGTGTTCTGCCGGGCACCTCTTGTTCCTGGGCACATCTGGATGGCTTTGTCAGCCTTCTTTCAGTGAGGTATGACCATGGGGTCTGGTCTGCCCACACACACCTCCCACCTATGATTTTCCATTATCTTCCCCACCCCCCTCCCCCACGTGTGGACTAGAGGTGACCTCTGGGTGTCCTTGGAAACCATGTGTAGAAGACTGGAAAGCCACAAGATAGAAAAAACCTCGGTTCCTGAATCACCGGTAGGATGAGAGCTGCCCAGAAGAACACCCTGATTGGGAGCATCCACATTGGCCTAACATGGGAGTAGGAAATAAACGATTTTATCGTGTCAAATGAATCAGCCAGCTTCACCTTAACTAATATGGAGTTGTTCCACTGTAGGCTATTAAGAACGATGCTGCTATGAAGTCTTGAAAATGTATCTTGCTGCACATAAGTCCATGATTCTAAAGGGTGTAAACTCAGGAGTGGAGCTGCTGGATCAAAGACTCTGCATATCTCCAACTTTATGAGATGATGGTGGTCTGCTTCCAAAATGTACTGCTTCCAGTTTATACTTTCACCAGCAGGGATAAGAGTTCTATGCTCATCAATCCTTGGTATTGTTCTTATTGTTTACTTGTGCCAGTAGGAAGGGAGTGGTTTGTCACAGTGGCATACAATTTGCATTTCCTCGACAACTGAGATTGCTTACACTTTCATGTGTTTATTAATCATTTGGATTTCCCCTTATATGAGGCCCCTGCCCAAGTCTTTTGCCAAGTCTTTTCTTGAGTTATCTTTCTCCTGGTGTGTAAGATTTTAAAAAATACATTCTGAACACTAGGCCCTCATGAATTATATGTGTTGGCTATTGGCTTCACCCATTCTATGGCAAAAATTTCTTTTTGCTTTTCAAATGCTATCTTTGGTAAATATAGTTTAGATGTAAAATTTATCAATTTTTAATTTAAGATTAGTATTTTTTTACTGTCTTAAGAAATCCTTCTCATAAATATTTTCCTATATTCTAAAATCTTTATAGCTCTGTTTTTTACATTTAGTTTTAAAATCCATCCACAATTATTATTTGCATATTATATGAGATAGGGGTTTAATTTCAGTTTCTCCCAAGTGATTCCCAATTTTTCCAGCATCATTAATTGAAAAATGTGTCCTTTTCCCACTACTCTGCTTTGCTACCTTTGTCAAATATCACGTGTTCATATATATATATATAATATAATATATATATTATATATATATTATATATATATATATATATATGAGTCTGTTTTAGGGCTTTCTGTTTTGTCCTAGTGGTCTATTTGTTTATCTCTGCACCAATTCCACAATATCTTGATTGTCATAGCTTTATAATGTCTTAGAATCTGATATAGCAAGACCTCCCAAGATTTCTTTTTCAAAAGTGTCTCAGGTTTTGTAAGCTTTTCGCATTTCCACATGAATTTTATGATCATCTTGAATTATTCCAAAACAAACTATTGAGATTTGAACTGTGATTTCATTAAATCTATAAGTAAATTTGGGGGAAATTTATTGAATTGGCATATTCCTCCAAACATGTAAATCTTTATTAATATCTCTCAGTTGATTTTTATACATTGATTTTGGATCTAGAAACACCCTAAATTCATGTTAATTCTAACAATTTATCTGTAGATTTTTAAAAATTTCTGTTTATACAACCATGTTATACATGAATAATGACAGATTCATTTCTTCCTTTTCACTTCTTATAACTTTTATTTATTTTTTGGTGCTGTATCGTCTAAGACCTCCAGTACAAAGTTGAATGAAAATAGTCCTGGTAAGCGTCCTCATCTAGTTCTTAATCTTAAAAGGAATGCTTTTAATATTTTACCATTAAGTATGTTATTTGCTGTAGGATTTTAATATATATTCCTTTACAGATTAAGGAATTTCACTTCTAATTCTGGTTTACTAAAAATTTAATTATTAAATGTTAAGCTTATATACTGGTATAATCCCCATTTGATCATAATATATTATTATCCTCTTCAATTATTATTGGAGTTTGCTCTCAGATGGTTTTTTAAGGATTTTTTGCATTGATATCATGTGTGAAATTGGCGTATGACTTACCTTTCTTATCTATGGTCCTTGTGAAGTTTTAGAATCTATACTAGTTTCTTATGAGCTGGGGATGTCCTCTCTTTTCCTATTCTCTGGAGGTTTGGGTAAAAAATAAAAATAACTGTATCTTATGTTTATTAGAACTTGCTGTAGAAGCCATCAGATACTAGTGTTTTCTTCATTGGATGATTTTTTTTTTTTTTTTTTTTTTGGTGGAGCCTCGCTCTGTCACCCAGGCTGGAGTGCAGTGGGGCACTCTCTGCTCACTGCAACCTCCGCCTCCTGGGTTCAGGCAATTCTTCTGCCTCAGCCTCCCAATACTGGATGATTTTTTAAACTATTAATTCAATTTGTAATTTTATGAGCATTCAAGTTTTCTATTTCTTTTTGAGTCCAACTTTTCCAAGAATGTCTCCATTTAATGTAAATCATTAAAATATATAGACAGAAAGGAGTTTATAATATCCTCATTCTCTGTTAATCTTTTTTTTTTTTTTTTTTAAAGTCTCACTCTTTCTCCCAGGCTGGACTGTAGTAGTGCAATCTTGGCTCACTGCAACCTCTGCCTCCTGGGTTCAAGCGATTCTCCTGCCTCAGCCTCTTGAATAGCTGGGCTTACAGGTGCCCGCCACCATGCCTGGCTAATTTTTGTACTTTTAGTAGAGATGAGGTTTTGCCATTTTGGCCAGGTTGGTCTCGAACTCCTGACCTCAAGCGATCCACCCACCTCAGCCTCCCAAAGTGCTGGGATTACAGGCGTAAGCCACTGCACCCTGCCATATGTCTCTTTTTTTCATTCCTCATATTACTTATTTGTGTCTTTCTTTTTCTTGATCAGTCTCAGCTGTGGCTTGTCAACCTTTTTTTTTTTTTTTTTTTTTTTTTTTTTTGTGACACGAAGTTTTGCTCTTGTTGCCCAGGCTGAAGTGCAATGGCATGATCTGAGCTCACTGTAACCTCCACCTCCCGGGTTCAAGCGATTCTCCTGCCTCAGCCTCCTGAGTAGCTGGGACTACAGGCGCCTGCCAACATGCCTGGCAATTTTTGTATATTTAGTAGAGATGGGGTTTCACCATGTTGACCAGGCTGGTCTTGAACTTCTGACCTCAGGTGATCCACCCGCCTTGGCCTCCCAAAGTGCTGGGATTACAGGCATGAGGCACCGCTCCTGGCCCTGTCAATTTTTTTAACCTTTTCAAACAAACAACTCTTGTTTTTTGCTAATCTTCTAGATTGTATATGTCTTTTCTATTTCATAAATTGTCACTTATCTTTATTAATTCCTTCCTGTTGCTTTCTTTGAATTTGATTTGCTATTCTTTTACATTTTTTAGGGCTATTAGAAGGAAATAATAGTGGCATCATCTGTTCTCTTGTGGGTTGAGAGGAGATGAAGTCCTGCCCAGCATGAACTCTCATTAGAAGTTGTACTAATGGAAGAATCATAAGTGCCAGCATTGGATAATTCAGATGACATTTATTTTTAGTCTTAGAACAGAATACAGTTTTCCCACTACAGTTTAGGAGTCTGGTTGTTGATAACTGCTAATGTAAGAAAATTTTGAAATTAAGAATTAAGAAACTTGGGACTTAAGGGGGAAAATATGACTAGAGAGCCAAGAGAGAAAACACCTCTATAAAATCCCACTAAATAGTCACGTATTCACTAAACTAAAACAACGGATATGACATCTTCAACAATGGCAATCTCAATGACATCTTACATTTTTCAACTAGTAATAGCGAAATTGTATGATGGGTTTCCAGTGATCATTTCTTGTTCTGTAGAAACCTTTTCAGTTTCAGTAGAAGACTTGTAAATTCATTGTGTGTGTGCGTGTGTGTGTGTATTCAGAGGTATGCATACTAAACAGTCTTTTTGCTTGAGTCTCATACTTCTCTTAATGCCCTAAGCTTTTCGAATTTAATGTTCAGGAATTATTGAGTTCACCTTTCAACAATTGTTCTTATATTTATCACTCCAGAGATATTATTGGAATACATTTGTAAGCCCTTCCTGCCTGCCTGCCCACCTTTTCTCCCTTTCTTCTTTCCTCTCTTTCTTCCTTCTTTCCTCCCACAAAGACCTATTCAATGCTTACTATTCAATGCCTGCTGCTTACTCTTCCGGCATTGTTCAAGGAATACAGCAATGAACAAAACAGAAAAAAATTCCAGCTCTTAGGTGGCTTATAAATCTGGTGGGAGTACACAAACAGTAACCAAGATAAATAAATAAAATATAAATGTCAGATGGTAGTAAGTGCTATGGAGAAACATAAATCAGGTAAAGGGGGCAGAGAGTGCCAGGGAGTGGAAAATGGAATTTAGGGAAGTTTGCAATTTAGATAGTGTAACCAAGGAAGATCTCACTGGGAAGGTGACATTTGAATAAAGACTTGAAGGAGAATGAGGAAGCAGCCATGAGGCTCTGGGGAGGCCAAGGTGAAGAACATTGCAGGCAAAGAGAACAACAAGTACCAATGCCAGGCCCTAAGTCCTTGTAGGCCACAGTAAAGCTTTTAGTTTAAGGAAAATGGGAAGCCAAGGGAAGATTATAAGCAGCCAAGTGACATGATATGGCTTATCCTCCAAAAGTTTTACTCTGACTGTTGTGTTGATAATTTTTGTATTTTAGTAGATGGGGTTTTACCGTATTGGCCAGGCTGGTCCGAAACTCCTGCCCTCAAGTGATCTGCCAGCCTTGGCCTCCCAAAGTGCTGGGATTACAGGTATAAGCCACCATACCTAGTTTTTTTTGTTTTGTTTTGTTTTGTTTTTGAAACCAGGTCTCTCTCTGTCACCCAGGCTGGAATGCAATGGCGCAATCACAGCTCACTGAAGCCTCAACCTCCCAGGGCCCAATCGATCCTCCCACCTCAGCCTCCCAAGTAGCTGAGACTACAGGTGTGTGCCACCACGCCCGGCTAATTTTCGTATTTTTTGTAGTGATGGGGTTTTGCCATATTGCCGAAGCTGGTTTTGGACTCCTGGGCTCAAGCCCTCCGCCCACCTTGGCCCCCCAAAGTGCTGAGATCACAGGTGTGAGTCACTGTGCCCCGCTGAGATACATGTTTTGAAAAGAGAAAGGACAAGATTTGATGGATCAGATGAGGAACATGGAGCAAAGTATGAGGTCCAGGATTGCTCCATAATATTTGGCCTGAAAAACTAAGAGTGAAGTGCTATTTATAGAAAGGGGGGAAGATGTAGAAAGAGCAGGTTTGGAAGAGCAGATCGGGAGTTCAGTATTGGATATACTAAATTTGAGAAGTGTGTAAGGCAGCCAAGTGAGGAAACTGGATATTTAAGTCCAAACTGAGGTGCAAGGTAGGCTGTCATTGTTAATTTGGGTATTATAAGCATATAGATATTTTGTAAGACTTTATCATGAAAAATATTCTTTCCTTCTTCATCACTGACTTTATGTCACAATTTTCCCTTTTTCTAATTATCCTAAATAAGAATGACTTTGCTCTCCTGAAAATAAAATTCTTCCATTTTGACTAACGAGAAATAGTTCATTCACACTGAACTAGGATTTTTTTTTTTTTTTTTTTTTTTTTTTTGAGACGGAGTCTCTCTCTGTCGCCCAGGCTGGAGTGCAGTGGCGCGATCTCGGCTCACTGCAAGCTCCACCTCCCGGGTTCACGCCGTTCTCCTGCCTCAGCCTCCCTAGCAGCTGGGACTACAGGTGCCCGCCACCACCCCTGGCTTATTTTTTGTATTTTTAGTAGAGACGGGGTTTCACCATGTTAGCCAGGATGGTCTTGATCTCCTGATCTCATGATCCGCCCGCCTCGGTCTCCCAAAGTGCTAGGATCACAGGCGTGAGCCACTACGCCCGGCAGATTTTTTTAAAAAAATAAAATTCCCCATAAAAATAGAAATATAAATTTAAAGAGTAAAACATAGCAAGACAGACATGTAATTGTTAATCATCTACAGAGCCATTACAAACTTAAGTCAATAACATCTGGAACAAGTAAGTTAGAAACACTAAACCCTTAGGCTTATTTGGTGCCATCTCTCTAATTTCAACTTGATGTCAAGTTCTGCTAAACCACTTAAATGATGCTTTGCTTTTCTTCTTTTTTTTTTTTTTTTTTTTGAGACAGAGTCTCGCTCTGTTGCCCAGGCTGGAGTGCAGTGGCATGATCTCGGCTCACTGCAGCCTCTGCCTCCTGGATTCAAGCAATTCTCCTGCCTCAGCCTCCCGAGTAGCTGAGACTACAGGCATGCACTGCCACACCCGGCTAATTTTTTGCATTTTAAGTAAAGATGGGGTTTCACCATGTTGGCCAGGATGGTCTTGATCTCCTGACATCATGATCCACCTACCTCGGCCTCCCAAAGTGCTGGGATTACAGGCCTCAGCCACTGCATCCGGCCAATGATGCTTTTCTATTTTACTTCAAGAGGAGCCTTTACAGTCTCTCATGGAAGTTACTCACAGTTTTTGTGCCAATTCCCTTTCTATGGTCTGTAGTGGCAAGGCTACCTGATTCAACTATGGGGTTTAAAAAGCCTTTGGTTCTTCTCCCTCACTATTTGCACTGTAACTCCTGCTCTTAGCTTCCTCTAAATAAACGCTTTCAGATAAAACTCCCCTTGCCATTCTCTAATTCTCTTTCCTGATATTGGCCAAATTAGAAAGAGAAAAGACCGAAGTACTTCCCACTTTCCTCACCTACTTAATGATGCAGCACTGATAAGTCTTTCAATCAGGAGTCAAATTTGAAAAATGTCAATAAAATATGTTTTTATTCTTTCTTCTCTATCTCAGTATTGTATTTGCCTTTCTACCCATCTCTCTACCCTTCCATTTATCCATCTATTCATGCATCCCTCTATCTACTCACTCATATATTTCATAACAACCAAAGGTCCTGTATAGTTTTCAAACTGCTTTTATTGTGTCTCACCTCAATGTACTGGGTGAAGGAAGAAAAATTCCACATTTATGTAGCCTAGGCCCAATGGACATAAACAGAAAACTTATGTATTTCTACCCATTCTCCCTCTAATGTACCCCTCTCTCCTTTCAAATGCCCCTGATCCTTAGCATATCCAATCCGGTTCTTTTTTCTGTGTAACATAGAATGTTTTTGCATTCTAGTCATGGCCACTGGCAGCTTCATAGCATTTACTACTTTCTCTCTCCACCCAAAATTGTACCCTCAAACCCACTTCTTAGGACTTATGACTTTGCAGTTACTAAAGTCTTTCATGCAATCTTTAGTAAAGAAATTGAGAAAAACTGGAATTCTGTTTTAATGTTGGGGATTCTAATTTCCTCTATCTCAAAACCTGTCCATGATAAGTCTCCCCTTTCCTTCTTTTGTCCCATTTATGGGTAAGAGTGTCATTCATCATGCCAAGGCTAGTTCCTCCCCCTGTGTTTTTGAGCCCTTACCTACTCACTTCTCCTGAGATCTTACCTCCTACCTCTTCTGAGACTTGCCTTTCTTGTATCTTGTATGTCTCCTTCTCTGCTAGCTCCTTTCCTCTGGTCTTCAACACATTCAGGCATCTCGAACTGTAAAATAGTTTAGCTTCTCTGTTGTTTCCTGCCAGGATCCCCATTGCTGCCACACACATTCCCTGTTTCTTCAACTTGCCCACTCTCTTCTCACTCCTTAGCATTTTGCAGTTTGACTCATATCCTCACCACTGTCCTGACTGCTCGTTTACAGATTGTCTGGAACCAAGTGCAATGGCCTTTTCTTGAGCTGTATTATTTTCAACTGTTCTCTGTAGCATTTTAACACAAGGCAAAATTTGACAAAGGAGCTGTTGACAATTGAAGTGGGTTTTTGGTAAAGAATAGCTACTACTTGGAGAAGACTTGGTTTACTTACCTTGATCTTGTCCTAGTCTGATAGGTCAAGAAACTGGAGTCTTCCCATACATCCAGAGATGAAAATACCCTTGTGATATGGTCTGGCTCTGTGTCCTCACCCAAATCTCATCTGAAATTGTAATCCCCATGTGTCAAGTGAGGGATTTAGAGGGAAGTGATTGGATCATGGGGGTGGTCTCCTCCCATGCTGTTCTTGTGATAGTGAGTTCTCACAGGATCTGATGGTTTTATAGGTGGTGTTTTCCACTCCTCTCTCTTGCCTGCCGCCATGTAAGATGTGCCTGTTTCCCATTCCACCATGATTGTAAGTTTCCTGAGGCCTCCCCAGCCATGCAGAACTGCGAGTCAATTAAACCTCTTTCCTTTATAAATTACCCAGTCTCGGGTATTTCTTTATAGCAGCATGAGAATGGACTCATATATCTTGAGTATATGATGACACTCATTGAACTCCCAAGTGGCATTGAGAGCCAAATTTTTAACACAATGGTAGGCAAAATTTCTTTCTTTCCTGGTCTTAAGCAGGAAAAGCATCCAGCAAATCTTGATTATTATCACTATGTGCCTTGTGAGTGTTAGCTGCAATGTGCTACAATGGAATAGAAAGGCTGTGAAATTAACTAGATCCAGACTTGAATTTGACTCCATATCACTTGACTAGTTGTTTAATTTTGGAAACTTGTTTAGCCTCTCTAGCCGTCAGTTTCTGTATCTGTAAAAAATAAGTATATTACCTAATTGGGGGTATTGTTGTAAAATTTATCAATATGTCATAGTAATATCACATAAAATGTACCTAGTGTCATCACCATCATCACCAACAGACATTTGAACACTCAGATGTGCCAGACATAGTAACTGATGAGGTTACAAACTGTGACCAGTGCACTGTCCCTGTGCATATGAAGTCTTCAGTGTTGTGGGGGTGGCAGAGATAAACAGCCAAATGCACCATAGGAATTTGCATGAAGGTATGTCAAAGGTATTGTGCAGCACAGAAGAAGTACTGCTTATCTACTTACGGTTTCCCTCTCATCTTTGTTGGATTGGACCAACTCATGGCATTCTCCACATCTCAGGCTCAATGTCACGCTTTCCCTGACACATTTGGCCATGTGCCCTTGCAGTTACCATTTTGTGGCATTCATCACAGAGGTAATTACTTACTAATGTGTGTTTCAGACTCATAACCTCATGGAGCCAATGACTATTTCTGCCATGTTCCTTGCTGTATCCTCACGCCTAGTGCAGTGCCTGGCACATTGCAGGGGTTTAAGACATATTTGTGTAGTTAAATCAAGAACTATAAGGGGGTTGGCGGGGTTGCATGAGGGAGTAGTTGAGAAAGTGAAAAGACTCTAGGGGTGAGATAATGAGGGGCCTTTTTTGATGAAAAGAGTTTGGACTTCAAATAGCAGAGAATGGTGAACCATTGAAATATTTTATTTTATTTTTATTTTTTTGAGACAGGCTCTGGCTCTGTCATCCAGCTCACCATAGCCTCAACATGCTGGGCTCAAGCAATCCTCCCACATCAGCCTCTGGAGTAGCTGGGGCTACAAGCTCGCACCACCACACCCAGCTAATTTTTAAAAAAGTTTTCGTAGAAATAAGGTCTCACTATGTTGCCCAGGCTGGTCTTGAACTCCTGGGCTCAAGTGATCCTCCCTTGGCCTCCCAAAGTGCTGGGATTACAAGCACAAGCCACTCCGTTAGCCTACTGAGAGATGTTAAACAAGGGATATAATTCGGTTGGAGCTTAGAAAGTTCATTCTGGCAGCAGTGTAGTATATTATGGGGTGTATGTGATGGGGTGGGGGGATGAAAGACATTCAAGAGTTTAGTGAGGAGGCTCTTGCTCAAGACCAGGTGAGAAAACACGAGGACTCAAATAAAAGCAATAGCAGTGGGGATGGAGCAAGCTGTTTGAGAGTCAGAATGAATGTGACTTAGTGAACAAGTAGATGTGAGAAGTAAGGAAGAAGAAGAATTCTAGATTGATTTCCAAGTTTCTACCTTGTATGTGGGATGTTGGAACCCATTGTACTTGAAAGATGAGCTTTGGCATCAGACAGCTAGGATGTGACATCAGGCATCATTCGCCTTAGTTTTTCCATCTGTAATGAAAATTTCAATAGCTCCCTTGGGGGTTGGTGTGGTATGAAATGTTTGTCACTGAGCAGAGACAACACTTCAGTTTGTCCATGTGTTCCCACCTCTGTAATTGAGCCTTGGCTAAAAGAATAAAAATAGATTCAATGGGGAAGACAGAGAACTTGGATTTGCAAACTTTAAGTTTTAGACATCTTTGTGGTACTCACCTTTTGAATACACAATAAAAGATCTTAAAACTAAAACTGAGGCTAACAACATTGTAAACTTCTACAGTTCTTGTAAGAGATTTTTCATATAAGAAGCCATGCATTCTCCCCCAACCCCCCAACCCCCCAACCCCATAGACTTTTGGAACCTATTACAGACCGAACAAGTTGGAACATGTTTGCCTTGTGGACCATTAGAAAGAGCATAGACTTTGGAATCAAATCTGACAGAGGGGGAATGTCTACTTCTGGCTCAGATTTCTCATTAAAGAGTGGAATTGATGGTTGGTGTCACTCAGGATGGTGTGTGATTAAGATACCTCCCAGTGGAAAATCTACGAGTGTGCTTGAATCATATAGTCACTCAGTAAATATACATTTCTTTCCCTCAAAGTTCCAAATCACAACAAAAATATTACTTAAGAAAAATTTTAAAGAGCCACTTAAACTCCAATGGACTGACCTGCAGTCAGTACACCTGCTTTCAGCCAAAGCTCCATTTCCTACAACTATGCTACTTGACAAAAAGTGTTTATAATTATTATACATGTTGGCCAAAGATAATATAAGATATGGAATCAAAGGCCAACTCAGTAACATTTGGGGCAAATTAGAATACTAAAATAAAAATGCGTGTTAGACTTTGAAGTCAACATGAAGAGTTAAGATAAAAAATGTAATTCATTTATTTTTCAGTTATCCAGAAAATAGTTTGTCACGGTTCCTCACAACTCCCAGCACTTTGCATAGTTAAGATTAGAGAGAAAAATCTGTATTGATTTGCTTTGGTACTAGTTTTGTTTGGTGACATCATCTCTAATGTCATCCTTATCACAAGGGTGGACAACTTTGCAGAAGATGTTGCTTTTCTAGCAGGGCAAGAGGAGAATAAGTGTCTTTTAAGAGCCTCCAACCTTTTAATTTATAAAGTTGAGAACTATTACCAATATTTAATCTTTAGCAATCAGTTCCTGTTTTAATCCGCAGTAAAAAAGGGGTTGGCTGTTTGTTCATGAACTTTTTACAAGCTTAAATTCCTATGACAAAAGTCAAATTAAACAATAGATGCTACTCAACGATACAATTTTTTAAAAAGACAAAAATTTAAACATTTTTATAACGAGAACTCTAGTATTTTCACTGACGTCCACTATAAGCAAATATTTTGGAGTATATCACAAATGATTTAGGTTATGGTGAGGATTAGAATTCTTTTCCTTAGTGGAGGAATTCCAGGCAGAATTCGGCATTTCCTCTGTCAAATTAGTCTGACTCCAAAGCCCATGCTCTTTCTAATACATCACAGGTTAAATCTGCTTAAACAAGTTCTCTTCAAAAATGGTTTCAAAAGTCTGCACAAATGTGTGTGTGTCTGTGTAATGGGATGGAAGCCCGCGAAATCAAAATAGTTCTTTTTATGAACAGATGAAATTCAGAAACCTTCAGGAAAAGAAATAGTGTTTTGCAAAATTTAAGCTTTAAAAAACAGATGTAGATTATGATTTCTGTGAAAAGACATTCTTGGTTTGCAATGGGATAAATGGCCTAATTTTCTTGCTCTTGTTAGTAACATGATATTTTGGTTGCCATTCTATGAACTGACATGATCCTGACATAAGAGAATAGATGTGAGTTAATGAAAGATTCTCTGAAACTAAAGCTGGCAATTTTATTACAAGTGATTGATTTAGAGGAGGTATCAGAAATGGATGATATAATTTGACTTTATTTGTGATATTAACAACTACAGTTGAACAACTTTAGTGTAATCAGCAAAGTCAATATATTATTACATCACTATGATCTCACTCCTTCTACATCATTAGAGTTTACTTTCTTTATAATCAGATGACTGCCTTTGGTTGGCCTGGGACTATCCTGGTTTTAACACTATAGGTTTCCCTCAGTCCCAGCCAAATAGGGATGCCTAGTCACCCTATACATAACTCTAGATATAAAGTAGTCAATGGCTGGACATGGTGGCTCATGCCTGTAATCCCAGCACTATGGGAGGCTGAAGAGGGAGGATCGCTTGAGCCCAGAGTGTGATAGTAGCCTAGGCAACATAGCAAGACTCTGTCTCTACAAAAAATGAAAACTTAGCCGAGAATGGTGGTGTGCACCTGTTATCCCAGCTACTCAGGAGGCTGAAGTGGGAGGATGGTTTGAACTCAGAAGCCTGAGGATGCAGTGAGCTATGATAGTGCTGCTGAACTCTAGCCTGGGTAACAGAGGGAGACCTGTCTCTAAATAAATAAATAAATAAATAAAGTAGTCAATGCCTCCTTAAAAGCATTTAGAATATTACCCCAAAACTTTTTTTTTGTAAAGAATGACGTGCAGTTTTTTTTGTTTTTTTGTTTTTTTTTTTTGAGTGAGGGAGAGGTACTAAAATATTTGTCATTTGAATTTAGTGGTGTATATCAAAATAGATGATATAACATTTTCTTTTCAAATCTAAATATTCCTGATTTTGAATCGGGCAACACTGTATTTATCTGCCACCATGAGTCTCCCTCCCCCAGCCATTGTTTTCATGACCTCAGTTTCTCGTGAGGCATAGCCCCAGGATGTAGACTGAACAAAGTAACCAAGATGGGCAGGTCCTTGAACTGCTTTGTTCACAGAACGAGAAAACCAACATCATAGGCAGTTGGTCTTTAATTCTCTGCAAGGCTTGCTGCACCTCATTAAACCTGAGACCCCGCAAGCAACAAGCTTAGACTAGGCACTAAAGGGATCTCAATTTGGCAAGAAAGTGGCCAAATCACTCTTGCTGGTGAATTCCAACTTCTCAAATTAAGACCTTTGCCCCCCTACATGTTTACTCTGAGTTCCAGCAGCAATTCCCTCTCCAATTGCAGGTTACTTTGCTACGGAGCAAGTCCTTGGTAGGCATTCTGTTCAATGCGGTAGCCTCTGGAAGTCACAGTGAGGTTTATGGTTCAGTACTGCTGGTTTGCCCTGTTCTTCCCAGCTGCTGGAGCAGCCGCAAGGGGCAAAAGGTGACCAGGTCACTTCTACTCCACCTGCTTCTGTTGTTGTTTCTTTTAAATCCTCTTAAGTGGACTTTTAAGTGTGAACTTTGCAACCATGCCCTGGCTAAAGAACAACCTCAGAGGCAGCTGCAGCTTGTTCAAAGAGATGGGCTGGTGGGAATCCCAGACTCTCCTGATTTCTGTTCACAAACTCTCACTAATCTGGCAACCAGGTGGTTAATGCCAGTGTTGACCGCATGGACACGCAAGTGTCTTTCTTTGCCCAAAGTCTGCAGGAGGTCAGCAGCTGGAAACACTGAAGTCTGAATTTCTCACATCCAGGTATAAATGGGGAAGTCAGAAATTTCTCCTTGTTTTCCACTTAAAATGCTGAAGAAGAAATAAACTTTAGAAATCAGCTAGCCAGAATCGCAGAAGTTGCCTGTGAGCCCAAAGAGTTTGCATGAATTGTCTATTGGTGTGTCACAAATGACCCTTTTGCAGTGAAAACTGGAATCATGTGGTAGGAATAAGCAAGGACAGTGGAACCAGTCTGCCTGGGTTCAGTCCCTAGCTCCCTTCACTTAGTGTGGCCTTAGATGAGGTATTGATCTCTCTCTGTACTTCAGTTTTTCCATCGGTAAAATAGGAACAACAAGAGTACATACCTCAGAGGGTTATTTTGAAGACTAAATGAATTAATATTTGTAAAGTACATAGAACAGCACCTGACACAAAATAGGAGCTGTATATTTTTTAGTTAGTATTACAGTAACAAACCTAGCAGTTTATCACATAACCTGATATGGGTCTCAGTTCTTGAGATAACATCTGCAAGGTTGACCATTATTATTATTATTTGAGACATGGTCTCACTCTGTTACCCAAGCTGGAATGCAGTGGTGCAATCACGGCTCACTGCAGCCTCAACCTCCTGGAATCAGTTGATCCTCCCAGCTCAGTCTCCTTGGTAGCTGGGACTACAGGCCCATGCTGCTACACCCAGATAATTTTTTTTTTTTTTTTTGAGACAGAGTTTCGCTCTTGCTGCTCAGGCTGGAGTGCAATGGTGCGATCTCGGCTCACTGCAACCTCAGCCTCCCGGGTTGAAGCGATTCTCATGCCTCAGCCTCCCGAGTAGCTGAGATTACAGGCATGTGCCGCCACGCCCAGCTAATTTTTTGTATTTTCTGTAGAGACAGGGTTTCTCCATGTTGGTCAGGCTGGTCTTGAATGCCCAACCTCAGGTGATCCTCCTGCCTCCGCCTTCCAGAGTGCTGGCATTACAGATGTGAGCCACCTTGCCCAACTACACCCAGATAATTTTTTGTATTTTTTATAGAGATGAGGTCTTGCTGTGTTGTCCAGGCTGGTCTTGAACTCCTGGGCTCAAATGATCCTCCTGTCTCTGCCTCCCAAAGTGCTGAAATTATAGGCATGAGCCATGCTGCCAGTCTTGATCATCACTGATAATATTTTTGATCTGCCTACTCTGGGCCCAGTGCTAAATAAACATTTTACACATATTGTCTCATTTAAATTTTATAAAAAATTTTATAAGAACCAATGGAGTTGATGTTATCATTATCCCTATTCTACAGAGAAGAAAACTGAGGCTCAGCCAGGCTGAATATGATGCCCAACATCACAAGTTGGTAAATAGCAGGGCTTGGACTCACACCCAGGTGCTTCTGACTCCAGAGCCCACAGATTTGAGCCCTCTGCTTTCTGTTATTTGTTTGTTTTTTTTTGAGACGGAGTCCCGCTTTGTTGCCCAGGCCTGAGTGCAGTAGTGCGATCTGGCCTCACTGCAAGCTCTGCCTCCCGGGGTCACGCCATTCTCCTGCCTCAGCCTCCGGAGTAGCTGGGAGTACAGGCTCCCACCACCACGCCCGGCTAATTTTTTTTTGTATTTTTAGTAGACACGGGGTTTCACTGTGTTAGCCAGGATGGTCTCGGTCTCCTGACCTCGTGATCCACCCGCCTCGGTCTCCCAAAGTGCTGGGATTACAGGTGTGAGCCACCGCGCCCGGCCGCCCTCTGCTTTCTGACTCCTGTAAGCCAGCTTTCTCTCATGTAGGTGACTAGTTCTTGCATCAAAGTTACGCCTGAAGACCAGTTACCTGATCGTGAGCTCCAGTAGGTTGGGTCATGTTGTCCAAGGACTCCCAAGTTGTGCAAGCGCTGCATTTGTACTTGGGACATTTTGTCATGACTAGCACACACTTCTTCGGGAAGGGATGGCTGGAGCTGCTTATGCTACAGAAAGAACCCAGCATGAACCAGCTTCTTCTCACTCAAGCCCTGCAAGTCTGAAACGGGCGTCCAATCTACCTCCAAGAGAACCAGAGAGACCAGCAAGATAAGCCCTAAGGAGCCCTTGTCCTTCAGAGGCAGTGGGGCACAGTGGAAAGAATATAGGCTGAGAGCCTGAGAGAGCCTAGCTCTTAGCAGTTGTGGGGCCTTCTGTTATCAGTCCACCTTCTGTAAGCCCCAGGTTCCTCCCTTGTAAAACGGAGGTCATGGTCTCCATTTTGAGGGGTTGTGTGAGCATTAAATAAGTAAATGGAGCTGCACTTTCAGGGTCCGAATTTTGGCTCCCCTACTTATTATATGTGTGACCTTGGGCAAGCTACATCAGCTGTCTGAGTCTATTACCTCATTGGCAAATGGGGTTAAAGAACTCCAACTCCATCAGTTCTTCTGGGCACTCCCTTTTTGTTCTCTTCTTTTAACTCGGTTACATGTGGGCTATGATGGGGAACTCAGATATTTTTGGCTTTAATATAGAAGAAGGAAGTTCTTCAAGAGGAAGATCTTTGTGGTGTGGTGAAAGCATATTTAGCTCTGGGGCATGGGAGCAGAGATTGTACCTGAATTATTCCTTTTTGGATCCTAGGATCCAGCAGAGTATCCCACACAGATACCAACAAACATTTTAGAAGTGAGTGAGTGAATACTAGGGTATGTAACCATTTTCATTCTTCATGTATCTATCTTAAATTATAAACTTCCTTCAGTTTTTTTTTTCCAAAAAGGTAAATATGTGGGCCCAAGATTTTAGTGGTTTTTAAAAAGGAAAGAAAATTAATTTTCCCTAGTAGGTAGTTCGTAGTCTAAGCCAATATCACACATGCCACAAACTTGCTATGTGATTATGTGTAAATAACATAATATCCCTGGTCATCATGATCTGGAATCATTCACAGAAACTGAAGCTAACTTTTGTGTACAGTGACACTCAAATGTCTGCTGCATGAATAAATGATGTTTTGCTAACAACCAGAACTTGATTTAGTCATGGATAGAACAATATCTCATAGACAGAATAATTTAATATTATTATAAATAATAATTATGAGGATATATAGGGCTGAAGAATGCCCCCCGCCAAAGATATCCATGTTTTAATGCCAAATTTGGTAACTGGAAGTTAGTTGCTCATGTAATAAATACTTAAAAATGTAGAAGTGATTTTGGAGTTGGATCATGGCTACAGGATGGAAGAATTTTGAGGCACATGACAGAAAAAAACAGGTTGCTTTAGACAGGCTGTGGATAGAAACATGGACAGTTAAGGAACTGCTGGTGAGGTCTCAGAAGGAAATGAGGAGCAAGTTAGGGAAAGCCTGTGTTGTCTTAGAGGATACATATATCATCTTAAACAGAATGTTGGTAGGAATATAAAGGTTAAATGCATTGCTAGTACTGGGTGCAATGGCTTATGCCTTTAATCCCAGCACTTTGGGGGGTTGATCAGCCCCAGGAATTCAAGATCAGCCTGGGCAACATGGCAGAACCCTGTCTCTACAAAAAATAGGAAAATTAGCCTAGTGTGGTGGTGCATGCCTGTAGTCCCAGCTACTTGGGCAGCTGAGGCAGGAGGATCACTTGAGCTCAGGAGGTCAAGGCTGCAATGAGCTCTAATTATGCCACTACCCTCTAGCCTGGAGAAGAGAGTGAGACTCTGTCTCAAAAAAGAAAAGTGTTACTGGTGAAGACTAAGAAGAAAACAGAAACATGTTACTGGAAACTGGAGGAAAGGAGTCCTTGTTAGTGGCAGAAACTTGTAAAAGATGAAATTAGACATTTAGCTGAGAAGACTTCTAAGAAAAGTGTTGAAAGTACAGCCTGGTCTTTTCTCACTGTATATAGTAAAATAAGAAAGGGAAGAGATAAATTGAGGGTAGAACTGTTAAGCAAAAACTACCCAGAATTAGATGGCTTAGGAAATTCTCAGCCTATCCAGATTGCAAAAGATGCTACAATTTGGAGATCCACTGTTTAGGAAATTGTGTTCTGGAGATAAAGCCAAGGTTGTAGCTGGACAACTTTTGCTAGTGCTTTAGAACTTCCCAAAATATCAAAATATTTATTTATAGAGAGGACCCTTTAAAGAGATTAAGGTGTGACTTATGCATCCATGGATCCCCACAACCATCTTAGGAGAAGCTGGGCCTAGAGATGGAATTATCTAGAAAAGACTTGTGGAGAATTATCTTATCTAATGGCGTGAATGCTCATGATATACATGGGAGACCCACAACGTTTTTGAGACTGTTGTATCAGCAGAAGCACTGCCAGGTTTGACTGAAAAACATAGGAGGAAATGAAGGAAGCCTGTCTGACTTTCAAAATTCTACAAGCAGGAAACAGGCTGATAAAACTACTCAGCAGAAAACATGTGCTGCCCTTCAAGAAAAAGAAAGAATGACCTTGAAGGTGGAGACTTGGGTCACCTTTCATTTTTTCTTTTTTGAGATGGAACATCTGTAACTGTTATCCTGTGCCTATCTCACCACTGTATTTTAGGATCAGGCAACTTCATGGAGAGAAATTTTGCCCCAGGATGAATGATACCCAGAGTTCCAACCATGCTTAACTTAGATGACCTAGATGATGAGTTTTGGGACTTCTGAGCTGATAATGTTTGGATGAGGTTTTGTACATAAGTTGGTGATTTAATGGGTTAAGACTCTGGGAGATGTCAAGATGGGGATAAATTCATTTTGCATCTGAGATGAACATGAACTTTCAGGAATGTCTATGGTAGACTGAAAAGAGTTCCTCAAAGATATCAGGTCTTCATCCCTGGAAGCTGTGAAGGTTACTTTTTGTGGCAAAAGAAAAGGAAAGAAAGGGACATTGCAGATACACTTAAACTAAAGATCTTGGTATGGTGAGACGATCCCGAGCCCTCCAGGTGGGCCCTAAATGCAATTGTATATAATATTTTAAGACAAAGGCAGAGGGGGATTTGCACATAGATAAAGAGGGGACAGTAACATGATCACAGAAGCAGAGATCGGAAAGACGTGATGACAAGGAAGCCAAAGAATGCTGGCAGCCACCAGAAGCTGGAAGGGGCAAGGAACTGATTCACTTCTAAAGCCTCCAGAAGGAGCATGGCCCTACTGACACTGTAATTTCAGTCCAGTTATACTGATTTCATTCTGGCCTTCAGAACTGTGAGAAAATAAATTTCTGTTGTTTTAAGCCATCAAGTTTGTAATAATTTGTTACAGCAATCATGGGAAACAAATACTAATTACTAATAATGGCAATTAACTTGTGGATTGCTGCCTTTTTCATGTAATTCCAATAGTGTGGATATTAAGTAAAGCTTCCTACATCTGCACAGTTGTATCTACATAGGAAACTTGACTCAATATGAGAGAGAAATCTTTTATTCTGTACTAAGAACAGTGGTTCCCAGACTTAGCTGAATTCTGCAATCACTGGGGGAGATTAAAAATGCCAGTACCCAGCCACAATCCAAACCAATTACATCAGAATCTCTGGAGGTAGAACCCAGCATCTGTACATTTTAAAACTCCCATGTAATCCCACAGTGCAGCCATGTGTGGGAACCACTGACTGAAGAGAAAGCACGAATATCTCTATCTGTGCTTGGACCTCAGCCTATAATCCTGGGTGTGAATTTTCAACAGCCTGCGAAGTGTCCATACCTGGTTGCCTCTATGGCACCTAAACTGAATTCATCAGAAACTCAACTCATTCCTTTCTCCCTGCAAACTTGCTCCTCCTCCTGTGCACCCAGCACACACAGTGGCACCTTCAGCTTCTCTGTCACCTTGGGGTTCATCTTGTGACCACCTTACTCTCTGTTTCCCACTCTGCCCCATCCCCAGATACAGACACTTCTTTTGTCCATTCTGTGGACCATGATGCACCACAGAGGGACCTTTGAAAGCTTTGGGGAGGCTTCAGAGGGTAGAGTGGAGGGGAATAAGTGGATTCAAAGTTGGAGCCTCCCCCACCTTTACATAGAACTGCTGTTTTGTTTGTTTGTTTGTTTGTTTTGTTTGTTTGTTTTTAAGTATCTAGGCCAGGGGTGGTAGCTCATGCCTATAATCCCAGCACTTTGGGAGGCCTAAGTGGTAGAATCACTTGAGCCCAGGGTTTCAAGACCAGTCTGGGCAATGTAGTGAGGCCCCATCTCTACTAAAAATTAGAAAATTAGCCAGGTGTTGTGGCACACGCCTGTAGTCCCAACTACTCCAGAGACTGAGGTAGGAGGATCGCCTGAACCTGGGAGGTTGAGGCTGCAGTGAGCTGTGATCGTGCCACTGCACTCCAGCCTGGGCAACAGAGCGAGACTGTCTCCCCACAAAGAAACAAAAACTAATTAATATATTAAGGATCTAAGAAAGATTTCATTTGAAAAATGATTTCAGCTGTTTAAAAAACAGAAAAAACAATACAGCAGTACAGCTACACTACACACCTGGAGTTTCAAACAGAAGACAGAGATGTTTTCATGGGGGCAGGAATACAGGGAGCTGCTGAGAGAAAGCAGCTTCATTGCTTACTGTGTCTGCTCAAAATGGCAGCATGGAAGCTGTGGGTGGAGGCCCAGGCACAGAAACAATCGCTGCGAGAACTCTGAAGAGGCAGGCAGGTCAATTTTCAGAACCGGAAGCTACTCCTCACTGCAAAAATGGAGGTATTTCTTTTCACACATGGGTAAACCAAGATTCTGAGAGTTTAAGACACTTGTCCAAGGCACACAGATAGTAAATGGGGGCTTCTAGATTTCATTCAGGATCTTGCTCATCCCCAAAGTCCTCAGGCTTCAAGTCCTGGTTTTGCCTTTCTATTCATCCTATCCAGTAGTTTTTCAAACTTCGGTATATGTAAGAATCACCTGGATTGTCTGTTAAAGATACTAATTCTTAGGTCTAGCTTCTGGGAGTTAATAGAGCAGGTCTGGACGGGCGGGTGTGGGGGGGGGTGGTGTTTTTATAACAAGCAACCCAGGTGATTCTTATGCAAGCAGGCTACAGACCACACTCTGGAAAACCTGGTCTAGGATTTATGTGGGATTCATATGTGTGGAAGATGCCCTTGGCTGCAAGAATTTGGTGAAATAGTTGGAGACACCAAAGCACTTATTCCGACTCCCCAACCTCCTACTTTCCAGAGAGAGACTTTTGGGTTTAGGGTGGTTACAGGGTTGGGGGAGTGGGCTTCTCTGGGGGAGTGGGCTTCTGTGGCATCTGAGCAAGACTCTACCAGGAACAGGAGCAACTGACCTTCCCATGGGGAACACCTGGTTCCTTGCCGACCCTTCCAAAATTCCACTGATCCCAATTTCTGTAGAGAGTGAGTGAAAAGGACTCACTTCCAGTGTTGAATTTTGCAACCAGAATGGCCAAATGTTGCAGTGGCTATTGGCTTTGCCCCCTTTCTGGCCTGCCTGAAAGAGATCGTTAAAAACTCACTTATCTGTTGACCTGGCTCTCAGCTGCGGGATGCCTTCTGCTACCAGGCTCATAATGGCAGCTTTGAAGTCCAGCACAAGTGTGAATTTATTGTTTTGTAAAGACCAGATTCCTGAACAGGTCATAAATTACCTTGTTAGACAAAGGCTTCTGGGGAAATGTAATGTGTTGAAATCCTTCAGTGGGTGATTATCCTAACACATTGCTGGCAGAGCAAATAACTGGCACACAGACACCAAAGTCCAACAGCTGCCAAACTCCGGAGCAGTGCAGCCAGGCTAGGCTTTGAAATCTTAGTTAAACATTTCTCCTAGGTGAGAAAGAGCAAGAATAGCATTTAAAAAAAAATAATAAAAAAAAAAATAAAAGACTTCCCATTCCTGATCTTGTTTAGGAGAATTCTGTTTTTACATTCCATTGCAATATAGCTAATTACCATTATATGGATTTTGGTGGCATAATTCTCTTTGGTTGCAAGAAGATTCCTTCTTATTGCAGACTCATCATCTTTCCTGGGCTCACACCTTTCCTACCTGTCTAGGTGACTCCCAGAGTTACAACTGGCACAATTAGCTCTTTGACACTAATCACTGATTGGTCGTTAGCTGATGATACTTGGAGCCCCTCTCTTCTCTCCAGACCTGGTATGAAATACCAGCCTCTGTTATGAATTGTCTTCCTCTCCTCTCTCCTTTAATAAGTTTATGCTACCTACAACTAAATGAAAGGACTTGAATAGAATTAAAATGCCAACTGAAAATAAAATTATGTCAAAACCTGAATGATAGTATTTCTTATATAACAATATTTTAAAATGTGGTTAGGAAAGTAATATAAGCTCATTGTACAGAATTTAGAAAACACAGAAAATGCAAAAAAGGAAAGTAAAACCTATCCAAGAGTTCATCAACCAAAAAGAGCTACTGTTTACATTTTGGCTAAATGTGCTTATACTAGAATACATTGTTTTGTACACTGCATATCCACACAGCTAAATATCACAGACATTTGTTTGTGTCATTAAGAATTCATCTACAATATCTTTTTCAACATTTGCAAAGTAGACATACTCCTAAGTTTGTTGGTCAGAAGAAAGTGCCAGGTATTTCTATAGCACTTACTTGGTTAAAGGTTGGTCCCTCTCTGTGGGTAAAGGGCATAATCAATTCGTTCAACAAATTTTTATTGAGCACCTACCCCTGCTAGACTCTGTTCAAGGTGCTAGAGATACAGCCCAATGAGACAAATGTCTCTGTCCTTATAGAACTTTGTGAGAGTGTAAGAGCATACTTCTAAAAAAATGGTGAACTACCTTTTAAAACTGATAACATTAGTTGTCTACACATATTCCAATCAAATTAAGGCCACTGATGTCATATAAAATCCTCTGGAATTAATGTTAATTACCATATAATATTAGGCCTGATTTTTCTTTTTCTTTTTCTTTTTTATACTGCATCTAGCAAAGGACCTGGACCACAGTAAGTGCTTAGCAAATATTGGTTGGATGAATGGTTGGTGAATAGGTATGTCAAATGTAACTGAAGTTGGTTTGCTTATCAAAAATTGGGTCTTCTTTCTGGAATTCAGGAAGGGAAGTGAAACCTAAATGCCATGGTAGCTCTTCTCTTCTTAGATAATTGTTCAGACAGGAGAGGATGAACTGAATCAGATAGCATTGTGAGGAGTCCCTTCCAAGCCTGAGTTTTCTCCTTGTAGGTAGAGAGTGCTGTGATGAAGTTCAAGACACATTCATATCATGACCCCACAATATACCCTCTGGAAAGGAAGGGGCCAGGTCAGCTCCATACTGTTCAGACAAGTGCATTAGCTTATTAATCTCCGCAGCAGAAGAAACAGTTCTTTGCAGAGAATTGTGGGCTTTGAGGAATACATTAAAGTCAGTGCTGTCCCAGCGCAAGACATAAGCTTGATGTATGTGGTATTCAGAGACTCAGAAACTGGAAAAAGCTGAGATTAGATCAATTTTTTTTTTCACCTGTTTGATTTGTGTCTGATGCCTACATCTTGACAGATAATTAGCAGGTCACGTAGAGTACCTGGAAGGCACTGAAATATTACAACTTATAGGTACCTGGCTCCGGACGGTATATGTTAAGAATCATTCTGAAGTTGGCTTGCTAGATCCCTGACGCTTGTGAAAAAATGATCATAGAAAAGGTTTGAATTTGCTTTAAGGCAGGACCTAATAAACACATGTGCATTGTGGGAACTGAAACAGCAAATCTGTTATTTTTGCTAAGGACTAGAAAACTCTTTGAGAACAGAATGGAGTGAGAGGGAGGGTTTGCTGAATTAGAGAGGGTGAGGTAAAATATGTAAATGTCATTAAAGAAAGGTTAATAAAATAGAGCTGGTTTTTGCAAGGGAGGGGATTTTGACCTCCAGAAGGAATGCAAAAGAACTGGCTTGATGGGCAAGTTTTCCTTCACAGAAGAGAGAGACCCAGTGAGGGTTCATTTCCGGTCAGTTGTATGGCAGCTCTCTTCCTGACTCTTGTGCAGTGTTGGGCAATAACCATCAGCTTCTCTGGAGAAATGGGAGCGTTACAGCCAACACAGTTCCAGTCATAGGACTGGAATTCAGGCCTAGGGTTGGTGCTCCAAACCCTTTATTCTTTACTCAGCGGTCAGAGGGCAGATCCTGGCAGCACAAGCCCAGGTTTCAGCCTGGGGCTCTGCCACTTCATAGCGCTGTTACTTACGCAACTTACTTACCTTTCAGTTAGATAGAAAAAACTTCAAAGGAAAAGTTCTCTTCTGAGTAGAAACTCACAGAAAATGATTAGGAAAGCAGATTTTCTCCAGATCAAATCAGCTTTAGAACCTCTATTTTTATATTTAAACTTGTGGGACTGCATATGACTCTAGGCTCCTTGTAACTTTCCATTTGGCTATTTCACAGACATCTCAATCTCACCATGTGAGCTTGAGAAAACGTTTCCCATGCACTTCATAAATCCAGCTGGGACTGTCAGTACCATCCACTGTCATCCCCATATTCCATTAGACTGCAAGTTCCAAGAGGGTAGTAACTGTGTTGGCTTCACTCATCAGCACAGGCTCAGTGCGTGGCAGAATGCAAAACACATTGCAGATGCTCAGTGTTTGCCTCGTTTGTCCTTCTAGCTCTAGTTTGTCCCCTTTCCAGGACCTTCACACAGTATCAGCAGATTAGAACACCATTCTGATGTTTTACTTACTTAAATATCTTAAATGTTCCCCACTGCAGGAAGAAAAATGCATAGAGGGCCTCCTGACGTGAACTCTGCCAAGCTTTCTGCCCATGTCTTTTCTGCTCCCTAGGCCCTGCTCTGAGCCCCAGCTGGATAGAAATACCCCAGTGTTTCCAGGCATGCAAACATTGAGCATCTGCAATGTGTTCTCAGGCTGGAGACAGACCCATGAGAAACACAAGACACCCAGCCCACCCCTTACAACCACCCCCCGCAAAAAGTCTGTGGGTTTCCCAGTTCTGGTTAATCATCAAAATCATGCACTGAAGATCAGTTTATAACCTCCCCAAATACGCCACTTTAGTGTAAGGATTGTTTTGAGCTGAAAGCAGTGTGCTCTCTGCCTTCCTTCTTTCTGTCTAAAAGCTGGATATGAATCTCCCTTTGTAAAGGTGACATAAATTTCATTTGTAAAGATGTTCCTGTCTCCTGTGCCAGGAAGTGAAGAACAACTGTTAGCTGCATAACAAACCTTATTAAACAATGCTTGTTTGCCATACATTTCATAGGAGCCTTCCCAGAACCCCCCAGGCCATTTTTATTTATCTAGTCCCTTCTTCACACTTTATTACCTTTTGTAAAGATGGTATATAAGACCCCAATTCTAACTACTCCTTTGAGAATCATCTCCCACATCACTGAGTTCTCCCACATGTATGCACATTGCGTATATAAACAAACTCTGGGATTTTTTTATTCTGTTAATCTGTCTTCTGTCAGTTAAATTTACAGGCCCCAATTACTGAACATAAGACTGTGGAGAAAAGATAGGGTTTTCCCCCTGTATATTTTTCAGAGGAGGCATTATACAGATTAGTCCCGGCATTCCATTAAAAAGTTATTGCTGGGAAATGTATTTTCAAGAGGGAAATAATTCCTTTTTTGAGTACATCTGTCAAGATCACCTTAAAGATAAGTAAAGCTTTTGCTTCTAGAAAATATACCCTACATACAACTGACCAGCCACAGTCACCATGCTGGAACATCCTTCCTTCACATCTGTGGGAAGCTTATATTCTGCTGCCTTCGCTTATGTCTCATCTTGGGACAGAAACAGATGAAGCCGGAACCAGATTAAGCTCTGTCCCCCCAAAAGGGGCACAGGCTGAGGTGACTTGAGGATGGAACTAGTATGGTTAAGAGAATGCCTGGAAGAGACTCTTCAGGAAGTTTCTGGAAGAGAGTTGGAGAACACCAGAAGGAAGAGTGAGTGGGGACAAGGCGAAGAGTGACCGCTGCTCAAATGTTAGTCTTCTGCCCTGTGATCCACTTCAGGACATGAGTTCAATTCCATGCACATTCTTTTTTTTTTTTTTTTTTTTTTTTGAGACGGAGTCTCGCTCTGTCGCCCAGGCTGGAGTGCAGTGGCGGGATCTCGGCTCACTGCAAGCTCCGCCTCCCGGGTTCACGCCATTCTCCTGCCTCAGCCTCCCAAGTAGCTGGGACTACAGGCGCCCGCCACTACGCCTGGCTAATTTTTTGTATTTTTAGTAGAGACGGGGTTTCACCATTTTAGCCGGGATGGTCTCGATCTCCTGACCTCGTGATCCGCCCGCCTCGGCCTCCCAAAGTCCATGCACATTCTTTGGGAACACCCAGGGCTGCAGAATTTCTGTTTCCTCTGACACTGGAACATCTACCTTCCAATTTCTGGTCGGCCCTTATCCCCAGCAGAAGAAAAAAACTAACAACCCATTCCCTCCCCATCCCAACCTGCTCCCTTCCTTCTCCTCTCCTCCCTGCTCCATTCAGGAACTTCTTGCTAGTTCACTAAATGCATTGCTGAGCTTTCAGGTGGACAGACTTGTGTTCTTTTTCTCCTACAGATAGGTTGTCTCTGGTCACTGCATTTATACCCATTGTTATGCCAGTACCACGAGACCATTATGTTATCCCTGTTTCAAATGAGGGATCCTTTTCCTAAACTCTAGGAAGTGGACTTTTGTGGGTGTGTGGATACAGGGAAAAGCTAAGTCCCCCAAAGAGGCTAACTACTATTAACCAGTTGATGGTCAGTGGCTACATTCTTGAGGGATTTTAGACTTATCCATCATCACAAAGAGTATATTTTTTACGGGTTCTGAGTGAATTGGTCCTGTCTGTATGTTCCTACCCTTGAAAGTTAATTTTGAATCTTCTAGCTCCTCAGTGTGGTTCATACCCCTTCCTGTGACTGGCCCTTCATCTCTCTCGTTCTCCCTTGGGCCACTGGATGTCAGTGAGAAAAGTCTAACGATGACTCCTCCTTTGACGATGTGAGTCCCTGTGGGTATCCAGCAGGTAAAGAGAGTAGCAGCGGCACCACTGTTCAGTCAATAT
This sequence comes from Homo sapiens, assembly GCF_000001405.40. NCBI lineage: Eukaryota > Metazoa > Chordata > Mammalia > Primates > Hominidae > Homo > Homo sapiens. Next base: position 60,088,397 of record NC_000015.10, on the reverse strand, counting down.
TTCCTTTTGAAGGTGTGGAAGCCCTGGATCATCAGCCTGCCTTTGCTTGACAAATGCTGAAGATAATGAAAGTGAAGGTGTAGAGTGGAACAACCAAGACAGTCCAGGCACGTCTCTCATCACCACCTGTTTGGCGAGCTCATGTTTATTCCTCTCCTTTGAAGGGGTGGCAGGCTGTGTGAACCGGGCTTGAGCTGCCGAATACCCAAATCCTGGAGCAAAGCGAGGCTGGAAGACAGATGAAGGGAATGCTTTGAAACAATATTGCTTTCTCTAATTAGTGCAGACAGAGAGCCCCCTGAGGAGCTTCAGGTGACCTCAGCCTTGCAAGGCTCAGGTATTCTCAGAAGTGGCAGGTGCTGGAAACCTATTCACTTTGCACTGACTGGTCTGAGAATCTTGAAAGAATCTGTTTTCTTTCCATCCATGATGCTTCTGGGTGTGCATGTGGTGGGCTGGGGATGGAGTGGAAGATTCTCTGAGATAGTCATTCTCATTGTTCTTTTGGTTCTGATCTATTATATGCACAGAAAATATAGTGGTTCTTTTAAACTGCAGGACTGACAGCTTGGCAGGGCAATACTAGATTAAAAGTCAGATGAATCAGATCCTAGTTGGACTCTACTACTCCCTGACCACAAGAGCTCAAAAAAATCTCCTGAACTTTCTGAGCTGACTTCCTCATTTGGATAATGGAGCAAATAATACCTGCCCTTTCCACTTTACAAGATGGTTTTGAATGAGTTTTGTGGACTGAAAAGTACTTTGGGAATGTTAAGACCTCCTGGACAAGACATTTTCACAAAAGAGCTATGTTTACAGAAGTACTTTCAGCATACTTTATTTTCTTATGATAGATCAAGGATGTGTCTTTAGATATTTTAAATCTTTACAGATTCTTACCTTTGAATATATAGGACAATAAGATCCTAAGCTGCTGTATGTCTGCATCATAACAAAATAAGAAACAGTGGCCCTCTGTATTGGTTAGAAATGCAACCTCCTTGAAAGCCTGTTCTTGCTGGGTATTCTTAGCTCAAATGCTTCCCAGTCTGGTTAGATAAAAAATTTAGTATGACCTTCTTTTGTGTTGTTTATTGGCCAATATGTTTCATGCCTCATTTGCCCTCAAATTCACATTTTTACTCATCAGAGTATTTGCTCTGCCTCTCTCTCTCTCTCTCTCTCTGTGTGTGTGTGTGTGTGTGCATGCATGTGTGCACTTGCTGCACAGCCAAAGAAAAACCTTTGCATGTTAAACACTGGCTGTGTGATAGAGTATTTATTTTTTATTTTGCCAGGCTACATGATTTCTATACATTGTTTTAAAACCAAGAGCAAAGGAAAAAGAACTACGAATTGTGCTTCAAACGAGCAGCCTCTGACATGCCTAAGATGGTGAGGGTCAGTTTCTATTCCATGTAAACCTTTTAATTACATGCAGTCTGAATCCGGGCAGCCGTCCCTGACCTGGAGTCTCATACCGGCTATCAGGCATGCTGATGGGTGCCGTCCGCCAGTCCCCATCCTTCATGTGAGTCAGTAATTCTGTCATGCCCTCCCAGCAGGCAAGAGGGCCAGAGCAAGGCTGGTTTCCTTGCAATTAATGAACAGCAATAGCACATAATTATGAAATTCCTAAGGAGGCCTCCACTTTTAGCAAAAGGAGAGTTCATCTTCTCTCCCTTCTCTTGCCGATTCCCTTACCTAAGTCACAACTTGGCAGGCTTAGGGATTCTATAATTTTTATTGAGTCATCTTCATTGACTATTTTTATTTATTTATTCTTATTTTTAAGGCAGAGTCTTGCTCTGTGGCCCAGGCTGAAGTACAGTGGGATGATCACGGTTTACTGCAACCTCCACGTCTCAGGTTCAAGTGAGCCTCCCACCTCAGCCTCTCGAGTAGTTGAGACTACAGGTATGCACTACCATGCCCAGCCAATTTTTGTATTTTACTTTATTTTTGTAGAGATGGGGTTTTGTTATGTTGCACAGGCTGGTCTTGAACTCTAGAGCTCAAGTGATCCTCCTGCCTTAGCCTCCCAAAGTGTCGGGATTACAGGCATGAGCTACCATGCCTGGCTGACTACTTATTTGTAAACTGTCGTAGACATAGCTTAAAATTTTTAACCCCAGGAGCAGACGGTTAAGTTAATGACACTTGTCATCTTATTTGTTCCTTTGTTCCTCACTCCTCTTCTCTTGCATGCCCTCACAGGTAACCATTTCAGTGTGTTTACTGCAGACCGTGTGTGTGTGTATGTGTGTGTGTGTGTGTGTGAGAGAGAGAGAGAGAGAGAGACTGCATTCTTGTAAATGGCCATGAGCTTTCATCACTGATTTTTTCCTCTGCACCAATTCTCTCTCAGGAGGTTTCAGTTCACTTTGGATGTGTTTTTGTTTCACGGCAAGTGAATCACATGTGTATACACTCAAGTCTACCATTTCCACCTGGAAATGTGGATGGAGTTATTAGAAATTCTGTCTCAGTGAGTCTTTTTACTCATCTCTTCTGAGACCTCACCCACCTGATAGAGCATATGAATCTTAAGTTTTGGAAAGTGTTTCCTGAGACTCTCCAGTCATTGAGGAAGAGAAAACTGATGGGAAGATGCAATGAAACTGGGGTGTGGGGAAACTGAGTAACAGTAGATGTGACTGGAAGTATAGACACCTGGGTCAGTCACTAGGCATGAGCCCTTGAGCAATTTATATAAGCCACTCAAAGCCTTAGTTTTCTTACCTACAAAATGGACTTAGTACCTGCACCATAGGTTTGAGTTGCAGTTAAATGAAATAATACATTTTCTGGCAACAAGCTCAGTGCCCAGCATATCCATGGTGCTCAATAGGTGTTGTCCAAATAAGGGCGTCTTTGTGAAGTGGTTTGAAATTTCCTGCTATGTTTAGGTACAGGGGAAGAGCCCTTTACATGGAAGGACGGAAAAAGACAGGTGTGAGTTGCTGCTAAGGACTCATTATATTTGCATCAAGAAGAAGGCAGAGATGTAGGAACAACAATGGACCTTCTTAGAGCTACTTAGAGCTACAACAGTAGACCTACTTAGAGCTACCACTTCTTAGGCAGTTGTGCAGGAAAACGGGCAACATTGAGATATCTGTATTTGTCTTTTTTTTTAAAAAAATGTTGCTTCTCTAATTGTTCAACTACAGAAATGTGACTATCTATGAACTGAGAGTTGGGAGCTTGAATCTAAGAGTCAACTATGGGCCTTGGTTTCCTCACCAGGGGTTGACATTTCTCAGTGGGGCCACGCGATTCTTCACTGCATGGGACAGATCCAGGACTGCAAAACAACAGCACCTCAGTCATTGTCACAACCAGCGTGTCGCCCCATTCCACATGCCCCTTGGGGTGAGTGCCTGGATCTCTAAGGCTTCTTCCAGTGCTTGTTTTCAAGGAGTAAACAGTGGGTGAGAAAGTACTGTCATATTGGTAGTGATAAATGATCGTTTCATGTTACTTCCAGATTATCTTTGAGAGAGAGGGCAGATTCATTTAAAGAAAATACAGTCTGGTGTAACAGTGACCAGGGAAGACTGAATTCTCTTTGGGAGCCCAACTTCATTCTCTGCATTTAAGACAAAACCACCTCACCTCACACAATTCTTGTAGGACTGAACCATGATGACATTCACTAAGGGAGAAGTATAGACCTTCACTTTGGCTGTGTGTTCAATATATTTTTTAAAAGACAATTGTTTCTGTGGTTACCAGGAACCAAATATGACACCTTTTTGGATAACAGACAGCACAGGCCAGGCGCGATGGCTCATGCCTGTAATCCCAGCAGTTTGGGAGGCCGAGGAAGATGGACCACCTGAGGTCAGGAGTTCAAGACCAACCTGGTCAACATGGTAAAACCCTGTCTCTACTAATAATACAAAATTAGCTGGGCATGGTGGCACGTGCCTGTAATCCCAGCTACTTGGGAGGCTGAGGCAGGAGAATCACTTGAACCCGGGAGGCGGAGGTTGCAGTGAGCCAAGATCGCGCCATTGCACTCCAGCCTGGGCAATAAGAGCAAAACTCTATCTCAAAAACAAACAAACAGAACACCAGATGGCACAGATATCTATGTGTCAAGAACTCAAATGTATATATAACATATATACATCATATCTGTTATATCATGTTTCCTACATATCATATAGAGAATGTTGACTTCTCTCTATGACATGGAAAGTAGGCACAATCTCATCTCTCTGCCTCCAGCTCTGTCTTAGCACATCTCGATGATGAAGGTTTTTCAGGCTCAAAGATCTCCCCCGACTTCTTAGAGTGGGCGAGAGGTTCCTTGCATATACTCTGCAACAAGAAAAGGGAATGGAATCAGGTTGGAGGATCCCTGAGGGAAGCTATTTGGAGTTTTAGTTTACCATCTTCTGGAAACCTTTTCCTCATTCCTTTGCTAGATCAAATGCAAAATAAAGTTGTTAAATGGAACAGGAAAAGGTCCTCACGATTGTTGAAAGGTGTGATACGTATCTTCAGATTTGGACAAAAGGAAGGCCATGTCTTCAGCTGCTAATTAGGGTAGCGCTAGAGGGACAGTGAGTAGACACCTTTGACATTTAGAGAACTAGACCAGATGCTTTTAGCAAGTTAAAATCAGATTTTGGATTTATATTTATATAGGTAAATACTCTCTTTTTTCCTTCTAGTGGTGTTCTCTATATTTATATAGCTGCATTGTGCTTTGGACACAATCACTGTGATTACCAATGTTTATTTAAAATTAGGAAATATTTATTTTGCTGTGAATTCATTTCCCCCCTATTTTCAGATGTGGTAAAGTCAAATGTCTTCATGATGAGGAAGGCCCGGGAAGGGGGTTTAACCAAATAGCTCTTACTCATTTGAGTAAGACGATGTTTTCTATCACTGTTTGAAAAGGGAAACTTCCCGCTTGCTAGGATTTGTATCTCCAGGTCTAGAGTGACCCTTTCTCCCTGCTCCCAGGAAGGGGGTTTAACCAAGTAGCTCTTACTCATTTGAGTCAGACTATGTTTTCTGTCACTGCTTCAAAAGAGAAACTTCCCATTTGCTAGGATTTGTTTCTTCAGATCTAGAGTGACCCTTTCTCCCTGCTCCATCTTTCACGTAGGGCAAGGAAGACAGTAATCAACTGAACCTCAAAATCTCTAAAACTCCATCATGGGAGACGTGGGACTTCTCCTTCTGGTCCACTCATTTTGATGAAAGAATTTCAAGAAAGGCCTTTCCCTTGCAATGGGAACATCTTGGCTTCCTGCTGCCTTTCCAGGATCAGGTCACCACTTCAGGTCTCATCTACAGGAGTGACATGTTAGGAGGAAATATTCCCTGGGCAGCTTTTGGATGACTTTTTAATCACTTGTGCCTCTACACCTTGAAAGATGGAAAAATGAGGAATTTCTTTTCAAGTGGGCTGTTTATGTTCCTGCCAAATTATTATGTTTCTGCTTCTAGCTTTCACTAATGGTAGGTCTTGATGTACAATGTCCACGGACAGCCTGGGGCACGAGAATGGCCTCTCTCGACTCTGACGGGGCTTCCCCAAGGCCCTCTGTGTCCTCTCTGGGACCCAGGCACAGGGCTCCCTTCACGCTTCTTTCCTTTGGGGGAATGGTTAGGTATGAAATTTAATCATTTTGGGCTGCTAGCCTAAGGTTGTTAAGCAGCACATGTTGATCATAGGAGTAATTACTAAGGGCTGCATACCCCAGAATGATTTATAACCTGCGATCTAAAGCAAAAAAAAAAAAAAAAAAATTCTCACTTGTCAGATCTCTTTCTTCCCTCGCCCTGCTCCAAATGTGCTGATGATAATTAATCCACTTCTGAGCACCTCATCTGCCATGAGGTGTCTCCTCCTGCCCCTGCTGGAAGATACCTCTATAGATCTACACATAGAGTGGGCTCCATGTACTAAATCCACACAAAGGGCCATCCCGCCCTTCTCAGCTCACATTTTATAACGCTCAGTCTGAAATGACCTTTAAAAAGCCAGATAATATTTTATTTACCTTTTTTCTCCCATTTACTGTTAAATGTTAATGAAGGTAAGAGATTCAAATTCCTGCTAATAAAACATTTTAATTGACTCAAGTGTAACCATAACTGTAAATTGGTTACTTTGTACGAATGACCTTAGAGCTTCCCTGCCCCCAACTCTGTGGCCTGTGTAATTTGGAAGTTGGCAGCAAACATCTTTGTTCTTCCTGGGCTTCATGTACGGCCTGCTGGCCTTCAACTCCAGGACAGGCAACCAAAGGTGACTTTGGATCCCTCACCTCAACAGAATTGACTGCCCCTTCATCCCTCCCACAGCCTCTCTCTATTGAAACTCTTCGACTTCAGGGACTATTCTAAGCCCTCCTCCAGGAAGCCCCACCACCACCCATCTCCACTTCCCTCTCATACTCCTCCAAATGACCACTGCATTTTGATATTTTCCTTGGGATACCTCCCTCTTTGCCTTCTGTTAGAGTAACTTCTGTTGCTGTGTTGTCCCTTTTCTCAGATTAGAAACCCCAGGCATACCCAGTGGTCAATAAATATCTGTTAAATTGAATTAGCTGATTCGAGTGAGAGGAAGAAAAAAAGCAATTTTATTGGTCTATGCCATATCAATTCTCTAGGGCATTCTAAAAAACATGTATTAAATGCCCTTTGTCTGGCTTCCTTAGGCCAGGCCACTCAGGATTCACAATTTGTAGTAACTTGCTGCTTTAGAGAGAAAGTTTTTAAAAAGAATGGTATAATCTACACCTCTATAATAATTTTTAAAAAGCAGGGGGGGACCACTCTACAATTTTTATGTAAGATGAGATTAGGTGGCTAGAGAAAATGACTGAGCCACGAGTACTTTTCTCTTGCTGAAGCTCTGGTGGACCGTGGGCCATAGTTGGTTGGGTCTAGGCTCCTGAGAACTGCTGGGTTTAGATGGTAGATGGGCCAGCTTCTAGAAAACAGCATCTATCACCAGTGAGCTGTGGGCTGCTGGTGGAAGAGGTGGCTTCTGCTGAAGACCATACCTGAAAAGAGGCAGAAGAGAGGTTAAGACACTAACCATTTAGTTGCTGTGTGATCTTGAGCAAGTTATTTTACCCATCTGTAACTCAGTTTCCTCCACTGTAAAATGGGAGTAATTGTAGTATCTACCTCATAAAGATATTTTGACAATTAGGTGTTTTAAATGCAAAGGATTTAAGTGAAAAGTTCTTGGGGCCAGGTGCAGTGGCTCACGCCTGTAATCCCAGCAGTTTGGGAGGCCGAGGCAGGCAGATTGCTGGAGGTCAGGAGTTTGAGACACCAGCCTGGCCAACATAGTGAAACCTTGTCTTTTCTAAAAATACAAAAAATTAGCCAGGCATGGTGGCTAATCCCAGCTACTCAGAAGGCTGAGGCAGGAGAATCCCTTGAACCCAGGAGGTAGAGGTTGCAGTGAGCTGAGATCGCACAACTAAACTCCAGCCTGGGCAACAAGAGCGGAACTCTGTCTAAAACAAACAAACAAACAAACAAACCTGATTTTAAAAAAAGTTCTTGGAATAATGTCTGGCACACAGTGAATACTCAGTAAATATTAGCTTTTATTACCTTTTCTATTCTGGAAGCAGAAAAAGCATGGTAAAAAGGTGAAATACTTTTTCTCCCTTTTATTAGAAAGTCCTTGAACTTTAGAAAAGGGATTCCCTAATTATATCTAACTAGCTCCCTTCACCTCACCCACAATTGCTCTCTGGGAATCTTTTCACTCCAAGCCCATTTCAAGAAGCACCTCTTCTGGGAAGTCTTCCCTGATGCCTGACCTCTCCTCTTCCTCCTCCACATTTTCTACAGCATTTTGATACCTGCCATGGAATACTTCTGAATATGGCCAATACCTGCTTTCCAGTTTCTGGGTGTCTCTTTCCAATCACCTAAGTCAGTGGATCTCAACTACCTTCCTGTGGAATATATTGACCCTAGAGCTAAACAAAGATGTTTTGCTGCTGAGATTAAATAATGACATTTAGTTCTCCATTTACAGAAAAATAGAATTTAATGGATGTTTTTCTCCCTTACAGATTTTCCTCCTATAAATTCTGCCTCTTCTGTCAGAACCTACCTCCACTTCATAATCTACAAGTCCAGCCCTCAACCATGGCTCATGTGGGGAGCATTAACAAATACCATTGCTTGGGCTCTACCCCTAGCCAATTAAAACAGAAATTCTGGATGTGGGTCCTGGGCATCCAGATTTTTAAAGTTCTTCTGAGTGGTTCTTTTTTTTTTTTTTTTTGTGATGGAGTCTCCCTCTGTCGCCCAGGCTGGAGTGCAGTGGCGCCATCTCGGCTCACTGCAAGCTCCGCCTCCCGGGTTCACGCCATTCTCCTGCCTCAGCCTCCCGAGTAGCTGGGACTACAGGCGCCCGCCACCACGCCTGGCTAATTTTTTGTATTTTTAGTAGAGACGGGGTTTCACTGTGTTAGCCAGGATGGTCTCGATCTCCTGACCTCGTGATCCGCCTGCCTTGGCCTCCCAAAGTGCTGGGATTACAGGCATGAGCCACCGCGCCCGGCCTCTTCTGAGTGATTCTAATGTTCAGCTCAGCAATGAGAGCCCCAAGCTCAGCAATGATCTTGTCTAAGAGAAAGCAGATCAACAACGATCAAATGTATGTTAAATGTATTAGTGGGAAATTTTAGAAATAGACAATCAGGCTTAGCTTCATAGTTTAATTAAAATGTACTTGTGGCTATACATCTACGTAGAAAACATCTAGCAGTCCTGTTTTGGGTTATGTTGTCCTGTGGTTATTTTATTTTGAGCTATGTTGCTTCATGGCATGTTCTAATGTTTTACCTCCTGAAATTGCCTGGCCTAAGCAAACATGTTTTCTGGTCAACTCTCAAGCCAGCAAAGATTTGGAAATCATAGGCTGCTGTTAGTGTGGCCTAGTTACTTTTGCTCTCTTTCTGTAGCTGTAGACGTCTTCACTTACACAGCCTGAGTTTATCAGTGTAGCCTGTTGGCCACAAGAGGGACAAAGAGAAACAATGTGAATGGCTTTGCACAAACACTAGAAAAAAGTAGAAAGCACACCCTTCCCCCAGGATGGGAGAGCGCCATCATCTTTGTACAGCATAAACAAAGGTGTAATCTATGTCTCAAGTGATTGTACAGAAAATACTTTTACATACAAAGACATTGAGAAGTCAGGGATATGCCCCGAGTTGGAGCGTCATCCAAACCCTAATATTCCTGCTAAAATAGCCTGCAGTTCTCATCAATTACACTGGAACTACACACAATGAAAGCGTCTTCATGGATTTCCATGTGATGATTCGGGTAAGTTCGGAAGACATACGCAAAGCAATTTGCTTATTGCAATAACTATAAAGTGTAAACTGTAAATTATTTTATTTGGAATTTAAGGAAAATGTTATGCCTTTTTCATACCTATAGAAAAATTGTGCTAATTTAGGCCAGGAATGGTGGCTCATGCCTGTAATCCCTGCAGTTTGGGAGGCCGAGGCGGGCGGATCACGAAGTCAGGCGATTGAGACCATCCTGGCTAACACAGTGAAACTCCGTTCTCTAATAAAAATACAAAAAATTAGCCAGGCATGGTGGCGGGCTCCTGTAGTCCCAGCTACTCGGGAGGCTGAGGCAGGAGAATGGCGTGAACCCGGGAGGCGGAGCTTGCAGTGAGCCAAGATCGCGCAGCTGCACTCCACCCTGGGCGACAGAGCGAGACTCTGTCTCAACAAAATAAAAGAAAAAAAAAAAAAGGAAAATTGTGCTAATTTTCAGTTAACAGTTCAATTGATATTTTGCACCTTTTGATAGACAAATATGTCTTTATGGCCCCACAGCTATGTCTGACAAGGGAAATTTCTTTCACCTATCATCCAGCATTCCGTTGTTCTTGCTCCGAGGATGACAAAGAGGCTCAATCAAGACCCAGGCCTGATTGTTAATCCAAAAATATAGAAGGCCTCTGCTTAGCCTTCTCATAATGTGCCCATTCACTTTGCTGACACAGGCTCAAAAACCTATTTTTCCGTCTTGGAAAATGATGAAAAAGTTTGCATGGATTTTACTGTGGATCCTGGTCCACAAGAGATGCAGACAGCAGGGGGACGGTGGCAGGTGGCCTCAGTGCAAGCCTCGTCATAACTTGCTGGCTTGTTTCACTGTGCTGCTTCTTCATTGCCCCCACAATGCTTTCATGCCTCTGTGAGAGAAAACCACCCTCCCTGAGTCACGGAAACAAGGCCTGGGAATGCTTTTGTGTGGTCTTATCTGCTTCAGTCTCCCCCTTACTACCTGTAGCTTAAACATGACAGGAACAACCCAATAAAATTAGCTTCGTGGGATGAGACAGGAAGAAAAATGTCAAGAAGGCAGTCCCTCTCCCCACCTTCTTCTCAATCTGGGTGAACACACCCCGGCTTCAGGAGTTTTTAGCCCACTAGACAAAATGCTCTTGGGCTCTTACTGGTTTAATGAACAGAACAAACTCTTGGGGACAAAAAAGGACAAACCTGCCCACTGAAAATTATGTGACTCAGGCTCTTTTAAGGCTCGTGTTTGGCCAGGGGAACAGCGCTTCCTGGATTGACTACACTGAGCGTGTTCCTCATCACCTCCTGCCTACACGACTCTCAGAGCCTTTGTGACCAAGTGTTTATTGTCAGCAGCAACCCAGGGATGCAGGATCAGCTAGTGCCTTGTTAGAAAAACATTTTACAGGTTTGGTAAGATGACTCTGGGAAGTGGCTTTGAGGAGGAATATATCTGATGTTAACGCTTTCTGGACTTTAGAGATATGGGGTTTTTTCAAAAGGATTTTTGCCTTCAAATATAGAAAACAGACTCTTTGTGGTGAGTATGCTTTTCCTAACACAAAGACTGAATTTGTAAACATCTGTTTATGAAAAAGTTGCATTTCTCAACATCGTGGCCTGATCTTCTAAACCAATACATAAATGGATCTTCAGTGCACATGGAAATCTTTTGCATTTGAATATAAAAATCTATTGAGGGATACAGAAGGGAGAGAAAGAATTGGGTAAATAAATACAAAAACTCTTAAGAGCTTCTGGGCTGGTTTCAAGAATGCCCCACAAAACAGGTTTTCATGGTTGTATGGGGTGATGTGATCCTATTCAAGTTTCTTCCCTTTCTTTAGAATTTCTGAAGAAGCTGTTGAAAATGGCTTCAGGGGCTGTTCCTAAAATAGATTTTAGAGATGAAAAAATGAGAGAATGCACATACAATCTGAGACAAATGAGCAGCTCTGATACTGAAGCAGAGATTGTAAGATGACTGCTGTGCCTTGCAAGAAATGAATATTCAGGATGCCCCTGCTGGGTGCCTTTTCCTATTTGAACCAAATACTGTTTGGGCCACGATTCACTTGTTACCAAATTAAACACTCTTTGCACACAGCAGAGCAACTTTACGAAGTCGGATTTTGAAGTGCAAACATCTTTTCTGCTGTGGCCACGGAACCTGTCACAATCTTCATCGGGAACTGAATTAAGTTTAAAATATCATCAGAGGGTGTTGATCTCTCCTGGGCCTGGAGCAGTCCTCTGTACATCCGGCATTTTTCTGTTGACACTGCGTATCACTTAGCAACGGGCCTGAAAGGCCCTATATGCATTGATTGCACGCCATTGTCTTTAAGGGGTGGAAGTGTTAACTGAATAAACCCCCCGGGTGACCAGACGGTCATTCCTCTCATGTTGATCATCTGTTTACATCAAAATATTGTTTATTCCATTCTCTGATCTCCTAATTTTTACATCTCTGACTGAAGGAATAAAGTAAATTTCCTACATGGTGGAGAACCCCAATTTACTTTCCTGACATGGTGTGATGAGAACAGTTTTGTCCCTAGTTCTCCTGATAAAGCATTAAATGCATTTGACAGTTAACTGCGGGTGATAATGCCAACTTTCTTCTATGGTTTTCAGAGGATGGAGAAGTTACAAGCCTGCAATGTCCCCATAGAGAGAAAATATTCCCTTCGGTCTGTGAATTGTTTTTGAAATAAACGGCAGAATGTGTTATATGATTGTGAAGAGGTTAAGGCTTTAAAGTGGCTGGCAGGCTCTGACATCAACTGAATGAAAAGGAAATATGGCCTAACCAAGGGGTGTTTTCAGAATGAATGAAATTTCAAAGTGGAAATTCTTGCCTGAGAGGCAGCAGTAGAGCTCATTTCTGCATCAATAGCCATGGCTGAAGCAATAGACCAGACTGGTGGGTCAGACAGGCATTTTACCTCACACCTCTCCCTTTTATAATGATCTGTTTCAGAGGGCTTCCACGGACGCCGTTTTTCACAAACACCTCAGACAATGAGAATGTTTCAGCTCAGGGATTGTACATGTAGGCAAAAACCAGATCAGTGGGGTTACATGCCCACCTTCATCAACCATGTACTGGAGACAAAATAGAAATTCTGGGCTTGCTGCCCTACAATGTCTAGTTTTGAGAAATCTGTTTTGCTCCTTTGTGAGTTTATAGCCTACTACACCCAGCTTTAAAGAGAAGAACTACTTATTAATGTCTTGAGAAATATGCCCTATTCAACAAGATAAGCAATTCCAAAATCAACCTACTGATGATCTTGCTATGGTGTTGCTTTTGTCTGGTATAAGGGAACTGGAATAAAAAATGATAGCGCCAAAAGATTTACTGGTGAATTTTAAAGTTTTCTCTCTCCACAGTCCTCTTCATCAAATAGGAATGCTGTTTAAGAGAACCATATTCTACGAATGCTTCCTCTTTGACAAAACCCTTGGGCCTTTACTCTGTGCTTTCATAAGAGGAAAATTGCAATTACAAAGTTTTGAACATAGTTACCTATGAGTGGGGATATGAGAACAATAGCAGGAGAAAATGGAGATCATCATTCTACGCAGTGAGTCCAAAGGGGTATTCATGTTTAACCATGAGGAGATGCGAGGGTATCTTCATTTTCAGAAGTAAAACTGTTTTAAACTAGTCAACAGTTTTTTAAGCGACACTCATCTCTTGCTGTGTCCCTTCCCCCAAAAAGCTCTCCATAGCCTCTCTGCACATGAATCCTGTGGTGTTGTCTTGGCCTGGCTTAACTGCTAAGTGAATGCTCCTTCTATAAACAGTTCACTGCTACAAGTTGGATTTTTCACAGCATTAACTTTAACTACATGGGTGTTTGTAATGGAATAAAACTTCAAACTGATGTTTTGCCATATTGCTGGTTAAAGAAGTGGGCCTCAAATGGAGATAGATGTGCGCTTCATTTCATGGGAAAACCGTCATCTCGTAGGTCAAGTTTAAGTTGTAGGCAGGCGTAGCTTCACCAAGAAAGTCTTAAAGAAAAAATACACACCGACCAAACCCCTACTTTTTACATGAAGTCCCTCAGCAAATTTTAACGGCATATTAATTTAAAATTTATTTTCAACAGGCACCAGCTTAAGTCAGCTGAGTAGAAAATAACAGGTTTCAACACAAACATCTGTACAGACCTCACTCTGGAGAAATTACTTTGCGTGGAACCCAGGAAATTAGTTGGAAGAATTTGTTCACTGTCTCTTTCAAGGTATCGGCCACTTCCTTTACTGAAATGCATTTAAGGACAAAGTTACTAGCTTCTGCTTAGGAATCAAAGGCTATCTTTATAAGAAGCAGATTATTTAATTGCGGTTTGTTTATCCCACAAATGACACAGTCATCTACTTTGAACTCATTTGAGTGGGTGGTGGTTGTTTGTAAAAATCATCATTGCCATTACCCGACTGCTAGATTTCAACAAGATGGTTAGGTGCAAACATCTCTTGAATTGCAATGTGTTCTGGCCTAAAGTACCCATGCCTCCACATAAAACATCTTCCTTTGTCTCAAAATTTTATCCCATCTAGGTCTAACAATGTTGATCTTAAAATAATAAAAGAGAGAAGGCTGGAAGACTGGGCCCCTTTTTATAGTTAAATGTTATCTGCTTAGACTAATATTGCAGTTGCCACCCACTGACATAATTTGTTTCACAGTCACAGCTTGGCAGCATGAATCAAATGTTGACATTCTAATTTCATGCACACATGGGCGTTTGGCTGAGCAGGCCCGCAGCCTCCAGACCATTCTCTCTGTACCTGTGTAAATCAGGCAGACAAGGCTTGCTCTCAACAGCCTGCCAGCAAAGTTGCTCACTTCTGTTAAGAGAACTTCCTGGCTTCTTCCCCTTCACGTGTTTGTGTGTTTATGCCCCTGACCTTGCAGAGTGTAACACAAATACTGTTTTATTCTTTCTGGAAAGGTGATTTCTTTTTTATGTTTTCTCCCTTTTAATTGCAGTTTTAACAGCTTTACTTAAGAACTCAACTAGCAGATGATTTCTTTCCATTGCTTTCTAAATCAATCACAAATGTCTCTTTGAGAAAAGACCAATGAAAATTAAGTAGTAGTAAGAAGAGACACACCAGTGATTGCAAAGTGGAGAGGCTGGCTTCCCTCTGTTATGGACTGGATTCTGTACCCCCAAATTCATAGGTAAACCCTAACTCTCAATGTGATGGTATTTGGAGATAGGGCCTTGAAGGAGATAATTGAGGTGAAAGGAAATCATAAAGGTGGAGCCCTGAGCCAATATGACTAGTGTGCTCATGAGAAGAGGAAGAGACACCAGGGATGCGCACACCCAGAGAAAAGGCCATGGGAGGACACAGCAAAAAGGTGGCCATCTGCAAGCCAAGGAGAGAGGCCTCAGGAGAAATCAAACCTGCCGACCCCTTGATCTTGGACTTCCAGCCACCAGAACTGTGAGAAAATAAATGTCTGTAGTTTAAAACCACACGATCTGTGCTATTTTGTTATGACAGCCCTAGCAGACTAATATAGCCTCCAAGTTAAGAGCCAAACTTCCTGTGAGTGCCCTGTCATTGACCAAGTGGCTTCTAGAACCACTTCAGCCCATGACTCCTCCACCAGACATTGTCAGTGCGAAGAGAGTTTTAGGGCCACAGCCATGAAGAGCTTGAATGAAACCAGCAGAGCGTTGCAGGGCAGCCTCTGTTTGACCTTCCACTCGGGAAGGATTAATGGCCAGCCCTTTGTGTTAGGAGAGGATGCTCTGGCCACATGCAGCCAGACATGGGGGAGTGTTGTTTCCCAGTTCCAGTGATAGGTTGGCCTACGCTGGTCTCATGCTCACACTTGGTTCTCCTAGGTCACAAGTTAGCAGGAAGTAAGCAGGGGGTCAGGGTAGGGCTATTATTGTTGGCTGAAGCATAGACTAGAGCAATTGATCTGTACAGTATTGGACCCACATCTAACTCTGGGGCCCCAGTTGTCTTGGCTTTTTCCAGCTTTGATTTCACTGCCTCTCTGAGAGTCAGTTTTTCCTACTAATGGAATGTTTTCAAAGTGAGCTCAAGCCCATGCTCAGTGGGAAATTCTTCCCTGAAATCATTTGTCACAGAATCATTTGGCCATCTAAGACGTTTATTATCCTACTTACTGGCAGTAAGTTTCATAGAAGAGCACAAGATACTCTGTAGATTTTTGTTCCCCTTAAAAAGCTGATATTCTAGAATCTGTCCAACATGCAAATATTGAAAAAATATAATACTTTCTACCAAAGAGCAAATCATGTAATCTGGAAAATAGGGTCTGGAACCCAGCATGAGTGCTGTCTTTGGGATACATCTTTTTACCTTCCTTGGGCTTTGTCATCTTCACTTGTAGAGCAAGAGTTAATCTCTATGGTCCCTTCCAGTTCAATGATCTGATAATTCTTTTATTTTAAAAAATGAAGTAAGTCACCAAAGCCCCTGAGAGCGCGGGCATGAAAATCAGTGATTCAAATTCAGGTCAACTCAACGAAAATGTATTGCATACCTGCTATGTGCCAGACATGATGCTAAGTGCTGATGTGCAGGAATGAATAAGATGTAATCCTCAACCTCTAAATTTTAATAAAAAGGGAAAATGGAGATCAAACATT
The DNA here is from genome assembly GCF_000001405.40 of Homo sapiens. Classification (NCBI taxonomy): domain Eukaryota; kingdom Metazoa; phylum Chordata; class Mammalia; order Primates; family Hominidae; genus Homo; species Homo sapiens. The sequence goes on along the minus strand of NC_000015.10, from coordinate 60,072,400 downwards.
AGGAGAGGAAGAAAGTTTGTGACAACAGAGTTATGGTGCAGTGCTCCATATGTCTGTTTAAGGGCCAATGTTATTTACTAAACTGAACTCAGATTATGGAACAATACTGAGCAATTGTTACCCTGGCCCGGGGAATAAAATGTAGTGGCTGCTAACTAGCTGTGTGATCTTGGAGGGGCACAAAACCTTTCTGGGTTAAGGTTGTCTTATTTTCTAAATATGGGGATTGGACTGATGGTTTCTGAGATCTCTTCTATTTCTAACATTCTATAATTATGAGAATATGAACTAGCTATGCATGTAATACTCCCAAGAACTGCAAAAGGCAGAGGAAATGGACTGAATTGCTTGGAAAGCTGTTTTCCCTTATGTTTCTGACCTAACAAGGTATGATACTGTCTTCATGTTACCAAAACATTTGTAAGTCAATATAAAATATCTAAAAGATGCTGGGGTTGGCAGCTCACATCTGTTACCCTAGCACTTTGGGAGGCAGAGGTGGGTGGATTGCTTGAGCCCAGGAGTTTGTGACCAGCCTGGACAATGTGGCAAAACCCTACCTCTACAAAAAATACAAAAGTTAGCCAGGGATGGTGGCAAATGCCTGTAGTCCCAGCTACTCAGGAAGCTGAGGTATGAGGATCACCTGAATCCAAAAGGTTCAGGCTGCAGTGAGCCATAGCAGCTGAATTGCGCCACTGCACTCCAGCCTGGGTGACAGAGTGAGACCGTGTACTAAAAAAAAAAAACAAAAACAAAAACAAAAAAAAACACATAAACACATACACACACATATATATATAAATATATATATATATGAAAGACCAACCTATATGAGTGGCAGTCACCAAAGTTCTCTGAAGAAATTTGTCATGGATCAATTTTCCCTATGCTGTCATCCCAAACTTTGTGTTTTCTTGGCTCTACCGTTTTCTGGATTTCTATTTGGCGTGATACTCCCACAGCCATCTTCTGCAACTATGCCTGCAAGCTCCTTTGACAATATACGAGAACTTGTCAGGTTGATCCCAACTGCCTCAAGCTGCTTCAAGGCCCCCGGCAACAAACCTTCGGTTCTCCCTTTCTGATTCAAAATTGTTGCCCTGAAGTAAGAATCTGACCTCAGCAGACCAGAGCTTCCCCCTCCCACTCACCCACCATCACTCAAACACTTTTCCAGCTGCAGTGCCCTCTGTCCTTCCCACCCTTCCCAAGAGGTCCAGGTTCAAGACTCCACTTGTTCCATACTTAGCCCCACAAGAGTTTGTTTCTTTCTTTTATTTAGCTCAACATTCCTTTGTGTAGTTTGGCCGCCTTACATGTGCTTGTACATTTCCTTTAAGTGCTTCTCTGACTCATCTATAAATCATCAGGAATTTTTTCATCAGCTAGCATGGAAAGTCTTCCAACGTAAACACCATGCCTTCCACATTTTGTGTGCCTCCCATGATGTGTGGCACGACACTAAGCACACAGTGATGCTCAATAAATGTTTATGAAGTCTAATTGAGAAAATCAGAAAGCTGTTTTTTGATTTATTTGTAGTGTAGCTGAACTTCTTTCTGGTTTTTTTTTTTTTTTTTTTTTTTTGAGACCAAGTCTCACTCTGTCGCCCAGGCTGGAGTGCAGTGGCTCAGTCTCTGCTCACTGCAACCTCCAGCTCCCAGGTTCAAGTGATTCTCGTGCCTCAGCCTCCTGAGTAGCTGGGATTACAGGCGCCCACCAACACGCCCAGCTAATTTTTGTATATTTAGTAGAGACGGGGTTTCGCCATATTGGCCAGGCTGGTCTCAAGCTCCTGACCTCAAGTGCTCTGCCCGCCTTGGCCTCCCAAACTGCTGGGATTATAGGCGTGAGCCACCACACCTGGCCTCTGTAGCTGAATTTCAACAGTGTTTTCTCGCTGCTGTAGCTGTAGAAGCAGCATGACCAGCAAGAACCTGGGATTTGGAGTCACATCGATCCATGTCCAAGCCGTAGTTCTGCCAGTTTACTCTATCATGAAACATTTATGGAGCAATTGCTGTGTGAAGATGTGGAGCTGGCTGATAGACAAATAAATAAGATTATTGCTCTTGCCTTTAAGAAGTTTGGGGTCTAGGAAATATATTACTTAATTTCTCTCAAACTCAATTTCTTCAACTGAAAATGAGAATAACTATTTCATTGGATTGTTGTAGGTACTTCAATAATTATTTGTTTTTCCCCTTTTCCGCTCTTCTTATTTCTTAGGTTAATAAGTTGAATTCTTTTTTTTTTTTTTTTGAGACCGAATCTCGCTCTGTCACCCAGGCTAGAGTGCAGTGGCACAATCTCAGCTCACTGCAAGCTCCACCTCCCAGGTTCATGCCATTCTCTTGCCTCAGCCTCCCGAGTAGCTGGGACTACAGGAACCCACCACCACGCCTGGCTAATTTTTTGTATTTTTTATTAGAAACGGTGTTTCACCATGTTAGCCAAGATAGTCTCAATCTCCTGACGTCGTGATCCACCCGCCTCGGCCTCCCAAAGTGCTGGGATTACAGGCGTGAGCCACTGCGCCCGGCCAATAAGTTGAATTCTTAACAGTTCTATATTTTTATGCTTTAAATGACTCTGTAGTGAGTTCATTTTGATGTACAATTAGCCATGAATTTGAATCCACTTGTATTATTTTTAACTTTAGATCACACATGGCCACATAAAAAATAAACCCAAGCACTTGTTCTGAGACTGATAATCTTTGATAATCTCACTTGTCAAAGATCAGATTATTTTGGTACATTATCTTTTATCTTTTTATATGACAGCTGGGGACCCAGCCTCAAGAAGATAACCTTTAAGATTTATAGAAATAAAAAGTCTGCCTCAAATATGAATGATTCCTCCTTGATTTGGTCTGATTTAAGTTCAGACTCAGATTGGTGAGTACAGAAATACAGGAAGACAGGTCGTACCTAGGGATCAGGTATAGCCCAATAAATAGTGTGATCATTGAGGCCTCCATTACAATCAGAAAAATCAATCCTGTCTCTGGGTTATTTGACCCTAACACATATTTCTCCCTTGTGAGAGAAATGTTGGGATTGTATTAGAAAAGAGCCTGGCTCTATCTGCCGTGCAAGCACTGGTTCCCCTTTATCCCAGGGAAGTAGCCACAGAACCAAATGCTCTGCTACTGAGCTTTCTGCTTATGTTGCCTAAGTGCCACGCTCAAATTCCTCCAAGGTGCTGGTTTGGTGGGCAGAAGTTGCACTTGTCCAATTAGTAAGCCGATATGTAGAATTTGATCTTCAGGATTTGCTGAGGATGATGTTTGAACTTTGATCCATGGTGCAATAAAAAGTCCTTAACTTGGACAAACTTGGAAAAAGAGCTGATTTAGTGACAAGTCTGAATGGTAGCGTGCTTTTTTTTTGTTTGTTTTAATTTCTTTCTTTTTTTTTTTTTTTTTTTTTGAGACAGTGTCTCACTATGTTGCCCAGGCTAGTCTTGAGCTCCCAGCCTCAAGCAATCCTCTTACCTCGGCCTCCCAGAGTGCTGGATTATAGGAGTGAGCCACTGTGCCTAGTCTGTAGCATATTAAAAAGTGATGTAGTGATTTGGTTTCCTCGCCATGTGTAAGATGAAGGGATTCAAAGGATTCTTCTAGTATTAATCTTCAATGATCCTGATAATGGAACGTACATGAGTAAACATGGCTCCAAAGTACCTAAAGAACTGGCAGAAATTGATGAACATCTGAGAGGCTGTTTCCTTCATATTTCCGTGACATTAGTATAGTGTTAGCCATAATGCCGCTAAGACATTTGTAGAAATATCAAAATTCCGGTCCTTATTAATTACTCTGATTCTCTGCTAGGTCCCTTACCCTGTCATGCTGCCAGTCTCTCTCTTTCAAAGGAAGATCTCAATGCCACCCTTCCTCTGCCATGTGATAAAGGCTGAATAAATATGAGTTAAATTATGAGTGAGGATTAAGTACGATAATGCATTTAGAATATTTTATGGTCTGAAAATGCTGTATAATTTTTTTTCATTATTAGCGAACTTTTTCTCTTCCTTTAGAAGAGTCATCCTTTAGCTCAGTCATCATTTCCCCAGGGAAGCGTTCCTTGATTGTCTACCCTATGACAAAGCCCCCTATTTTGTACTCTGATGGTACCATACATCCATTATTTGCAGCATGTATTAGCATTGTGCTTTTCCTCTTTCATTTGGGAGGTTATTTGATTATTCTTCTTTTCCCATCTTTGCTCTAAGCTCCCCAGATTAAGTCCCCATCTAATTCTGCTCACGTCTGTTCTCTGATGGGTAGCACAAGACCTGCCACTCTGTAGGTATATGACACATATAATATTTACTGAAGGAAGTAGAGAAAAGAAGCAAAAAGAGAAATAAAAATATAAATGTTTTCAGTAACTTGAACTAGAGTGGCTGTGATAGGCAATTTTATGTGTCAAGTCGACTGGATCACAGGATGCCCAGGCATCTCATTAAGCATTTTCTCTGGGTATGTCTGTGAGGGGGTTTCCAGAAGAGATTAGCATTTGGATTGGTGGACTGAGTAAAGCAGATGGCCCTCCCCAGTGTGGGTGGGCCTCATCCGATCTGTTGAAGCTCTGGATAGAACAAAACAATGTAGGAAGGGAAGATTTGCTCTTTCTCTGTCAAACTCTTGAGCTGGCATGTCACTCTTCTCCTGCACACAGAGCTCCTGGTTTTCATGCCTTCCATCTTGGACTGGAATCTACATCATTGGCCTACCAGCTCTCAGGCCTTACAGCTATACTACCAGTTTTTCTGGGTCTTCAGCTTACAGTGGACATATTGTGAGACTTAGCCTCCTTAAATGTGTGAGCCAATATCTTATAATAAATTTATCTATCTATCTATCTATCTATCTATCTGTCTATCTATGTATCTATCTACCTACCTACCTACCTACCTACCTACTTTATCTACCTATTTCTCTATCTATCGTGTTTCTCTGAAGAATCCTGACCACTAAAGTGACACAACACTGTCAAGCAAAATTACTTTAGGTGGCTTGCCTGGATGAATCAATGAAAAGGACTTGTGACTAGCTGGGAGCTTCTATATACGTAAATAAAATTCTAAAGGGTTTACAAAGTTGTTATTTATTGTTTAGGTTGGATTTTGAGTCCTAGATACTTCCAAAATTATCTGAGACTTTTACAAGTCTCATGCAAATAAGAACAATATCAAAACAGAGATTATCTAAGGGAAGCACATCCAGTGGCTGCCCTCCTACCCCTCCCCTGTCTCTCCTCTGCCCCACACCTGGGACAATGGTGTTCTGACAGTTGGGTACTGATTTGGGCTTCATGTTTCCTGGCAGCTCAGGCAAAAGAGGAAACCTTTCTTCACACGGGTGGTTTTCTTTTCCTGACATAGAAACTATTCAAATTCATAACAGACATATATGTTTTTCTGGTACCAAACTCAAGCAGAAATTTCTGAGAGGATGGCTTGGTATTTCTTGTAAGAAGGATCTGCACAGCAGGAGTTAGGATTCTATGACTCCATTCAAGCAAAACTTCCACATTTTGAATTTCGCTTCCAGGCAGTCACTCTAGAGAATACCAAACCAATGTCATCCAAGAGGATGGAACTACTTTTACTTGGGTTTAATGCCTTAAGTTTACTTGACTTCTCCTGAGCTCCCAAAGCCCTCCTAACTCCCTCCAGTCTTCTGTGCAATGAAAATCAGAGGCTAAGAATGGAAGCCCTGCCTTCCAGGCCTTCTTCCATCACATTGTGCCTGTTCGTCTGCTGTTGCCATCTGAATATTTCCTGTGACAACAGCATATACTATCAGTATTTTATTAAGCAAAAGCAGGTATGTTTTTCCTCTTTGCTCTGTTATTTATTTATCTACCATCTGGCTGGATCAGAAGATGAAGTCTGGAAGGAAGTTTTTACTTCTTCTTTGGCTAATGAGAATCTGGCAGAGAGACAGAATGAGCCAGGGCCTAGAGGAAAATTTCTAGAACCAGGTAGAGGGAATTCTACCCATCCCTGATGTGACTGGTCAGCCTCCCAAAGGCAACCTGCACGGTCAACAGGCGGTTAGGAGGGCTACATTTGGGATGATGGGAAGCCTGAACTCTTTAGGATGTCTGCTGCTCTGCAGAATGGTTTGTGGAAGGTCGTGTCTCATTTCCTGCTCACAGTGGCGCAGATGGGGCTTTTGGAGGCTCTGGGCTATCAGTGGCAGCTGGTGGGTATCAAGAGTGAGGAAAGGAAAAGAACAAGCTGTGACATCAAGGCTAGAGATGCAAGAATTCCAAACGAAATCCAGTTGAATCTACTTTCCTCTTTTAAAATGAGTTTTTTCTCAATTGGGTCAAATATACAGGAAACGGATTATGAAATGTTATCAATTACGTCCACCTTCTAGGTCAACAGAAACTTCAAGGCTTAGTGCTGCATTTTAATAGCTTAGTCCCCTTTTTTTTCTGAATTGTTAGGAATCTTTTCTGTGCTGGCCTGTAGAAGGCAGAAGGAGAGCAGTTTGGGCAGATAAGAAAGAAATCCATATTGCCAGGAGGAAAAGTTAATAAGCCCTTGGTCTCTTTTTAATTATTTTCTGTTGTTTAAGAGGAAAACTGATCTTTGCTCCTGCTAACATTTTTTTTAACGTCTCTTGCCCAAGGTCATGTACAGAGGCCACCTTGGGAGATTCTAACTATGAGCCATTTCTTGCACACTGGCAAGGCAGAAATACTTTTTATTTAAGGTTATTTTATTCCCTTTAATTTATCATTTTGAAATCTACCTCTTTGAAATGAAGCCTCAGATCATAAGAAAAATGAGCAAAGGCTTATGATTGCTATGTGGCTAATTGAGATGGACCCACCCAAATGAACCTACCCTGTCCTTGCCTAGGCAGGATCCTGTCAGCTGGTGACTGGAAATCAGCCACTACCTGTGGAACCTGGTAGCAGCAAAGTGAAAAACACACATCCTGGGGAAATCCTACCAAGGCGTTCCAGATTTCTCAGGTAGATCCCTGTCATGTTTTCCAACCTGGGGGATGGTCCCTGCCTTGATGCCATTTGAAAGATAATACGGCCGGGTGCAGTGGCTCACGACTGTAATTTCAGCACTTTGGGAGGCCAAGGCCGGTGGATCACCAGGTCAGGAGACCAAGACCATCCTGGCTAACACGGTGAAACCCAGTCTCTACTAAAAATACAAAAAATTAGCCGGGCATGGTGGCGGGCACCTGTAGTCCCAGCTACTCGCGAGGCTGAGGCAGGAGAATGATGTGAACCTGGGAGGCAGAGCTTTCAGTGAGCCGAGATTGGGCCACTGCATTCCAGCCTGGGGGGGACAGAGTGAGACTCCATCTCAAAAAAAAAAAAAAAAAAAAAAAAAGATACATCATGAGGCCATTAAAAGTGAGGTGTATAAGAGAGAAGTTCATCCTTCTATTAAGGCAGATGTCTTCACCTAGGGGCAATTTTGCTCCCCAGGAGATATTTGGCAATATAGAGAGACATTTTTGGTTGTCACAACTGGGAAGAGTACCAGGTATGCTGCTAGGCATCCCACAGTGCATAGGAACACCCCCACAGCAAAGAATTACCCAACCCCAAATGAATCTTCCTCTCAGTGTGGGAACATGAGATCCTGCTGTATCTACAAAGAGACTATTCTCACCTTAAAAATGTTTTGGGGATGTCTTCAGTACCAATTCTCACTCCTCCCTGAAGCTTCTAGAGCTCCATGGGGACTTCAGGTGGTTAATGCAGATTCAAATGATTGATTAAGAAACACAGAGAGAGTCTTCCAAACCATTTATCTTGCCCTTGTCCTTAATCTTGATTTGCCCTGTAGGTTACTCTTATCATAAAGACAGTATGAATGACTGTCTCAGTGTCTTTCCTCATTAATACTGCTAGAAATTGATGAGTAGCTCTCTGGAACTGTGGATTTTTTGGCAAGAATTATAGCTCTTATTTATTTTGGAGGACCCGTGCAGCTTTCTAAGCAAATATATGTAGAAAATTCCCCCCAAAATAAACACTACAAGTAATTGCCTGATAGATGAAGTTGACATTTTGGCTTTGTGATTTGCTATGATATGTAAAAATCTAATTTTCTCCATGGAATGAGGCCACTGCAAAATTGTGAGTAAATTAGAGTCAGTGGTTTACTTAGAATGTGAGTTATAACTTCTGTTATGATGTATCAACATTTATTTACAGTTTCTTAAGTGGACCTAAATCCACTTGGCAAAATGTTAACTAGATGAATAAATATGGCAGAGGTGTGATAGAGACTTCAGTTTTTCCTTTCTGGGCTTATGCGTCAAAAATCTCTTTGAGAATGTACTTGATTGAAGTTTTGAGATCTTTTGTACACTTTTGAATTGACAAAAAATAAGTTCATCAGGTTTGTAATAAATTCAAAATTTATCTAAATCAAGGTTCTTAGTGCCTTACCACCTGATCTGTGAGACAAGAAGCTGACAACAGCCTGGAACAGTGCTTCTTTTAATAATCCATTTCTACATCTTGATATTCTCAATCACCATGTAAAGAATTAGAATGTCATGGCAAACAGTCAAAGCATTGGAAAAATCTACCTCTTAGAGATACATTTGCAATGAAAAAAAAGCGGGGGTTCAAACTAGATCTAACAACATCTCCAAATAAATAGTTAACAAAAAGTTGCTCATTAATTGTCACCATAAAACAGAAAACAAGCGCCTTTGCATGTTTTGGTAGTGTGCCTTAAGCTCTTGTTAACATTTTAAAATTAATTTGAAACCTCTAATAGAAGCTAATTTTTTTTTAATCCACTTTGAGCTTTTTAAAAATGATAATTTTAAAGGCCAAGTATCTTGGAATAATATGCAGTCGTTTCTATGGGTTGATTTACAAATGGGATAAGTTATCTTATGTATCAACACTTCTTTCCTTTAAATTTATTTTAAGGGCCATGTGTGAATAAATATATGGGGATGCTCATCACAGTACTATACATTATAAACAAAAGATTAGAAATAATTAAATGTTCAAAATTATGGAACTTAATAAATTTTAGTATACTATATAATAGAATATCATGTAACCATTAAAAATGATGACGTAAAACAGGACTGACAGAACAATGATGGACTAGTAAGTGAAAACAACGTGTTACCAACAGTATGCATAATATTATATAATTTTTGATGTATATGTGTGTGATGGTCAGCCTCTAAGTTGGCCTCCTGTGACCCTTGCCTCCTTTTCTCCCAACTACCCACGTCCCCCCGCCCCCTGCCATTGGATAGTTTGACCAGTATAACCAACAGCATGTGCAGAAATGATGGGGTGTGACTTCTGAGGCAAAGTATGCATAACATTTTGGCCTCTGAATTGCTATCTTGAATCACTCTTTCTGGGGAAAGCCAGCTGCCATGTAAACATGACTCAAGCAACTATGTGGAAAGGTCCATGTGTCAAGGAACTGAGGCCTCCTGCCAACAACCAGCACCAAGCTAGAGTGCACCATGTTGGAAGCAAATCCTCTAGCCCCAGTGAAGCCTTCCGATGACATCTTGACTGTAACTGCATGAGAAGCCCTGAGTAAGAACCACCCAGGTAAGCCACTCCCAAATTCCTGACACACAGAAGCTGTGTGAAATAATAAATATTTATTGTTTGAGCCACTAAGTTTTGGTGTAATTTGTTACATGGCAATAGATAAATATTGTACTTTTGAAAAAACATGGAAAATCATATCTCAAAATATTAGCAATCAATGTATGGAAGTGGTACAGTGAGATTATAGATTTTATACTTTCCTATACTGTCTTTATGTTTTTAATAAACATATATACTGTTTATAGGGGGAAATACTTCATTTTGAAAAATATTCTTTCTTTTGGGGAAAGAGGTGAAACTGGTCTAGAACTTTATATCCTGGTCAAAGGTTCCAAATACTATGGGTGAGCAGTAGTGAGATTAGGGAAAGTGGCTATAATTGCCACCTTCTGGCAAATGTGCCAGAGGATGAAGGGCAGGAAGACAGTTTTGTGTCACTGAAATTGAAAAAGCAAGTCTAACAAAGGTTTTCCACCATCTTCCCAGCAAGTATAGTGACTGGCTAGTTAAGACAGCTAAAAAACAGCAGATCTATGGAAACAATAAAATGCTTGCATAGATACATGCACATTTTATATGTCGTGAATGAGTTGGAGTCTTTCTCTTGGATTAAGAGAGAGTAAAGTTGATCTGCCATGCAGGTAAACAGGGAGCCAACATAGTGGTAGTAGGATGCTAGAATTGATTCTCCCACTGTCTGTCATACTGTCTGAAATTCCACCATTAAGATTTCAGTCCTTTGAGCCTTGGGTAGTTTTGTAATCACCTAAAAGAGTTCTTCTTGCCCACTGCACAGATAAAGCCAATTCACTGAGATAGCAGTGTTGCAGTAGAGAAACAGTTTAATAGTCACCAGACCAGCCAAGTGGAAGAATGGGAGATGTTGCTCAAATCCACCTCCTCAAAAGCTTGTAGGCTAGGGTTTAAAGGATAATTTGGCAGGCAGGGGGCTAGGAAATGGGTGCTGGTGATTGGTTGGGGATGAAATCATAGGAGGGTCCAAACTGTCTTCACGTGCTCAGTCAGTTTCTGGGTGGGAGTCAGTTCCTTGGTATGAGCCACGGGTCTGGGTGGAGTCAGTTGGTAGGCAGAATGCAAAGGTCCAAAAATATCTTGCATCCAATCTTAGGTTTTGGCAATAATGATGTTATCTGTAAGAGCAATTAGGAAAGTTACAAATCTTATGACCTCCAGAACAATGGATAGTTGTCATTCAACTACACCTACATTTTAACAAAATTCAGGCCCCTCCCATAATCCTAACCTCATGAACTTTCACTGGTCTTACAAAGGCAGTCTTAGTCCCTGAGCAAGGAGGGGGTTAGTTCCGGGAAGGGACTGTTGCTATTTTGTTTTAAAGTAAACAAAGGCAGTTAGCTTGTGAGACAGAATTAGAACCCAGTCTCCTGCTATGAAGGTTGATTTTATGTGTCAACTTGACTCAAGCAAGATGGAATCAGGTTAGGTTTCTCTCCCTGTTACAATTTGTGCAAAAGCAGTTTCAGTTTTTGGTCCTTAATGTCACGTCACCTGTCTAATGCCAAATGCTTCTATCTGAGGTGCATATTATGGAGGACTCTGACAGCTATTGGAGAGTAAGATACTTCAGGAGTGAGATCAGGGGAGGCACTCAAGGAAAGGTGAGGATAAATGAAGGAGAGAGAAAATAGACAGGGGATTGGAATGCTCCCATGATAAATTGTCAGTTGAGCTTCACTTGTTTTGTTGTTGAGAGAACTTTTTCTTTAGAGATTAAATATTTCAAAATTTTCTATTGCAAACCAAAAATAGCCACATATGACTTAACAGTATCTGCAGATCAATAAAGCAATAAAGAAATTTCCAAGTAATCATGTAAATAATAGAATGTCACTTTGTTTTTATAAAGGTATTTAAGCTTGATCTCCAATAACTTTATAAAACTCCAAGAAATCACCCTAGTTTCTGTGACCCTGCCTCTGTCAGGAGCAGGATTTATCCTTATATTTCTGTGTGGCTACACTGTACCCCTGAGAGTCCAGTGCTCCCCACACCCAGGGAACAGGTGTCTCTTCAGATGCATTAATGCCATCCCGAATTATAGGGCACACACCAGTTTCTGGTGTTTAAATTGACCTGTCACATTCATTTGTCTGGTGGTTTCATTTCTCAATGGAACTCCTTCCCTCTAACCAGGATCCTTATAGGCCTTTCTCATTTGTCCTCTTTCCACTTTCCCCTGCACCACCTTCCTCCTCACTGCTAATCCTCACTAAATTTACTTAGCCCTTTGAGCCAGTGTCGTAATACTTACAGCCATTAAGTGTTAGTGGCAAAGAAAGAATTGTAACCCAGTCTCCTGCAGTCAAGGTTAACTTTATGTGTCAACTTGACCAGGTTAATGGATGCTAGATAGTTGGTAACATTATTTCTGGATGTGTCTGTGCGGGTGTTTCTGGAAGAGATCAGCACTTGAATCAGTGGACTGTGTAAAGAAGATCACCCTCACCAGTGTGGGTAGGCACCATCCAATCTGTTGAGGGCCCAGATGGAACAAAAAGGCTGAGGGAGGGTGAATTCCCTTTCTCTCTTCTAGAGCTGGAGCATCCCTCTTCTCCTGCCCTCCAGGGCTCAAGGTTCTCAGGCCTTCAGACTCCAGAAATTAGACTGGCAGCCCCCCAAATTGTGAGGCCTTAGAACTCAGACTGAATTGCCTCACTACCTTCCCTGGTTCTCCAGCTTGCAGATAGCATGTTGTGGGACTTCTCAGCCTTCATCATCACATGGGCTAATTCCCGTAATAAATCTCTCTCTCTCTCTCTCTCTCTCTATCTATCTATATCTATCTATCTATCTATCTATCTATCTATCTATCTATCTATCTATCTATGTCTATACATCTATTCATCCTTCTTATTAATTTTGCTTCTCTCGTGATCCCTGATTTCCTGCCTCTCTCAGCCCAGGGCTTTTTTCTCTTAATCTGTCTGGAATTCTTATGCTCTGCCTGAGTTTATAAAAGCTAGATCAAAGAGTTATACTCTTTTAACTGTGTTTTATCATATGCTCAGGCCTCCTGCAAGCTACTTACCATCAATTTATTCTCCATCTTGCTGCAAGTTTGGCTGTATCAATACCCTGCTGGATGCTGCTTCGTGGATTCCTTGCCCGTAGGATGAAGTCCTAGGTCAACAGCAAGTTATAAAAGGCTTTCCACATCCTAGCCCCAGCCCAATTGTATTGGTTACTTACTGCTGTGTTAACAAACTACCTTAAAAATCATAGCTAAAACCAACAACCATTAATTATTATAGCTCAAGTGTCCCTATGTCAGCTGGAGGCTCTAATCTGGGCTTGGCTGGACCATCTTAGCGGGGGCAACTCTGCTTCACATGTTTCACATCCTTCTCCTGGAAGTTGTGGGCTAGCCCAGGCATGTCCTTTACCTGGCAATGGAAGAAACACAAGTGGGGAAAAGGGAAGTATACAAGTCCTCTGGAGATCTAGGTTTGGATCAGGCATATTATCACTTCTGCCTTATTCTGTTGGTCAAAGCAAGTCCCATAGCCAAGCCCAGAGCCAGAGAAGGAGGGCTTAGTCAAATTCCATGGCAAAGGATATAGATTCAGAGAAGGATAAGGAATTGAAGCCATAAATGCAATTTACCATATCAGCTCTGCAATCTTGTCTCCTGACATTTCCTACCTGGAAGATTATACGACATAGGCTCCTACTATATTCATTTGCTTTTAGCCCCACAAATTACACTCTTATCATACTTTTCTCATCTGCATGCTTTTGTCCAGTGTTTTTGCTCCAATTTGACAGCTCTTTACACTTCTGTGTACACCCCACCTCAGACAATTAATACCTTCTTATTTATTTATTATTTATTTATTTTTGAGACACAGTCTTGCTCTGTTGCCCAGGCTGGAGTGCAATGGCACGATCTTGGCTCACTGCAAACTCCGTCTCCTGGATTCAAGCAATTCTCCTGCCTCAGCCTCCCGAGTAGCTGGGATTACAGGCGCCCACCACCATGCCCAGCTAATTTTTGCATTTTCAGTAGAGACAGGGTTTCACCATGTTGACCAGGCTGGTCTCAAACTCCTGACCTCAGGTGATCCGCCCGCCTCAGCCTCCCAACATGCTGGGATTACAGGCATAAGCCACTGTGCCCGGCCTACCTTTTTATTTTTTAAGACTGAAGTCAGAGTCATCTCCAGAAAAACCTCTGTGGAGTGCTAAAGCCAGTTTATATGTGCTTGGAAGAGCAAAGGGTTAGCATCTCTCCTCAACTCCTTGTTCAGTGATGACATGTTAGCACATTGGAATCAGCAGCCATGGGAATATTTACACCACAGAAATTGGCAACTACAAATCAGAGCTTTTTCTCTCGTTCTGAAGGTTGTGCTCTTAAAGATTTAGCAGCAGAATGCTGAAGCCTCTCTTCACACACTCACCTCTTCAGTCTGTCTATTATTCTAAATACGTAGGTCCCTTGTGTCATCCTAAATTTCTTCATGTCTTTCCCAACTAGATGGTAAGTTCCAGCAGTCAAATAATGTGTCTTATTGGTCTCAGGATCCCCAGCACTGAGCACATCAACACTCAGTGGGCATGCAATAAATCTGCATAAAATGAAAGATGTAAACGACCAGCTGTTGTTTGGGTTGACAAGATGGCCATGAGATATGAGGGTGTCACAAAAAGGTTTGCTTAGGAAAAAAAAAAAAAAGGAAACATATCTTTTTCCTCCAGCCTACCACTGCTTGTTGCATCAAATCTCTGGCAAGTCCCGGAGGGTAATATTCATCCTCTTGAAAGGGGACTGGTGAGTCCTTTAATATCTATTGCTACATTGGTGTGGAATCATTTCTTTAAAGATTCAGAAAGTGTAACAGAGGTTTTCTTTGGAGCATGGTTTAGGAGGTGCATTTTGAGGGAGCAGAGGCAGTGGTGTAGTCTGTTGCAACCAGCCTTCCCATACAGAGGGGACTGAGAGTGTAAAATTGGAATTGAAGGCTTCCACTGAAGTGACACAAAAATGATGGACACATCAGAAACGCTGCACTTAATATGGTGAGTCATGGGCACTTCTGCTTTGGACTAGATTGAACGAGGGACATTGAGTTAAAGGCACTTAACGTGGGAGGATGCATTCATAGGTAACCTTTTGCAAGTGCCTTGACCTATTTTTCCTTTTTAAGCTGCACACAGCCTAATTCTAATTTTGAAGAAGAGTTTCTAAAATTTCTACAGTGTAAGATTAATCCTCATTGTCTGTGGCATTTTTATGACAGCTTTGACTTTTAAAGTGGAACCAAATTTCATTTGGAAAATGAGCCAACCAAGCATGTCTCCGTTAACAAATTGACACTTGGTGCTGTTGTTCTGTCACTCCCACTTCTAAGGTAAATGCACATCAGTAATTTGACATGTGCAAGGGCCTGGTGTCCAGAGCTAGCATGGGGTGAAGTGGGGGACTGTGGGGATGGTGGTGTCTAGCGGAGGAAAAGCAGATTGTTTCGAAGATTACATGACATAAGTGAATCAGGAGACTGATGTCTAAATACAGGCTGGTAAGTTTGGGGGACAGTGGAGATGTTCTAGTCACTAGGAGTGGAAGGAACTGTGAGCATTGGCTACTTTTAGTGACTGAGCTTGTTAGAGAGGAGTCTTCCACTTTAGGAATTGCAGTTAGAGGCTGAGAAGTCCAGAGTCAGCCTCTGAGTGTCACTGCCCCTAACCCGCTCATGGGGTTTGCCAGCAGTCTCTGGCTGTAATATATGGGATTGGTGATTGCACCGCCGAACTCTGGCAAAACACTCTTAGATCTTGTCATTTGCTTAGGAAAAGAGTCTGATTTTTTGTTTGTTTGGTTTTTTTTTTTTTTTTTTTTGCAAAAATAGTTGATAATGTGCATGTTTCCTCTCAATCATAGCTGGTTTTTCTGTGTTTCTGTTTTAAAGTTGGGGTAGAATGAAGGTGGAAAATAGAAATTTGTTGCGTGAGGAAATGAGTGGGACCTTAAATAAAGGCATGCATTCCTCCATCCAACAGGGCATTTTTTTTTTAAAGGTTAAGCACCTTGGTAACTAAACCCCTTAAAATAGCTATAAAGGTTATATATTGACTGAATTACTTTGAAGGCTTGGGTTTATTTCTGTGGACCTGAATTGATAAGAATTAGAGTATAGAAGTGAGGCTGATGTTTTGGAGTAATATACATCATAATTATAAGTAAATATGCAAAGGCTTAACAAGAACAACGACAAAAGACTCAGCAAATAGAAAGATGTTGGATTAATGGGAATAAATTGAACACACATATATAACTGTATCCTCCAAAAATAGTTATTAAATATATGTTTAATTTATGGTATTAAATACATGTTTAAGAAGAATAAACCAGCCTGGCCAACATGGCGAAACCCCGTCTCTACTAAAAACACAAAAATTAGCCAGGTGTGGTGGCACACGCCTGTGATGTCAGCTACTCGGGAGGCTGAGGCAGGAGAATCACCTGAACCGGGCGGGTGGAGGTTGTGGTGAGCCAAGATTGCACCACTGCATGCCAGCCTGGATGACAGAGCGAGACCTTGTTTGAAAGAAAAAAAAAAAAGAGAAGAAGAAGAAGAAACCACAAGGACAATGCATATAGGAAAGGAGATGATTGTAGCAAAGTTTTGAAGGCTTAAAAGCAGAAGGGCAGTGGTAAATATATTGGATATCTTTCGTACATCATTTCAAATTTTCCCAGCCTTGGGCAGGACAAGACAGCTGAATGATATCCATCTGAGCCACTGTGAATGCACTGCAGAGGCTCTCCAATACCTGGGGACAGAAAAGAAAGGCAGAAAGGAGTCTTCTGAGAAGCAAAAGGCTGGAAGTTGAACTGGAGAGCAAAGAGAGTTGTCCAGCAACCCAAAAGGTTGGCAGCCTGGCTTAAAGCTGATACAAATCTCCCATAGCTAAAACATGAGGGCTGGGCAATAAAGCACAAAGAGATCTTTAGAGTCTCTCCAGTGCTCATATCCCAAGCCCAGTTTGAGGGAAAGTCCTAATCCCTTCCTCAAAATATTTGCAGCCAAGGTGAGTGAATCTAGCTAAAGCTGCAACCAAGTCCAACTACAGATTAAATTGACTCAGCCTGCCACACTCATGGACCGACCCAAAAGAGGTGTGCCCTTTTCTCGAGGTAAATATTAGCACTTAAAATTTTCTTTTTTTTCTTTCACAGAGATTGGGTCTCACTATGTTGCCCAGGCTGGTCTTGAACTCCTGGGCTCAAATGGTCCTCCCACCTCAGCCTCCCAAAGTGTTAGGATTATAGGTGCAAGCTACCACACCTGGCTGATGTTAGCACTTTTTAAGCTACTGTTCTTTAATATACAATTACTAGCATAAAATTAAAGAGATATGTGAAGAAGTAAGAAGGTATGACTTATGTTAAAAGAGGTCAGTAGAAGCCAACCCAGAGATGATTTTAATGTTGGAATTATCAGACATGGACTTTAAAATAAGTAGAAAAAAATATGTTAAAGTGTCTAGTGAAAAACATGTATGAATAGATAGGGAATGTAAGCAGACAGCCAAAAACTATTAAAAAGAACCAAATGAAAATCTTACAAATAAAAAAATTGATATTGGAAGCAAAGAATTTATTTAATGTGTTTAACAGCAAACTGGACATGGCAAAGGAAAAGTGGGTCAATAGAAGCGCAATACCTGTAGAAGTGCAAAACATACTGAATGTTGCCAAGAGAAATAAAAAAGACCTAAATAATAAAGATGTATATATACACACACACCCACACCTTGTTAATGCTTTGCACAACTCAGTACTGTTTAGATGCTCATTCACCCTAACCTAATCTATAGATTGATGGTAGATTCAGCACAAATCCAACAAATCCTCTAAGTCTCACTTCTTGTCCCAGCCATAACTGTAGAGGCCAGTTTTCAGCATGCTTCAAACACCTTCATAGAAATCTAAACTGACAATGCCTCTCTTAGGCTTCTTTGATGTCAAGTGGCGGGATGCCTGGAGGAACCTGGTTGACAACTCACATACAAGTGCCCCAAAGCTGTGGCCAACAGTATAATGCATTCTTCTATCTTTCTCCTTTCTTGACTCACCCCCATTCCTAAGTTTCAGGATCATACCCACACATAAACATTTTGCGCATCAGCCTTTGTCTCAGGATCTGCTTTTGAGGAATCCAGACAAGACAATGACTGATTCAGCAGACTTGAAAAAGTTGAATCTTATGCCAGCAGTGGAAAAATCCAGGAAGAAACTTGTAGCATGGAAATGTCAAAGGGCTCAGAAGTTAATGACATTGGATACCTCTGGAAGTGGGGTGAAGAAAGGATAAAAACAGAAAGACTTAAAAAAAGCAGTTAGATTTTGAATCTCCTTACCAATTCCATTTACTAGAATGATAGCCTTAGTATCACCTAAGCAGAATTTTTGAGGTTTGTTCTCTCTAGTAAGAGGACTGAGGGCTGTGAGACATTAGGACAATTGAGGATAGAGATTTAGTGAAAATGTACATGCTGAATTTTTAAACCCCTCCTCTCCCTCTTCAACCCTTTCACTTGCTTTGTTTCTAGAATGCTGGCAGTCAGCTTTAGATCCTCTAGACAGGAGATTAGAAGACTCTACACTAAGAAATCCAACTAACCAGCATGCACAACTGATTTCCCCAAACATGAAGTCCTGCAGCCCAGGTCTTAACCTGAATCAGGATGAGGGGATGGTGGGTCAAGGTGGGTCTGTTGAAAGTGCCCCTGCTTGCCACATACCTGCACATCCCACCCCCTCAGCTCTCCCTTGCCCTTCACTCATGGCAGTCTTCAGGCAAGTTTTTCACTTATAAGGGATGGCCTATCTTCTACCAAGACTCTGTGGATGTGGTTGGAAGTCCAGAGATAGTTGTTCTTTTACATGGCTTTCCAACATCCAGCTATGATTGGTACAAGATGTGGGAAAGTCTGACCTTGAGATTTCATTGAGTGATTGTCCTTGATTTCTTAGGCTTTGGCTTCAGTAACAAACTGAGACCATATCACTATTCCATATTTGAGCAGGCCAGCATCCTGGAAGCGCTTTTGTGGCATCTGTCTGTCAACTGGAGATATCTTTTCTGAGACTCACTGTCTACTCCTTCTTCAAAAGCTACTCAAACATGGAGGTGTGCTGTCACCCATCCTCACGCGGCTGATGAACTTCTTTGTATTCTCTCGAGGTCTCACGCCAGTCTTTGGGCCATATACTCAGCCCTCTGAAAATAAGCTGTGGGACATGTGGAAAGGGGTCCGCAATAATGACAGGAATTCGTCTCTGACAGTCTCTTAGAGTACATCAATCAGAGGAGGCAGTTTAGAAAGCACTAGGTGGGAGCTCTTGCCTCTGAAACTATCTCCATTCATTGTTATCTATGGGCCATTGGATCCTGTAAATCCCTACCCAGAGTTTTTGGAGCTGTACAGGAAAATGCTGCTGCAGTCCACAGTGTCAATTCTGGATGACCGTATTAGCCACTATCCACAGCTAGAGGATCCCATGGGCTTCTCTAATGCATATATTGGCATCACCAACTCCTTCTGAGCTGGAAAGAGTAGCTTCCCTCTATTATTTCCCCTACTCGCTTATATGTTGTGTATTCCACTTAGGAAGAAATGCCCAAAAGACATCCTAGCCATCAAACACTATTCTCTCACAAAGTCCACTTTACTCAAATTGGTGAACAGTATGTAGGAAGAAGCCAGCAGGAGCTCTGACTAAGGCTGAGATAATAGTCTACCTCCCATTTCTTTGACATCTGATCAAATGTACAGACTTGCCTTTGTTTTTGTGTTATTAGGAAATTCTGATGAGCACTGCTATTCACTGATGCAGAAAGACGTTCTTTTGCCTAGAAGGCTTTTTAACACTTTGGACTTTTCTGAAGTATTTAGAAGTGCTAATTTCTGGTCCAGCCCCAATAGGAATTCTACAATGAGAATGAGAAGTGGGTTTCTTTACCTCTCCTTGAATGGCTGCTTAAAAGTTCTTTAAGCAACACAGAGCTCAGTCTCCTTTGTTATACCTTTGGATATAGTTTCATCAGCTGTTGTTAATTATAAACATTTTGTTAAAAGACATATTGGTTTAAATAAAGTAGTGTTCTAAGTATGATTTGGGACCATGATTTACCTACACATTACATATATTTTATAAGGATGCTAAACCAACATATCCTTACTCTGTCAGAGTAGTGAACTTAATTAAACATGCTTCATTTCTGAATGAATTGAACTAAATCAAAACTATTTACAGAATTTCCTAAAATCACAGGACATTAAGGACCAATAGCACCTGTGCCAGAGATTTACTATTACTAGCTGGGAAGACCAATTCTAACAGCAAATAACAATCTGAGACTCGTCATACCTCAGTGCTTAGAAGCATGTCTCTCTCGAGCTACCATAGAAGGGAAGAGACTGTTTTGTAGTCCAAATCACCACACAGAATGTACATTGATTCCTTTATGATGACTGCTTAACTTCCCATTGCCTGTTCCAGAGAGGCTTTCTTATGTAGCTCATTTATTCTTGTACTTTACAGACAGGAAAGTTCCAGAAACATTAAGAACAAATTCTGAAAGATCTATAAGCAAATGGTGCTGAATACTTTTTTTTAAAGCCACATTTTACTGTCTTAGTGAAAGCAGGATTATTAAGTGATTATTTAAAATTCTTTTTTTTTTTTTTTGAGACGGAGTCTCGCTCTGTCGCCCAGGCTGGAGTGCGGTGGTGCGATCTCGGCTCACTGCAAGCTCCGCCTCCCAGGTTCACGCCATTCTCCTGTCTCAGCCTCCCGAGTAGCTAGGACTACAGGCGCCCACCATCACGCCCGGCTAATTTTTTTATGTATTTTTAGTAGAGACGGGGTTTCACCATGTTGGTCTGGATGGTCTCGATCTCCTGACCTTGTGATCCGCCCTCCTTGGCCTCCCAAAGCGGCGGAATTACAGGCGTGAGCCACCGCGCCCAGCCCTAAAATTCATATTTTTAAAATAGCAACTTCAAGTATAACAACTTTGAAACTGGAATAAGTGTTTATTTTCTATCAATAAAAATGAATTGTGACAAAAAAAAAAAATCCAACTAATCTAAGAGAAAAAAGTCCTAAAGATACTGGCATTGGGCCTGGTGCAGTAGCTCATGCCTGTAATTCCAGCACTTTGGGAGGCTGAGGTGGGCAGATCACTTGAGGCCAGGAGTTCAAGACCAGCCTGGACAACATCGCAAAACCCCGTCTCTACTAAAAATACAAAAATTAGCCAGGCGTGGTAGCACATGCCTATAATCCCAGCTACTTGGGAGGCTAAGGCAGGAGAATCGCTTGAACCCGGGACACAGAGGTTGCAGTGAGCTGAGATCACACCACTGCACTTCAGCCTGAGTGAGTAGAGCAAGACTCTGTCTCAAAAAAAAAAAAAAAAAAAAAGATACTGGCATCAAGGTTGCCCCACATGAATGACTCAGTCAGAATACCACAGTCAGCAGGTCTCACCCATTTGGACAAATTTTCCAATCAGTTTTTTTTTTAAATCCCATTTTTAAATATGAATAAACAGCTATGAACTAGTAAACACCTAAGGAAGCCTATAACATGAATGACTGAAATCAAAACAACTAACAGAAAACAACAAAACTTGGAAGAAGTAGAGTCAAAGCAGGAAGATGAAACTTCAGACTTCAGAAAGAAAAAAGAAACTATTATTAATAGCCTCTGAAATATAAAAGGATTCATGAAATAAGAAGTTTTGTGAAAAAAAAATAAAGAACAAGGAACACTTGTTTTGGTTGTTTGTGCTGCTATAATAGAATAATGAGACTGAATAATTTACTAAAGAATGGAAATAAATTCTCTCATAGTTCTGGTGGCTGGGAAGTCCAAGCTCAAGGTGCTAACAGGTTTGGTGTCTTGGGAGGGCCTGGTCTCCAATTCCAAGATGGTACCTTGGAGTCTTCATCCTCCAGAGGGGAAGAATGCCATTTCTCAAATAGCAGAAGAGCAGAAGAGAGGTGACTCACTCTCAGAAGCTCTTTTTACTCTTTTTGTAGAGTAATTAATCCATTCATGAGTGCTCTGCCCATTTGGCCCCATCTCCCAACACTGTTACATTGAGAATTAATTTTCAACATGAGTTTTGGAGGCGACAAAAACATTCCAACCATGACATACCTTTTGAAACTTAAAAGTATAGTATATAAATAAAATTCAATAGAAAGCTCATAAGATAAAGTTGAGAAAATCTTTCTTAAAGCCAAAAAAAACTTTAAAAATGAAGATCAAATAAATGAGAGAAAATACAAGATAATTACGTTACTTCCCCCTTATTAGATCCTACATTTGAATAATATGAATTCCAGAAAAGAATGGAGGACAATGCGGCATATCATTGTGAAATTTCAGAACATAGGATAAAGAAAAAAAAATCTATAAGCTTTCAGAGAGAAAGAGAGAGAGAAAAATAAAACAAGCCCCATATGAAGAATCAAGGATCAGATTTCACACCACCACCAGATGCTAGAAAACAATCGAGCAATATCTTTTAAAATCCTGAGCAAATATATTTTCCCATTAGATTTCTATACCCAACTAAACTATCAATAAAGAAGGGCTGTAGACCAAAGAAAATATGGGCTTTCAGGAGCTCACAAAAATTACATCTCATGTACCTTTTCCCAGGAAGCTAGCTAGTAGGTAATGTGCTGCACAAGAATAAAAGCATAAAGACACTGGATCCAAGAAGAAAGAAGTCAAAGAAATTCTCAAAACTTTGGTGAAATGAATTCCCAGGAATAGAGTGTGAAACAGGCCTATAGTGGGGCAGGTCAGAAGATGCCAGGAGAGATTAATCCAAGTAAAGAAAACGATAGAACAACCTGGTGTGTCTGAATACAGAGAGGAAAGATTTGAGGTTATTAGGGGAAAATAGAGGCTGAATTAGTAACAAATAGAAAACTAAACAACAACAAAAAAAGCATTACTTTAGGAAGAACAAAATTGTGCAAGAAAGGAAAAGTAAAGATATTATACTATATCTATATCGTTCATATCTATAGGTTCAATGCTATGAATAATGTTGAAATTGTCATACTAATGGAAACACAGTATTAATCTAAACAGAAGTATGATACAATTATATTGAAGGGATCATGAGACGGTGTGAATGTGGGTGGTAGTAATGGTGGTGTAGTGGTCTGTGATAAAGGAATGGGAGATCATGAATAAGAGCTAAATCCTTATTTTCCCTATATGATACCTAAAATTGAAAATTCAAAAGGTAGGAAACACAAGGCTGTTATTTTTATATATGGAGGTAAATAACAAAGAAACAGCTAAAATAATTGAAACTGGTTGCTATTGAAAAAGAGAATAGGTGGTGGTCGAGGGTTGAATAGTAGGATAATCTTTTTGGATTAAGTCTCATAGAATTGTTTGATTCTATAAATTATGTGAAAATCTAATTTTGAAGAAAATAAAAACAAAACTTGAAAATTATTACAGAATTACGGTATACTTATTTTTAAAAAGCAAATGGGTAAATATGGAGTGAGGTTAAATTGGCAGGACAGGACTTGTCCTTTTCACACAGGAAATCGCAGACTCAGATGGAACACTGTGAAGAAGAAATCTTGGAGCCTTTGAGGTGGTGGGGGAGGTAGCCCTATATGTGGCATAGTGTTCGTACCTACAGACTCCCACTGTCCAATTTAAATCTAATTCAGGTCACATACATAATTTAGTTTTTGGAAGCAGCATTAAAGTAAGTAAAAAGGAAATAAGAAAATTAATTTTAATATTGTATTTGATTTAACCCAATATATCCTAACTATGATCATCTCAACATCTGATAAGCACATGTACCCTAGAACTTAAAGTATAAAATATATATATATATAAAATAAAAATGATTAACGAGATATTTTACATTATTTTCTTCATAGTGAGTCTTGGAACTCCACTGTCTGTTTTATACTTAGCTACATCTCAATTCAGTTGTTAAAGTTTCATCAGAAATACCTGAACGATACTTAGATTTTATAAAATTTACAATTGAAAAAGTGGATTCACATATTCAAGTTGTTCCAAACGTACTTAAAAATTTTCCAATAACTGAATCTTGTACCAAAACATTTTTCCCTTAGTGTTTGCATTTTTATTTCTAAAACTGGTTCATGTGTTTGCTTCAAATAATTAATTTGACTCTGAAGAAAAACCATATCAATTTTAAAACTACATCTGTCCAAGTTAAATAAATTAATTCTTATATCAACTCGTAATATTAACATTGATTTCAAAAGAGTATTGCATAAGTTGAAAAGCAATTCTAAATTTATCAATATAAACATAGTGATGTTCACGTTTTTCTTGTAATTTTTGCTGCCAATTTACCTAACAGTTGATTACAATTAAAATATGCATCTCAATTCATGCTTTTAAAAAATGTGTAAAAACATCACTAATTTGCTTTATGAAGAATTTATATTTCAATATAAATTCTTTTTGCTTTCTTTAGAACTTAACGTTTAGATCATTTGTACGCAGTCTGATATAGTTGAGAAACCATAAATCATGCTGCCATTTTTTTTTTTACTTTAATTATTCTTTTAGTTTCAAGACAATCTTAAACTGGGGTTACTAGTATTGTAAATCTTTATAAAACTCTTCCACAACTCTTAAGCAGTCAACATTAGTAAAGAGTACATGATCATTAAATATATCATTTTTCTATTTCTTTCAATAGTTCCATACACTTGTGGTTTACAACATGTACATACTGAATGATTTTTAACAGCTGTGTCCGTGATACTTTTCATTAAAAAAAATTTAGCACAAATATTTTCAGTGTGTGTCACACAATGGAGTGAAGCAATAAGGGAAAAATCTGTCTCTTGTTTTAAAATTCTGATAAATCTAGATTTTTGACCTAACATAGCAGGGCCATCATCTGTCTTGTTGATAAAACTGGATTTTTTTTCTTATCTAGTTGAAACTCTTCTTTGACATATCTAAAATATTTAAAGCTATCTACACATTGAGTTGATTTTTTTCTTTAGGTCGGAGACACCATTTCTAAGTAAATTTGAAAGTGTTTTTAAACAAAAATGTAACCAAAGGTGTCCCGTATTAACTGGGCACAGTCTCTTATTCTATATGGCTTGTCTAAAGCTTTAAAAAAAAAAGTACCTTCTCATTTTTCACATTTTGAGTCAGTTGATCATTGACATTGTTAGTCTTTCATTCTACAGTCACTTGTTTGATGGCTTAATTGAAATTTTGCTTTTGTAAAATATCTTTTAGTCTTTTCCTCATAATTTTCTAAAAAAATTTCCACAACTGAAATGATTTCTTTTACCATCTCTCCATCTAAACATGTGGGTTTGGGTTTGGTTTAGTTTGGATTTTTGTGAAAGAATTCAAGCCATTTTATACCTGACCAGCGTTACAAGATCAGATCTTGTCAAGAATTGCTTAAGACATTTTTGTTGGACATTTAATACTGATTGCAGGTGACTAATTTCTTCAATTCTTTTTTAGTTATTGAGAGAAAGCTCTTATCAAATTCAATGTGCGTTTGCTTTAAATAGCTTTTAATATTGTCCGCGTTATTATCCTTTTTTTTTTTTTTTTTCTTAACAGCTTTTTTGTTTGACTCTGTGGCAGCCAACTGCAATTGCCATATGTTGTGAGATTTGGAACACACCTTCTTCCAGTCTCTTTTATTCTTTACTGTTCGGGTCTTGGGACTAGCTTCTGCATCTCCACTCAATTCCATATCCGTAGTACGCCTTCATTTTAAATTTGAAAATTTGCCCATACTTATTTTTTCTAACTAGAAACATAATTTAATTATATTATAATTAAACTAAGTATTTCAATTTAATTACCAATTACAGTTTACATAGGAATTGCTATAACTGGAGCTGTCTGCCTGAAATATCCAAATAAATGCATTATACTGTTATATTAGTGCATAGAAGATAATCATTTGAATGGAGTCAATCTGTCCACTGATTCAATCAGTGATGTGTTTGTGAATAATATTAGAAAAAATGCTGGTGTCCCATACATGCACTACAGCATCATAACGATGCCTTATGCAATGCAATGGGTAAGCTGAAATGCTGTCTTATCAAAATAAGATAAAATGGTATTGAAGAGGGAAAAAAATTTTACGATTCTTCAGTGTTTAAATTTAATTAAAATTAAATACAATTAAAATTGTAATTCCTCAGCCGCGGTAGTCTCATTCAAGTGCTCCATAGCCACATGTGTCTAGTGGCCACTTTATTGGACGCCACAACTTGGACTGTAGGAGAGTGAGAACCGATTGTTAGAGTGCCAGGCATTTTGTTAGATAGTTGGCTCTCAAAGAAAGCATCTCAATTATTCCCCAGAACAGTCCTGTCTATTGTTACCCACCTTGTACATGAAAAATCGAGACTCAGTGAGATTTAGTGACTTGTCCAAGGCCTTGCAGTTAATCAGTGAAGGAGCTGGAATGCAGCTGTAGTCTGAACCCAAAGCCCATGCTGTGTGTGCTGTGATGGTGTGGGGCCCCTTGCTTTGGTGTAATCATAGACATAACTGAACCGGAAAACAGGACGCTTTTCCCTTATCTCCCTCACGCCTGGATCACTTTTGAAATTCATAAGTCTCTAGTTGTTTTAACAATCTTGTATGAGTGAAAGTTGGAAAAATCAACAAATATATATTGTCTCCTATGGGTCAGGCACTACTCTAGTGAACAAGAAACAAGAGCCTCTGCCTTCATGCGGTTTACAATCTTACGCAAAAGGAACAGAAAATGACAATAAAAACACTGTCGGTGAGATACTGCTCTCAAAACTAAACACTGTGAGCTTGCTTACAGTGATGCTTTTTAAGGTGACAGTGCTTTTTGTGATTTTAGGATGGGATAAAGTCATCTCTGCATACAGTAATTCTGCCAAGGGTGGTCGTGCAAATAGATCCTTAGTAGGAACTTTTGCTATTGAACATGAAGTTATCACCTCCAATTTTGGGTAATTATTTTCATTCCTGTCCATTTGTCCATTATTATCCTTGAGAGGCTAACATGTTCTAGTCTCCAAGGAGAAATGGGCAACAGGGCAAAGGGACAAATGGTAAAACTAGAAGGGCAATGTCAGGCTGGGCACCGTGGCTCACACCTGTCATCCCAGCATTTTGGGAGGCCAAGGTGGGCAGATCGCCTGAGGTCAGGAGTTTGAGACCAGCCTGGCCAACATGGCGAAGCCCCATCTCTACTAAAAATACAAAAATTAGCCAGGCATGGTGGTAGGCGCCTGTAATTCCAGCTACTTAGGAGGCTGAGGCAGGAGAATCACTTGAACCTAGGAGGTGGAGGTTGCAACTGCGTTCCGGCCTGGGCGACAAGAGTGAAACTCTGTCTCATAAAACAACAACAACAAAAAAAAAACAAGAAGGGCAATGTCTCCCCAGATGAAGAACGTCAGATGGATTAGGAGACTTATTGTCTCCTAATAAGGGAAACACATTCAGATCACCCCAAACTAAGGTACTGATGTGATCAGTAAAACTATCATCGGTGAAAGCAATGTATTGGACCTATGGTTTCTTTTCAGGCTACTGCAAAAGCTACAGGAAGTTTCCTTTGGGTGATGCAACCAGCTCTATAAAACTCTACCACCTGTGGTTTAGGATGCAGCTGAGGAGCACCGGGGGCTGGATCTTCAAGGGTAGAGATTTATGCATACGAAAGGTTTTTTTTGTTTTGTTTTGTTTTGTTTTTCCCCTGAGTAAGGCCTCAGGGGAGATAATGCTTGCAGAATATTTTAGAGTTCAACCAGATCGTCATACAAATGGGGAAACCTACAGTTCAGAGAGTTTACATGATTAATCTAAAGCCACACAGCATATTCATTCAGTGAGACTAGGACGTCTACATTTTCTTTCCAGCTAATGAGTTGTGGGTGAGGAGAGGAGGTGGGAGGGAGAATCAGAAGAAGCTAGAGACTATGTGGAAAGCTCAGTAAGGCTAGGGTTTTAAGTCTGCTCCTGTATTTTCTACTCAGATGTTAGGCAGTTTTCTTCATTCTGCTGAGCTTCAGAATCTCAGCTGTGAAATGGGGATGACACAAACTTCCTAAGGTTTTGGTAAAGACTTGATGAAATGACGGACTTATGTGCAAACACCTTGACCTCTTCAAGATGAGAACTTTCCTTTACTCACTATCTGCAAAGTAGCACTTCCTTTTGTTGGGCTTCAAACCATCTATTTCAAACTTTGAGCTCCCCAGGCTCCAGTATTAAGTGTTCTGGATGGGTAAATCAAATTCTGCTGCCCTCCAGCTGCTGGCCCCAACCTCCCTAGTGACTCTTTATATACCAAGATGTCCCCAGTTCCCCCCAGCATCCAGTGTCTGTGATCATACCCTGTACCCACCTCTCCTTTGTCACCTCTCAGAATCTTGCCCATCCTAGCTGGAGCTCCGCCTAACAATTACAAGCCTTTACAAGTATTTGGAGAGTGTCACAGGCTTTAAAGTGCTTTCACAGACATTCTCCCCTTTGATCCTCACAACAGCTCTGTGGGGGAGTCAGGGCAGCTGGTGTCATCCACATTTTACCACTAAGGAACCTGCAGCCATAGGGGCTAAATGGTTTGCCCAAGGCCACAAGCTAGAGAACCACAGGCTTTGAGGTCAGAAAGTCCTAGGTTCAAATCTCAGCTTTGCTACTTGCTAGCATTGCGGCCTCGGGTAAGTTTTAGAGCTTACCCGAGCCTCAGTTCCTCCATCTATAAAATGGGGATATTTGTTGTGTATCTGCAAGGTTGCATATTCTGAATGCTCAGTACTTTGTAGACAGCAAGTATTCAGCAACCCAGACCAGAATCCAGTGCATCTGGCCATTTCTCTACACTATTCCTCAGCACCACTCCAACTATTACATTAATAAGGAAGGGCTTTCATCTCTCAAATTCGGGATCATTCGTTGTCTTTATCAGGAGTCTTCGATTTCGTGCCTCAGGAACTAACTCTGGCTGACAAACAGCAAATAGGATTTTTCCGAGACACCGTTAAGATCACAAAAGAGAAGAGCTGAAAACCACTTTTTGGGAAGGAACCATGGCAGCCCCAGGAATCCCAGCAGCTCCTTGGCGGCAGCCACTGGGTGACAGTGCCAACTGCCTCCCCCCACCTTGTCTGTCTCCACTCAAGATCCAAATTTACAAAAGATCTGATTGACCTAACCTGGGTCAGGTGCCCAACATGTGGGCAGATGGGTGGGGGTGATTGGAAGCCCACTGGAACGATATGGAATGGAGGAAAGGCAGTTCTATAAAGTAGAAATGCTCTTCAGTAAATGGAGTTCATTACTTAGTGCTCATGTAACTCTGTGTGGCTGTTTGTATTTGCTTGTGCTTCTGTCTTAGCATCCTGGGAGGTCAAGGTGAGAGTGAGGGAAGGACACCTCTGTGTGTGTGGTTTTTTTTTTTTTTTTTTTTTTTTTGAGACGGAGTCTGGCTCTGTCGCCCCGGCTGGAATGCAGTGGCGCCATCTCGGTTCACTGCAAGCTCCGCCTCCCAGGTTCACACCATTCTCCTGCCTCAGCCTCCCGAGTACCTGGGACTGCAGGCACCCGCCACCACGCCTGGCTAATTTTTTGTATTTTTAGTAGAGCCAGGGTTTCACCATGTTAGTCAGGATGGTCTCGATCTCCTGACCTCATTATCCACCTGCCTCGGCCTCCCAAAGTGCTGGGATTACAGGCATGAGCCACTGCGCCCGGCCAGACACCTCTGTCTTATACTTCAATTTAATATGGAAGCCCAGAGACGAACCCACTGCCTTGCCCATAATTGGTGCTCAATAAATATCAGATGATTTTATTACAGCCTTCAGTCTTTCCAGTACAAATTAAGTTAGATCTTTCCTGACTTATCCCAGCTTCTACACCTCAGCACTCTTACCTACATGCAGCCACCAATAAAGCAATCAATCAATCAACAATTCACCTAATTAGCTTGCTCACATGAACCAATAAGTTCCTCAGGCCTAGCTGCTTCCCACCACAACCACTGTATAGAGTGCCAGGTGTCTTGCCAAAGGACTTGATTAATAAGTCATTATAATTGAAGCTGAATACAATTAATTGCATAATTTTGAACTCTTCAAGTTTAATTCCATGAAAATTACATCACAGAATTGGGGCATGATAAAGTATTTCTAACCAAAGGAATAGAGGGAACTTGAATAACCACTGGTTCATATTTGCGACATGTTATGCACACGCCAGGCATGGACGCTTTCCATTGTTGTCAACAAAAACTCATGCAGCTCAAATACTTAAATGAATTCTCAAACATGTGGTTCACAATTGAAAAAAACCTGGACATTATCCTAGTCAGTCCCAACATTTTGATAATGATGTCCTCCTTAAATCTGTCCTGGTTTTGATTTTTGTCTGCAAGCACAGATCACAGATCTGCTCCTATCTTGGGGTTTGTTTGGGTTGGTTTGATGTGTTCGTATTTTCTCTCTCTTTGCAGTTCCCTTAAATGTGTTCTTTCAAATGGTTACTAACTTGCTGGAGGACAGGGTAGAAAATAGCTGATGAATAAAAATAGTGCTGTCTGCCTTTGACAAAACTTTTACCCAATTGAGCCAGCAAGATTTTCATGAAGAAAATCTGAGAAATTAATTAATTAACTGTAACTGAATTTCACCTCTTTAACCTTAACTCGTGAGCAAACCTGAGCTAAATAAACATCTGACCATTCGATCTCTTTCACTTAAGGTTAACTTGAGTTTATTATTCAGGCTACTGCCCTTGTGTATTAGGCAACGCATAAATTACGCATACTAATTACCCTGGATGGGGCACCACTTTAATGAATTCTTTTAATTAAACTGCAACACGGTGGTTTTGCACAGGATGGTCTATATTTCATCCTTAAACTGTGTTAATCTTCATCTTTGTCTGGGCGGCTCAAACATCCAACCGGAGAAGGTCTGAGTTTAATTCATCTAAGTATATACATTCCACAACCCCCACTCCTTGACCGTCATAGGAAAATTTGAAAGACGTTTCTCTTCTGCTTTAAGGTTAAGAAATTAGATGCCTCTGTGAAAAGTTATGATTCTGCTGGGGATACTGAGATGGAAAAGAAAAAGACAAAAACTGAAATGACAGAATCAACCAGCACAACACTGCAGTCTTTAAAATATAAATAATAAAAGGAATTAACAATGTTCTTATTAATATGTAAACTAAACAAAGGACATACTTCACTTTGCAATCTGTATATTCCTGAGTTTACAGCAAATAATCCTTACCATCAGTCCAGTTTTCAAGGATACAATCAGTTCTCTATTATCTGGAACACTTAATGGATACAGCAGTAAAGAAGATTGAAACCAATGCATATTTTAGCCATGAGTATACATCTTCTCTTGTCTTTTTACTAAGCTCCTGCTTCTAGGTAGGAAAATTGACTGCCTTGAGTTTTATCTCCCTGGTATCTGATTGGGGGTTGTGGGGAGAGGAAACAGTTGAGGTACTATCTAGATCCCAGGTAACTTCACTCCCTTGGGTAGTTCAGCTGGGAGAGCAGAGGCCCCAGTTCAAGTCAATATATGTTAATTGATCACCTATTGTAGTTTTAGCCCTGTGTCTGTGCCAGAATATCATGGTGATTGAGAATTGTTCTATGTATGTTATTTTTTAAAGAAAAAGGAATGCATTTCTGTATTTATATTTGTACTTACCTAGATGAATTCAGGAAGATGCACAAAAAACTTTTGGGAGAGTTTGCTTCTGAGAAATATTAAAGGTCTTTGTTGGGAGAGAAAAGCACTTATTCTACATCCTTCTCCTTTTCCTCTTCCCTCTTTTTTTTTTTTTTTTATCATGAGCATGTAATCCTTTATCATTTAAAACTTTGAAACAATAAAAATAACTAGGGAGTTCATAGTTCACTCAGGGAGAAAAGCACATACAATGTAATATATTAATAGCAAGTGCTGTGAAAGGTGAACACACAAACTCTTCTACAGACACAGAGGTGGGATCATCTAATAGTGTCTGGTGGAGTCAGGGAAGACTCCTTAGAGGAGGTGGCATTTAAGTTGGGTTTTGAAGCATGAGTGTGAGAGTTTTTCAGGTTAAGACTCAGCCATTGAGTAATGGGAAGAGGAAGATAGCATAAGATGATTCCATCCACCCAAGATTATTCTCTCTTAGAAATCCTGTTAGTAGATATGCTACTCTAGGGCTTTCCTGGTGACATGTAGAAATAGCGTTTGAATGGGTACAAAAAAGTTAGAAAGAATGAATAAGGCGTACTATATCATAGCACAACAGGGTGACTATCGTCAATAATAATGTAACTTTACATTTTTAAATAACTTAAACAGTGTGACTGGATTGTTTGCAACTCAATGGATAAATGCTTGAGGGGATAAATACCCCATTCTCCGTGATGTTCTGATATACTTATTTCACATTGCATGCCTGTATCAAAACATCTCATGTACCCCATAAATATATATACCTACTATGTACCCACAAAAATTAAAAATAAGACTAGCATTTGAATCATTCTGATTTCTGACAAGGTGATTGGGAGTGATACATTGTAGATAATCTAAAAAAAAATTTGTTCACTCTGGAAAATAATTGGACATGCCTGAAATCCAAACTTCATAGTTTTTCCAAAAGTTCCTGAAAAATTTTCACCAATCCCTAACTTAACCTAAAATTTGTACAAAAGCAACTAACCTGGAGGTAGGATATAACTGATCTTCGTTTTGTTGAGAAAGATAAGGAAAATGTGGCATTTTTTAAATCAGCAAAGCCTAGCTATTAAAACCTTTCATTACATTCGGAAATGGTATCCCCGCCTTCACCTTGTAGCCACAATAGAGGAAGAATAGGGAAAGTAAAGACCATGGTGGTCTCAAATTCCATAGTTTGCCATTGATGGAGTTCTCTGGGGCACCACATTTCCTTATGATGAAGCTATTAAGGATCCCCTGATATCAGCTGGGTGGTTCCAAGCCAGGCAAAGGAACCCAGCCTCCCAAGCACAGAGCAACAAGTCCTAGAAAGAGGGATTTGGTAGAACTTGGCTTGGCTCTCCAGGCCTCTTAGAGACCCCTCGTGCATATGTAACAACCAGGGGAAGAGGCAAGCTGATTTATCTCATCTCTACCCTGACGCTGGTATGATCAATACCTTTCAGTTATTTACTGAGCCAGGGCTGTATGCCAGATGCAGAAAATGCAAAGATGGATGTTGCATGGTTCCTGCTCTCCAATAGCTCACAGGGAAAAGAGAGTCAGAGACAATCCACTGTAATACGGAGGAATGAATGTATTTCTCTAGCCAAAGCCAAGCACAGAGCTGGGAACCAGGACTCTTCCCTATGAAACTGGGAAGATTTCTCAGCCTGAAGACTCCTGAGTACAGTGCAAATATACCTTTAAAATGGAATCTATTCGAAGTCTTAACCGACGTTTTCATTATTTTAGACGAAAGAAGCAGAAGAAAGGCTGATGTGCATAGGTGGAATATAATTTAAAGGCAGAATTCTACAATGGATAGATGGCTAAACCCAAAGAAAAATTTTTCTCTCCCCTGACACTCAGCACATTCAGGAAGCCCCATAGTTTGTTAAACAATCTATGACAAAAACTAGGCTCCAGAATGAATTTTTTGTGATGACAATAGTGGCTCCTGAGACAGACAACTCAGGTCCCCTTTGGATGTGCTGTGTGACATTGGATAAGTCATGTAGCCTCTCTGATTCTCATCTTCTTCATCTGTAAAACTTGGATAATAATAGGACCTACATCACAGGGTTGTTGATGGGGATTACATGAGATAATGGATGCAAGGTGCTTAGCAAAGTGATAGGCCCCAAGTGAGTAATCAGGAAGTGTTAGCTGTTATCATAATTAGTATGAGTAAGGCAACTACATCTTAGAATGCTAAACAAGAGCATTTCTAAACCCGAGGGTTTTATGGCCAAACCACCAGAAATGACTGTAGGAGTCTTCTCCATTTAAATGGGCATGTGAAACTGCAAAAGCTGAACACACACACACACACACACACACACACACACACACATTTATTTCGGTTTGGAAACCAAATTACTGTTACCGAGGACCTATGTGAAAGACCTGGGATGAATCCTTTAACAACCAAATGCGACTTTTATTGACTTACTTAAAAGCAGAGAGTGTCAGTCCTTTCTGGCCCTGATAAATTCCTCAGAAATGACGTGTATTTCACACAGAAGGTGAGTGCATGTTGGTGTTCAGGTGTGCCCGTGAGTAGAGGGCATATCTCAAGTATCAAGAGCACCAGCACTGGAGAAAAAGGTCCTGGCCCCAGGAAGGCACAGTCAGGCCCTCTGGAGGCAGCCACCTGGGGCTGCCGACTCCCCTGGAGTGACTCCAGGACTCAGCGCCAGTGCGCTCCGCTTTGATCCTTTTGTGTTCCCAGGGCTTCCCAGGTGGCGTTTCTGCTCCAGGCTGTCTACACACAGAGTGTCTTCAGGCTGTCCTCTGCAGGAGCATATGCTGTGACTTACCATCTGGCCTTTATGCAGCTCTCCAGTGGCCATGGTATGAAAACCTGCCTGTTTGGCAGCTACAAGTGCCCACAGTCTCTTTGGTCTCTTTCTTGGTCTGAGTGTTTTTCAACATCAATGGATGTAATTAAGAAGAACTCAATCAAGCACATGGACTCAGGAGTCCATTATGACCAGGAAGGGAGCTCTGCCTTGGGAGAGGAGCTGCTTGGGGCGGGCCAGCCTTGGGCTCTGGGGCAAATGGAGTGCCTGTGGCAGTGGGCCTGGCACACTCATTTACAGCTAAACGCAGTGGCCCATTGCACAGGCTCAAAGCTCAGCTCTAGACGGAAGCTTGGAGCATTGTCATGCTCACTGACAGCCAGAGCCTGGCTGAGGGGAGCACAGGCAGCTTGCTGATGAGAGTGTGTGTGTGTGTGTGTGTGTGTGTGTGTGTGTGTGTGTGTGTCTTGGCTCTACTCAATGGGCAGAACACTAGAACTGCTCAAATCCAAGGGTCAGCATTATTTATGTTGTTGCTCTTTGAACAGAGAAAGAATTACCAGTTGCTGGATGGCAGTTATTTCCAGAAGGTATGGAGGGGGATGCCAAAAGCCATCTCCAGAGAGTTGAAATTAAAAGATAAAATTTGAATGTATAAATCACTGAATATACATACAATGGAATTCTAGGCAGCTAAAGAAAAGGCTGGGGAAATTCTTTACGTACTGATATGGAAAGAACCCCAAAATGGGTTAAATGAAGAAATCAATAAAACCTCTTCTACTATTTGCATAATAAGGTTGATAAGGTTGGGGGTGAGATGGTTGTGTTTGTACTGGCTCATATATGGATAATAGCGTCTGGAAGGATATAGGAAAAACTAATAACCGTGGTTATCTATGTTGGGAAGAGAGGAAGAACATGAGCAGATGGGGAATTGCATGGGAATTTTTACTGTATACTTTTATATACAGTCATGCATCGCTTAATGACAAAGATACCTTCTGAGAAATGTGTCACTAGGTTATTTGGTTGTGCAAACATCATAGAGTGACTTACACAAACCTAGATAGCATAGCCTACTACACACCTAGGCTATACACTATAGCCTACTGCTCCTAGGCTACAAACCTCTATATATAGCATGTTACCTCTATAGCCACTACCGGTCCATGGCCTCTTAGGAACTGGGCTGCACAACAGGAGGTGAATGGTGGGCGAGTGAGCATTACCGCCTGAGCTCCATCTCCTATCAGATCAGCGGTAGCTTAAATTTTCATAGGAGCACGAACCCTGTTGTGAACTGCGCATGCAGGGATCTAGGTTGCGCGCCTTATGAGAATCTAATGCCGGATGAAAACATCTCCCACCCCCATCCGTAGAAAAATTGTCTTCCACGAAATCGGTCCCTGATGCCAAATATGTTGGGGACTGCTGGTGTAAAAGATAAAAAATGGCACACCTGGATAGGGCACTTATCATGAATGAAGCTTGCAAGAGTGGAAGTTGTGGCCAAGCACGGTGGCTCACGCCTGTAATCCCAACACTTTGGGAGGTCGAGGTGGGCGGATCACAACCACAAGACTATCCTGGCCAATATGGGGAAACCCCGTCTCTACTAAAAAATCAAAAATTAGCCAGGCATGGTGGTGCGTGCCTGCAGTCCCAGCTACTAGTAGGGCTGAGGCAGGAGAATTGCTTGAACCTGGGAGGCGGAGGTTGCAGTGAGCTGAGATCATGCCATTGCGCTCCAGCCTGGGCAACAGAGACTCTGTCTCAAGAGTGGAAGTTGCTCTGGGTGAGTCAATGAGTGAATAGTGGGTGAACGTAAAGGCCTAGGACATTACTGTACACTACTGTAGACTCTATAAACACTGTACACTTAGGCTACACTATATTTATTAAAAATATTATTTTCAATCATAAATTGATTTTAGCTTACTCAAAGTTTTTACTTTATAAGCTTTACCCCAGCTACTCAGGAAGCTGAGGCAGAAGGATCATCTGAGTCCGCAGGAGGATTGCTTGAATCCAGGAGTTCGAGTCCAGCCAGCACAACATGGCAAGAACCATCTCTAAAAAGCAAAACAAAACAAACCACTTAATTGTTTTAAACTTTCTGACCCTTTTGTAACAACATTTAGCTTAAAACACAAACACTTTGGATAGCTGTACAAAAGTATTTTCTTTTTTTATATGCTTGTTCTATAAGCTTTTTTACTATGTTTAAAAATGTTTTAATTTTTACTTTGTAAACTTTTTTGGTAAAAACAAAGACACAGACATACACATTAGGCCTACACAAGTTCAGGATCATCAATATCACTGTCTTCCACCTCTACATCTTGTCACATTAGAAGGTCTTCAGGGACAATAACACACATGAAGATGTCCTCTCCTATTATAGCAATGACTTCTTCTGGAACACCTCCAAAAGGACCTGCCTGAGCTGTTTTACAGTTAAACTTTTTAATATATAAGTAGAAGCAGTGCACTCTAAAGTAACAATAGAAACTATAGTAAATATATAAACCTGTAACATAGTCATTTATTAGCACTATAAGGTACTACGTATTGTACATAATTGTGTGTGCTCTATGTTTATTTAACTGACAGTATAGTTGGTGTGTTTACACAAGTATCACTACAAACACATGAGTAATGTGTTGTGCTATGACGTTATGATGGCTACATCACTAGGCAAAAGGAATTTGTCAACTCCATTATAATCTTATGGTACCACTGTCTACGTGATCCAACACTGATCAAAAGATTGTTATGCTGTGCATGACTATAATTTAACCTAATTTTAAAATGTATTGCCCCTTTTAAAATTAAATAAATTTTAATGTGTTTAAAAGTTTTCAAGGTGACATTCTAAAATATTGACAAGCGAGGGGAGATTGCATACTAGTAGATTTAGAAATACATTTTTATTAGTTTCTGTGCACATCTCTCCACATGATTAAAGCCATTTGATTGCTAATAATATTCTCCATAACTTATTATCATATGATAGAGTAACTCACACATTGCTTTTTCACATTGAGCATTTTTATATTAAGAAACTAAAATAAATATAAGTTGCATTAATTAACAAATTCCAGGTTTGGATGTGGTTATGTGCTAATAACTAGAAGGCAGCATTAAGCGTTTGCCCTTTTTTCTATTGAATCAGCTAACATTTATTGGACAAGTGTCATGTGCTGTTGACATTTTGCTCTAGAATCCAGTTTCCACTGTATGGAACTCTGTATGTGTAGAATAATGCATGGTATATCCAGACAGGAATAGGTTTGGTTCAGGAAGTTTTCTGACAGATTATTTACTTCTCTGGTTTGTCCAGAAAGAATATCATTTGGTGCCTGCATGTTAAACTGTTTTTGTTTTTCTAACAATACACACGGGCATCAGGAAGATGACCAAGGTGCTGCTATTGACAAACTAGTAGAATCACAGATATTCATGTTCTCTCTTTCTCTCTCTCTCTCACACACACACAAAATACAGAAATTTAACCACAGAGCTTTTTGTAATAAATCCATTTCCACTTCTCTAAGAAACTATGAAAATATTTACTGTAGTGGCATTGCACTGTGTAAATGTAACTAAACCGAAACTCATTTCCCCATGATTCCTTTCCCCACAGGGCTCCAGGTTTGCATGAGCCACAAGAGAAACTTGCCTGAAATTTGGAAGACAGCAGTGAGGCAGCATTAATTTTCAGTCTTTGAGGGCTGGTTTAGGGTGCCATGCACTATAGTGACTTGCACAAGTTGTCACTGATCTGCTAGCTCACCTTGTGGGTATGGGTGTGGGTTGTAATTGGGCTCACAGCTCCTCTGGCTCCCACCGGATTTCCTCTCTCAGTTTTTCCACGTCCTGGGCCAGATATGTGTGCAGCTCCATGGCACAATATACTAGCTTTCCCTGCAAGTCACCCACATTATGAAGGATGGAGGCCCAGAGAGACAGATACAGGTTCCAATACATCTTCCTGGGTTCCAATTTGCCCTTTTCTCCTCTACTTCATACCAAGACTTCTTTCCCAATTGCCAACTTAGCTGAGTATGTCAACCTCAGACCCAACATCAGACATAGTGGTCACAATCTTGAATAGACTTCTGTACTTGCTCCTACAATTGCATGAGGTCGAATCCCCATAATAAACGCTTTATTCTATAGCTCTCATAGTGTTTCTGTTTCTCTAGTTTAACTCTGATTGATATGCTTCCCCAAAACGTCCAGAGACATGTCTTAGTCTTACCATTGCTAAGAGCACAGAATACCTAGGCATCAGTATCTCCACTTTGTAAGTAAAAAAGTGGGTTCCACAAAGAAAGTAAGCATCAAGGCTGAGAATCTCTCTGTATTAGTCAATTCTCACACTGCTATAAAAAAATACCTAAGACTGGGTAATTTATAAAGAAAAGAGGTTTAATTGGCTCATGGCTCTGCAGGCCAGCTCCTGCTCAGCTTCTGGCGAGGCCTCACGAAACATACAGTCATAGCAGAAGGCAAAGGGGAAGCGGGTATATCTTGCATGGCCCGAGCAGAGGGAAGACAGAGCAAGAGGACAGGTGCCACACACTTTTAAACAATCAGATTTCCTGAGAACTCTATCATGAGAACAGCACCAAAGAGATGGTGCTAAACCATTCATGAAGCATCCACCCACATGATCCAATTACCTCCCACCAGGCCCCACCTCCAACACTGGGGATTACAATTGAACATGAGATTTGGGTGGAGACACAGATCCAAACCATGTCACTATCTAACTTCAAAATCCATACTCTTTCTGCCAATACAATATTGCCTTGGCTTCCAAAGTAAGAGGAGAGCATAGAGCAAAAGAACATTGTCATAATATCTGAAAAATCAGCCTTCAGAATAGATTAAAGAAAACATCCCCAGCCTCTAACTGAGAGCACTGGGGCTCAAGATGGCATTTGCATTGTGATAAAAGACAAACATCAAGAATAAAAATGCTTTGCACATTCTGGGGAGATGGAGGACATTAGCCTTATAACATTTTAGCTATTTTGAATGAATGCAAGGATGAGTATTAGCCATATGTTGTTCAATACCATGAACTAAAATTTGGATTCATTCTATGCAATGCCAAAAAGTCTTCTTTTTTCTTTTTTTTTTTGAGATAGAGTCTCGCTCTGTCACCCAGGCTGGAGTGCAGTGGCACAATTTCAGCTCATTGCAACCTCTGCCTCCTGGATTCAAGCCATTCTCCTGCCTTAGCCTTCTGAGTATCTGGGATTACAGGTGCACACCACCATGCCCGGCTAATTTTTGTATTTTTTAGTACAGACAGAGTTTTGCCATGTTGGCCAGGCTGGTCTCGAACTCCTGACCTCAAGTGATCTGCCCACCTCAGCCTCCTAAAGTGCTGGGATTACAGGCATGAGCCACTAGGCCCAGCCAAAAAGTCTTCTATAACAATATTTATAAATATCCCCAAAGACTGTTTTAGAATGTGATGGTTAATTTAATAGTGTCAACTTGATTGTGCCGCAAGGTGCTTAGATTCAACATTATTTCTGAGTGTGTCTGTGAGGTTGTTTCCAAATAAAATTAGCATTTGAATTGGTAGACTCAATAAAGTAGATAGCCCTCCCCAAGCTGGGCTGGCATCATCCAATCCATTGAGGGACTGAGTAGAACAAAAAAGTGGAGGAAAAAGGAATGTACCCCCCTTTTTTTTCTATCTACCTGCATGAGCTGGGATGTCGATCTTCTACTGCCCTTGAGCTGAGACTTACACTATGAGCTCCCCTGGTTCTTCGACCTTCTTTATCTGACTGGAATTAGACCACCAGGCTTCCTGGGTCTCCAGTTTGCTGATAGCAGGTGGCACATCATGGGATTTCTCAGCCTCCATAATCACATGAACTAATTCCTCATTGTAAATCTCTCTCTCTCCCTCTCTCTCTCTTACCACACACACACACACACACATACAATTGGAGATTATATATATGTGTATGTGTGTGTTTGTATGTGTATATCCTGTTCAATCTGTTTCTTTGGAGAACTCTAATACAGAGAGTATTATGTGATGTTAGGAAATGCAGATTGTGGACAGCCTTTTGCTGGTTCCAGCTTTCCTTCCTGGGCATGCATATATAGAGGTAATGCTTACACTCTCCATTGGGTTACTCTAAAAATTGCCTCTATCCAAAATTGCTAGAAAATGTTATTTTCAAATCTAAATGATGGCTACAGAAAATGCAAGTCGCTGACAACTGAAAGCATACAGCAGAAGGAGAAATTCTCAATGTCATTTATTAGTTGAAAGGTAGCAGGGAAAGTATTAACAGAGAGCAGGTCAGTTTGGGAATGAGAAATTTCTGGAAAGCCCTACGCTAATTCACATCTTGGGACAGAAGAGGCTGTAAATCAATATAGCAGAGAATTTTAAGTTGGGCCTGTTTGAGACAAAGGGTGCCATCGTTGTCGTAGTCTGCTCAGGCTGCTAGAGCAAAATACCACAGGCAGGGTGGCTTGAACAACAGATACTTATTTTCTTACAGTTTTGGAAGCTGGAAGCCTGTGATCAAGGTGATAGCTTATTCAGTTGTTACAGAGGGCTCTCTTCCTGGCTTGTAGACAGCCACCTTCTCTCTGTGTGCTCACA
Organism: Homo sapiens; assembly: GCF_000001405.40. Classification (NCBI taxonomy): domain Eukaryota; kingdom Metazoa; phylum Chordata; class Mammalia; order Primates; family Hominidae; genus Homo; species Homo sapiens. Next base: position 60,031,532 of record NC_000015.10, on the reverse strand, counting down.
CGGCCTTTCCTCAATGTGTGTGTCTGGAAAGTGAGAGAAAGAGCCAGCTCTCTGATGTCTCTTTTTATAAGGACACTAATCCTATCAGATCAGGGCCCCACCGTTGTGATCTCATTTCACCTTAATTACTTCTGCAGAGGGAGGATTCAACCTTGATTGTAGGTCACCAGTAAACAAGGGTAAATGAAAAGACCTTCAGATTTTAGCTTTGTGCTTGAACTTCTTCTATTTTGTCTTTCACAGCAGCATCTCAAAATTTGCCAACATGCTCAGGTTGTAACCCTTCTGGTTAAAGAAATAAGTCCTGCTTTACCTTAATAGGCAATTAGCTTTGACAATCAAATAGAGAGAGTCGTGATTAATGACCTTGCTAATTGTTCTTCCTGATGTGCACACTAATACAAGCAGAATGCTCAGAATTCTCAGGAACATTCATTCTTTGAGTTTGCCATGCTTTATCATTGTGGATCCAAAGCTGAGACAGACATAAACTTAGCCCCCTGGGAGATCAGAATCTAGTACAAAAAAGTGTGTGAACAGATATACTACAACAAGGTAGCGATCTTGTCAATTTTCCTATGTCTGGCACAGCACTGACATAATGTACACCTTGGCCAGTTAATTACCAATGACCCCAGCAGGACGGCAAGCAAGAAAACATGCAGGAGAGATTCTGAATGCATAGCATGACAGTATTCAAGGATGTTGTCAAAGCTGGGCAAAATGTTCAAACTATGCAAGCCAAGTAGAAGCCAGAACTTTACTCTAAAAGAAACTGGAACAATATTCCCAATTGTCGAGTTAATTGTTTTTGTATAAAGAAATCCTACCTGGGCCGGGCACAGTGGCTCACGCCTGTAATCCCAGCACTTTGGGAGGCCGAGACGGGCGGATCACCTGAGGTCATGAGTTCAAGACCAGCCTAACCAACATGGAGAAACCCCATCTCTACTAAAAATACAACATTAGCCGGGAGTGGTGATGGATGCCTGTAATCCCAGCTACTATGGTGGCTAAGGCAGGAGAATCGCTTGAACCTTGGAGGCAGAGGTTGTGGTGAGCCAAGATTGCAACACTGCACTCCAGCCTGGGCAACAACAGCAAAACTCCATCTCAAAACAAAAAAGAAAAGAAAAGAAAAGAAAAAACCAAGAAATCTTACGTGTTCTTTAGGAGCCAACTCCTCCATTAAGCGTCTTCTGATTCTGGCAGCTGGAAGTGGTCATTTGCCCTTAGAACACTCTAGAACTGTGTTTCACTCACCTGCTGTTTGTCATTCAATGCCTTCTTACATACCTAAAAGCTATATGTCAGAACTGTAGCATGTCAGACTAGAAAGCTCTCAGAGAGATCCTGTGGTTTTGCTTCCTCCATCTACAGATGGGGAAACTGAGGCCCATCCAAGGAACATTCAGTAAGAGATTAGGCCTTTCTGAAGTGGTGGCAATTAACCACAGACTTAAAGGAGGTAGAAGGAGTTAGTGCAATGCTCAGAGAGGACTTGTACCTGCACAGTCTGAGAAGACTTCATATCTAGGAGGCTCTGTTAGCTGCAGCAAAGTGTAAGGAGAGTGACCAGGGATAAGGTCAGAGAGAGGGTGGTGGTGGGTTCAGATCCTGAAGGGCCTGTTGGCTTACAGAGTCATTCACGCTGAGGGAAATGCGAAACATTGCAAGAATTGTTTAAAAATCAGCTTTAGTGAGGTATAATTTACATAGAGTAAAATTCACCAGTTTTAAGTGTATAATTTGATAGATTTTAACGACTGCATAGACTTGAGTAACCATCACTACCACAATCAAGATATAGAACACCCACCTCAGAAGTGGGTGTTCCAAAGTTCCAAAGTTCCGTACCACCCCTTTGAGGTCATCCCTGTCTCCACTTCCAGCTCTTGGCAACCACTGATCTGATTTCCGTTCCTATATTTTGCCTTTCACGAAATGTCATGTAAATGAAGTCACAGATATGTAACCTATTGTAGCTGATTTCTGTTACTTAGAACTAAGCTTTTAAGATTCATACAAGTGTTGCATATATCAGTCATTTTTTTTTTTATATATATATTGCTGAGAAGTATTTTGTTAAAAGGATGTAGCAGTTTGTTTAACCATTCACTAGCTGAAGAACATTTGGACTATTTCCAGTTTGGGACCATTATAAATAAAGCTACTATAAACACTTATATATGGGATCTTATGCCATTATTATTTTTCTTGGGTAAATCCCAAGGAGTGGAATTTTGGATCATTCGGTAAGGGTATATTAAACTTCATAAAAACTACCCAATTATTTTACAAAGTGGATGTCCATTTTTTTTTTTTTTCTTGAGACGGAGTTTCACTCTTGTTGCCCAGGCTGGAGTGCAATGGCACGAACACGGCTCACTGCAACCTCTGCCTCCTGGGTTCAAGTGATTCTCCTGCCTCAGCCTCCCAAGTAGCTGGGATTACAGGCATGCACCACCAGGCCCAACTAACTGTATTTTTAGTAGAGACGGGGTTTCACCATGTTGGTCAGGCTGGTCTCGAACTCCTGACCCCAGGTGATCTGCCCGCCTCAGCCTCCCAAAATGCTGGGATTACAAGCGTGAGCCACCACGCCCGACCAGTGGATGTCCATTTTCTATTCTCATCAGCACTGTATGAGAGTTCCAGTAGTCCTGTATCCTCATCAATACTTGGTATTGCCAGGTTTTAGCCACGTTAATTAACGTGGCTTAATGGTAAGTCTTTGAAATCAAGCAATTTCTAATTTGCATTTCCCTAATAAGTAATGTTTTTTAGCACATGTCTTTTAAGTGCTTATTTGCCATTCACAATATCTTCCTTAATGAAGTGTCTGTTCAAATCTTCTGCTCATTTTTTTAGTCTCTTATTATTGAGTTGTAAAAGTTCTTTATATATGTTTTGGTATAAGTCCTTTATCAGATATACAGAGTGACAAGTCTTGTGGCTTGTCATTTTTCTTAATTCCAGTGTATCCATTAATTTTTTTTTTTAATGGCTCAAGCTGTTGTATCCTCTCTAAGAAATCTCTACCGAACCCAAGGACACAAAGATTTTTTTCCTACTTTTTCTCCTGGACATTTTAGAGTTTTAGCCTTTAGATTTAAGTCTGTGATCCAATTTGTTAGTTTTGTGAACGGTATAGGATAGCAGTTAAGATTTTTGTCATATAAGTGTTCAGTTTTTCCAGCATTCTTTGCTGGACAGACTTCTTTTAGCCATTGAATTACCTAGGCATCTTCATTGAAAGGCAAGTAACCATACATGTATGGGCCTATTTCTGCTTTATGTCTATCTTTATGCCAACACCACATATCTTGGTTATTATGGCTTACTGGTAAGACTTGAAATCAGATAGTATAAGTGCTCCAATTGGGTTCTTCTTTTCCAAAATTGTTTTGTGTATTTTAGGTCTTTCAGATTTCCACAACAATTTTATAACCATCTTACCAATTACAACAAAACCCTTTGGAGAGTTCTGAGTAAAAGAACAGCATGAACTGACTTACATTTTAAAAAGGATCACTCTGGTGGCTGTGACTTGCTCAATATCAAAGCTACTGGATAGACTACACTTGACTATCCATTATATAAGGATATCTCAATCCAGTGGGTCAAATGAAAAGTAAACAAGTGTCATCTTATTAGCGAGGGTGCTCAAATAAATTTCAATGTACTGTGTCACCTAAAGATATTTTACAGAAAATTTAAGAATATTAGAATGTTAAATACATTTGGACTAGGTCCCCCAGATGAAAATGACTTATGATTGCCTTTGACAAACTATTTAATGCTGAAGGGAGTGTTACCGAACCCAGGGAACACTTCCCAAAATAAAAGATGCTGCAGGCTGGGTGTAGTGGTGCATACCTATAAGCCCAGCACTTCGAGAGGCCGAGGCAGGAGGAACCCTTGAGCCCAGGAGTTTGAGGATAGCCTGGGCAACATAGCTAGGTTCTGTCTCTGTTTACAAAACAACAACAACAAAACTCTGGCATTCATGTGAATGTGTTGTACAGGGTTGCAAGAAGCTGTGGAAGTTGTCATTTGATTACTAACTAGGTTACTTTGGGCAAGTAATTAAATCTGAGTTCCATATTTTCCAGCAAAACAGTGATATCATCATTAACTACCCTATCTATCATAAGACTTGTGAGAATTCAAATGTGACAATGTGTGTAATGACATTGTATGGACTCTGGAGCCCAGTGTATAAACTTTGGTCACTAGAATTGCAAAAAATATATAGGGCTGACTTTGTGGATCTGCTTATATGTTATTGTTTTTTATTATGTTTCCTGCTTACATATTTTAAAAAATGTATTTAAGCCAGTATTTATGGGATAGCTACAACATGATACATATTATTATGGGGTAGAAAAAAACTATAGTTAATCCAGGAGGTTATAATTTTATCAGGAAGACAAGCCTTGTACATGTAAAATAATGAGATACCAACAATAGTTCATATTTGGAAGCACTTTTCTACTTTGTTTGTTTGTTTTTGTTTTGTTTTGTTTGAGACAGGGTCTTGCTGTGTCACCCAGGTTGGAGTACACTGGCACAATCATGGCTCACTGCAGCCTTGACTTCCTGGGCTCAGGCGATCCTCCCACCTCAGCCTCCAAGTAGCTGGGACTACAAGTGCATGCCACCACACCCTGCTAATGTTTTTTTATTTTTTTGTGGAGATCACAATGTTGCCCAGGCTGGTCTCAAACTCCTGGGCTCAAGTGATCCTCCCACACTGGCCTTCCAAAGTGCTGGGATTGCAAGTGTGAGTCACTGCACCCGGCCTTGAAAGCACTTTTCAATTTGCTGATTTCTCTCACACACTTTATCTCATTTCATTCTTATAAACAACTCTATGTAGTATGTAGCACAGTTATTTTTTGTTCTCATTTTACAAATGAGAAACCCTGGCCCAGGAAGCTGAGATTTCTTCAAAATTATAAGGCTCATAAACATTGGAGTTGGCACCTAAATACAGATTAATTTCTGACTCCTAGCCCAGAAAATCTATTTTGATGGTTCTCAAACTTTAATGTGATTAAAAATCATTCAGGGAACCTGTTAAAAATGCAGGTTCCTGAATCTCACAGGCAGGGTTTCTAAATAACTTGATCTGTGTCTAAGAACCGATCTTTAACAGGTATTTCATATGATTCTCTTTCAGATGGCTTGCAGTTTGTTCCCCACCAATTTATTTTTCTGGTGCAGAACATAAAAAGCAGAAGCAGAGAGCTACTACCCTTCTGTATAACTGGCATGCAGAGTAGTGGTTATGAGCACAAATTCTGGAGCCAGCTTGCCTGCTTTTAAATCCTGCTTTCATCACTTGCTAATTGGGCAAATTATGTAACCACCCTGTGCCTCAGTTTCCCTGTCTATACAACGGGGATAATACTAGTGCCTACCATGTAGGCCTATGATGAAGATGAAATAAGTAATTGTTTGTAAAGTAATTAGAGCAGTGCCTGGCACACAGCAAGCTTTGTGCTTGTGAGAAGGGACCTATAAAAATATAAAGGATGAGGAAGAACAGCCCTTCTGAGATGCAGAGGCCTCATTCCTCACCCTAAACAACCCGCCATTCCCACCCCCTCATACTCACCCTTCTGATCTTGCAGTTATCCATTGGCATCAGGTCCTGGGGAGGCTGACTGTAGCCAGTTATCTCTGCTTGCAAAGGAAGTGGAAGGTTCCGATGGGCTTTCTGACCCTAAGTCGACTTTGTTGCTTTATCCCATTTAAATCCACATTCTCTGCTAAAGAAAATAAACCAACACAGTAAAGCTTGCTGATAGTCACTCCATCTGTATTATAGCACACAATGATGGCTGGAAGTTAAAGGTTTGATATATAGGTCTATTTTTTTATTGCCAGTCCCTGCCCCTGAAGAAAGTATTAAAATTTCCAGATGAGTAACCAAACAATAAATAGATGAGACAGTTGCCGTGAATATCTCATTTTTTGCATAATAATGAGATATTGCTGGATAATGCACTCTGCCATCCCCAGTTTGTCTAAATTATCATTTTGATTGGTCAAATGCCTAAGAAAGATATACCAATAAAGTCGTGTCAAGTGCTCCGTTGTAAATTGATGCTGGATGGGCGTTCTTTAGGGTTGAGGTGAGGTGGGGGCAGGGAGAACTGATTCTTCAGTAAGTAACTTTAGGTAGATGTTTTCTTCAGCCGATTCATAATCAAAGGCATCTGAAATTCTAGCTTCTCCAGGGCCGCATGCATAAACATGAAGTAGTTTGTGCCTTCTAAGGCCTTGTGTGTTGTTTTTGGAATTGAAAATAAGAACCAGATTTGGAACAGAAGGGTTGTTCTAGGACATCTGAGGTTTGTTTTGTGTGGAGAATTTTCCCCTTGATTTTGCATCCCTGAGACATAACATCAGAGTGTTGATAGAACTTTTGAATCAGAAAGACCATTCATTAGGAAACAGGATGTCAGTAAATCCAAATAGCTCTTTTTCCACCTTAAAAAAAAAAAACAAAAACGGAAGAATTCTACAAGTTCCAAAGTGGGGTGAAAACTAAAACTGCCTGAGGAAGTTTGACTTGCAACTCCTCTTTCTTCTTAGTTATATAACACTTGGTTTAACGTGTTTTGTAATTCATCCTGGATTCTATTTTTCAAATTTTCCTGCTGCTGTCTTGAATGATCATTTTTATCCTTTGCTGTTATTTAAGTGTTCCATGGCCCTGCCTTGAGGTCAGGAGCTATATCTTGGCATGATTTGTGTGCTCTGCGGGACTTGCATATAGTAGGTGCTCAAACAGGGCCAAGGCCTAGCACTCAGCAGTCTAGGATGCTAAATAAGCTATCACTTTTTGAAACGTTTCAAAGCAATAACCAAGTATAGAATTGTGTGGCATTTATTATAAATAAATATGGCAATCATTTATCAAGCACCAGTCAGGAGCCAAACACCATGCAGACATTAGCTCCTTTACTACATACATCTCAGCAAAGAGAAAAGTCTTACCCCCATTTTGCTGGGGGAGAAACTAAGACTCCAAAATGCTCAGTAGTTGGGCCAGGGTGACACAGCCAGTAAGTGAACTTGCACCTGTCTGGCTCTAAGACTCTGCTGCTTTCACTAAGCCACACATCCTTTGCCATTACCATTGTTAAACTTCTATTACTCCATCCTTTTTTTGTCTCGTGGATATCCATCCCAGTCAATACTGAGCTGACACCACCCCACCCCAAGCATTTGAGTCTTTTGCAGTTTGGCATCTAAGTTGGCCCAGCCATGACAGCTGGAAACTGGCATCCCCCAAAATCCCATACATCCAAGGGGCTATTGGCAAAGTGGAACTAAAAAAACCTCTTTCAAGTGACAAAGCTGAAGATTTCCCGGAAGTCAGCTTTCTGATGCAGAAGGCTGCATACTCTAGCAAATGGATACTCTAGTAAAAGTTTAAAAAGTAATAAAACTGGGAAAATTTCCCCCTGCCGCCAAGGCTGGAGTGCAGTGGTGTGATCTTGGCTCACTGCAACCTCCACCTCCCGAGTTCAAGTGATTCTCCTGCCTCAGCCTCCCAAGTAGCTGGGACTACAGGCACGTGCCACCACACCCAGCTAATTTTTTTGTATTTTTAGTAGAGATGGGGTTTCACTGTGTTGGTCAGGCTGGTCTCAAACTCCTGACTTCAAATGATCTGCCGGCCTTGACCTCCCAAAGTGCTGGGATTACAGGTGTGAGCAACTGCACCCTGCAAAACAGGGAAATTTTTTGCCAAAAAAAATATATACCTGTAAAGAAATCCCTAGATGCATTGGAGAAATAAAATTTGAGCTTATCTCAAAATCTGTAAAATATACAGTGTGGTGAGTTGGGTATTGAAGGGAGACACTACAACCTCAAGAGAAGAATCTTGTTGGACAGATTTGTTGTGATTAATTTATCACTAATTAATGACATCTGAGGATTATGTGAGGAAAGGGATACAAAGTGCAAACTAAAGTCTCCCCTGTATTTGTGAGTCACTATTGGAAATGACTAAAAGTGTCTAGGACACCAGTTATTCTGACAGCTACAATTTACAGCTCATTGCTTTGAACTCCATGTGTCTGTGCACTGCTCTCCCTCCCCAACCCTGTTCCCTCTCCCCATCCAGTGAGTGGTTTTTTTTGGGTTTTTTTTGAGAAGGAGTCTCACTCTGTTGCCAAGGCTGGAGGGCAGTGGTTTGATCTCGGCTCACTGCAACCTCCGCCTCCCAGGCTCAAGTGATTCTCCTGCCTCAGCCTCCCGAGTAACTGGGATTACAGGCGTGCGCCACCACGCCCGGCTAATTTTTTGTATTTTTAGTAATGACGGGGTTTCACCATGTTGGCCTGGCTGGTTTTGAACTCCTGATCTCAGTGATTCGTCTGCCTCAGCCTCCCAAAGTGCTAGGATTACAGGCGTGAGCCACCACGCCCGGCCCCAGTGAGTCATTTGAAGGCACAGATTGAGTAGTTTCCAGAGCCGAGCATAATATATGAGCAGGATAAGTGTAGGTAATTTTGGTATAATACGAAATAGAAGATAGTGCTACCAGTGTAGGTCTCTCTGCCTCCTTGAGTTTGGCTGTTCTTTCAAAAATACCCTGTTCCTCAGCATGGCCTATGGAGCCACAAGCTACTGTTACCTAAAAGAGGAGAAAAGCCAAAGAGGACAGGAGGATAGGGGTGGAAGAGAAAAAGAGGCTGGATGAACTGAAATGGATTTTGAGAATTGGCAGAAGCCCAAGATTGCAGCATATTAAAGAAAGCGATCTCTTTGAGCCTGCTTTTCTCCGGAGCAGTAGTGTATGAATAAAGCTTCCTGTGTTGTGTGAAAAGAACAATAATAATAATGATAATAATAATAATATTTGGGTTTTGTCCCTGCTTCCTGACACAGAGTTCCTAAAACACTTGGAATTTACTGTCTTTTGTATGCTAATGAGGTGGCTCAGGGGACGGTGGGCAGGCTCCACAGCTTCTGGATGGGAGCTGATCACCAGAAAACCAAGTGATTACAAGGTTAGAATTTTCAGCCTCACCTCCTGACCTCTGGGGAAGGAAGAGGGGCTGGAAATCACATTCAGTCACCAATGATCAATGATTTGCCTACTGCCTCCATTAAAACCCGTAAATAACACTGTTGGGTGGCTTTCAGTTTGGTGAACTCGTGGATGCACTGCAAAGGTGGCATGTCCAAAGAAGGCATGAAAGCCCTGCACCCCCATCCCCCGACCTCCAAATACCTTGCCCTGTGCATCCTTTCTATTTGGCTGTCCTGAGCTGTATCCTTTATAATAAACTGGGCAGTTGTTCAAGTGGATTACAGAATGGGGGCAAGGAGACTCTGAATTTGCGGTCAGCCGGTAAGAAGTGCAGGTAACCTGAGGACCTCATTTGTGGCTGGTGTCTGAAGTGGGGCAGTCTTGTGGGATTGAACCCTTGACATGTGGGTTCTACACTAACTCTGGGTAGTGTTAGAGTTGGTATAGGAAAACGTAAGAATTGGTTGTGTCAGAGGCATTTGAACTGGAGCGACACCATCTTGAGTAGGGGCTGGGTAAAATAAGGCTGAGACCTACTGGGGCTGCATTCCCAGTAGGTTAGGCATTCTTAGTCACATGATGAGACAGGAAACTGGCAGGACTGGTATCACAAGATACAGGTTCTAAAGACCCTGCTGATAAAACAGGATGTGGTAAAGAAGCTGGCCCAAACCCACCAAAGCTAAGATGATGATGAAAGTGACCTCTGGTCGTCCTCACTGCTCATTACATGCTAGTTATAATGCATTAGCATGCTGAAAGACACTCCCACCAATGCCATGACAGTTACAAATGTCATGGCAGCTTTGGGAAGTTACCATATATGGTCTAAAAAGAGGAGGAGCCCTTAGTTCTGGGAAATTCCTGCCCCTTTTCTGGAAAACTCATGAATAATCCACTCCTTGTTTAGCATATAATCAAGAAATAAGCATAAAAATAACCAACCAGCAGCCCTCAGTGCTGCTCTGCCTATGGAGTAGCCATTCTTTCATTTCTTTACTTTCTTAATAAACTTGCTTTTACTTTACTCTATGGACCCATCCCAAATTCTTTCTTGTGAGGGAATCCAAGAACCCTCTCTTGGGGTCTGGATCAGGACTCATTTCCGGTAACAGTTGTGGTTGTTGTTCAGAAAAGACTAACATTTGGGGTCAGAAAAAAGAACAAACAAAAAAAACCCACATAACAACATTTTATGAATGAATGAATAAATCAAAGAATCTTTGTTACCTGATGTGTTTTAGCCACATGTAAATGAAAACCCGATTCAAACTAGGAGAGTAAAGGGCATTTACTGGTTCATGACACTTCAAATGTCAAAGGCAGAACTTGATGTACATCAGGTAGCATCCAAGAGAGTGACTCAATAATGTCCCAAGGACTGTTTCTTTTTCTCTCTACTCTTGCTTCTGCAATGCCAGCTTCATCTTAGCAGTTTCTCTGGGGTTCCTACGAGGGCAGCCAGCCACTCCCATCCACTTCTCACTCAATCCTATCAGGAAAGAACGACTGACTTTGAAGCATTCCTGCCACATTTCTTAGAATCACTCTGATAGGATCAACTAAGGACCACATGCCTGTCTGACCAGTCACCGTGGCTGAGAATGGACTGCTTGTCTTAGTATAGGTTTCTTGGTAGAAGCAGCTTTCTTATTACTTCATGCACTCCCAAAGTGAAGCTGTAGGTTTTGGAAAGGTGAGAATAGATGCTGGGAAGGCATCCAGCTAATCTTCATTCTACTTGGAATGTGCTTACTTGATCTAACGAGTAATGTGTTTCCTAAATTGATTCATTTGTTTATATACTACCATACTATGACATATTTTAATCAACCAATCCCTAGCAAATGTTACATTCAGGAGAAGTCAGGTCTTACCATAAGCTAACTATGTAGTGTTTTACATATTGGCTCAAACCTATGGCGTGTTTGATAGCACTTTGTAAACTACACAGTTTGTAAAAATATGAGATGGTCCCATGAGCAACTAGAGAAATATAAGGATATACTGAGAGTTGTGACTAGCTTTTGCTTTCTGATCCGAGTTCTGTAACAGGCTATGAATAAATTTATTGACAGCTCCCACACTTACAATCAAATGGATTACTTGATAAAAATCTAGACTTCATCTTGGCTTTTTACCATATTTGTAGCTCAGTAACCATCCAATAAATATAGGTTGGCCTATCATAGGCCAATTCATACTCCACATTTTTAGCTCAGTTGTTGGCAAACTTTTTCCCTAAAGAGTCACATAATAAATATTTTAGTCTTTGCAAGCCATGTGGTCTCTGGCACAACTTAACTCTGCTTTAGTAGCCCAAAACAGCCACAGAAAATATGTAAATTAACAAATATGCCTATATTCTAATAAAACTTTATTTATGGTCACTGAAGTTTGAATGTCATATAATTTTCATGTGTCACAAACTATTATTATTCCTTTGACTTATTTCAAGCATTTAGAAATGTAAAAACCAGGCCTGGCACAGTGGTTCACACCTGTAATCCTCATACTTTGGGAGGCTGAGGCAGGCAGATCAAGAGGTCAGGAGACCGAGACCAGCCTGGCCAATGTGGTGAAACCCTGTCTCTACTAAAGATACAAAAAATTAGCTGGGCATGGTGGTATGTGCCTGTAATCTCAGCTACTCAGGAGGCTGAGGCAGGAGAATCGCTTGAACCCAGGAGGCGGAGGTTGCAGTGAGCCAAGATAGCGCCATTGTACTCCAGCCTGGGCGACAGGGCGAGACTTCATCTCAAAATAAAATAAAAACCATTCTTAGTACACAGGCTGTACAGCAAGCTGAATTTGGCTCATGGGCTGAAATTTGCCAACTCCTGTTTTAGCTCAATGCCACAAACCCATAAAGTTTATGGAGAGGAGGTGAAAATGGTATTACCTGAACCAATAATTTGTGCATTCACAAAGAAAAAATCTCACTCTACTTTGCATGTAGGTTCTATAAGTTCAGTCATTATTTTTTGTCCCTTTCACTCTACTTTTGAAATCAATGGATGGTCCAAAATTTCTAGAATTCACACTTTTACCTTAAAAGTTAAAAAGATTTAAAGTTTTTGAGAAAACATGAGAGCAATTTCAGGTTACGGCTGGACACCTACAAGATTGGGCTACATCTTTGTTGGAGCTGGTGCAAGCTCAGCAGGTCCTCACCCAAACTCAACATTTTCTCCCAAAGCCACTTGCTCCCCACCATTGATATTTTCCATCCATGGCATCTCACTTCTAGTTAATCAGGCTTGAAACTTAGCGTTACTGTATAGTGAGCATTCCAAAGGAATCCTGCTCAGCCTCAGGAATTCTGTGTAGTAGAGCTGCCTGCCTGGGTCCCAGGGATGGAACTTGACCCATATGTGGCCAATCAGAGAACTATATCTCTTTAATTACAGTGATGACCCAAAGAGAAAGAATCAGACTCCTCCATGGGACTTTTGCTAGAACTATCAGGCTGAGTTGAGTTTCTGTTACTTGCAACCCAAGTAGTCCTGACTAAATGAATTGCCATTCAATTACTTTGATCTTTACCTCTCCTGCCCAGCACCTTTTCTCCCACTATCTAGTCAGTTACCATGTCCTCTGATTTGTGGCATATGTCTTCCAAATGTATCCGTTTCCTTCGATTCTTAATTACTTCACCATTACCTCTTTCTATTTGTCACGTTAGCCTCGATGGTATCCTATTCAATAGATACTTTTTGAAGGACATGCTGCTGTATGTTACAATGGCAGTGGACTAAACTGGCAAGGGCACTGGATTTAAAGACAGGTAGAATCTGGGTTTGAATCTCAGTCAGCCCCTCATCAGGAAATGTATTAACTCCTTTAGGTATTAGTGTAATAAGGGTAGCTTTTAGGGTTGATATGAGGATTAAAAAAGAATAACATATGAATCAGACCATATACATACACAGTGGGCACCTAAGAAATTAGAGTTCTTAGTACTGGGTGAAAGGAACTGTGAAAGCCCCAACTCTCATCCTTGAAGAACATTCAGGTGTACTTCTCCTGGGGCTTGCAACCCTCTCCATCCATCTTCTCATTACTTCTTATCTTCCTGCTATGTGAGGCCATTTCTGTATGCAGCCTCATTGCTCATAAATCTCCTAAGGACTACACTGGCTCCACAGACTCTTCACTCTGGCCTCCAGAAAGTCCATCTGCTCTCTTCACCTGAAATTATCCCTATAAACATTATAAAAATTAATCAGGGAAGAAGTGGGGAGAAATGAAAATACACCATGCTTGTAGCACATTCAACATTAATCATTAGGTCAGCTTGCACTCTGACCTGCTTCCTCATAATTCTTTGCCTGCTGCCCTAGAATCACATAGAGCCTCGATTATAGTTCTCCTTAACTGCTCTACAGATGACTACTTGAGCATTGTGAAATGTTAGGTTTTCCATTTGAGATATTCTTTCAAGTCCTGCATGTCAATGAAACTACTGATGTCAGCTGGTCTGAAGCACCCCAAGAGAAGATGACTCACCAAAGAATGTGGTTTCTACATCCTGATAATTTTATCACTTACCCTGTCCAATCAACAACCCTAATTTTCCAGCCCCTTGCACTGCATGAGCCCCTTAAAAACTCAGCCCAGAGCTCCTTGGGGAGATGGATTTGAGTGTCTGCTCTTACCCCTTTTATCTCCTTGCTTGGCCACCCTGAAAGTATTAAATTCTTTCTCTGCTACAACCCTTGCTGTCTCTGCATATTAGCCTGTTGCTACACAGCAGGCATATGAACCTGTTGGTCCTGTAACACACTCAATCTGACCTCCCTCTCGTCTCAACCATCAGGTCTCTTTCCACCAAGTGGGAAAAGTCACTATCTGCCAGATGTGCCACCCAAAGTCCTTATGCTAGTAAACTTGAATTTGAAATATTTGTCTTCACCCAGTCCTAAACCCCAAATCCTCTCAAGGCCTTCTGTTCCTCCTCTTTCTCTTCTTCCTTCTCAGAACTTTCAGAGAACCTTTTCTTTCACTGAGGCATGCTCTCCATGTGTGTCTTCTTTACTAGATGGTAAGTTCCTGGAAATCAGGATTTGTTGGGTATGTATTTGTAACTATGTCCTTGTTGCCAATTCCTAGCACAGTAGAGCATCCATGTCCATTGTTCAGTAAGCATCAGTTGAGTAGACTTTTATGGTGCTGATGGATTAAGTGATCCAGGCTCATAACCACTCTATTAGTCAGGATTCAGTTGGGAAAACAGAACTAACACTAGATGTTTTATTTTTAAATTTATTTACTTATATTTTTAAGAGACAGGGTCTCTTTGTTGCCCAAGCTAGAGTGCAGCAGCATGATCATAGCTCACTGTAGCCTCAAAGTCCTGGACTTCAAGTGATTCTCCCACCTCAGCCTCCCTAGTAGCTGGGACTACTGGCATGCACTGCTGTGACCAGCTATTTTTATATTTGTAGGCTGGGCACGGTGGCTCATGCTTATAATCCCAGCACTTTGGGAGGCCAAGGCAGGCAGAACACCTGAGGTCAGGAGTTCGAGACCAGCCTGACCAACATGGTGAAACCCTGTCTCTGCTAAAAATACAAAAATTAGTTGGGCATGGTGGCGGGCGCCTGTAATCCCAGCTCCTTGGGAGGCTGAGGCAGGAGAATTGCTTGAGCCTGGGAGGCAGAGGTTGCAATGAGCTGAGATCGCACCACTGCACTCCAGCCTGTGCAACAACAGGAAAACGCCTTCCAAAAAAAAAAAAAAAAATCAGAACAGAATAGGGAGAAAGGGACAACAAGGACCCCAGTCTTTGCAACTATATACATCTTTAAAGATGGGGTGGGGGCTGTAATAACTCCAATGGCTAAGCTTGGCCACTGGAGTAATAGCCCCAGGACCTCCTATAGTGAGTGATCATGTGCATTACCAGGTATAAACCCTTATTTGGCAAGTTCAGCCATCAAACCAGCATGAGACAAATGAGAAGCTCGCGTGAGCCTCACTAGCCTTATCCAGCCGAAACACATATAACAAAGCACAGCTCTATTAGGGAAAGGTTGACAGACTTTCCAGACACACAGCAAACTGGCAGCCCATAACTCAAGTTGGGAGCATGAACTGTTTCTCAGGAGTCACTCAGAACTGAGACCAGTGGTCAAAATGGAGGTTAGAGTTGGGATAGTAAACGCAAAGACATACAACCTTCTTAAAATGCACACTTCCAAAAACAGACAAATGCCACCCTTTTGAGAGTTGCATTGAAAAAGCTATGTGAGTGCCCAAGCATACTTTAGAAAGCACCACTAATGAAGGCTGAGCGTTAAGAGAAAACACCAAATGTTGATTTCCTGAGTATTTGGTTCCATCGACAACAGATGAAACTATATTTACTGAGTTAGAAAGTTACATCATCCTGATTCTTCCTTCTTTCCATTTTTCTTCTTTTTAAAATCACATCAAAAGTGCAAAAATGGGCGGGGCATGGTGGCTCATGCCTGTAATCCCAGCACTTTGAGAGGCCGAGACAGGCGGATCACGAGGTCAGGAGTTCGAGACCAGCCTGACTAACATGGTGAAACCCTGTCTCTACTAAAAATACAAAAATTAGCCAGGCGTGGTGTTGCACGCCTGTAATCCCAGCTACTCAGGAGGCTGAGGCAGGAGAATCACTTGAACCCAGGAAGCGGAGGTTGCAGTGAGCTGAGATCACGCCACTGCACTCCAGCCTGGGTGACAGAGTGAGACTCCGTCTCAAAAAAAGAAGTGCAAAAATGGTACTTTTTCCTCCTTCTGATTTATTTTATGATCTGATAGAGGCTGTCAGGGAAGAAAAGGGCACTCAGGTTGGTAATTTTCTTCTAACTATAAGAATGCATTCCTGCTTAGATTTCATGTGGCTGCCCTCAATTCTGGAAGATTTAAGTTAATCTTGATGTATGGATCCAGGTTGGTTGGCTATACACTGAGGTCCATTTTCAAGGATGGGATGGAGATATTTCAATGTGACTTTTTTGGTACATGATCTGACTGAGATCAAAGATCAAAAATTGCTGTAAGCTAGAATACAGGACTATGTTTAGTTCTATAGAAGGTTTTCTTTCCCCCAAATAAGTTAAATAGAAGACAGTTTAGGAAGAAAATGCAGTTTAGTGAAAGTGTCTTTCTATTAAACCAACCTTTACTGAGAATCCATAGGGTGTAGATAATACTTATTAGCAGGGTAACCTTGGGCAACTTAGTTAAATGCCCTGTGCCTCAATATTCCCATCTGTACAATGGGCATAATAAAAAAAGTGCATATTTCATAAAGCTGTTATTGGGATAAAATGAATAAATTTTTTTAAAGAACTTAGAACAGTAGGAATGATCAGCTCAGAGGATGGTGGCTCGTTGTTTGAAGACTATGGAAAAGTAGTTGTGAAAATATTACTTTGGTTTTATGATTTTTTCCCCCAACAAAAAACATTGATCCCAATTCAGGAGAATGATTTCAATCTCAGCAACTAGTTACAGCATGAGGTGTGGACCTCATGCTTATCCTTCTTTATTCTCTTCTGTCTGTTCCAACTGACAAGCACTGATGGGTGCCAGTGTCATGCCTCATGCACTGTGTAGCCACCTTATTATTATTTTTCAAGATGAAGTCTTGCTCTGTCACCCAGGCTGAGTGCAGTGGCACGATCTTGGCTGACTGCAGCCTCCGCCTCCTGGATTCAAGCGATTCTCCTGCCTCACCCTCCCCAGTAGCTGGGATTACAGGCACGCACCACCACACCCGGCTAATTTTTGTATTCTTAGTAGAGACGGGGTTTCATCATGTTGGCCAGGCTGGTCTCGAACTCTTGACCATGTGATCTGCCTACCTTGGCCTCCCAAAGTGCTGGGATTACAGGCGTGAGCCACTGTGGCCGGCTGAAGCCACCATATTAGAAACAAATAAGGTCTCAAGAACCCGGAGTGGGGGAAGTCTGACACAAAAGTGTCACATAAGAAAGGTCAAAACAAAATGCTACAACAAGGAGACAAAGCCTGAAGTTCAGATTTCTTGCCTGCTTTTCCATCCCCTTCCCCTCAATCTCCCTTCTTGGGAATTAGTCATTTCAAAGCAGTCAAAGAAACAAATTGGTCAACATCTGTTGAGGGCCTGAACCCTTTGGACTCAAGGCAGTCTGTCTGGAAGACTATTTGTTTGTAATTTGGGGGAAGATATCAGAAACTTAAGAAATGATTCCAATTCAAGGTGGATCTCTTTCTCTTGAGATCTGGGGTTAACCAATGACCATTCCCTCTAGTCGCACAAACTGCCCAGTACGCCCACTTCAAAAGGGTACGGCGGGCCATAGAGTATGAACTGCCTTAAAATCATGCACACTCACATTATCAGATAAAGACTTCATTTTGTCAATTTCAATACCTTCATAATTTTTTATTGTTAGTTGCATTTGTGTGGCATCTGTGGTAGGACTGAAGTTTTCTGCTTTACTTTACTTTTAGAACCTGACTCTGGTATTGTTAAATCACTGGGCTGCAGATAAGACAATATATCAGAGGGATTCACAAGTAAGTAAAATAAAGGTATTGGTTTACCTGGATCTCTCAGGACCTTTCTAACACTAACATTCAGTGCTTTCATGATTCTAAGTCAAGCCGATATTGCTCTGGGTTCCTGGTTGCAGGGTAAATAGCAATGGAAATATAAGAGCAAAAGCTGAAATCCTAAGTTAAATTACATTATTGAATTTGCAGGAAGCTGTTAAGGAATTCAGTATGCCAAAAGCTAATTTATTTTATGTAATTGGAACTAGTGTTTAGTTAGGTATAAAATATGTTCACTGCAACAGTCTTTGTATTAGCAAAAATAAACAAAACCTAAAAGCGTTCTAAATGCCCAAACAAAAAGAATTCACTCAGTGGCATATTATACAACCTTTAAAATCAATGGTTATTAAAAGTATATAGCTAGATAGGGAAATGTCTATGATATGCTGGAGAAAAGCAAGATGTAAAAATGTATAATACTGAAATAACTATGGAAAATATTGAAAGAAATAAATGATTTAAAAATATGCATAATGCAAAATATATAAAATATTTCTATAACAAAGTATTTTTACAGTACAAACTAAATTTCTAAATGAAATAGAACAGAACCAATTATATATTTAGAAATCAATATAAATCTGTCTCTAAACTACACCATTTCTCATTGCAGTGAAATTCCAAGTAATTATTTTACATGATTTATTCAGCATCTGTCATTTTAAGAAATGGATAATGTTTGGCTACACAGCAAAGAATAATTAGCACTATAATTAATCAAATTGCTGTTTATATTTCTATGTCAAAGTTAATCATTTTCATTTTCTTGTTTTATGTGAGGGGTTCTCTTTTACTGAAGCCAATAACATCCACAAGTAAACTTAAATGCATTTCACATGTTTTAATTTTACAAACTTAATACCACAGCAGAAACTTAATCTCAGTCAACATTCTCAATTACTGACACCTGGAGCAAAAGCATAGCGTTCTTACCTAAGCTAAACCAATAGGACTATTTTCAGAACGCTCAATCATTCAGTCATCAATTTTTCTGTGTTAGGCCCAGAAACTGCTGTGTTAAGCATAATCTGGACTAAACTGATAGAAGATGTTATCCTTGCCTGTTCTCCCTTATTCTCCCCTGCCCTTCCCCTGTTTACCAACACACAACACAAGAATGGGAATACAACTTTGCATCTTCTAGGCAGTCATAGAAATACTTGGTTCAGTCTGAAGAATCCATTCAACGTGGAAGGGCTGGGTCGTCTTTGGCAGTTTTTCTCCAATATGAAATCAAGCTAAGAATCTTCAGACAAACCATTATTTCAGCCTTTTTTTTTTTTGTAGTTCACCTGGCACCCAGAGTGATGTGGAACTTGTCAATGATCATTTTATTGTTATACATAGAATTTTAGTTTATCAAACATATGTAAATAAATAAAATATGTGTTGATATTTCCAAGCAAGACAGACATTTGCAGCTCTGGTTTCACCGTAGCAGGTTTAGTGGGGAAGTTCAGATACTCAGAGTTTTCCTGTTAAGTGAAACCATTCTTGGCTGTAATGTCTCTACAAGGAGCTGCTCTAATTAATGCAAAACACTAGATATTACTTAACAAATACTAAGCTTCTTCTAAGCACAAAATTAAAATCCTTTGCTGAACAGTTTCTCTATATGCTGTCATGTGCTGGAATTACCAATATGTTGTATTTCATGAAGAAGAGAGAAATCTGTAGCAAAAGCAGAGTTTGAAAGCAATTATTTCTGCTAACCAACTCTTTCGGTACTGTATACTTAGTAAACCCAGTTAACGGGGAACACTCATGGAGAGAAATTAACTGAGTAAATAAAAATATACAGGCTGCAAAGCATGAATTAGAATCACAATGTCTCCAAACAACAGATACTTAAAGAATGTGTTTTATCTCTGAGCTTATCTGCTCTAATTAATGCTCCAAGAGTTTGTTCCTTCAAAAGACTGCAACTGATTTGACATCGGTTATTTGCAGACACAGGCAAAAGGAGGCTGCACCCAAAGAATGCTTTGTCCGAATATTCTTGAAGATATTCTAGAAGGACAATCTTCCAGGGAAGATTTTAGTTAGCCAACGACATTTTTTCATGGTTAATCTCTGATTAGTTTATCATTAGTTCCAGTGAGTTTGATAGCCTATGGTTATATGCAACCAACTATTTTTTCAACATCTTTTTTTTATACATATATATTTATCTGGAGGTCTGAGCCACTTCCCCTTCTCAGTCCTATTCCTAGCTCCAGGCACAATCCCAAGAATTAAATGAAGAATAGTGTCAAATATGACTTTATAATTATTGAAGCTAACATGAAAAATGTTAAAGGTACCTGGAAATAATACCAGACAAAATTTAAAAACACAATAGAAAACCTCCAAATATATTCTCCTTTAGATCAGATCTCATTTTGATTTCAAGTTTGAGAAAAATTTCTTTATTCCTCTGCAATCACATCTTGAAAGTTGATAAGTCTACTTTATTTTTTCTTACACTGTCTCTAGAAATACCTCTAATAGTCACTGCAACCTTTCTACAATGTTGGTGGATAAAAGTCTACAAAGTTTACCTAAACAAAAACGTCAAGCATGGCAGGCAAAAGATAAAAGTATCCCCACAAGATTATCTCCGTTACCCTGACACATGTGGCTTATTTTCCCCACTCCAGGGATGAAAAATGAAAATGTAAGAGAATTCTCACTTGGAAATTCTAACCAAAGAGTATCCTCTCTCCTGATTTTAACATAACCTGTTTAACTATCACAGTGCTCAGATAGGGTAGCTAGCAGAAAGTGGTGTGCGAGAGAGAAGAGAAGAGACTAACAGAGACAGACAGGAGAGACAGAACAGGTGAGGTTGCAAGCTCAGCTATCTAGCCTGTTATGACACCAAAGACCAGATACATTTGTTGAAAGAAGAAAACTTGATGACCCGGATGTGATTCTGGTTTTTGAAAACAAGTAGTTAATGCAATCCAAGCCTAGCAAAGAGGTAGATTTGGAGATGTGTATGATATAATGATGTTTATATTGACATAGGTAAAGATTTGTTTAAATTAAACTTA
The DNA here is from genome assembly GCF_000001405.40 of Homo sapiens. Taxonomy (NCBI): domain Eukaryota; kingdom Metazoa; phylum Chordata; class Mammalia; order Primates; family Hominidae; genus Homo; species Homo sapiens. The sequence goes on along the minus strand of NC_000015.10, from coordinate 60,010,859 downwards.
TTATCTCAGACCTGACTGTTGATCACCAAGAGTTCCTTGAGAATCCCAAGTCCCACATTGCCTGCTCCCACTCACTTTCTTCCCCTCCCCCATTTTTTCAGAAGCCAGAGGATGCCTGCTGCATCTTGCACTGTAGTGCAAACAGATTCCCCCAAAGAGAGAGGAAGATAAAATGAATTTAAATTCCAAAGGGGTTCCAGTGCCGGTTTCCTAGTCCCCGAGTCAGCAATGTGTTTGTGAAAATTCAGCCTTTTTGTCTCCCAGTAAAAAGGAGCTAAATCTACATCGGTGGCCCAGTCTCGGATTGCTATTCTTTGCATTTTCTATTCGAGTGAATGAGAGTGAATGAAGTGGCCGGGACCCTTCATTTGATCTACTCAATTGCATAAAGTGACAGAATTCTAATATATTTGTTTAATGCTCTTCAATGGGCTTTCACTTTTTTTGCTTGCAAATGAAGCATCCGTGGGCAAAGTTTCATCCCCCTTTAACACTGGGACATATTTCATAACTGAGGCTGTGGTTTGCAGTAATCTTGAGAGGAGTTTTAGACTCAAAAAGTGGAAAATAAAGAAACAGATGTGAAGTTATTGTAAATTCCTAGAGTGGGCTCTGGGGCTATTGTGCCTCCACGGCGGGCGGTCCAGGGGCTGCGCCTTTCATGCTGTAATTGAAACATATTAATTAGATAATTTGTTGTTAGTTTAAACGAAACAAATGCATCCCCTTTGAGGCTTCACAGCCGGTGGGTTGGGTGGTTTTTGTTTTGTTTTTGTTTGGGTGTCTCTGTGCATATGTGGCTTTTAGGAGAAAAAAATTAATTGACATTTATATTAAGAATTTAAGAATAGATCCTGATCCTTTCTGTTTCTTAGCTGAATACCTTTTACAAAGGGAATTTTCATTTGTAAAAGTATAAACCCGCTCCTCACCCCTACACTCTGCAACCCCCCAGTTCCCCCAGTCTTGCATAAACGAATGTAAATCTTACTCTCTGCAGCACCGGCTTGGACTCTTCCTCCCTCCTACTTCCCACCTCATCCTTCTTGAGCACCTGGCCATATTTATGCTTGCAAGACCCTCAGTGTTCTCATCTCTTTAAAGGAATTAAACTCACTGCTATAGTATTTAGGCCATTTTGATGATCATTTACTAGCACCACTCCTCAGGCTTTTCAAAACCCCCAAATCAGATAATAGAAACAGTGAGAATTTCTGCAGCTTCTCTCTTGAGAAAGTGCATGAAATTCATTCATTGTGTCAGCGCTTCCTCAAATCACAGAGAATCCTGTTTAAAAACTCAGTCAAATGCAGAATCATGTAAAAAACCAAAAGTAATAGAATAGCCAAGTTTCCAAATAAAAAACCCGAAATCTAAGAAATCAATACTACTTGAATTTACAAAATAGAAAAGAATATCACTTATCTCAGTTCTCAGGACAAATACCACACAGACATCTTCCCACTCCATGGTGTTGTCTCTTCCAGTTTTATTTTAAAGCTGTGTGTATTGACTTTGGACTTGAGCCAGGTGAAAAGATTTAACATGACAAAGAGAGCCATTGAAGGTATCATAGTTATAAACTTCCTTATTTGTGGGGCACTTCAGCTAAACAGGGCATAAGTCTCAAAGCTGGGGGGTGAGGCGGGGATGGAGTGGGGTGGAGGCATGTGTGTTTGGACTGCCTTTGGATTTCTGATCAAGGTCAAAATATCATCAATGGATTTTTTTTTTTACTTTACTCATTCAACTTTGTCTGAGAAAAGATGCCTGCATTTGTGAAAGGAGGGCTCACAATGCCCAAGTTATTTCATTCTTTGCAATACACCATGACGAACTTACCAGCTGAAAAGAGCATTTTCAAATACTGAGTTGAAATCTCTCCTTTGCTAAAAATCAGAAATAGGATCTGTATCTTATTTACCTCTAGGTATTAAATGTGCAGATGTACACATCACTCATCTCTGAATTCTAGTGCCTGTTGTAAGAGGAACATTTATTTAAGCTGATGATTTATAAAATGTTTGAGGCCCGTGTTAGCCCTCTATACTTCTTTCATCCCCAGCTTGAATTCAGTGTTACCAAATTCGATGAGATTAGCATATTCCAGAGATGGCCTTAATTTTCTTTTGCAGGAAACTGTGAAAACATATTTAATTTTTTTTAAAAAAATGTATATGATTTCTTGTTGAGAACAAAGTTTTAAGAGTTTCCTAGCCCAGGGCGGTTAAGTTTTCCAGGCTTTCTTTAGCTGATCTTGTTGATATAATTGTGAATTGGGCTTGATGAATGAGTTTAGTTGTCCCCTGTCTGACGAGCTTTAGTAGCTTCATGCATTTTAATCAGTCCAATGATTCATTTATTTTCCACTTTTTTTTTTTTTGGCTGTGTGTGGGATCCTTCTTTTTAAAAAATGGTCAGAACAGGATTAATTACCCTTTGCATTAATCCTAAGTTGTTTTTCAGGTAGTCCTCTAAATATATAATGGTTGCAGGTGCTAAGGATCCTCCTATGAAGTACAGTGATTGTGGTTTCTATGTGGCTCCCTCTGTGTTGCACAAGGGTCTCTTGTTTAATCATTTTACACAGTAAAGTGTTAATCACCATTTAAGTTACTCTTTGCCTTGTAACTTCATTAGGTGAATACACATCTCATTCTGGAAATATTGTGACCCTTTCAATAAAGTGTCAGTTAGCCTTGCGCCATAAATTCTCGGCAAATTTTAATTCTCTGCAAAAATATGAAGAAAAGCAAGTACTTAAAGTCAGGCATTTGAAGTAACTTCATTCATATCTTTAAAATAAGTGCATCAAGCATTATCTTCTCAGAGGAAGGAGTGAAAGAAATCTGTTCAGTTCAAAGTGAACAGGTATCTGGACATGAAGGTGAACCTCTAGGTAATTTCTATTTAAAAAATTTTAACAACCGCAATAATTTAAAGGAGCAAGGAACTGAATACTCACACTAAATAAGATGCATCAGAATATAAGCATTGAGTAAGCAAGTCTGTTTTTACTTTTTAAGTCTCCATATTTTCTACCTGATTTCTACATAAGCCTTATATTTATAAGTGCTATATTTCATAAAATGTATATTTCAATAAAGACAAAAATACATATAAAATACTTATTGTTTCAAAAACAGGTTTTCTTTCACCACTGCACCTGTGCACCTGATCTTTAATAGAAATAGTCTGTTTCCTTTTTCCCTATACACAAATACCTTCAAAATTCTATCTGAATAATTTCTCCCACAATCTCCAAGTGCATAAGAGGAGGTTTGACTGTTTTCACAATATGATATGAAAAAGGCAAATTACTCAGTGTATTGCAGAAAGCATGTTTAGGGAAGCATTACATCCATCTTTTGCAAAATTATTTGTAGCAACTCTTCAAAAACACACAAAACTAAAATTTGAATTTACATATTTTAATGAGAAAATATTATTTGGACTAGGTCATAATTTAATGTAGACACCCTTTTTTTTTAAATCCTTTGTTTTAAAACAGGCATGCTGGGAACAAGAACATCAATATTTAAAATGCCACGCTAATTCTGTACAGGGAGGGAAAATGAAAGGTAAAAATTTTACAGCTCTGATGACACTACAACTTTTTTTTTTTTTAACTTAAGCAGGTCACACCAGAACAACAGTTCGTTTTCCAGCCAATTATCTAAGATTCTAAAGGAATACAGCAAACAAAAGTGCATTTTACACAGTGTATAATCATTCCTATTCACAAGTATTTACATCTCTTTGCAGCCCTTTAGCTTCTTGGAAAAGTTCTGGTAGCAAACAGAAAGACTTGTCCGTGGGAGAGCTATCCGGTGACATCCCTTCATGTTACCAGTCAGCTTATCTAAGTTCTTCCCGGGTTGCCCTTGATGCTTTCTTGGTTTGGGCTTATTTCATTTTCTTTCCTTCTTTTTTTTTTTTTTTTTTCCCAACAATAAAATAAATAGCTAAAAAGGTCTCTAAGTCATCGGAAAGTTAACATCCCAATTAACTTTCCCATCCCCACTTCCCTCCCTTTCTAAACCTGGCCAGAAATGAAGAGTAAACATTCACATTACAACAGGTACTTATAATGTGGGCTTTGCCCGTTCGTCCGCCTAGCAAGACAGATTCAAGTTCACTGTTTACATATTACTGGGCGCTTTGTAAACAATACAAGGTTACTTTTAGTTTTGTTTTGCTGTGTGAGGACGAGCGTCGCTTTCTCAGCTTGGCAGCCTCTTTCCTAACTCCCAGCGCCTGGAGCCTCTGGAAGGAAACAAAACCCCAAACAACAACAAAATCTCCGCAGAAGCCTAGGAGGCAGGGCCGCAACCCCGGGAAGCTGTGGTCGGCCCAGCCCCTGCCGGATGGGCGGAGGCGAGTGGGGTAGGAAGATTAGTGGCTCCTTTTTGCTGCAGATTTCCAAGACGTAAAGAGATCCGGCCCTCCCCTGCGCTGTTGCAGCCCTCGCGGGGAGGGGGTGTGGGGGGGATCTGTTCCTGGAAACATCTGAGGCAGTTTCTCTAGTCTTGAAACTGCGCAGAGTTCGGGGCTCCGCCGATCTGGGCGGAGGGAAGACGCGCTTTTCTCGGCGAAGAGGGGGTGACAGGGTTTCCCCCGCCGGTCAAATAGGAGGGGGTTTCGGGGCCTCAGGGAGGGGATGGTTCGGCTCAGGTGGCCCCGGCCTTCCTTGATGTGGGGGCGAGGACAACTCCCACGCGCCTCTCGGCCCATCTGCAAGTTTGTGTTTGGTCTCCTGGGTCCAAAACAAAGTTCTCTTGGGGCAAGGCGGGTTGGCCGAAGGTGAAATGAACAAGTTAGGGTGGCGGTCCCAGGTGGGGGCCGGCAGGACTGGGAGCCAGGGAAGGCGAGTGAGGTGGTGGGGAGGAGAACGAGAGGGGGCGTGGGCTCCTGCGGGTCAGTGCACCGCCACCGAGTGCAAGGCGGAGGCCGGGCTGGTGAGCGTTTCGCTGGGGGTGGCGGGGCTGCTTTGGCTGGTGGCTGTTTGCGAGGACGTGGGGCTGAGCGAGGGCGGCGAGTTCGAGAGCAAGGTGGGGATGGGCGCTGGCAGCGCAGGCAGCGCGGGCACGGCGGCCGGCGTGGGCTTAATGGGCACGGGGATGGCGGGCAGCGTTTGGCCCGCCGCGTGGCACAGCGGCTTCAACGGCACGCCGTAGGCGCTGTAGTCGCCACTCGCCATGGAGATGGGGGTGGCCGAGTCGATCATGCCGGCGGAGCCATACACGTGTGGCCAGCCGGTGCCCAGCGAGCTGCCCATGGTAGTCAACTGGTTGGGGAGCGGGTAGGCAGCGGGCACCGGCTGCATGGCGGAGAAGGCCAGCCCCCCAGGCATCTTGTATTCCCGCGCGATGATGTTCTCGATGGCGAAGGGGTGCTTGAAGCCCGAGGGCTGCGCCACGCCGCCCAAGTTGTAGGCGGCGGCGGGCATCTGTGGCAGGTGCGTGCCCGAGGCCGCCAGCGCGCTGAGCCGCAGCTTGGCCTGCTGCTGCAGGTACTGCGCCGCGTCGGCTGGCTTGCTGGGCGCCAGGTGGTCGGACTTAAGCACCTTGAAGCGCTTGCGGCGCCGCAGGAAGCTGCCGTTCTCGAACATGTCCCCGCAGCTTGGGTGCAGCGCCCAGAAGCTGCCCTTGCCTGGCTGGTCCGGCCGCCGCGGGATCTTGATGAAGCAGTCGTTGAAGGAGAGGTTGTGGCGCAGACTGTTCTGCCAGCGCTGCGTGTTCTCCCTGTAGTAGGGGAAGCGGTCCATGATGAACTTGTAGATCTCGCTCAGCGGCAGCATCTTCTCGGGAGAGCTCTGGATGGCCATAGCGGTCAGCGAGATGTACGAGTAGGGCGGCTTCTGGTCGCTGTACGTGTTGCGGCCGGGCCGAGGCATCTTCTTCCTCGCCCTCTTCTTGCTCTGGGTCCGCGCGGGCCGGCGGACTGCTCGGATCTGGGAAGGGGGTGGGTAATAGGGAAAGGTAGCATGGATGCACAGAGACACCGGCGGGGTCAGCCAGACCGAGTAACAGACTTCGGGGGTCGGGGGTGGGGCCTGCGGCGCTCGATCAGCCAGCGCCCGGACTCTTTCGCCAGCAACTTTGCGGGCTTAGTGGGCGCGGGAGGGGAAGCCGGCGAACGGCGCGAGGATAGCCGGGAAGTAAGTCGGTACTGGGGCCAGAATAGGGGGCAGGGACGGAACAGAGAGCTGCTCACCTTAAAGTTGCTTCAAGTTGCGCGTCCGCATCCGGGAGGACGCCGCTGCGCGCCGCTTCTCTCTCGGCGCGCACTCGACGCGCACTCCGCGCGCAGCGTCCGGGTCCGGTTGGACTCGGCGCGAACCTGGGCTCTTGAGCTCAGCCCCGCAGCGTCCCGTGCCGCCCGGTCCGCGACGCTCCTGGAGCGTCCTGCGGGCGGCCGAGCTCGGCTGCGGAGTCCCGGCGCGGATGGTGGCAGCGACGTGTTAGGGCTCCGGAGGGCGCTGCTGTGGGCTCCGCGTCTCCGCTGAGCTAGGTGGCTGCCTCCATGTCCTCCCTCGAACCATCTGATAGTTTTAAGCGGTGACAGGAGCAGAAAAGACCCCTGTAGCGGCGCTTCATTAATGTGCCACTTCTTAGCTATCATATGACAATCGCCTTGGGAGGAGGAGGAAGAGGAGGGGGAGCGGGGGCTGCAGAGGGAGGGGACTGAGCGAGAAGGGAGAGCCCGGCCAGCTCTGGTTTCTTTCACACCTATTTACATGGACACCTTGGCCAATAGGAATCACTTCCAGCTCAAGACTGGGCGAGGGGGAAGAGCCTCGGCCACTGGGCAGGCAGCTGGACGCGCCGGCCGGTGTGCGCCGTGTGAAGGTATGAGGAAGCGGCCGCCGCGGAAGAGGGAGCCAGGCGACCACTCACGTTCACAGATGGAGCAGCCGCGCGGATGATGTTTGACATGGAAATTGCTTGGCTGGGGTATTCTGTTTCCTCTGCGTTGTATCCGGTTTGTATCGTTAGGTAACTTTAGGCACGGCTTTCCCCTGAAGCCGACCCTTTTCCTGCGCTTAGCACTACCCGGGGTTGGTTGCATGGGTTATAATAATGAAAACACACCCTTGCCCCCCAGTCCCCGGAGAGTTAGGTCGAAATTTGACTTGACTTTCCTATGCAGCTGCTTCAGCTTTGTATAGTTAGTGTGTAGCTTTGAAAAAGTGATGGGGTTTACAAATACTTTCAAAATGTGATTGGACATCCCCATGTAAGAACCCATTTTGAATGTAACTGTATTGACCAAATTTTTAAAAATTAAAATAGTGTATCTGGGCGAAGAGTCCAGGTATTTGCTTTAAAAGTCCTCCGGGAATTTGGTTGGACACAGGATGGAGGCTCAGGAGCTGTTGGGGCAAATGTTGTGCGGACCTGGGGAGGGCCTGAGTTTGTTTGACACAGTTTATCACCAGGTAAGCCTCAGGGGCTCTCGCTTTTCCCAGGTGGTTTGAAACTTTAGGACTCAGGCACATCCTGGAAGTTTTCATTTTACACCCGGAACTCCCCTTCCCAGCCCTCCCACCCCCCCAACCTCCCACCCCCCATCCCCCAACTGCCGCTTTTTTTGGTATGGAGAACTTATTTAGGATTTAGAGTGTAGCAAAAGCCGCCTGCGATCCCACTAAGACAGCAGTATCTTCTACAACTTGGGGAAAGAACCATAGAGTTTTCCTTCTTGGGGAGCGGGGAATGTGCCTTGGGTCACTCCGCCTGGTGCGAGCAGCAGGCTCCCTTCGGTTCGGATTCGCCTTGGAAGGGTTAAATGAATCATTATTATTATTATCATTATCCTCATCGTCGTCGCTGCCGTCATCATCATCATCATCAAATTGCTATGAAATAAATAGTGAGTCGACCCCGCCTGCATGCACGCACTCTATAAGTACACACCAGGAGTTCCCACGGGTTTCTGCACATTCTCCGACCTTTAAGGTTTTTAAAAGACATTCATTTTACTGCGTTGTTAAAAACTCAATACTTACAGCCCACACAGAATCATCTTCAAAGTCCAGAAATGGGAGAACTTTTTTTTTCCCTAGACGTGGTGATCGTAGAGAATTCTGGGTGTTAAGTTTCAACACTTTAAGTGATATTAGAGCATTATTAGTGGAGCTGTTTGGGGTTAGCATAAAAAAGATCTTTCAGCGCGCGAATGCACACACACACAAACACACACACACACAACTTCATTAACTACAGTTTCGGAGGCGGTCAATAACTCACCAAAACGTAACTTAAACACGATGAATTTAGGAGATTAAACAATTTCATTAATATTGAAATGGCTCTGGCTCTGGGCTGCCTCGGTTGAGATGCAAGCGCACGTTTTTCAATATTAACAGAAGTGCTTGAAGAAAAGAATAATGTCACCTTCTTAATTCGGAAAAAATAACTGGGAGGAGGAGATGGGTGCGAGGGGCTGGGGGAGGGATGTTGACCTGTCTCTGGGGGTATGGCTCGAGAAGGGCAGATAAATGTATTGCCCTTCTCAGCAGATAAACCACTTGGACTCGGGTGGAACCTCTGCCAAGCTTTGGCCGGAGGCAGCCGTACTCATCCCAGCTACTCGCGCTTCAGGTCATAACGAGGTGCGGCGTTTGGGGGGTTACTTTGTGCGGCCAGATTCGGATCGAAGGTCCTGGGGAGGAAGGAGCTGGGGAGTCCAAAGAGCTGGGGAGCTTGGGAGATCCGTGATGAGGAATAGTGGGCAAGGCTTGTGTTTCCCAGAATGGAAAGGCGCTGGTCCACAGCTTTCCTGCTCCCGAGTACAGCTGGCCTCGGTACAAAACAGTTACTGTGGGCAAGGCAGGAGCGCTCCTGCTGTGGAAGGGTACCAGCATAGACTCCCCCAGGAATTTTTAGGATCCTCTTAGTAAATATGTGCATCCGTTCATACTGATACGTAGACCGATAAAATATCGTGGGCGGCTGGAATTGGGATGTAGATAGGAGTGAAAGCTCTGCTCCGTTCCCCCAGTGACAGCCAGGAAGATTCTTTTCTAACCGGCATGGGTGCGTGTTGAGGGTGGGGAATAAGGAGAGAGAAGTGTTTTCTTATTTTAACAATTGGCATTTTGTTGCCCTGCAAAGAGGCCATTGTATGCCTGTCGAAATCATTGCTCAGAGTAAACAGGAGATTAACTAAATTCTAAGAGTAAAAACGTTCGGGTTAAAAAAAAAAGTCTGAAGTTGGAATAAATCTTTGTCTATCTCCCCGGGAAAGTTGTCACCCCCAAGTTTGGAACATGCGAGGATACAAGTAGGAATTTGTGTCTGATGAATCTTTAAAGTTTGGCTAGTGTGGAGATAGGAGTTTGACGCATATTGCACACGACCAGGGTTACTTAAGTAAACCGAACCCAGTAGCACAAGTTTGCCTTGGATGAGGAGAGAAGTTGTGAGAAACACATTTAAAACTTGGGCTTTGCTACAAAGTTTTATCTTGGTTCTGCTGGAGGTCTACAAAGCCCAGGGCGGGGAGGGAGGATTTGCATGTTATTGACAGCATTTTAAGACTGGTATTACGAAAAGGAGGAGGGAAGGAGCACTTTCCAGAAATCTTGAAAAGTGCATCAGAGTCTATTGTGCAGAACCCAAAGCAAACACGGGGTGGGGGTGGGGGGGGAGGCACATCCGACCCGGTGGCTTAGGGAGTTGTTGGGAAAACTGTATAAAATACACATAAGTCAATTATACCCATGTGCAAACCAAATGGAAATCTCTTTCGTGCAATAGCCATTCATCGCCTCCGCAGAGCCCACCACCGACCACCTTTCTGCTTGGAGAGTTCGCAATAGCCTCTTTTCCCACAAGCTGGACCACACACGGCTACAGATTTCGTAATAATTTATGCTAATTTCCCTCCATAAATCCACAATTCGCTTCAGTGGCACCCGGGTTGCTGAGGGAGTAAAAAGGAGACAGAGGGGTGACAAATACAATATTGATTTTGATTCCTTCTGTTGTCAAGCAGGTGTGTGTGTGCGTGAAGGGTGGAGCTGGGGCTTTGGGGGCGGGGGCTCCAGGAGAGGAAATCTGTCCCTAGTCTCTGCCAGCCCCTCCATGCACACTCCAGAAAATAACGCGCCCTGGTTTGTTAATATTTACCAAACATAGACGGGAGGCGGAGGGAAAGTACCCGGCAGCTTCCGAAGGTTTCCTAGGTGCCAAAAACAATACCCGTCGTCCCCACTTGGAAAATGAACTCTGCGCTGCCTGGAGCGTTTCGGCTAAGCCTTCCTTTGCCCGGTCCTCTTCTTTCTCCCTGAGTCTCCCTGAACTCCTCTCCGCTTCCTCAGTCTGAGTCTCTCCCTCCCTCTCCTTCTTTCCCCTCTCCTACAGCACTCCGGTCCTTCACTCCTCTTGACTACACTTTTCTCCTCTCCCTTCTGCTTTTTGCATCTCCTTTACCAAATTGACAGTGAAATGTGCTGAGGGAGAGGGTCGAAGGCTGGTGCGCCGTCGATATCAGGTTTTAGGGCCTTGCGAGTCTCCCCTGCCCCGCCCCACCTCTCCAGGCCGCCTCCCGCATTTGCCCCAGTGCTGCGCTCGCTCTGGGAACCCGCGCTAACGCATCGCGCCTCTTTGTCCCATCAGTCATTCTTCAAATCTGCACTTTGGTGGCGTGAAACGACTTAGCCTCCCTTTCAAAAGGATTTCGTTCCTGGGGTATTCAGCACTAAAACAAACTCCCTCAGCCTGTCAGTGGTCAATTAAAAAAATGGCCATCCCGAGTGTCCTGGGGGCTGTTTGTCCTCGGAGTCTGTGCGCCTCCCCCACCAGCCCCCCAGCACCGCAAGGCCTGGCTTTAACGTGCTGGATTTCGGGACCAGAGGGAACTAGCTCAGAAAGTTCTCCTTTCCCGGGGTCACCGGACAACATCGACTTGCAGGTTTGGGTTTTGGGGGCGGGTGGGGGGCAGAGACGAGCACCCGGCGCATGTCAGGGGAAACGTATCCGCTACGACTCTCCCACGACTGCCTTTGGAGTTTGAGCCCGCTCTTCCAGGCCACTCCGACTGAGTCTGGCGGGAAATCAAACTGCCCAAGGGAGAGAGGCGGGGGAGGGGACACACTTTCCGCTCTGGTGCCAACTGCCGACGGGCAGTGAAAGGACTCCGTACCCACCCACACCCCCTACCCCCGCCAGCGACCCCTGCACTGTGGTGCCACAGGAGCATACTTTTTCCAACTAGTGGGGAAGAATGTCTGCCGGGGAACTTTGGAGCCAGCTATTTCATCCGTTGGTGACTGGGCTACAAGGGGACCTTAACTCATCACAGACAGGAAAAAACAAAACAAAAAACAAAAACAAAACAAAAAACATTTGACAAGTAGTATATTGGCCATAATCAGATCTCCCCTCCGGGCTCAATCTTGTGGGGTTCTAAGACAAGAGTCTCCACTTCCTGTTCACCCTTTACTCCCATCCAAACTGGGGGGCTCAACTTCAAGGGTGTCAGTTTTTTAGTCCCCACCAGCATAACTTGTCCAGCGGTGAATAGGGCCTCTGGCTGTGGCTGGGGCACCTAGAGTTAAATCTGTGTTTTGCTTGGGAGTGAGGTAAAGGGAGGCAACACCCCACACATTTTAATAGTATATCCCAAGCAGCTGCTGCGGTTTGGAGAGCGTGGAAGGCCCAGTTTCCCCTCTACCTCAAGCATAAAATAAAGAGTAGCCAGAGTTAGGTGCTGGTGCAGCTTGATCCCCATCCCCAAGAGGTGCCACCCGCTCTCCTCTTCCCCCTCCCCCATCATGGTGAGCAAGCAATTTCAATGCCTGAGAAAACAACTCTCCCTGCTCAGCACAATGCCTTCTCTTTGGAATTGGTTTGCTAAATACCATTTGATGTTTGCTTGGCTGTGATTTGTTCTGAGACTTCAAGGCTTTAAAATCTTTGTTTCCAAATCAAATCCCTCCTTTGCACAAACAGTTGCATAGCTTTAAATTGGGCATTACCATGCTCACAAATGTATTTGTTTAAAAAGTTATTTGCAAAAGGGTGGTGGAAGGCTTTTTGTGTTGTTGCTAAACCCTCCCCATAAGTTTTGCTCTGTACTGTGTGAAATAGAAGAAGCAATTCAAATCTATTATTATTATTGGAGGAAATATTGCTAAAGCCACCTTGGTATTGAAGGGATTAACTTGCTTTTCTCCCAGCCCCTAACTCTGGGGTTAAGACAGCAGTAGATCAACTGTATAATGTGTGCACTGTTCGCTCATTTGTACAAGCAGAACAAAGGTTGGACTAAGCCAAATTGCATTGCACTTGTGAACCGAGTCCCGATGTGAAGTATCTTTTACAGCGGGGGGAATGAGAACAATTTCGTGTATGTCTAAAAGGGAATAACAAAGCCACTTTCTCGAGCATCTCAAAGTGAAGTAGCGAGGCGTGACATTCCCAGGGTGAGAAGGGACAAAAGCAGGGTCAGGGAGATGAAAAAGAGAATCAAACAGCCACTTTCACATGTCTGCCCTCAACTGCTGCACCTCTCCATAATAGGAAACAAATGTTGTAAAAGGGGGGATTGCTCCCATTCATTCAAAATAGCAAATGATAGCTAAACAACATTGTCAAAACTGAATCAACTTCTGTGCAGTACCACCCAGAAAAAGGTATTGTGTTTTGTTTAATAGCGGGGTGGAGCAAAGGGTTTTTTTTTTTAAAGTGGGGAGGGAGGGAGAGAAAAATCATCCTATACTGTTCATATTAATTTTCTTTGTCAAAAATTATTGGTTTGCTGAGTTTTTTAAAAAATCAGTATTTCTGGCTGGGCACCCACTCTTAAATGTTATTTTTGGGGGAGGAATTTTGGAAAAGCTGCAACAGGAAAGTGATTTTTAGCTTTATAAAGTGTTTTAAAGCTTCCAATAAGTGGGAAAAACGGGTTTAAGCTCCTTCAAATGTAGGATCTGGGAAAAATAAGTTACTGATTGAATAGATTCAGGTAAATCCCGGACAGTAGGCTAAAATGTGCTTTGCTAATAAATTGGAATAAAATCGATGGGGGGGGGCAACTGCAGATATGTGAAATGAAGAATATTTTGCATCTATAATATATATTTTTTTGGTGGATCCCTCTGCTTTAATTTGTTTTGAAACCGGATAACCTATAGATCTTCAGCCTTAAAACCCTGCGCTTCTGCTTTGTTTGTTCAGGCTGACCAGGGAGGAGAGCTTAACCAGGGTGAACGTGTGTAGTATGTGTTTTCTTAATGGCAGAAGCAGGTTTCGCTGAAGACCACAACAGCTTTCAAATGTAATAACTCGCTGTGTTCCTAGGCAGGTTAAAAACTATTTGTAGATCTCTCTCTGTCTCTCCCTCTCCCTCTCTCCCTTTCTCCTTCTCTCCCCCTCTCTCTCTGCTTTTTGTTTTCTTGTCTCCATGCGTCCCCCGCTGAGTTGCCACCCACAAAGCGGGTTTGAAAAAGAAAGAGAGAAAAGAAAGAAAGCGGCTGATCCGTGCTGGCCTCCCCCAGCTAAGAATGGCTAGGGGGCGGGGCTTGGCGGGGCCTGCAGCGCAGCCAGGCGCTCGCCGCCCCTCCGCGGCAGAGTCCTTCCGCTCATTTCGTGCTCACCTGGGACTAGCGCGCCGCTTCGTGGGTCCTAGCGCGCGGTGCCAACCCCAGCGCGGTGCAAACCCCCCCGCGGTGCACTCTGGCCCTCCTCGCGGCCGGCCTCTGCTTTGGGCGCTCTAGCAGCGCGGGGGCTGTTGGCTGACTCTTGGTGGGTTGCAGTTAACTGACACAGCTTGTCAGCAGGGGAAAACCAGGTTGCCCCAAGGACTTACCGACGCCCCAGAAATAGACTCCTGCCCCCTGCGTTCCTTTCCCCCATTTTCTCCCTCCCTCTCCCCACCCCTTCTCATTCCCGCTAACCTTTTCCCCTCTACCCTCCTTCTCTCGCCTTTTTTCTCAGCCTACAGTTTCAATTCCAGCACAGGTATGAACACCAGATTTTAGGTCAGCAAACTGACTCGAGGCATTCCCAGTAGCGCAAACTTTCCGGGATTGGCAGGGCATTTTCTTCTGTGCTCAGCTGGCCTAACCAAAATAAAGGAGCTAAAGAAGGGAGGGAGGAAGAGAAGAGAGAAGCAGAAAACAGCCCCAGCATCCCCCCCTGCAGCGCATCCTGGCACACCTCCGCGGCGTAGCGGTAGGCTACATCAGGTGGTTGGCGAGTGGGGTAAATCATTAACCCGATCTTCAGAGGATCGGCGAGGTTTTTCGAAAACTTTGCCACTTAGAGTTGCGGCTGACGTCGTTCACTGGCCCGACGCAAGAGACCTTAGTTGGCACCCGCCCCCGCATTTAGTTTTACTTAATATTTTTACTGGGAAAGAATCTTGTAAATATATTTATATACAATATTTATGTACTTAAAATAACCATTAAGTCTGCACTGCCACTTTTCTCTTAAAGTGTCACCTCATCTCCATCTTTTGGATAAATCTAGAACCACGAAGGATTTAATAATTCCAAGAAGGCTGATCCAGCAAGTGATTTTCTTTGGAGCGGATAACCATTTGTTCATAGCCATAGCGATTTGATTGGTGGAGCCGGTGGCCTCCCTTAGCCAAGGTAGGCTGTCTTTTCTTCCCTCGCCGGCAGTAAAGGAAACCTTCTCGTCACTTACTTCACCCCTGAAAGCAGTTTGGGTTCACAGTCTTTAAGGAACACTCCGGAATACCAGGAGTTTGGGGAGGATATTGATCTTTCCGTTCCGCCCATCCATCCTCTTTTTACCGATTTTTTTTTAATTGCAAAGAAAAAAAAAAGCTACACACAAACGAGATAAAGTAGATGAACCATAGTGAGACAGTTGCTTCTTTTTCTTCAAGTCTTTTATCGCTTCCCAAAAGGACAGAGGGAACTGTGGGCCTCGTAGGTTTCCCAGATTTTCCATAGTTGTTAGGAACTTAGGTTTTCCTTCGCGTCCGCTTCCCCGCGACCTGTTGATGACTCCGAGTGGCGGAGCACGAAGCTGTGCGTTGAAGTTGGTTATGTAAACTGCTTGTGTATTTCACATTATCATCGCGCTGTCTGGAGGCAATGTAGATTTTCTAAAGATCTAATGAATAAACAACCAGCAACTGCTGGCGGTGTAATTTACATTGTTAATTCCTACATGTGTATAATAAATATGCATTTGTATGCCTTCAAATAAACTCTTTTCAGTTTCTAACCTGTGGTGATTTTTTTCCCCCCAAAAAGAAGGGGGTGGGGGACTTGTGTTTCCAAGGGAGGAGAGTTTATTTCTCTTGCATTATCTGGTAAAAATGGCTGTGATGTGGAGCCCAGATGTAGGGTCCGCAGCCTCGATGCTGTGCTTTCTACCTGCCGAGGTAAGCTGGGCTGGAATGCTCCCCGGCACGGGCACTGGACTCGCCAAGAAAGGGAGAATGCGCCCAGGAATTTAGCTGCGCAGTTTTGAAGACCGCAGCGCTTCCTGAGGGTTGTGGGACCTGGATCCCGTCATTTTCGGGATCCAAGCGTCCTCCCCGGAACTGTCGCCCTCCCCCAAAGAGAAGTGTGAGCGACTTCTCTCGGGTCGCAAGCTGGGTTGGGAGAGTTGGGGCTGCTGCGGCGTCCACAACTCCTGCAAAAACTTTCCCTGGGAATTTCCGGACCTACGATGTTTCCCCAAGTGCCCTCTGTAGACAGCACTTCAGACCAGCCCCGGGACCATGACCCGGACCAGGACCGCAGGGAGGAGAGGGCCCTGGGTCAGGGGCCGGGATCCTAGACTGCCCATCAGCCACTTCCTCCGGTAGGACAACACCGCGCAGGGTAGCAGGAGCTCGGACGCACCTAGGAGCTATGGCCTCCCGAGCCGCCGGGTTTGGACCCAGCGTAGCCGCTGCTTTCTGAAGCTGAACGCCCTCCCTGCGCGTCCCATGCCACTTATTTCAGGCTGGGCGCCGACATTTGGTATCTCTCCCCTCCACCAACCAGGTGCCACTTTCTTAGCGAGCTCGAAGGCAAATGTCTCATCTTTCCCCGTGCTGGATCTGGAATACATTATTTTAATTAAGTCTATGGCGATTTACTTTCCTCTGAGATCTATTCCACGGTGCAATTAGGAACGTATTGGTGCTAGCTCATATGAATATTCAGGAGCGTGTCAATTAATTAGCAGACAGAAGAATCTCATTATGGTGCTCAAAACCCTTTTAGTGTTAAGCAGAATTAAGGGGGTATTTGGCAATGCGCTGGATTAGTGAATATTTTACTGTGCACTCATTTAACTTCATTATCATAGCACTTACACTACTCTCTGATTTTATTAATTAAATTGCTCATTAATTTGTCCAAAACGGATAAAAGTTTTAATGTGCCACCCAGTAACTTGGAAAGTAGACTTTCGCCCTGCTTAGTCTTTGCCCCATGGAGGCTATCGCAGCCCGAGATGGAGGCTCGCTTCACCTCTCCCTCCACCCCTCAGCTCTGGGGAGCTCAGGGACTCGGGCGCCAGGCAGTTGGGGATCAGCGCGACGCCTGGAAGGAAGGGCCACTACCTCTGAGCAGCCTGTTCGCTTTCTGCCTCTTCCGGCTGGCCTGGAAATCCGAGTCGTCCTTCAGGGCGCAAATAAATAAATAAGAAAGTGTCACTGGCTCCCAGGAGTGAGGACCACTGGGCGAGGAGCGATTTGCCTAGGGACCCGGGAAATGCCCCGGGGGTAAGGATCAGGCAGCCCGGGCGCCTCCACCTCCCTGCCCTGAAGGCTCTGTTTCCCAAAGCCGAGCAAAATGCACTACGTGGGGTCAGCAACAGTAACGCCCCCTAAGGGCCTGCTGAGCTCAGTGCCTGCACTCCCTGCCACTTGAAGCCTCTGCGGGAACACTGCCCCACCACCTGGGCCACCCTCAGGCACCACCCAAGCTCGCCCCCGCGTGCTGCTCATAGCCACCTGCACCTCCCTCATCCTACCCCAAAAGGTTAGAAAGACAAATATTAAAATTACTTGCACAAAGGGAACTGCCAAAGAGATCCCAAATTAATATGCATGTAAAATTAATTAGCTGCATTTTGTGACATCAAAATAAGTACCTGGGAAACAGAACACCTTCTGGGCATTGGGAACATATGCTGGAATTAGAGTTAATTGACTAATTACATAAATTAGGCATTAATTTTGCAACACATCAAGTATAAAAGATATCTCAATTAATTGTGCATAAATTACCAGGTGAAACAGGGCGGCGGTCCGGCCAGGATCCCGGTTCTCAGACCTCTTTGCTCTTCAGGGCCCCAAAGCTAGGCGGTGTGGAGGGCGCACGGGTCGCGCAGGCCGGACGGCAAAGAAAGACGCAGATCAGCACCCGCAGCCGCAGCCCGCGCAAGCTGAGGACCACGGGCAATCGTTAATACGAAGAACCCCGCCCCCCTTCATTAAAATCAATTATGTGCAGTTAGATTGATTAGCTTTTGTCAGAAAGAGGAGAGAAGCAGACTCTTCACGGGTCCACCTCCCCCTACCCCGTCAATCTACCTTAGCTGGTAACTATAGAGATGGGGGGTCGTGGGGGAGGGGCCTCGCTGAGCGCGTCTCGCTGTCCTGGCCCTCCGTTCCTGTCGCGAAGGATGGCAAGGTTTCTGGATCAGGCGTTGGTTCTAGGCCGCTTTGGGTCCATGGGAACGCCAGTCTGGGGGTGCTGGGTGCTTGGTTCCTCTTGGTGGTTTACAATCCTCTCGGACTCCCCACCACTGAATCCTCACCCAGAAGTCCAACTTGGAGGGAGTGGTGCCAACTTATTTGAATCTCTTCGGTTTTGAAGTGGGTGTAAATTAATCCCGAGGAGATAGAAAGTCTGAGTAAAGAATCCATACATTCTCCCTGAGGACTGGTTTGTCAGAGCCCCCACTCACTCAGCCCTCCTTCCCACATGATATACATGATTTCTCTCCTTTCTTAGGGCTGGAAGAACAGAAATGGGATATAGTATCGATGTTCAGTTTAATTTTCTATGGCTCCCTTCTCCAAGGGGAGCTCCAGGGAACACACCTTAGTAATTCCCCCTCAACAAACCACCAAACGTAACATTTGTTTTGTCCTTAAAACATTTCTATTGTCAAAATATTAATGACCTTGGCACTGACTTTCCCCTACGTTCTATACATATTTTAAATGGGAGAAAAATTCCCAAAGGAAAGGGGGTATTTGAACATTGGATAAAGTCGTGCCAATTTCAAACCTTAGTGAAATAACAGCAAAACTTACTATGAATTCCTCACACAAATTACCACCAATTGTAACAGTTTGGCTCTGTTGATCTCGTGGAATGTAACTAATGAGGACGTTTGCTGTCCATAGTTGAAGACATCTGAAGCTGTCTTCATGTGCTTGGTTGTTTGTAAAAATATCCGAAGTCACAGTCCCATCCCTCGCTGTCCCCACTACCTCCTCAGCCCCGTCTTCCAAGAGTCCTTAGGTGAAATTATTTTCTCCTTCTCCTTCTCCTTCTTCTTTTTTTTTTTTTTTCCCAAGGCAAACAGAGAGAAAGAAGGGATATCCTGAGAAACACTTTATCATCTGATGCTGTATATTCTCATCAAGGAGGCTTGGTGACATTTGTTACAATATAATCCTGACTGCTGATGAAATCCTGAGTTTACTGAGACATTCATTTTGATGTGGAGGTTTCCTGCTGTAGCCAGATGCTGAAGGTACTTGAGGGAGCTGTTGACAAGTGGATAATTGTCAGCAGAACTAAAACAGACACTTTGTTTACAGTCGAGCATGATTAATTGAGAGTAAATAAAACAACAGCACTCTTTATGAAGTCACCATCCAAGTTCAAAAAAGGCTGTAGTCTCTAGGAATAAAAGAAGTGGACTTACTGTACAAAGGCTTGTTTTGCCAAACCCTTGAAGCAGCAGCTGGCAGCGGTGTGGATGAGAAGTAGATATGCTTTATTGCTTTCCAGCTGGTCTCCTTTTTTTCTTTTTAATTTTTGCCAAATCTATAGAGCTGGATTAAAAACATTTTTGTCCTAATTAGCTGAGTTTTAAATTTCTTTTTTATTACTCTTCCCCTTTCCCTTCCTTCCCCTCTTTAAAAAGTAAATCATTTAATGTGAAATAATTTTCAAAATGAGCCAGATGTGATAAACCTAAACTGATGATGTCAAACAAGGTTATCACATGCCATTGTGATACATCAGTTTGCAGGAGAGCGTTTCTATTCCCTGGAGTTCTAATGAATTGCAGAGGCCAGACTCCAGTAAACATCTTATGATTGTCCAACATAATACATTTTAAGGAAACAGGACATATATCTTTCAAGGCAGAGTGTGGCTTGTGTACAAGAAGTGCTTGGTTTTGTTTTGTTTTTAGGCCTCTATCCTGCCAGACTAGAGGATGAATAGGCCAGTATCTTTCTAACAAACTTTGTTAGTCATGTTTGTGCAAATCAGTGCTGCAAACATATTGATCAATTGCTTTGGATGGATATCGTGGATGGATTGATTAATAGCAGCCTATAAATGGAAATTCTGTATATTTTAATATAATGCCCCATAGAGCTAAAAGCAATGAGCCTAAGGTAGCTAGAAATACTTTTAGATCACTAACAACTGAATTAAATTCAGTACTGTTTTACTATTGTATAGATGGATACAGAAACGTAAGCCCGGTGAATAAGATGCAAACCCGAACTTGTTTCAGCTGCTGGGAAGAGCTTTCTTTTGGGACTACTTGCAGTTAAGAACGGTCTCTAGGAGCTTCTAAGACAAAAACAAAGCAGAGTCTGTGATAAAAGCAAAGTAGTCTGTGAAGGAGACGGAGAGAGAAAGAGAGAAGGGGTGGGGGAGAGAGAGCGAGACAGCGAGAGCTTTCTTTATGTGAGACCTGGCTTTTATGTGAACCAATACATTTTCTTTTGCCTTAAGCCTGTTTGAGCTAAGCTCTGAAGTGATTATGACTAATACACTTTTCTTACTGTCATGAGATCCACAGCAACTTTCATGCTGAATCTTTTGCCTACATTAGTTCTCCTCCTTATCCATGGGGGATATGGTCCAAGATCCTCAGTGGATGCCTGAAACTGTAGGTAGTACCAAACCCTATATACATGATGTTTTTTTCCTGTACATACATACATATGATAAAGTTTAATTTATAAATTAGGCACAGTAACAGATTAGCAACAATAATAAAATAGAGCAAGTATGATAATATACAGTAATAAAGTTATGTGAATGTGGTCTCGCTCAAAATATCTTATGATGTTGTACTCACCTATTTGCAGACCTCAGTTGACCACTAGTAACTGAAAGCTCGGAGAGTGAAACTGTGCGTAAAGGGCAATACTATGTTCCTTCCATCTCTCCTCACCAGCATGAGCAACTCGAATTGATCCCTTACCGTTGAAGGGCCAGCTGGGTAGCTCTTGGGCTTTCTGTCCAAGGAATTGAGTCGTCTTCTGGTGGGCACTATATATTGCTTTGGTGATTGTTCACTTGTGAAGATACTTATCAGGGCTTCTAGAGTCTGCGAGTCTTCCGATGAAGTAGCTAAGACAATGTCTCCATCAGCAGATCCTTAAACATTTTAAGACATCTTAGAACTCAAGCAGCCTTCCTGCATGCCCTCCCTCCCTCCCATACTTCCTCTCTCTCCCTTCCTTTCTTCCTTCATTTTCTTTCTCTTTCCTTTTCTGTATACATTTCTGAGGACTAATTCCATTTGAGGTCACACAATAGCAAAGCAGGGCTTTGATAAATTCATTTCAAGAGTTTAAATTTCAGTTGTTGAAAAAATATAAGTAAGAATAGCCACCAATGTCTCAGACTGGAGTTTTTCGCATTGTAAGCTTGTCATGATTTCACAGTCTTTTAAAAATACATGCTCTCATTTGATCCTCACAGTAACTCATAGGGGAATAGAATCTGTGAATAAAAATGGCTAACAGCCATTGAGAGCTTTGTATTAGGCCAGTAGTTCTGAAAGCGTAGTTCTGGGACCTTGGCATTCTTTGATATGAGATAGAGATATAACAGATATGAGAATCCAGTTGTCTTCTATTAAGCCAGACATTAAAGAGACTTGCAAAAATGTAAAACAATGATACTATTCTCATTAAGTTTTTGTTTTGTTTTGGAAAATATAGGCTTTTAAAAATTAAAATATGTTATTTACATTAACATGTTATGAGTTTATATTTTTAAGTGAATTAATATTTTAAAATGTATTTATTTTAACATCTAATACATTATATATCTATAGATGCAACTCCAATAAAGAAAAGCCTTAGGAATAGGCTCTGCTATCATCTTTCTTTTACAGGTAAGGAAACAAAGGCTAAGAGAGAGCTTAGGAAACTCCAAGGTTTCATGATAATAGGCGGTGGAGACAGGATGGGAGCTCAAAGCTCTCTGCCTGCAGGATTTGAGATTTGACTTCTTCTTCTTCTTCTTTTTTTTTTTTTCTTTTTTGAGATGGAGTTTCACTCTTGTTGCCCAGGCTGGAGTGCAATGGTGCGATCTCGGCTCACTGCTCGCTGCAACCTCCGCCTCCCGGGTTCAAACGATTCTCCTGCCTCAGCCTCCCAAGTAGCTGGGATTATAGGCATGAGCCACCATGCCCGGCTAATTTTTTGTATTTTAGTGCAGACAGGGTTTCAACATGTTGGTCAAGTTGGTCTTGAACTCCTGACCTCAGGTGATCCACCCACCTTGACCTCCCACAGTGCTGGGATTACAGGCATGAGCCACTGTACCCAGCCCTTCCCTAGGTTCTTTATCCCTGGTCAGAACAGAACTGATAATTTTCTTTTAACACTCCCATGATCCTTTGTCCATACCTCTATTTTACCACTTATGCATCACCTCATAATTGCTCTTAGGTCTGTCACCAAAGCAGTAGAATGTGATAGTTCAATTCTCAGCATCTACAGCAGTGCTGTCCAACAGATGTATAACATTAGACACATAGATAATTTTGAAAGTTCTCATAGCCACATTTTAAAAAGTAAATATATTATTGAATTAAGGTAAGTGTAATTCAATAATATATTTCATTTTAACTCAAAATATCTAAAATATTATTTCAATATGTAATCAATATTAAAATTATTAATGCAATATTTTACTTTTTTTAGTAATTCTTTGAACTCTGGCGTACATTTTTATACTTATGTCTCAGTTCATTCTAACTACATTGCAAGTACTCAGTAGCCATGTGTGGCTAGTGGCAACTATATATATTGGGCAGAGCAGGTATAGAGTCAGTCTGCCTGGGTTCAAATCCCAGCTTTACCATTTACCAGCCAGGAAGCTAACCTGGCTTCTCTGTCTCTCAGTTTTTCTCTTCCTGAAATGGAATTAATAGTGCAATTCATATCATAGCATTATTGAAAGAATTAAATAAGTTAATATATACAAAGTGCTTAGAATAGCATTATAAAACTTTCACACCATAAATGTTAAACATGATAGTTTTATTTTTAGATTGTAAGATTTCTAAAAATCAAACTGTATTTTATTCTTATTCTACTTGGCTATCTGGCTGGGCTGGCTGGCTGGCTGGATAGATGAATAAAAGCTGGCTTCTATGACTCACTTTATATGGCATCAAAACTTCAAATGATATTCTGGATATTTTAGGCAACGGAAAGAGGACACTGTTCATCAATGGTGGGAAGAAGATTTGCAGATGTATTTTTAAATAATCTGCTTTGTTGAGATATAACTAACATAAAATTCACTCAGCCTAAGTGCAGGGAACCCTGGCGAATATGAGTAATCAATATATAGTATAGAACATTGCTAGCACCCAAAAGCTTTTTTTGTGCTTTCTTTGTAGTCAATCCTCTTTCCCCACCCTTAACCTGTGGCCACTATTGATCTGCTGTCTTCTACTACAGTTTCACCTTTTTAGAGTTACATATAAGTGAAACCAGAAAGTATGGAGTCTTTTTTGTCTGGCTTTCTTTACTTAATGTAGTGCTTTGAGGTTCATCCATGTTGTTCTGTGTATCCTTAGTTCATTCTTTTTTATTACTGAGTAATATTTCATTGTATGGTGATATGGTTTGGCTCTGTGTTCCCACCCAAATCTCATGTTGAATTGTACTTCCCAGTGTTGGAGATGGGGCCTAATGGGAGGTGATTGGGTCATGGGGATGGATTCTAATGGTTTAGCGCCATTCCCCAAATTCTGCCTCATGATAGAGTTCTCAAGAGATCTGGTTGTTTAGAAAGTGCATAGTACCTCTCCCCTTGTCTTGCTCCCTCTTGCCAACCAGGAGAAGATGTTCCTGCTTCCCCTTCCCCTTCTGCTATGATTGTAAGTTTCCCAAGGTCTCCCCAGCCATGCCTCCTGTACAGCCTGTAAAACTGTGAGTCAATTAAACCTGTTTTCTTTGTAAACTGCCCAGTTTCACGTAGTTGTTTATAGCAATGTGAGAATGGACTAATACATATGGATATACCACAACTTGTTATCCATTTTCCTGTTGATGAATGTTTGACTTGTTTCTAGTTTTTGACCATTATTCTCTCTCTCTCTCTCTCTCTGTTTTTGTTTTGTTTGTCTGTTTGTTTTGTTTTTGAGACAGAGTCTGGCTCTGTTGCCCAGGCTGGAATGCAGTGGTGTGATCTTGGCTCACTGTAACCTCTGCCTCCCAGACTCAAGTGATCTTCCCACCTTAGCCTCCTGAGTAGCTGGGACTAAAGGTGCATGCCACCATATCCAGCTAATTTCTTGTACTTTTTGTAGAGACAGGGTTTTGCCATGTTGCCCAGGCTCGTTTCAAACTCCTGAGCTCAAGCAATTCACCAACCTCTGGCCTCTCAAAGTGCTTGGATTACAGGCATGAGCTGGGCCCATTATTCTCTTAACGGTGTTTTCACAGAGCAGAAATTTTAAATTTTAATAAAGGTCCAACTTAATCAATTTTTTCTTTATGGATCATACTTTTGGTGTTGTATCTAAAAAAGTCATCACCAAATCCAAGGTCATCGAGATTTTCTCCTATCTTTTAAATGTTTTATAGTTTTGCATTTTATATTTAGGTATGTGATCCATTTCGAATTTTGTGTGTGTGTGTGTGTGTGTGTGTGTGTGTGTGTGTGTGTGTGTGAAAAGTACAAGATCCATGTCTAGATTTGTTTCTTTGCATGTGGATGCCCCGTTTTTCCAGCACCACTTGAAAAGACTCTGCTTACCCATTGGCAGTGTTTATTTCTGGAGTTTCTCTTATGTGTTTCACGTGTCTAGAGTTACAACACTGCCATGTTGTTTTGATTACTATAGCTTTATAGTAAGTCTTGATATCGGGGTGATTAGTCCTCAAACACTGGGTTTTTTTTCAAAATTGTTTTGGTTATCTAGGTACTTTGCCTTTCCACATAAATTTTAGAACTAGCTTGTCACTTTCTACAAATATCTTCTGGAGTTTTGAATGAGATTATGTTGAAATATCACTTTTGGGGAGATTTAACATCTTAACAATATTGAGTCTTCAAAACATGGTCTTGTCTTTTCTATTCTTTTCTTTCTTTCTTTCTTTCTTTCTTTCTTTCTTTCTTTCTTTCTTTCTTTCTTTTCTTTCTTTCTTAATTTCTGTCTCTCTCTGTCTCTCTCTTTCCCTCCCTCCCTTCCTTCCTTCCTTCCTTCCTTCCTTCTCAGGGTCTCACTCTGTCACCCAGGCTGTGGAGTACAGTGTCATGATCACAGCTCATTGCAGCCTCCACCTCCAGGACTCAATCAATCCTCCTGCCTCAGATTCCTAAGTACCTGGGACTATGGACTTGAACCACCATACCTGCTAATTTTTCTTCTTCTTTTTTCTTTCTTTCTTTCTTTTTTTTTGAGAGATTGGGTCTCACTATGTTGCATAGGCTGGTCTTGAACTCCTGGGATCAAGTGATCCTCCTGCCATGGCCTCCCAAAATGGTGGCATTACAGCTGTGAGCTATTGCACCTGGCCCCTTGCTCCAATTTTTACATCTTTAATTTTATTGATCATTTTTGATAATTATTTGATAATTTGATATTTGCTATTTTCTAGTGAATATTTGATTATTTGTAGTAAACAGATTTTGCATATTTTACTAAATTTATCCTTAAGAAATTAATGTTATTTATTCTGTTATAAATGGTATTACTTTTTAAAATTTCCATTTATTTGCTGCTAGTACATAGGAAGACAATAGATCTATATTGACTTTGTATCCTGCAAACTTGCTAAACTCCCACCTTAGTTCTAGTAGCTTTTATATAGATTTCCTAGATTTTTGACACATACTATCATGTCATCTATGCGTAAATGCAGCTTTACTTCTTCTTTTTCAGTCAATATGCCCATAGCATTATCTAGGATCCCCAGTAAAATGCCAAATAGAAATAATTAAACTGGACACCCCCACTTAGTTCTTGATTTTTTGAGGAAAACATTTAGTATGTTATCATTAGGTATTATGCTTACTGTCGATTTTTTTTAATAGATGCTCTTCATCCACTCGAGAAAGTTCCCTTATGCTTCTAGTTTTCTGAGAGTTTTTTAAAATGATGAATGAATATTAAATTTTATCAAATACTTTGTTATCTATGAGATGATATAGTATGATTTTTCTGCCTGTTAATTGGATTAATTTTATTGGTTGATATTTGAATATTAAATCAGCCTGCTTAGTCACTATGTATTACTCTTTTTATATTGCTGGATTCCATTTGTTGAAAAAACATGGTTTGTAGTTTTTTTATCTTTTTCTGGTTTTGGAGTCCAAGTGATGTTGGCCTCACAAGATGATTTGGAATATGTCTCCTTCTTTTCTATTTTATGAAATAATTTGTATAGAATTAGTGTTATTTCTTCCTTAAATGTTTGGAAGAATTTACCCGTGAAGCCCTCTAGCCCTGGAATGTTCTTTGTGGAAAGGGTGTTATCTAAAACAATTATTTTGTTATTGATATCACTCTATTCAGGTTTTCTGTGTTTTCCTGAGGGGGCTTTGGTAGTTTGTATCTTTAAAGGAATTTATCATTTCATTTAAGTTGATGAATTTATTGCTAAAAATTGGTTATAATATTCCTTTTTTATTTTTAGTCTCTTCTCACCTTTTCTTGATCAATCTGGTTAGAAGTATATCAATTTTATTGCTCTTTTCAAAGGATTAGCTTTTGGTTTCACCAATCTCTATTATTATTCTGTTTTCTGTTTCACTGATTTCTGCTCTGATCTCGTCATTTCCTTCCTCCACCTTCCTTTTGGTTTGATTTCCATTCCTTTCTACTGCTTTTTTGCTGAAGAAAGAAGCTTAGATTATTGAATTGAGAGCTGCCCACCATACTGGCATTTAATGGTATCATTTTGCTTTTAAACTGCTTTAGCTTCATCCACAACTTTTGATATGTTATATTTTTATTTTCATTCAGTTCAAAATATTTTTTAACTTTCTTTGTGATTTCTTCTTTGACCCATTTGTTATTTAGAAGTGTGTTAATTTTCAATTAGTTGGAATTCCAGATTTTTTATTTGTAATTGATCTCTAGTTTAAATTCATTTTTGTTACAGACCATGTTTTGTAAGATTAATCCTATTACATTTACTAAGAGGTTTTTTTCTGTTTTGTTTTTTGTTTTTTTGGTTTTTTTTTTTTTGTTTTTAAATACAGAATAGAGGTTTAGTTCACAGTTCTTTTTTATTCTGTTTTTAGATGAAGCCTTGTTCTGCCGCCCAGGCTGGAGTGCAGTGGTGTGATCTCAGCTCATTGCAACCTCTGCTTCCTGGGCTCAAGCAATTCTCCTGTCTCAGCCTCTGGAGTAGCTGGGATCCCAGGCTCTCGCCACCATGCCCGGCCAATTTTTGTATTTTCGGTAGAGACGGAGTTTTACCCTGTTGGCCAGGCTGGTCTTGACCTCCTGACTTGAAGTGATCTGCCCACCTTGGCCTCCCAAAGGGCTGGGACTATAGGGGTGAACCACTGTGTCTGGCCTATACTAAGAGTTTTTAATAGCATAGTATATGATTTATTTTGACAAATATTCCAAATACACTTGAAAAAAATATTTACTTTGTTATTGGGTAGAGTGTGCCATTAGTGTCAATTAGGTCAAGTTGGCTGAGAATGTGGTTCAAGTCTTCTGTATTCTTACTGTAATTTCCTGTTTACTCATTCTGTCATTCACAGAGAGAGGAATGCTGAAGTCTCCAACTAAAATTGTAGATTTTTCTATTTCTTCTTTTAGTACTGTCAGTCTTTGCTTCATGTATTTTGGATTTCTGTTTTACTTGCATATACATTTAGGATTATTATTTTTTCTTTAGACTTGATCCCCTTTACTTATGAAATATCCATCTTTATCCCATGTTTATACCTTGTTTTGAAGTCTGCATTATCTGATGTTAAGATAGACATTTCAGCTTTATTCTAATTAAGGTTTCCATCCTTTCACTTTTCAAGCTATTTGTATTTTTATATTTAAAGTGGGTTTCTTGTAGACAGCATACCTTTGGGTCTTGCATTTTAATCTAATTTCATAATCACTGCTCTTTAATTAGAGTGCCTAGGCCATTTATTAATATATTTATATTTATACAATTGGATAGAACACTATCTTGTTTTTTGTTTTCTATTTGTCCCACCTGTTCATTATTCTCTCTCACATTTTATTGTCTTCTTTTTGGATACTTTTTATGACTCCATTTTTATCTCTATGAGCTTATTAGCTATTCTTTTTTTTCTTTCTTTCCTTTTATTTTTTTCTTTTGTGGTTACTTTTTTTTCTTTTGTGGTTACTCTAGAATTTACAATAAATAATTTTAACTTATCACAGTCTACTTTCAAATAACATTACAGTACTTCGTGTGTAAAAATCTTCATAACATACTCCTGTTTCCCCTCCTGTCTTTTGTACTATTGTTACAGTGTGTTTTACTTCTGCATATGATCTAAACTCTAATACAGTGCTATTGTTTATGCTAAAATAGCCAACTGTATTTAAGGAAATTTAAAAATGACAACAAATGTCCTATATTTACCCCAATACATGCCATTTTTATTACTCTTTATTGCTTGATGTAGATCCAAATCTTTATCTGTTATTATTTTCTTTCTTCTGGAGAACTTTAACACTTATAGTTCAGATCTGCTGGTGATAAAATCTCTCAACTTTTATTTGTCTGAGAAAATATTATCTTTACTTAAATTTTGAATGATGTTTTCACGTGGTGTTGAATTTTAGATAATTAGGTTTTTTCTTCCAGCACTCTAAAGTTTTTGTTGCATTGCCTCCTGGTTTGCATGGCCTCTTATAAGAAGTCTGATGATTTTTACTTTTTGTTCCTTTGTACATAATGCACATTTTTTCTCTGGCTGGTTTTAAGATTTTCTCTTTATTGCTGACTTCAGTTAATGTGATTATCACATGCTACATTAAGCTTTTGTGTGTGTGTGATTATTCTAGCAGAGGTTCATTGAGCTCTTTAAATCTGGGAGTTATATTTTTCAATAAATTTGGAAAAATTTTGGCCATTATTCTACAATTTTTTTGTCCCTCGCTTTTTCCTTCTGGAACTCTATATGTGTGTTAGGTTGCTTTACATTGCCCCACAGATCACTGATTATTAGTCGTTTTTTTCTCTTTCTGCCTCATTTTGGCTGTTTCTATTCCTATGTCTTCTCATTTTGATAGTGTCTTCCACAGTGTCTAATCAGCTATTAATCCCATCTGGTATATTTTCACTTCTGGTATTATGTTTTTTATGTCTAGAAGTTTCATTTGGGTCTTTTTGGCCCATGTATACTAGTTAATCATCTCTGTCATTTCTGCATCTGTTCCTATTGATTGATTTTTCTTCTATATGAGTTACATTTTTGCTTTTTTACATGCCAGGTAATTTTTGATGGAATGCTGGTCATTGCGAATTTTAAGTTATTGATGCTAAAAGGTACTTGAAAAAGTGCTGGACTTTATTTTTTGGCGTGAAATTTAGTTGTTTGAATCAGCTTGATCCTTTTGAGTCTTGATGTTAAGATTTTTTTGCGGCTGGTTCATAGCAACTTTTACTCTAAAGCTATTTTAGTCCCAATCCTAAGGTGTGGTACTTCAGAGAACTCTACCTACTGCCCTGTGTCTTACAAGGTCTCTCCACTCTGGCGAGAAAGTAAACTATTCCTAACTCTATGTAAGCTCCAGTAATTGTTCTGGTTACTGGTTTTCAGTGGTTCTTTTTGTGACCTCCTGGATAGATCTGTACTCAGGTCTAAGATTCCAGGAGGTGGCTCTGCAGATCTCTAGTACTCTAGCCTGCAAATTCTAAACGCCTAATCCTTCCCAAACTCTAGCATCTATCTCCTGAGCTCAGTGGCAGTGCCGAATTTTGCTTGGATTCTCTCACTTTGCTCTGTGCACTAGAAACTATCTCTAGGCGGGAAGCAGGGGTAATTATCGGGTATGCCTCATTTGATCAGGGACTATAGTTCTCCTCTGTCTGAAGCAGTTTTAAAGTATATTTTTGGATGGTTTTCTAATTGTTTATGAAGGAAAGGCAATTCCCACAGTAGTTAAATTTTCATGGGCAAAAACAGAAGTCTGTCTATGAATATAATTTACTGTAAAGATAGATTTTTTTCTGAGTAAAATATCTCCTTTTCTAGATATTTAATTAAAAGTTTTTTATTTTTCCATTTTAAAGTGTCACAAAGCCTCTTCTAATTTAAAACAAACTGAAAGTCTTCAATTCCCAACATTTTTGACCTAACAGGAAGAAGAGCAGTGCTTTATTTTTCTTATATGATGCCACTTTTTGCCATACAAGTCAGGTTTTAAAAGTCAGTTGTTATACACATAAAATATTGTAAGGAAATATGTAATATCGGGATACTTGAGATTATATTTTCTAGAAAATGCACTACTTTTCTGTTCATTTAAGCCCTTACTAAAATCATTTTTTTCTTCCTAGTTACCAGTTGGGCTTTAATAATTGTACAAGTAACAATTTTTATGGCATTTTGTATATTTGGTCACTTAAAATTTAAAAATGATAAAATATCAGTTGCTTTATATAAAGTGTTGACAAGTTATTTATCAGGATCAAAACTCAGTGCATAACTAGAATAAGAAATATCTATTTATGGCTGATATTATTTAATAACACGTGCACTTCTCACTTCAGTAGAGAACATTTGGTACCTCTTCGCAAGGAAATTCTATTCTCTTATAGCTCTTCCTAAACAGGTTATAAATATTTGTGATATTCCTTTTTGAATTAGTCTAATTCTTTGTAATACATTGAGTTTCTGTGTTTTGCAGAGCCTTTGAAGACTAACTTAAACGATAGGGATTTGAGGAATTATAAATTAACTGTGTTGTAATATTTCCTTCTACTTATGTGTTAAGTACTTTGCGAAAATAAGTACTTTCTAGGCTGGGCATGGTGGCTCACGCCTGTAATCCCAGCAGTTTGGGAGGCCAAGGTGGGCAGATCATGAGGTCAGGAGATCAAGGCTATCCTGGCTAACACGGTGAAACCCCGTTGCTACTAAAAGTACAAAAAATTAGCTGGGCATGGTTGTGCGTGTCTGTAATCCCAGCAACTCGGGAGGCTGAGGCAGGAGAATCGCTGGAACCCGGGAGGCAGAGGTTGCAGTGAGCCGAGATCATGCCACTGCACTCCAGCCTGGGTGGCAGAGCGAGACCCTGTCAAAAAAAAAAAAATTACTTTCTACATAAGCAGAATATCTATAGAAACAACAAAAAAACTTTTATTCTCATTTTCCAGAGATAAAATCTTTTTCATACATATATATATATATATTTTTTTTTTTTTTTTTTTTTTTTTTTTTTTTGAGACAGATTCTTGCTCTGTCACCTAGGCTGGAGTGCAGTGGCATGACCTCAGCTCATTGCAATCTCCACCTCCCGGGTTCACGCCATTCTCCTGTCTGAGCCTCCCAAGTAGCTGGAACTACAGGCACTCGCCACCACGCCCAGCTAATTTTTTTGTATTTTTGGTAGAGACGAGGTTTCACCGTGTTAGCCAGGATGGTCTCGATCTCCTGACCTTGTGATCCGCCCATCTTGGCCCCCCAAAGTGCTGGGATTACAGGCGTGAGCCACCGCGCCTGGCCAGTATTTTATTATCCCTGAATAGAAACAAGCTTGCCTAAAATACCTGTCATGTCTTGTGGTTGTATACCCTTCACCTTTAAAAATAGATACATTTGGAGACACTATTACTTGGCAAGTCCTCCATTATTTTGTGTTTTTATATCTTAATAATGAAGCATAAGATAATCAGTGGAAATTATGATGATAATTAAGAAATTGTAGAGCACCTACAGGAAGGGATGGTTACATTTCTTTTAATACTATATTGGGCCGGCCGGGCGCGGTAGCTCATGCCCGTAATCCCAGCACTTTGGGAGGCTGAGGTGGGCGGATCACGAGGTGAGGAAATCGAGACCATCCTGGCTAACACGGTGAAACCCCATGTCTACTAAAAATGCAAAAACAAAAAATTATCCAGGCGTGGTGGCAGGTGCCTATAGTCCCAGCTACTTGGGAGGCTGAGACGGGAGAATGGCGTGAACCCGGGAGGCGGAGCTTGCAGTGAGCTGCGGTCGCACCACTGCACTCCAACCTGGGCGACGGAGCGAGACTCCATCTCAAAAAAAAAAAAAAAAAAAAAAAAAAGTATTGGGTCATTATTCTTGTATCTGAAAAAAAAGTTTGAATTCTGCTGGTTGTCATCATGTTTTGGACTATTGAAATTCTTATGTTTTTCTGGCCCTATTTTTGCTTGTTAATTATCAAAATAACATAACTGACATCTACACAATAGGTCAAACTTTAAAAAATTCATAGCTTTTAATTTTCATTTTGTTTATATTTATGCTATGTGAACATCCTGCATTTTAGAGTTTGTATATTACTTTGGGGAATAACTGCAGAGTCTTCCCGTTTACATAATTGTATTTAATGATAAAAAGAAAACCATGATGTCATGATGCCTGTGGTCCTCTGATGTTCTTTGTTATCAATTAAAAAATAAACTAGATTTTCTAATTCCCCAGTTCCTTGAAGATTTATTTTAAAAAGTGACCTGAATTTTTTTAACTTCATGCAAAAATGTTGCATTGTTTACAAGATGAATATTAAAATGATACAATTAGAATGAATAGTGATTTCCTTTGAGGTTCTCTTGAGAAAGAAAGTGCGACACCCAGACACCTTGGGATATCGCATGAAACGTATATGTTATCTACAAACCTGATTTGATATTAATGTATTCTACTCATCAAGTTTATTTTCCCTGTTGACTGAAGTTAACATTAATCCTTTAATTTGCAAATACTACAGTTCTAAAAATTACGTTTCCAAGTTGTTCGCTGGTGGTTATGCT
Organism: Homo sapiens; assembly: GCF_000001405.40. Classification (NCBI taxonomy): domain Eukaryota; kingdom Metazoa; phylum Chordata; class Mammalia; order Primates; family Hominidae; genus Homo; species Homo sapiens. Next base: position 59,978,480 of record NC_000015.10, on the reverse strand, counting down.
ATATGGTGTCATTGTAAACTCACTTCTGAGAAGATTATTTACAGTTACTCTAGAAGATGAAATTATCTCCAACATGTCTTTCTTGCAAAATTAGTGGAAATACTGGTTGCTATTAAACATGATCAGCTGCTATGACAGCAGGGTACTTGTAAAAAAAATTACTTACTATCTCTTTGTTTTCAGTCTTCACTGAGGTGAATATATTTAATGTAATTATTCAGCTGCTAACCAGCCACTGATGTTAACTATCTCTGTTTAAATAAAGTGCATCTTAAACAAAATCTATGCCACACCAAAGGTTTTATTTTTTTTCTTAAGAATTCTATTTTGTGTTTATATCTAGAAAAGGAATTTAATGAAGTATTGTGCTTTCTAAGCCCACACGTATTATTACACAGAGAAAATCTGATCATTCTTGTATCTTCAGAAAGGGTGGCATCGTGTCAAATTAAAATTTTGGATTTCTTAATCAGCCAGTGATTTATAAGACAATTTGGGGACAATTTACTTTATGAGTGCCTCAATTTACCTTTTCAACAGCAATGAAAACTTCGTGAGACTCTTTTGTATTTAGTGAAATACACTGGAACAAAGAGATGAAAACAGCGAGTGAACTATAAACTTCTCTTCTATTCTTATTATAGAAAAAATTACTCCAAGCCAGCAATGGGCAAAATATGTAAATATAATGCCCTTAGGTATACATGTAGTGCCTGTTGATTTCAAGGGAAGCCATGCAAATGTATATGAATAGAATTTGATTCTGAGTCTCTTCAGTTGGCTCAACAATTTAGGTTTTCAGTTATATTTATGTTTTACTATATCCCCCAAACAGCTCACAGAATAAATGTATTTTATGTCTTGAATCATCAGCCGGTCTTAAAACTGCTCTTTCTTTCTCTATGTAAATATTCCGACGTAGCTGGTTGCCTAACAAGCTTGCTTAACCATCCAGCAAACTTCGAATCCAAGGCCTATTCATACTTCTTGGTTCTGATATATGACTTTAAACTGGAAAAGAATCTTTTCAAAAATACGTTGCTCCCCAAGCATCACTCTAAGGAACAGAATGTAGCTGGGTTGGCTATTATTTGGGGGTTTGGAAACGCGGCTTAATGATATTCATATTAGAAATGATAAACCTGGAGAGTTATAACTTCTGTCTCCAATATATTAAGTCTGAACTTTGGCTCAACTGCTATTTTGATGGAAAGGTTTGTGCTGTTTCCTGCATTTATTTGAGTTGCCAGACTTCTTAAATGGCTTTTAAATATCTTAAGTAGAGCAATTCACTATTATATAGTAATTTTGTAGTTCTTTATGTTATTACTTGTTGAAAGTTACAAGCAGTGCATTTTTTGTTTCAAAACAAATTTCTATACCCAGCACAATTTCCAGTTTATAGTAGGTGCTCAACAAATACCTGTTAAGTAGATGAATATCAGCTGCTTCTGTATTCTTTTGATTCCTTGCTCTTGCTGTACCTGCATAACCATGAGTTCCAGGTGTCACACTATTGTACCCCACCTTCTACTCTAAAAAATATCAAAATAGGACCTTCGTTCAAGGTCCAACCAGAAAGAAGGAATCACTCTTCTTAAATCAGAGGAAATTTATTTAGTGCAAAGAACAGGTTACACAGGTGCAGAAAGAGCTGAGAAGATGAAAAGAGCACAAGAAAGCAACACAGAGGTTAGCAGTAGCAGGAAGCTACACGCCTAGACTGGAGGGACAAAGGGAGGAAGTGGAGTGGAGGAAGTGGTGTTACCACAGCTCAGAGGCTGGGGGCACCTGATGGAAGCTGAAACCACAGAAGACCATTCTGATAGACACTGATACTAAAGAGGTGATGCAAGAACGTGATACCCGACAGGCACCAGAAGCAGAGAACGGAAGAGGTCCTCTGGCTTCTCTCTTCCTTCTGCCCTCCTATTTCTCATTAGCCAAACACTGTAAAATGCCCGTTGACATGGGGGCATATGGAAGGCAGCCTGCAAGCCTCCCCAGCCCCCTAGACTGAGCAGAGCAGGGAAGGACAAATAATAGATCTGAGAGCAAACAGGCCATGACCTGATCCACTACCAAAGGAAGATATTTGGGAATAATAATAATAATATTTTAGAATAATATATTTGGCAATTTTGTGCTTTCCATTCCCTTCTGACATATCCCTGCCTGCCAGTCACTCTGCCCATTAACTCCTATCCCAGTGTGGCCTCACCAGTGATACTTCACCAGTCCTTTGATCCTGAGAGCCCTTCATGAGGCATAATCCAAGATCAGACAGCTGGCCCTGTACTTTACATGCCACTCGATCACCCATTACAGAGGAATCCAGCCCAGTGGACCTTGCTCCAGAACTTATCCCCCAGCCTCGCAGCTGATTTCACTGCCAGAGATGGTGGATGATTCTCCTGAGCTCCTGGTGGAGAGAGCAATGCGATCTTGGTTACCCAGGCCAACTTCCAAGCTTTTAGTGGTGTGATTAGGGCAGCCTCTGCGTCACCACAATTCCACCCTTATATTTTTCAATGAAGATTTTTTCTTTGGCAATTATTGTCCTTCACATTTTATGCTTCATTTATAAGAGTCTAATTTGCATTGCAACGTACAGACAAGCTACAAATTAAGACATCTTATTACGATTATCACTATTCATAACATTTTTCACTAGGCATCTGCTTTGATTTCTACAACAACCACATGATGTTAAGGCAGAGTTTCCCACCATTGGCACTATTGTCATTTTGGGCTGGACAGTTCTTTGTTGTGGGTTGTCCTGTGCACTGTGGCATGTTTAGCAGCACCCCTGACCTCTATTCACTGGATGCCAGTGGCACAGTGGCACTCCCCTCCCCCTACTTGTGCCAACCAAAAATGTCTCCAGACTTTGTCAGTTGTCCCATGAGGGATGAAAATCACCCTTCTTTGAGAACCACTTTGTTAAGAGGAGTACAATTATCGTGATCCACATTGTACAGATGAAAATACGAAGGTCAGAGATGTTAAGGAAGCATTCCAGGGATTTTTTACTTATACACCATCATATATTTTAACTTTTTACATAGGCTATACGTCAAATATCAATAAGAAATTCCTGGGGTGAAAAATTTGCTGGTCTGGGGCAAAGTTAAAACTGGGACCCAAAATATAAGGAAAAAAGGCAATATTTACTATTTTGAAATCCATTTCTAGGCCCTAGAAATTAAAGCAAGAATCTTGATTTTGATAACTGAAGGTTTGTATAATATTATCCTAATAGCTCTGTGTTATAAGAAATTGAGTGTCAGGACTACTGGGGACAGCCCTGGAATTTACTAAGCAGGGAAAACAGCACTAGTGGCTTTCTATCTGGCATTGACGTAATGACTAAATTTTTTTCCCTATATTTAAAATCTTTGGTTTCTTCAAGATAAGAACACCTTAATTTCCCTGATCACATCTGTCTGCTCACTAATGTGCATGTTTTCCTCTTTGTCAGCAGTTGGCTACCAGATGAAGTTTAGATAAATGGTTGTCAGCTTCCCTTACACTTGTTATGATGAGGTTTGGATGAAAGACTTACAGCAGATACTCTCAATGAGAAGAGTCCTGCACTCTCTGCAGTTCATTGAACCCATATGGATCAGAACAGCTGGAAGGATGGATATGCTACCTGAGGCCAGCAATTGTGTCGCCAACCATGACTCCCACTTGCTGACCCTCGTATAATGCATTGCAGTTCAGGGAACGTTGATCACTCCTTTCCATTTTGTGATGGATGGTGCCGTTTAAAACTGATGGCCTTGGAAACCACTGGTGAGTTTCTACATCTCACAGATGCAAGTGAGGCAGATAGTCAATAAATAATGGCATGTACTAGAGAAACATACACTGCTCTCCACCATGTGGGCTAAATGGTCCTGCCAACAAGCAAGGGTGACATTAGCTTAGGCCTGGAATGGAAAGGCATCTAGAAAAAACTATTTCTGGCTGGTACTGTTATAAGAAATACATGCTTCTTTCTGGACCTGTGTTTAAGATTGCTTTATGCATGTTGCTTGATTCTAGGGTGGCGCTAAAGCACCTGCACTACCTAGATGTTAATCTATGGCTAGCAAAGTGATAGCAACGCTTAAGAGGACAAAGCTTTACTGAATTAGATGCACTAATTAGGGCTGGAGTTTTGGGTACCACTTCATGGAAGGCAATTTTCTTCAGTCGTGTAAAGCTTGGCGAGGCATTCAGAATCATCTGGAAAGACTGCCATGATTGACACTGTTAAAGTTTTACATCATTCACAAACTCCGCTGACACTGAGTCCATTCTCCCAGAGCAACCTTCCAATTTCAGCTGCGCTTTACAAGTAGTCTCAACTCCAAATGGCATATAAGGCAGACAAACAAATGGGACGTCCTAGTCACACCCTAGTTAATAGATACATCAAGTATGTTTTTCATTATACAAATTAATCAATTGGCAACAAGTATAAAAAATGATTAAAATCAGTTAATGAGTTTTCAGTTGTAAAAAGGTCAGTTGTAGTCCCTGTGTTCGGCTGCATTCATTTGTTTGGGAAGAAGTAAAATGAAGCCTCAGAAAAGCTTTAGCATTTTATCAGGTATTCTTTAACATAGTTTTCCAGTTGTTTTGTGTGGGACCTTCTTTCCCCAAGAAGATGGCAAGGTTTTTTTTTTTTTAATTAATTAATTAATTATTTTTATTTTTGCTATTTTGTATATTCTCTAGTACATACTACAATGCTGGGGATAGGCTTAATGTTCATTGAAAAATCTATAGTTTGTTTTCTGGTTATCCTAATATATCCAGCTAATTAATTAAAGAGGTATCTGTAAAGATGTGGAACAGTATATCACAAGTACAGTGGCATCCTGTGAAATGACGGTTTGGTTGATTTATGCATCCATACAACGGGGTCAGTAGTAAATCACCATTACTATGTGATCATGATGTCTTTTACTAAAGGAGCATTTATCGTGAGTTCCAGTATGTGTGTGTGCTTTAAAGAGAAATGGTAGAGGCTACTGCTGTATTGAATTTACATAAAGGAAAGAAAATTCAAAATGTTTAAGGAGGGAGGGTAGTTGAATTTGCTAGTAGTACATTTATGATCTGAAGCTGTGTTGTGATATTTGGCTATTACTCCACCTCACTAGATGTGAAGATTAGAGCAGTGAAAAGCTCCTAAAAAAATGATTTTTTGAAATAATTCTGTTCTAGATGCTGGTGTGGATATCAAATAGCTTTAAAACACTAACACAGTCCCGGTGTGGTGGTTCACGCCTATTATCCCAGCACTTTGGGAGGATGAGGCAGGCAGATTGCTTGAGCCCAAGAATTCGAGACCAGCCTGGGCAACACGGTGAAACTCCATCTCTACAAAAAATACAAAAACTAGTCAGGTGTGGTGGCATGCACCTGTAGTCCCAGCTACCTGGGAGGCTGAGCTGGGAGGATCACCTGAGCCCAGGAGGTCAAGGCTGCAGTGAGCTGTGATCAGATCATTGTACTCTAGCCTGGGTGACAGAGTGAGACCTCATCTCAAATATAAATAAAATAAAATAAAAATACTAAGAGAAGGCTGATTCAAATAGAAAATTCTCAAATAAACTACTGTTGATTAAAATCTGTGCTGTCCCCATTTTTATAAGTTGTTAATGTATGTTAGTAATTTAATATTAGATTTACTTTAAGCTGCTTTGAATCTTGGGGTGTTTATGTCTTTTCTTGGCTTTGAAACACTGACTCAGTCTTTCTAGTAACCTCTGAATTGTCATAGACAAGGTGTAAATTCTCCTGTACTTCATCGATAATTTCCAGTCAAATAGTTTGGTAATAGCTCACTGTATTAATTTCTGGTGATTGCTATAGCAAAGTACTGCAACATGGAGACTAAAAACAACAAACTACCTGAAAACAACGGAAATGTATTATTTCACAGTTCCTGAGCCCAGAAGTCTGAAATCAGTATGACTATGCTGAAGTCAAGGTGCCAATAGAGCTGGGCTACCCTCCAGAGGCTCTGCAGGGGCATCTATTTCTTGCATCTTCTGCCTTTGGATGGCTGAGAATTTCTTGACTCATGGCTGTATCATTTCATTCTTTTCTTTCATGGTCATATTACCTTATCCTCTTCTGTCTGTCAAATCTCCCTCCACCTCCCTGTGGCTATGATATCATTGCATTTAGAGCCCAGGTAGATAATCCAGAATAATCTCCCTATTTTAAGATCCTTAATCTAATCACATCACTGAAGTCCTTTTTTTGCCATGTAAGAAAACATTCATAGGCATAGGTTCCAGGGATTTGAAGGCAGCTACATTTGGAGGGGGGTAACATTATTCGGACAACTTGAATTCTTTATTAATTGAGTATAGCACTTTAGTTTTAAATCCTTTTCCCTCAGCACTTACATTTTTTTCTACTGCTTTCAATTGTTTGTTACATTTAAGGAGTCAGTGCTGTTTTAATTGCCGTTCTTTAGTAAGTAATCTCTTGCACCATGCCCCCAAACATATATGCACATACTGGAAGCTTAAAAGAATTTTCTTTTTTTTCAAATGTCTCCAGGATTTGTCTGTATATTATGGTCTTCCCTGCTCCCATTATTTCTATAGATAGTTAACATGCCTTTTCCATATAATAATTTAAATATCTCTTCACTTCCTAGAAATATTTAGTATGTCTTTATTTGTTCCCCTCCATCTTCTCTGTTATCTCTTTCTAGAAATCTTATTAGAAATATTTTGGATATCAGATGTGTTTGACTGCTTCTGTGAGACTGGGAGGATCTTTTGGTTTTTATCCTATGTGTTATTTTTTCCATTTTTAATAATTTTATTTTTAATTTATATATATTATATATTTTCATGGTCCATGTATTAATTTAATACAGTCATATAATTAAAGATTTATCTTTTCCTTATGCTAGAAACATTTGAATTATTATTCTATTCTAGGTATTTTTAAATATATGGTAGATTATTATAAACTATAGTCACCCTACTGAGCTATCAAACACTAACGTCTTATTTCTTCTGTAAAACTGTGTATTTGTACACATTAATCAACTTCTCTTCATCTCCCTCTCCCCCTTACTCTTTCCAGCCTCATTTCACTTAACATAATGACCTCCAGTTCCATTCATGTTGCTGCACATGACAGGATTTCATTCTCTTTTGTGTCTGATTAATATTCTATTGTGTGTATATATATATATATATATGCACACATATATATTCGAATATATATACATATATACACATATATACATATATACACATATATACATATATACACATATATATACACATATATATTCGAATATGTATATATTAGAAAAAAATATATACGTATTTTCTTTATCCATTCATCCATTGATGGACACTTAGGTTGATTTCATATCCTGACAGTTGTGAATGGTGCTGCAATAAACATGGGAGTACAGATAGCTCTTTGATATCCTGATTTTCTAAAGTGTATACCCAGTAGTGGAATTGCTGGATCATATGGTAGTTCTAGTTTTAGTTTTTAGAAGAGCCTCTATACTGTTTTCCAGCCATTAGTATGGCTGTACTACCTTACATTCCCATCAACAGTGTAAGAAGTTTCCCCTTTCAGATTGGGAGGATCTTGATTGCCCTAATAAGGAGTAGGTTTTCTGGTTTGGGAGTATTTTTCTACACATATCTGCAGACTGGATATGCTATTATTCGAAGATTACAGATGGCAGTGAGGAGCTGAGCCACTGGATTTTCACGACATAGGTGAGCAGAGGACTGGATGTAGGACTTAAAGCTTTGCCTTGTTGGGCTACAGTCAACCAATGAGAAACTCTGAGCTAAATTGAAAATGCCTTTCATCAGAAGAGAAGCCCCATGGGCACTGGGAATGAACATATCTCACATTTATCTTGGATCTTCCAGAATTCCAGCAGAATTCTACCCTTGGATCAAAATCCACTAGCTTTACCATGGCCTTATAGGCCATGGAATGATCTATTGCACTTTTTTGGGTTGACTGAGTTTGATTTGTTTTCTTATCTCATTGTTTTCTCTGTCAAACTTGGAGTTATACATGCCATTTTCTATTCTTTTATTGATTGCCCTCAAAATTTTAATATGCATCTTTAAGTCTAAAGTTAATTAATATCTTAACCCAATTATGCCTGGTGTTCCACTATTGGAACGCTAAACTTGTGTGAGTTATTTGTATCCTACTGCTGAAGGTCATCGCCAAGGTCTGATTTTTCACACAAAAAATTTGCAACCTCCAGCATAAATGGGTTAACCACCTTTCTAAATAATACAAGAACACTTTGATCAGACTGCTACCTTTCAATGCTATAACATTCTTGCTCAGAATTTAGATGCTCTTTTTAACCCCGTTAATTATATATTGTTATTTTGATATGGATAAACAACTGTACAGTTTACCAATATTTTTGATCATCTTTTCTTCTTTCATCTCAGACCTTTTATCTTAGAGAATTTTCCTTCTTCCTAAAGAATATTTTTTAGAGGTTTCTTTAATAAAAGTTTGTTGGTGGTAAACTCTCACCATTTCTGTTTCTATTTTTAAAATAAAAAAATGTTTAATTTGCCCTCATTCTTAAAAGATGAGGATAATTTTAAAACTTAAAAGATAGCTTTGTTGGGTACAGAATTGTAGGCAGATATTTACTTTTTGCTCAGCTATTTGAGGTAATTATAATTCACCATCTCTTGGCTTCCATTGTTGCTGTTCATCTAATTGTTATTGTTTGGAGGTGCTCTGGCTTTTCTCTCTTGCTGCTTGTAAGATCGTTTTCATTTTGTTTTTGGTTCTCTGATGTTTTACCACAATATGTCTAGGATTTATTTAATCATTTTAGTCTGTTTGGTAGTAGCCATAATTTTTATACCTGTGAATGTATATCTTTCATCCATTCCATAAAATTCTCAGCCATTATTTTTGTTGCCTTCTTTTTATTCTACTTCTATTCTTCTAGGACTTTGATTAGATGTATGTTAGCCCTTTTCATTTCACCTTCTCTTAAATTCTTTTCTTTTTTTTTTTTTTTGAGATGGAGTCTCGCTCTGTCACCCAGGTGACAGAGTGCAGTGGCGTGATCTCGGCTCACTGCATGCTCTGCCTCCCGGGTTCATGCCATTCTCCTGCCTCAGTCTCCCGAGTAGCTGGGGCTACAGACACCCGCCACTAGGCCTGGCTAATTTTTTTGTATTTTTAGTAGAGACGGGGTTTCACCGTGTTAGCTAGGATGGTCTTGATGTCCTGACCTTGTGATCCGCCCACCTTGGCCTCCCAAAGTGCTGGGATTACAGGCTTGAGCCACCGCGCCCGGCCCTTAAATTCTTTAATATTTTTGATCTCCTTGTCTCTGTGTTACATTCTGAGTAACTCCCAGTGATTGATATTCCGGTATGCTACTTCTTTCTCCAGCTGTGTTCAATATGCTGTTTAATTCTGAATTCATTTTTTCTTCAGATTTTATTTTTAAAATCAACTTTATTGGGGTATAATTTACATAAAGTGCACCCATAGTAAGTCTACAATTTGATGATTTTTTCCTTCTTCCTTAAAGAAAGTCATATCAGTCATTAATATTTATTCCCCTGTGAAGGTCATTGTTCTAATTTCCATTATTCAAAGGGGAAGTTCTGTCCTTGATGACACCCAAAACTACGCTATTATGAGGCGGCATCAACAGCATCCTCAGCACTGGGAGAAAAAGCCAAGCAGCTCATTCTTTCTACAAAATTGTTGCTCCATTTCATTATTACCAGGGCTCCTGCAAGGATTCCCACATGCCTTGTCCAGTGATGTCCTGAGGTCAGTAGAGTCACAGCTGAGCAGGGAACAGGCACTTCTAAGCAGGAAGGCATGACAGTATGAGAGAGATTTGTAGCAGTGGAACCTTTATGCAGTTTACACAACACTTCCGATGAACTAGGTATAGTTGCCGAGAAAAAATCAAAGTTCATTTCTGATAGCTTCATCTTGCTCAATCATTATTTTTTAGGGCTACTTCAACTCTTAAACTGCAAAAAGCCAAAGAGGAGAAAAACAACTTTGAACTCTAGGATTTGAGATTTTCTAGGATTTGAGATTCCAACCTTTCATTCACTTGGCAGATGGATCCTGAAACATGCTAGGTGTCAGGCTTTGCTCCCTCCCTGTCTTTGGGAGGTGGCCTGATGGTTTCAGTAAGAGTAAGTTGGGAGTGGTAGCACATGTCTTAGCTTAACTTTATTTAACATTTTTCTCTTTCAAACTGTAGATTCAGATCTGACTATACATTGCACATTTCTGTTTTTGTTTTGTTTTTGTTTTTGAGAGAGGGTCTCGCTTTGTCATCCAGTCTGGAGTGCACTGGCATGATCTCAGGTCACTGCAAACTCTGCCTCCTGAGCTCAAGCAATCCTCGTATCTCAGCCTCTCCAGTAGCTAGGACTCTAGGTGCCTGCCACTATGCCAGCTAATTTTTGTATTTTTGTAGAGATGGCATTTCGCCATGTTGCCCAGGCTGGTGTTGAACTCCTCATACCTCGGCCTCCCAAAATTCTGCGATTACAGGCATTAGCCACCGTGTCTGGCCCAATTGCACATTTCTTTAGTAGTTTCTTTTTTTCTTTCTTTTTGAGGCAGAGTGTCACTCCATTGCCAGGCTGGAATGCAGTGGTGTGATCTCGACTCACTGCAAGCTCCACCTCCTGGGTTCAAGTGCTTCTCATGCCTCAGGCTCCCGAGTAGCTGGGATTACAGGCACGCGCCACCACACCCAGCTAATTTTTGTATTTTTAGTAGAGACGGGGTTTCACCATGTTGGCCAGGATGGTCTCGATCTCCTGACCTGGTGATCCACCCACCTCGGCCTCCCAAAGTGCTGGGATTACAGGTGTGAGCCCCAATTGCACATTTCTAAGTATTTTTTTTTTTCTTCTGCAGTTACAAACCCTTCATCTGGGGTGGTGTAGGTATAAAATAGAAATTGCCAAAAGGCAAATTATTCTATTTTCATTAGAAATTTAACTTTAGTTTTGTTTCTATCATAGAACTATTTTACAAACCCTAAAACTATTCTACAGAAAGCTATCTCCGGTCTTTTTGCTTTACAAATTGGTAAAACTTCTACAACATTTTAATCGGTAGCAAACTATGTAACAAGCTTGTGTTTTCAACATAAAGCTAAGACTAATTATTTGAGACTACTACTTTTGGTTAAACTTCACACAAAAGGACAAGAAGAAAAAAAGTATAAGAAAACAGACCCTTTTTCTGATTAAATTCACAAATGGCAGATTCACAGTAGGCTGAAACAGAAACAGCAGGGTTCTTCAGAAACTCCAGTTTTTAAAGACAAATTCTCACTATTTAGCCCAGACTGGTCTCAAAGTCCTGGGCTCAAGTGATCCTCCTGCCTTAGCCTCCCAAATAGATGGGATTACTGAGCATGTGCCACTGCACCCCACTCAGGTCTTTTGATTAAGCTACCAATAAAGGTTAAGAGCATTCAGACTTATAAAATCCTTGAATGAGTCCCCTCAATTTCTGTGGTTTTCTAGATTCAATGTAGCCTGATGTCCTTTCTGAAGTTGTTCCTGAAGATAAAGACAGGGCGGATGGCCAGGGCTAGAGCATAACCCACAACAAGCCTAAATAAATGTGTATAGAGTGTAAGGCAGTAGCTCTCTACCTCTGGGGGGCATCAGAAATAACCTGCGTACCTTTCTAAACATACAAGGGCTTGGACCTCACTCCCTTCTTCCAAAGGTGAAGCTCCAGGCAGATAGGTCTTGCCAAAATTTAGTTGGCCACTTTGATGTGTGCCACAGAGAACTAACTATTGGTGCAATGTTTCTGCCAGGCATATTCACAACCTTTATTTTGCATAACTGGAGATGATTTATCAATGGTGCATTTTACAAGATCACCACTGTAAGATTTCCTTCCTTTGTCTACCCTAGCTGCAGATTACCCAGCAGCAGGCATCAATAAAATGTCAATTCCCTTCATAACCAAAGTTAGAATTTTCAATGAACTTTTGTTTTTCACACTTTACTTCTTATATGTGGTAGAGCTAGGCTGTTGCTTTTTGACTTCTTACTCATAGCTAGTTTCACTGAAAATTCTTTTGGTTTTAGTGTGCTGCTAATCTCTTGTTTTAAAGATAAAGAGATTGTACATTCTTTTTTTAAAAAAAACATACAAAAAAATTCATCTTAGCAATTTCTGATAAAAGGGAAAAAACCCTGATTTTAACTTACCACTGATTTTTACTAAACTTTTAAGCTTTAGTTTAGGCAACAGCGTCACAATTTCTTTCCCCAGTTACTAAAACCCAGGTTGTTTCAAATCCCGAAAAGGGAAGTCCAAAACATCATGCTGTAGAATTCCTATGCCTTAGCTTCTGTGACATTTCTCTGCAAAGGGGCCAGGATGACTGCAACATTCCTGTCTTCATTCTTGGAACTGTACAAATTATGCTTTTCCATGTATTCTTGGACAAGATCTGGTACCAAGTAGCAAATGCTCTGGCCCCTTCTGAGGGCTCTCCAGATTTTTGTGGATGAGATGTCATTAGTAATCCATTCCTTCACAACATGAATGTTGCTCTGGTGTTTCCACAGCACATCAGATTCATAGATGAATTTCTGCGCATCATTTCCAGCCTAACTAATACATATGCGCCCATAGCCTGCCACGATTTAGGCGATATCTTCACTCTTCCACGAAGGACTCCAATAAATCTGCCCCACATAGCAGCTTGACCTTTGGCACACCTTTCGTTTTGGGCTCTAGGGATTTCTTTTGACTAGACTCTTGTCTTTGTTCAGTCCACTTCTTCTTCCGTCCAGGCCTTGCTAGTGTAGATGAGTTCTGCTAGTGATCACAGTTACTGGCCTCCACTTTCTCTTGATGGTGTCTTAACAATCTCTGTCCAGTCCTTCTGAAGACTTTCCGGGTATTAACTCCCACCCATTTGGAATTCTTGGTGGCAAGTTCTGCCATGATGACCCAGTGATGAGCAGGAATGAGTCTTTTCTCCTTCTTTTTTCTTTTTTTTTGAGACAGAGTCTTGCTCTGTCACCCAGGCTGGATGGAGTGCAGTGGTGCAATCTTGGCTCACTGCAAGCTCCGCCTCCCGGGTTCATGTCATTTTCCTGCCTCAGCCTCCCAAGTAGCTGGGACTACAGGCACCCGCCAACATGCCCGGCTAAGTTTTTGTATTTTCAGTAGAGACGGGGTTTCACTGTGTTAGCCAGGATGGTCTTAATCTCTTGACCTCGTGATCTGCCTGCTTCAGCCTCCCAAAATGCTGGGATTACAGGTGTGAGGCACCACGCCTGGCCCCAGAAATGAGTCTTTTCTTCTAATATGCATTGCCAACAGGAGAGATTATGAGTTTGACAACTCTGTATCTTCCTGTTCCATTGATGTAGACTTTGCCAGCTCAAACAATCTGAGGTGCATGTCGGTGATAGGTTTAAAGGAACTGCAAGCAAAGAGAACCACTTCAGTCTTCTCTGAATTTTCCATGTTAAGAACTTGAAGTTGTTGATCTAAATGGAAAACTGTGACATCTCTCTTGTTGTAGTTCCACATAGCTGGGGAGGCCTCAGGAAATTTAGTCATGGCAGAAGGTGAAAGGGAAGCAAGGCCATGTCTTAGATGACAGCAGGTGAGAGAGAGCCAATTTGATGGTTTTTGACAAATACACTTACCTGTGCAATCGCCTCCCAAAATAAGATTATTAACCATTTTCACAACCACTAAAGTTTTCTCTTGCCTCTTTGGATCTGTTCTCTACCTGCCCTAATCTTGATCCCTGGCATCTACTACTCTGCTTTCTGTAACTATAAGTTACCTTTTTCCATTTTAGGATTTTATACAAATGATTTTATATAAAATAAGATTTTATATTATATGATTTTAGGAATCATATATGTACTCTTTTGTATTGGGCTTCTTTCACTTAGCAAAATGTTTTTAAGATTCATACATGGTGTCATGTGTATCGGTAGTTTTTACCATTTTATTTCGGAGTAGTAGTCCACTTGATGGATATACCACATTTTGGTAGTCCCTCTTCCTATTGATAGCCATTTGGGTTGTTTCTAGATTTTTGGCTCTTGTGACTGAAGCAGTTATGAACTTTTGTGTACAAGTCTTTGTGTGGACATATGTTTTTATTTTTCTTAGGTAAATACCTAGAAGTTGGATTTCCAGTTTGTGTGATAAATATATGTTTAACTTTAAAAGAAAATGCCAAACTTTTGCTAATATCACTGTACATATTACTTCCCATCATAAATGTATAAGAATTCTGGTTGCTCTATATCCTCATCAATACTTAGTATGGTTAGTCTTTTTAGTTTTAATCCTTCTAGCAGGTATGTAGTTGTATTTCATTGTGGGGTTTTGTTTCTTTGTTTCTTTCCTTTTTTTTTTTTTTTTTTTTGTGACAGAATCTTGCTCTGTGGCCCAGGTTGGAATGCAGTGGCATAATCATAGTTAACTGCAGCCTTGACCTCCTGGGCTAAAGTGAGCCTCCTGACTCAGTCTTCTGAGTAGCTGGGAGTACAGGCTTGCATCACCATGCCTGGTTAATTTTTAAAATTTTGTAGAGAGTGGGCCTTGCTATGTTTCCCAGGCTTGCCTCAAACTCCTGACTTTAAGCCATCCTCCCACCTCGTCCCCCAAAAGTGCTGGGATTATAGGTGTGAGCCACCATGCCTAGTCTCATTGTCATTTTAATTTGCATTTTCCTAATAAAAGTGTTGAAAAATATTTTAATGTGTTTAATGGCTAGTCACTTAACTTCTTTGGTAAAATCTCTTTTCAAATCTTTTGACCATTAAATTTTTTAAATTTGATGTTGATAAGAATACTTAACATGATCTCTCTCATATTAAATTAAAATAAAAAATTTAACTTAATTATTAACAATTAAATTAAATTATTAAATTAAATTAATTAAATTTAAAAATTTTTTGAGATAGACAGGGTCTCACTTTATTGCCCAGAATGGGGTGCACGGCTCACTGCAGCCTTGGCCTCCCAGGTTCAGGTGATACTCTAACCCCAACTTCCCAAGTAGCTAAGACTACAGGCATCCACCATGACACCAGGTTAATTTAAAATATTTTTTTCTAGAGATAGGGTCTCACTATGTTTCCCAGACTGGTCTTGAATTTCTGGGCTCAAGTGATCCTCCCACCTCAGCCCCGACAAGGTGGTAGGATTACAGGTGTGAGCCAATGTTCCCAGCCTTAACAAATTTTTTAAAGTGTGTAATATATTCTTGTTGACTATACTTACAGATTTCTAGAGCTTATTCATTTTGTTTAGCTAACTTTATGCCCATTTATTAGTAACATCCCATTTCCACTATCCCCAACCTCTGGCAACTACTATTTTACTCTTTGAGTCTATGCATTTGACTATTTTAGGCACCTCATATAAGTGGAATCATGCAGTATTTGTCTTTCTGTGACTGGTTCATTTCACTTAGCATAATGATCTCAAAGTATGTAGATGTCATCACATATTGCAGAATTTTCTTTTTTTAAGGATGTATATTATTTCATTGTGTGCATGTACCACATTTTCTTTATCCATTCATCTGTTGATAAACATTTAGGTTGTTTCCACATCTTGTCCGTTGTGAATTGTGCTGCAATGAACCTAGGAGTGCTAATATCTCCTTGGAATACTGATTTTAATTCTTTTAGATAGATACCTAGCAGTGGGATCACTGGATCACATGATAGTTCTATTTTTAATTTTTTGAGGTACCTCTGTATTGCTTTTCATAGCAACTGGACCATTTTGCATTCCTACCCACGGTATGCAAGTGTTCCAATATCTCCACATTCTTGCCAATACATTGTGACAGATATAAGATGGTATCACTCTCTTTTTTTTTTCTAGACAGAGTCTCACTCTGTTGTCCAGGCTGGAGTGCAGTGGTGTGATATCGGCTCACTGCAACCTCCACCTCCTATGCTCAAGCAATTCTCCTGCCTTAGCTTACTGAGTAGCTGGGATTACAGGCATGTACCACCATGCCCACCTTATTTTTGTGTTTTTGTTAGAAACAGGGCTTTGCCATGTTGATCAGGCTGGTCTCAAAATCCCGACCTCAGGTGATCCACCCACCTTGGCCTCCCAAAGTGTTGGGATTACAGGCGTGAGCCATCGTGCCCAGACTCATATTGATTTTAGGAATCATATAATATGTACTATTTTGTGTTGGGCTTCTTTCACTTATCAAAATGTTTTTAAGATTCATACATGGCATTATGTGTATCAGTAGTTTTTACCATTTTATTTCAGAGTAGTAGTCTACTCGATAGGTATACCACATGTTGGTAGTCCCTTTTCCTATTGATAGCCATTTGGGTTGCTTGTAGATTTTTGGCTCTTGTGACTGAAGCAGTTATGAACCTTTGTGTACAAGTCTGCATGTGGACATATGTTTCTATTTGCATTTACCTGATGGCTAGTGATGTGGAACATTTTTAATATACCTGTTGGCCATTGGTATAATATGTTGGTATAATATATCTTATCTGGAGAGATGTCTATTCAATTTCTTAGCACATTTTAAAATCAGGTTAATACCTGTTAGTTTAATATGTCTTCTCTGGAGAAATGTCTAGTCAGTTACTTAGCCCATTTTAAAATCAGGTTATTAGTTTTATTGTTATTGACTTGGAGGAGTTCCTTATGTATTTTAGAAACTAATCTCTTATCAGATACATGGTTTGCAAATATTTCCCCCCATTCTATAGGTCAGCTTTTCACTTTGTTGATTATTTTCTTTGCTGGATGTGCAAAAGGCTTTTTAGTTTTATGTAGCCCCACTTTATTTATTTTTTGAGAGATAGTTCAGGTAGTCTCTTATGATACTTTGTATTTCTGTGGCACCATTTTTTTTTTTTTTTAGATGGAGTCTTGTTCTGTTGCCCAGGCTGGAGTGCAGTGGCATGATCTCGGCTCACTGCAACCTCCACCTCCAGGGTTCAAGTGATTCTCCCACCTCAGCCTCCCAAGTAGCTGGGATTACAGGCATGCGCTACCACACGCAGCTAAATTTTGTATTTTTAGTGGAGACAAGTTTTTGCCATGTTGGCCAGACTGGTCTCAAACTTTTGACCTCAGGTGATCCGTCCACCTCGGCCTCCCAAAGTGCTGGGATTACAGACATAAGCCACCGTGCCTGTATATTGTTTTCTGTTACTTGCAGTTCCTTTGTCTTCTCCTCTCTTGTTATCTTCCTCTGTGTTTGTTGATTTTTTTTGGTACTGTTATGCTTTTATTCCTCTCCTTTTTGTTTTGTGTAACTCCTATAGGTTTTTTTTTTCACTCTTGTTATCTTGGCACATACATAAAATACCTTATAGTTATAACAGTCTATTTTAAGTTGATAATAGCTTCAATTCAATTGCAGACAGGAATTCTACACTTTAATGCCCACACACTTTATGTTATTGTTGTCACAATTTACATCTATTCATACTGTGTATCTTTTAAAATATTTTAAAGTTATATTTTTAATACTTTTGTCTTTTCACTTTTATATTCAAATAAAAAATGGTTTACCTATAACTATTACAGTAATATAGTATTCTGTGTTTATCTCTATGTTTATCTTTACCAATAAATTTTTTATTTTCTTAGACTATTGTTTTGCTGTTTGGCATTCTTTCATTTCAACTTGAAGAACTCCCTTTAGATTTTTTCTAAGGCAGGTCTGATGATGATAAACTTTTTCCACTTTTATCTGAGAAAATCTTTTATTTTTGCTTTGTTTTTGAAGGACAATTTGCCAGGTATAATATTCTTGATAGGTAGTTCCTTTGTTTCAGCACTATAAATTTATCATCCCATTCTTTTCTGGACTGCAAAGTTTCTCCTGAAAATTCTGCTGATAGTCTTATGGAAATTCTCTTGTATATAACAAGTCACTTTTCTCTTGCCACTTTCACAATTCTCTCTTTGTCCTTGACTTTTGACAATTTGACTATAACATCAATTTCTTTAGGTTCATCTTATTTGGTGTCCTTTGGGTCTCCTGGAACTGAATGCTTGCTTCCTTCCCCAAATTGGGAAAATTTATACCATTATTCCTTTGAATAACTTTTCTGGTCCTTTCTTTTTCTCATCTCCTTCAGAGACTCCTATAATGTGTATATTGGCCCAGTTGATGGTGTTCCATAAGTCCATAAGCTTTCTTCACTCTTTTTCATTCTTTTCTCTTTTTCTTTATCTGACTGAATTATTTCCAATGATCTGTGTTCAAATTTACTGATCCTTCTTCTTCATCTAATCTAAACCACTAGTAAATTTTTATTTCAGTTATGTTCCTGAGCTCTATGATTTTCGTTGGGTACTTTTTAATATTTTTTATCTCTTTGCTGAAATTCTCACATTGTTCATGCGTTCTTCTCTTGATGTTGGTGAGCATCTTTATAACAGGTAACTCTGTCATATAAATCATATGATTCTGTTTCATTAGGGTTGGTTTCTGGGAATTTATTTTGTTTGTTTGTTTGGAATATCTTTGCCAGTTTCTTTATTTCCCTTGACTCTCTGTGTTGATGTCTGCACACTAGACAGGTAGAGCAGGCAACTGTGGGGTTTTTCCCCCCACTATTTGCTCTGTGCTGAGCCAGGAGGCATCTACCAGTTTAAGCCACCATCTTTATTTCTCCCCAAGGTCTCTACACTGTGCTGGACCCATGAGTGTTCCAAGACTAGAAAGACAGACGCCTTTTCTTTTGGTAGCACTGGAGAAGCTGGGTGCTGGAGACATAGATCAACTTCTTCCCACTCTAGGGAGTAGCTGAGAGTTGAGATTTTTGTCTACTTACTGCAAGAAGAAGGATCTATGTTATCTACCAGCCCAAGATGACATCTCTCTTCCTGTCAAGCAGCTAGATTGTGCTGATCCCACCAAAGCTCAAGTTTGGCAAAACAGAAACCAGCCGTCTGGGGCACCGTCTCAAAAAAATTGAGGCACTGGACATGTGAACCAACTCTTTCCCTTCCCTGAAAGAAGCTGAAAGTTAGGGGGTCTTTTCCTGATTGTAGGCCACTGTGCCAGGGTTAGGGATTCTGGTGAGCAGATGTCTTAAACCTCTCTACCAGTTTCAGTAAGTCTGATTTTGCATTAATCCATGATGCAAGAGCCTTTCAGTTACTTTTTAGATTTCTTACAAAGAGAATTTATTTATCTGTGAATTGTTGCCAAATTGGAGTGTTTGTCAGGGGAAGGAGGGTCCAGGGCTTCCTACTCTGCCATCTTGCTGGTGTTCCTTTTGACCACTTTTAAATTAGGTTATTTATATTCATATTATTGAATTGCAAGAATTCTTTATATTTCTGGATAAAAGTTTTTTTTATCACACATATGTTTTGTTTATAGTTTAAAGTTAGAATTGAGGTTCAGATTTTTGTTTTTGTTTTTACCTTTAGATATCCAAATGTACCAGCACTATTTTTTGATGAGACTGCCTTTTCCATATTGAATAACTTTGGCGTATTTGTTGAAAATAAATTTAACTTACATGTCTGTAGCTATATCTAAACCTTCTTCAGTTCAACTGAGCTATGTAGACATTCTTATGACAGTGCATTATCTTTATTAGTGTATCTTTAGAGTAAGTTTTGAAACCAGGTATGGTAGTTCCCCCTTATCCTAGGGGAATGTTCCTAGACCTAGATCCTAAGGATATGTTCCAAGCCCCCCAGTGAATGCCTGAAACTGCAGATAGTACTGAACCCTATATACACTATGTTTTTTCTTATACTTACATCACTATGATAAAGTTTAATTTCTAAATTAGGTACAGTAAGAGATTAACAATAACTAATAATAAGAACAACTGTGACAATATAGAGAAACAAGATTTATGTGAATGTGGTCTCCTTCTTTCTCACTCTCCCTCAAAATATCCTATTATACTGCACTCACCTGTTTTTAGACTGTGGTTGAACCATGGGTAACTGAAACTGGAAAATGAAACCACTTATAAGGAGGAACTACTGTAGTTTAAAGACTTAACTTTGTTCTTTTTCAAAATTGTTCTGGCTATTCCAGGCTCTTTGAATTTCCATGTAAATTTGAAAATGAGCTTGTCTGTTTCTACAAACTTCCTTGTTCACATGTAGATTGAAATTGCATTTTATCTGTAAATCAATTTGGTGATGATTGGTATTTTAACAATACTGAAGCCTACCATCTATGAACATGGTATATCTCTCTTTTATTCAGGTCTTGTAAAATCCCTGTCAGGAATATTTTGTCGTTTTCAACAAACAAGTTTTGCTAAGTTTATCTCAAGTATTTAATAGGTTTTATGAGGTGCCAAAGTAAATAGAATATTTAAAATTCAATTTGCAATTGTTTATAGCTAGAATATAGAAATACAATGGATTTTTCTATATTGACCTTGTATCATGTGACCTTGATAAACTCAATTCTTAGATCTAGTAGCATTTAATAGAGCATAGTATTATTATGTGTCTAATGTTGTATAACAGAAAAGCCCAAAACGTTAGTGGCTCAAAACCATTTTATTACCTCAGTTTTTGTGGTTCGAGAATCTGGAGGTAGCTCAGCTAGATTCTCTGGCTCAGAGTTTCTCACAAGGCTGAAATCAAGCTATTGGCCAGCGTTGTTGTCATCTCAAGGCTTTATTGGAGATAATCTGCCAGTATAATGTGAACAGAAGTGGTCAGAGCGGACATATTGAGTCCTATCTGATATTGGGAATAATTCAGTCTGTCATCATTAGTGTGATGTTAGTAGTGGGATTTTTTGCAGGTTGCCTTTATCAGGTTTGGTTTAACATGTTGGAAAGCTAAATATTGAGAGTAAAATTTTAGAAAGTCATCTTTTCCTATAAAACTAAAATAAAGGTTCACAATCCTCTTTCTAAGACTGACGGCCCTGCTATATTTAGGAATTGAGAATTTTCAAAGTTTAGAATGATAATGCAGTTCACATAGTATTTATTTTTATTCTTATTACTATTATTATTGTTTTCCCTGCAGTTCAGTCAGATGAAACCTCTGTGTTGTGTGTTTAGATTTCAGTAGTTTTCTTAGTTCACCTCTATGTTTTCCTCCTTCTTGTTTCACCTTAGTTTCCCAATATTTTGCTGAAATACTGGGCAAAATTTATACTGATTCAGTATGTTTTGCTTATTTTCTTAAACTCTTTGACTCCTGAGTGCACAGCCCACTTGTTATCAGCCTATACAAAGCTACTCTCTTCTTTCCACACCCCAACCAAAGTACAACTGCTGTGATGTGTTGAGATTTGCTGCCAGATTGCTTTCCAGAATGGCCTCTCCAGGCATCATTACCACCTGTAATGCTCAGGTGTTCCTGAGTATCTACACCACCACTAGCACAAGGCATCATATCACTCTAATGTTTGCCTACACAATGGGTAAAAAGTAGCGTTTCCTTGTTGTTCTGACTTGCATCTCCTACTAATGACTTTGAGTCTGTTTACAGCATAATCGCTTTCTATAGCTAAATGTAAGCCATTTTGATCCTACAGTACAATGGATTTTCCTTATGATCAGTACTACTCAGCACTCATAAACCAGGCTTTCTGCCCATGCTCAGTGTTCTACATACCAGATGCTTTGTTGTAGAATACAAGAGGGAGGAACTGGACTAACCGATGATTCTCCTCCTCTCTACTGAAGTTCTTCTCCACACACAGGCAAACCTGTACTGGTTATGTCAATATGTGTACTCACAGGCTGGTGCTCTCCATCTGAAACCCACCTTTAAGGCACAGGCTATAATCAGCATTGTTTTGACACTCTTGGAACATGGATCAGGAACTGTAAAGGTTTGGACTTCATTAGAAATTAAGGCAACCTACTTAGTGATCTCGTTAACATTGGCCAAAAAATTAAATAAATTAATTATATAAACAAAAAAATAAATTAAGGCAAACTTAGTCTCAGTGTCACATAAGATATGTTGACAACTTGCTTATTTTGCCAGAGATGCTCCTTTGTGTCCAAACAGGAAAGACTTGGTTCTTTTTTAAACCATATCCTAGATTATTTCTGAAAAGTCTATTTCAGAAGGGTCAGTACCTAATCTTTTGTTTTCTCTCATCCGTTGTGCATTTTGTTTGTCAGCATTTATTGCTTAAAAACTCCTTGGGGACTGGGCAACACCCATTATCAAAGGCATAATTATTTCTGCAGCAAAACATGATGTTCATTCTAAGTGGGAAAAGGAGAATCTTTAATAGTCTCATGTCAGTTCGGGTCAGGTTTTCCCACTAACTAAACTTCAATCAAATAAAGTTTTGCTGTCAAAAGAATACTGATAAAACTGTTCATAGCTTGTTTTGGAATTTGAAATTGCAGACAGAGGATGAAGACCTATAATAGACGGTAATAATAAAGAGATAGGAGATGGGAAGTTTGAATGGAAGTCAAAGTATGCTAAAAGCTTTGCGTTAGGAGAAGACTTTGGTAAAAAAATAACTCTATGCACCCAACATGAAAGGACATGTGACAGAGAAGTCTCAATTGAAATTGAGTCAGTTGCCTTAACTGATTTAAGTTGCATTATTTTAGTTCTGTAAATTTGCAAAAACATATGGCTATGTGAACACACTGCTAAGGCCCCTCCCAGGTCCTTGAGAGAGATTCATACAAGTGGGAGAACCTGAAGCTTAGACTTCATTAACTTTATGGTAAATCTGACTCAAGGAATAAGAAAACAAAAGTTTTAAAGTAATGGCTCAGGGCCTGACTTCATCTGCTCCCTCCCCCAACAACTATCTACATCTTTCAGTAAAAACTCTCCTATGAACTTTATATATTCACATAAGAACAAGACCATAATATGCATATGATTGTGTACCTCGTTTTTATCCAAGTTATGTTGTGTACATTTCTTCCCTTTTAAAAATTCTGTTAACAGCTGCATAGAATTTTTCTATATGAACATATAACTTAACCTAACTCTTATCTGATGGACATTTAATTGGTTTGTAATACCTTGTTCTCACTAACAATACTGTAATGAATATTTTTGTAAATATATCTGCACCAATATGTATGTCTGTAGGAGAACTACCTAAAAGAGATTTCTGTGTCAAAAATAGTGTATGTTTAAATTTTGATATATTTCTTCAAATTGACCTCCCTAAAACTTTGTAATAATTGTGTATAAATGTGCCACTTTCTTTTCTCCTAGCCCACACTGGGAATAATCATTCTAGTAATTTTCAAGTCTAATATGGTATCTGTAATGATGCCTCATTCTTTTAAATTGTATTTCTTTGATCATTAAAGAGATTAAGCATATTTATTTTTATTAACATCCATTTCCTTTGTAATTGCCTGTTTTGTTTGTATGTTTTTAAAATTTTCTTTGCCAATATTGATAAGGGGTACTCATCAATATTATTGATTCATAAAAACTCTTGTTATTTTTTTTTCCTTTGTCTAATATTTTTAAGTATTTCCCTCAGTTTCTAAGACAGAACTTGTATGGTTTCAGACAGAGGCGGTTACAAGGTTTGACTCTACCACTCTGGCTGTGTGTTTCTGGTTAAGCAATCTAAAGGAGGACAATATCAGTGTGACAATTAATTTAATGTGTCAACTTGACTGGGCCATAGGGTTTCCAGATATTTGGCCAAATATTCTTCTAGATGTGTCTGAGAGGGCGATTCTGGATTAGATGAACATTTGATTTGGTAGACTGAGTAACACAGATTGCCTCTCTAGTGTAGATGGGCTTCATCCAAATAACTGAAGACCTTAATAGAACAAAAGGTTGAGTAAGAGAAAAGTCCTCCTGTCTGACCACTTGAACTGGGACTTAGGTCTTCTCTAGCCTTTAGACTTGAACTGAAACATCAGCTCTTCTTAGATCTTGAGCTGCTAGCTTTTGGACCTGAACTTACACTGTTGGCTCTCCTGGTTCTCAAGTCTTTGGACTCAGACTGGAACTACACATTGTCTCCCCTGTGTCTCCAGCTCACTGACTATAGACCTTGAGGCTTCTCAGCCTCCATAATCATGTGAGCCAATTCCTTATAATCCATATATATATAATATATATATATAGAAGTCAATATATGTGAAGATTTAGCTTAGTTCCTATCACATAATAAGTATTGAATAAAGGTTAGATAACATTAACTTTACTTGAATTATTTTTGCCCTTCAGAAGTTTTACATAGTCAAATACATTAATCTTTTCCTTTATTATTTTATTAATTATTGTTTTCTATTGTCTAGTACCTCTTCTTCTTGCATTAAAGAAGTTAAAGCACCTGGAAATTTGTTTATATATGTGTAACTTGAGATTTAATATTTTCCCCCAAATGAAGAGTCAATTGTTTCCATGCATTTATTAAATAATTTATTCTTACAGTGTTCTCTAAAAGCACCATTGTCAAGGAAGTCTTCTAGGTCAAGGGAAAACATTTCTGCTATAAGGATTATAAATCGTGTATCTGTGACATAGAAGCATACTCCAGATAAGCTGTTTCATGTTTCTTGTGCTAACAACCTAGAGGGAAAGGAAATGAAGACATATTCCTATTTTTCTTGTTCACACACCTGCCTGTGTAAAATGCAAGATGATAAATCTAATTGGTGTCCTAAAAGCCATTTAGTAGTTAAACATAATCCAGGCAAACAAAGGCAGGGGAAAGATATTGATTTTGTGTCACACAAATGCAGGTGGAACAGCTAAGCCTTAAATAATGCTCCCAGGGCACTTTTTGGTGTGATCAGTCAAGGCTGTATTTAATGATGTGAGAAAACTCGTTTCTCTCAGGTCAATGGTATGTGCTTAACCTTTAGGCTTTCGCGTGGCTGCCTGCCCCACTGGTTTATGAAGTGGAGGCCGACATGATTGGGGATTTAGGGCAGTGATGACTTGATCTCCCTGACGCTTGCTGCTCTTACCCAGGAATGGTGAACAAATCCATCTCCGTGGCTGCCGCCTGGGCCTTTCTGAGCAGCCCACACCTCTCTAATTTCACATCTACCTCCTGAGGCAGAGAGAACGCAGTCACCTTTGGAAAACAGGGTTTGTCACATGATCGTGAGAAAAAAAAATGGTTTCATTTAGCTTTTAATGCCTTAAACAGCCCACAAAAGGCAAACATGAAGTCTTGGTGACTTTTGTTTTTATTTCTCAGTTGGCAAGTTTACACTTTGTGATTTTAGCATTTTCCAAAGGTGTTCTAAGAAATGCTAGTCCTCTGAGACTCTGCTGGAAAGAAAGGGAAGGAGGGAGGAGAGCTAGCTGAGGTTAACCCTGTTTGGGGGATGGGATACCTCCTTTGGAGACTCAGTGTGAGATGTGTTTTATTTAAAACTAATGCTATGGTCTAAATGTTTGTGTACCCCAAAATTTACATGTTGAAATCCTAACCCCCAAGATGATGTATTAGGAGGTGGGACCTTTTGGGGGGTGATTAAGTTATGAGGGAGGAGCCCTCATTAATGGGATTAATTTCCTTATAAAAGAGGCTCCAAAGAGACCCCTGGTCCCTTCTACCATTTGAGGTTAGAGTAAGAAGACATTGGTCTATGACAAAGTGGTCCCTCCCCAGTCACCAAATCTGCTGACACCTTAATCTTGACGGGTGGCTTACAAAAACAATAACAATCCTATTGTTTATAAGCCACCTAGTCAAGGTATTTTGTTAGAGCAGCCCAAATGGACTATAACACCAAGTATTTTTCCATTCATATTTTACTGTCCCAACCCACTTTTAAAATACAAGTTACATCTGTTCTATTTGATAAATACTGCCTTAGGTACACTGCTTTAAAATTGTGTGCAAAACACAACTTTGCCTATTGAATGCTCTTTGCCATTAATTTCTCCCATAAACAGCCAAGCAGTCAGGCACTATTTTTTTTTTTTTTTTTTTGACATGGAGTTTCACTATTGTTGCCCAGGCTGGAGTGCAATGGTGCAATCTTGGCTCACTGCAACCTCCGCCTCCCAGGTTCAAGAAATTCTCCTGCCTCGGCCTCCCAAGTAGCTGGGATTACAGGCATGTACCACTATGCCTAGTAGAGACGGGGTTTTACCATGTTGGTCAGACTGGTCTTGAACTCCTGACCTCAAGTTATCTGCCCGCCTTGGCCTCCCAAAGTGTTGAGATTACAGGCGTGAGCCATTGTGCCTGGCTGTCACTTCTTACAGAAGAAAAGAATTGATAATAAGACATGATCAAAATATCAGGAAATTTGTACAAGTATTACATACCCATAAAAATGTTTAAATTAAATTAAATTAAATTTAAAAATAAATACCAGGGAAGAATTCCAACCTTCATATTAAAGCTCAATATTCACAGACCTTACTCAATGTGCAGTTAATTCTTCCCTGTATATCTTTCAAAGTTAGTCAAGCAGAGCAATCATATAATTCTGGAGCAGACAAGAACCTAACCAAGGGATCTAAAGAGCTCCACATTTCACAGGCAAGCAAACTGAGGCCTAGAAAAGCTGAAGAGGTGAGCAAAAGCCATAAACTGATTTGTGTCAGCATCTGGACACTGGCTTAGTCTTCCTACACTTCTTTCTGATTTTGTCCTCCTCTTTATGACAGCTTAATCTTCAAGCTGGAGCCTTCTCAGTTACTGCCCCCATATTTGTCTGTGCATGTGTTCACCGGAAGTGTCACTTGAAGAAACTTGCCCTGAAAAGTGAGGAAAAATAAATCCCCCACTTCCTGAAGCTATAGGTTCTGACAGATTGTGAGGAGATCCTCATACTTTCCCGGGTTAGCATTACCTGACAGAGTGGCTGATACCCAGGGGATGAGTTCATGGGTTGTCTTAGTCCATTTGTGTTGCTATAAAGGAATACCTGAGGCTGGGTAATTTACTGAAAGAAAAAAAAAGATGTTAATTTGGCTCAGGGTTCTGAGGGCTGTGCAAGAAGCATGGTGCCAGCACACCTTCTGGTGAGGGCCTCAGGCTACTTCCACTCATGATGGAAGGCAAAGGGGAGCTGGCATGTGCAGAGATCTCATGGTAAGAAAGAAGGCAAGAGAAGGCAGGGAGGAGGTATCAGGATCTTTTCAACAACTAGCTCTTTCATGGAACTAACAGAACCTATACTCACTCAACTGCAGGACTGCACCAAGCCATTCATGAGGGATGTGCCAAACACTTCCCACTAGGCCCCACCTCCAACACTGGGAATAAAACTCTTTTCTTTCCTTTCCTTTCCTTTTCCTTTTCCTTTTCCTTTCCTTTTCCTTTCATTTCCTTTCTTTCTTTTTTCTTTTTTTTTTCAAGGTCTTACTCTTTAACCCACGATAGAGTGCAGTGGTGCAATCATGGCTTACGGCAGCCTTGAACTCTGGGGTCAAGCAATCCTCCTGCCTCACACTCTCCAGTAGCTGGAACTACAGGTATGTACCACCACACCAGCTACTTTTTAAATTTTTCTTTTGTAGAGACGGGGATCTCATTATGTTGAGCAGCCTGCTCTCTAACTCATGGGCTCATGTGATCCTCCTGCCTCAGCCTCCCAAAGCCTCCCACTGTCTCATTACAGGCATGAGACAGTGCACCCAGCCAGGGATCAAATTTCAACCTGAGATCCAGTGGGGACACGTATCCAGACTATTATCATGGGCCAAAACAAACACCCAAGGAGTGCAACTGTTTCTGAGAAAAACAAAAGCTTTGTTGGCATTTAATTATATGATCATGTTATTTTTTTCTTTAATTTGTTGATGTCATCTACTATGTTGAGAGACTCCATAATCTTGAATTTCCTTACATTTCTGCAGTAAACCCTACCTGGTCATAGAGCATTGTTTTGATATGCTACTGGATTTTCTTTGTTAATACTTATTTGATATTTTGCATTTCAATTCCTAAGTGAGATCAGGCTATCATTTTCCATTTTTGTACAATTTTAATCAGGTTTTGGTATTAACATTTTGTTGGAGTCATGCAATGAGTTGGGGCAATTTCTAACTTTTAATATGATCTATAATATTTTGAATTGTAAAGGAATGACCTTTTCCTTACAGATGAAACAGAACTCAGCTGTGACACTCTTTAATTCTGATTCTTTTTAAAATGACTGATCTTCAATTATTTTTACATACCTTCTATGATAACTGATCTATTCAAGTTTTGTCCTGTTTTGTAAATCAGTTTTTTAAATAAATTCTTTTTAAACAGCTTTATTGAGGTATAATTTACATGTCACAAAATTCAATGACTTTTGATAATGTGCAATTTTTAAGTGTACAATTCTATGACTTTTAGTAATGTAAGTCAATTTTAGTCTTTTTTTTTTTAAAGAAAATATTCATTTCCTCTAGGTTTTCACTGCATCCACAGAAGGGCTTATAGTATTTTCTTATAATTCTATGCTTAAGGAATGTTGGCTTTCTAAATAAGCATGCTAGCATGAGTGCAAAGAGAAGGAAATGGAGATGATACCAGAGGCAGTAAGTTAACTAATGGGAACACTTGAAGCAGCTGATCAGAGCACTGTGTAGTATGTAAGTCAGGAGTTACGAAGTGCAATCATTCATTTCCCTGATGACCAGGCTTTCTAACTACTAGGCTAGCCAAGATGCTCAAAATTCCCTGATTAGAGTAGGGACTGAGGAGTTTCAGACCAAGAAGGCAAAGTCACAACATGTGATAGTTTCCGTTTATTTGTGGTGTTTTGGCTGGCCACTTCCTTCCATTAAGAATTCTCATAGTAACACCAATGTATTTCACCTCTTTATGTAGGGAAATTTCACTGTGGTTTGGTACCTATGTCAAACATAATTTTTAACACCAAGAATCCACCAAACAACGCTCCGAATGAAAAATTTAAAAGTTGTATTTAAAATGCTTAATACCACCAAATTGTAGAATGATCTTTCATGCGGATATGTTAGATAAAATGTAAGATGAACCAAAGCACGAATTTATGTCCTATTTTAAAAATCAGGTTTACTGAAGTATAATTTACACATAGTAAAATTCCACCCTTTTGAGCTGTATGGTTCGCTGACTTTGCATTAAATGTATAGTGCTTTTACCACTTCACGCTCAAGATATAGAATATTTGTATCACCCCCAACGTTTACAAAAGGCATCCTTATATCCCTTTTGTAGTCAGTCCTCTCCCACAACTCCTAACCCCTGGCAATCACTGATCATATTTTTGTCTCTGTATTTTCTTTTCAAGGTTATTATGTAAATAGAACCATACAATATATAAGTGTTTGTATCTGTCATCTTTCTGTTAGCAGCATTTCTGAAATTCATCCATGTTGTTTCATGTATCAGTATGTTCTTGTTCATTGCTCAATAATATTCCATTGTATGAATGTACCATAATTTATTATCCATTCACCCTTTAAAAGATATTTGAGAGGTTTCCAGTTTGTGGCAATTCTGTATAAGTTGCTACAAACATTAGCGTACAGGTTTTGTGTAGAT
This sequence comes from Homo sapiens, assembly GCF_000001405.40. Lineage (NCBI taxonomy): Eukaryota > Metazoa > Chordata > Mammalia > Primates > Hominidae > Homo > Homo sapiens. The sequence goes on along the minus strand of NC_000015.10, from coordinate 59,948,986 downwards.
ATGCATTTGCATTTCTTTTGAATAAATACGTAGGAGTGGGATTCCTGGGTAGTATGGTAAATATGTATTTAACTCTACAAGAAACTACCAGCTATTTTTCCAAAGTAACTGTACCATTTTGCATTCCCACCAGTAAAGTAAGAGAGTTTGAATTGATTCATTTCTTCATAAGTCCTTTATACTTTTGGACTTTTTCATGTTTAGCCATTCTGATGTTTATGTAATGGTATCTCATGTTTTAAGTTTGCATTTTCTAATGATTTATGTGTTTTATTTGGTAAAATCTGTTCAAATTTTTGACCATTTAAAAAATTGAGTTTTTCTGTTTTAATTATTGAGTTGTAAGAATTTTTAAATATATTCTGGATATTTTCATTTAGATAGATAAATGCAAAGCAAATATCTGATATTTGCAAGGCGATTTTTGCATTATCAGATGTTTGCTTTGCAAATATTCTTCCCAGCCTACAGTTTGTCATTCCATTTTCATAATTTAGTCTAGTCTAGGAGACTCTTTCTCTAGAAAGAGTCTTTTTCTCTAGAAGAGAAAAAGTTTTCAATTTTGATAAAGCCTAATTTATCAATTTTTTCATTTATGGTTTGCACTTTCTGTGTTATAACTAAGAAATCTTTACCAACCTAAGGTCATATGTTTCTTCTAGAAGCTATATAGTTTTAGATTTTACATTTATATCTATGACTTATCTTAAGTTAATTTTTATATGGTGTGTGAAGAAAAGATTAAGATTCATTTTTTGGCATTTAATTGAATCCAGTTATTCTAACACCATTGTTGGAAAAGACTTATTTCTCCACTGAATTACTTTGGCGCCTTTGTTGATTGTCACTTGCCCATTTTTGTGTGGGCATTTTTCTGGACTTTCTGTTCTATTCCATTGATCTACATGTCTATTCTATGCCAGTACTGCACTGTACTGATTACTGTAGTTTTAGAGTAAGCCTTGAGATCAATTAGTGTGGGTGTTCCAATTTTGTTTTTCTTTTCAAAATAATTTTGGCTATTCTAGATTCTCTGCTTTTCCATATAAATGTTAGAATCATTTGTCAATTTCTGTCTGCTGCCAACCTGTGCTGATGCTTTGACTAGGATTTTGTTGACTATACAGATCACATTGGGGAAAATTATGGTCTTAACAATACTGAGTTTTCCAATCTATGACCACATTACAGCTCTCTATTTAGTTGTATTGTTTCTTATTAATATTTGGTAGTTTTCATGATGCAACTCTTACACTTATTTTGTTAGATTTATACATAAGTGCTTTACTTTTAATTCTATTGTAAATTATATTTTTAAAAACTCAATTCCCAAGAGTTTATTGTTAGTATATAGAAATACAATTGATTTTTCAGTATTGACCTTGTATTTTGTGACCTTACTACACTTACTTAACAGTTCTAGTAGTTTTTTAGTAAGCCCCAGTGCTCTTCTGAATGAATAACATCCAACAGTGTGAAAATACAACTGTGATCTAGGGGTGGGGGCTGTTAATTTTTTGTCTGATTCCCGTATGTGCCTGGTTAAACAATGTTAGAGATTTTTGTAAACCTTGCAATGACCAAAAAATATTTACCACCTTTTCAGGCCTATTGTCCTGAGTATATAAAATAAATCCAAATGCCCATCTTTTGTACTTTATTAGAGATAAAGTACAGAAGACTAACAGGTATTTCCAGAATCTTCTGGGTTAAGGGCTATGAGATCAGTGTTAGAAGTTTGTGTGTGGATTTTCAAGCTGACTGTGAAGTCCCTGAGGGAAAAATGTTGGGTGGGCTTCTATCAATAGGTAGCAGAGAGCGATGGTGGGGGCAACATCTAGAGACCTACCAGGGAAGATGTGAGATCCATTGGTATGCCCTGATTGTCAACGTAAGATGATATGCCTTATGTTGGTATTTCCTAAATTGTATTTTGGGATACATTGGTCTTTATTCTTTTCAGCAAAAATTCCACAATCAAATAAATATGGGAAATGCCTCATACCATATTCTCCTCTTGTAGTTTCACATTGTCCATTAGCATATTAAAGACACTGAGGAAACCTACTTAAAGATACATGTTTACACAGCGTTGTTTAATCCGGCATTCCCCAAACTCATTTGACCATGGAACCCTTCTTTAATATTAAACCTCCTAATCTCCAAAACCTCTTTAGCTTATCTGCTGCAAAATACACTCAGGAAAATATTGCCATGGAAAATTCTGTGATCTCTTTCTCACCTTCAATATGAGAAAAATATTCATACAAGGTTATTATGTTAGAACTATCTGATCGCTACAAAATTCTCTGAGCAATAGAATGTGCTTAGAATTCTGGAATACGGAGAGGTTTATATTTCAGATGCCTTCATTTCCTTTTGTTTTGACTTAGAAATGTTGAGCAAATATTCTCCCAAAATATGCCACTGAACTAAGCCAAGAGAAGGATTCTTCCCACGCACTTCAGGGTTTCTTGGTCTTTCCTAATGGTCTCCTTTGCTTGTACTTCAAACTCTTTTTTGCTTTGCTCTGATTTGTTGAATAACTGAGCCATCAAACTGTAAAAAAGGTTTCCCGTAAGAGGCATTATGCTACCTGTTTATGTGCTTTGTGTAGTAACCAGGGTGATAGGATAACAATAAAGTAGATACTCCTTGTCTTTCAGAGAAAAATAACTTTGTAATGATTGACAGAGTATAATTAAACCAGCAATGAAATAAACAACATTGCAATATTTGGCATGAGGCCACTTGTGTTGTAATTGATCATGTTTGAGACGATAGCTGATGACAGGATTTGTGTTGATCCTTGATGCAAAGTTGTAGCTTTTAAGGAAAGTGCAGCTAGAAACCAGCTCCAAATTGCCTGCCTCTGTAATTAAAAGTATAAATGTTTCAAGTCGAATATATCCTATTAGTAAGATTTTAGGAAACAAAAATTTAATTTATTCACATTCGATATGGTCTGTAAATGCCACCATTGTATGCCTTCCGCTGGCCTTTGATTAGCTATGGATTAATAAAACTTTTATACCTCCTTTGTCAGCCTCATTTTGAACTCTGTTTTTGCATGCTGTTACTATTAAATAAATGAATTAGTGTCCAGAAATGTGTCATGCATATTACCTAGCAGCAGGAAGCGTAATACAGTGGTCAGCTTCCCAGGAGCGTTATAAATCCTAATGCGCTCGGTAACCTGCTCACGTGGACCTATTAAAGCATGATGATTTAGTGGAGCAGTATTTGTGCTTAACAATGGAATTTTAGTTAATTCAAAACAAGGTAAATCATCTCCAATTACAGTATTTGAATATTCACAGTTGCTTCCCAAGAACACGTACTGTTGCTAAGCCAAAAAAATTGTTTTTTCTTCAAAAGCATTGTACTCAGTTACTTGCTTGGAGTAACATTTAGGCAGGTTTTGGTAGCTTATGTTAAAAGTGACCCAGTCCTGAAGAACAATGTTTATGTGGCGCAGCTAGCTAACTCGCTGCCAAAGCAATTTAGGGTGTCCAAAATACAGAAAGGGGGTAACCCAGAGCAGGAGCCCCGGGATGCAGCTGCCCACTGCAGAGCTCAGGTGAGCCCAGTAATTGAGCTAGTGTCGATGCCGAGGGTGATGGTGTGATGTTGTTAGATGCGTTCCTAGAGGCAGCTGAGGCCTTTTTTTGTTGCCGCTGTTATAAAAGTCATTTCAGATCCATGTCAGTAGCTTCTTGATACTGCAACTACTGCTGTGTCCCTGTGGGTACCGTACGGACCAGAGAGCATCCTCCGGTTTGAAATAGGCTCTTTTATGCTCAAGGTCTCAGAGGGCCTTTCCAGGAAATAATGATGATTAGCCGTCTGGCTGGCAGCAACCACTTTCAGCAGTGTGGGGCCTGGGCGTTGTGTTAGGATCAGCATAGGACCTCCACAGCAAAGAGGGACCAGCCTCCTCGCCAGCCAGTCTCCAGGCTTTCCCAGAAGGTGAAATTGGAGTGGAATTAATGGGGAGCTGGGCGAACTTTATTGAAGAAGTTTATTTTGTGTATTGTGGATCTGGACATTTAGGGACGATGAATGAATAACTTTCCTGACCTTCAAAATAAGTCTGAAATGAATCGATGACTTTTATTTAGTGAAAAACAAAACGTGGAGAGAACGCTGTTGGACACATTTTTTCAAAGCTTGCCAATAGCCAAAGTCCACTTTGTATAAAATTGTAATTTTCTGCAATATCACCATTGATTTTAGTCAGTGATAACTAATTGGCTTTGTAATCAGCAAGCCTGAATTCAAAACTGGATGACTGTGTCTTATAAATTGTGTGTCCTTGGGTGAGTTATTCCCCCTCTCTGAACTTCAATTTATTCATCTGTGAGTAAGGTATAGGTTTACGTACAATAACATGTTGCTCTGTGATGGTGGCGTGCAGAATAAATGAAGTAACTTACATAAGATACAAAGTTTTTTGTTTTTGATATGTTTAGAGACAAGGTCTCTCTTTTGTCACCCAGGCTGAAGTGCAGTGGTGCAATCATAGCTCACTGCAGCCTCAAATTCCCAACTCAAGCCATCCTCCCACTTTAGCCTCCCGAGTAGCTGGGACAACAGGCACGTGCCCCCATGCCTGGATAATTTTTTCAGTTTTTGCAGAGACGGGGTCTGGCCATCTTGCCCAGGCTTGTCTTGAATTCCTGGGGTCAAGCAATCATCCCATCTAGGCCTCCCAAAGTGCTGGGAATACAGGCATGAGCCACTAAGCCCGGCCAACAGGATAGCTTCTACTGTTTTTACTGCTGATTTATAAGGCATACACAGATTGTGTTGAATAAATGTAATCTTGATTACAGGTTTTATGTAAAGGCTGAGCAAATTGTTTCTTGCTCTTATTTCATGTAACAACCATCATTCTCTACTGGCTTTATCTCTGTCTCTATCCATTCATCTGTCCATTCATCCAATCATCCATCCTCTACTTATCCAATTAGTAATATATATGCATGGTAAACAAAATTAAAACACTACCAAACAGGTGGTCTCCCTTTTACCTCTGTCCCTAGACCCCAGCTCCTCTCTCTAGAGGCTACTGTTACTAGATTCTTCTGTGTCCCTCCAGAGGTATTCAGCTCACATACAAACACATATACATACCCCACAAGCGACATAATACTATCCACACTGTTCAGCACCTAAAAGGTTAGCAGTGTATCTTAGGAGTGTTCCATATTAGTACTATAACCTGCCTCAATTTTCTTAACACCTGCATAGTGTTACATAGTGTGGTTTTACCTTAATTTACTTAACCAAACCTCTATTGTGGGCACTTCAGGTGCTTTTAATTCTTTGCAGTTACACAGTGCTGCACAGAATTGTGTAGCACTTCTATGCACTTCTTTGTGCCTATGGACACATATGGCTGCAGGATATTCTCACAGTTATAGGATATTTTCCTAGAAATTGTTTTTTTTAGGTCAGATTTTTATGGAAATTGCCAAACTGCAATTTCCAATTCGAAATTATTTAGAAATAATACATAGTCCCCAAGCAATACTTCTTTTAACATTCACAACAAATCTCCCCACCAGACTATAAGTTATCTTCAGCATATACTGCGTTCTAGGAACTGTGTTCTACAATGAGATACACCAATGAGCTAAAACTGACAGAGGCCTTGTTCTCATGAAGCTTGTGCCATTTGAACACTTGAATGCATGCAGTCACACATGCTCATGTGGACACTTCTCAAGATTTACTGTACAAATGGTGTTTCTAATGCCAAGAAATAGCCGAATGTCTTTCTTCCAAGAATACCACCAATAATGCCATATACCTTTCTTACCTTTCTAGGTATCTGAACTCCAAATGTTATTAGGAATATTGACTACCTATAGTTGATGCTTGCTCACCACACTGTATCCCCTGGGTTGTCTGGTTTCACATATTTGTAGCAGACTCTTCCATACACCATTATACGTACTGCAATTTCTGCTCAACATTCTCTAAGGTGCAGGCCACTCAGCCATGCACAGATGTAATCCACAGTGGGTGTGTGTGTTGGGGGATGAAAGGTTATACTCTGGAAGATACCACTCAGTCAATGTGGATCATGTGTCTGTTGGTGAATGCCCCAGCCTCCCATCTTAGTGTGGGAGGCTTGCTGTTTCTGAGGCTTAGTGTTTCTGAGGCTTGCTCTGCATGATCCTCAGAAGGTCTGCAGTGGCGTGAGCCCAGTTGCCTGCAGCAGTAACTAGCACATTAACCCACCCTTTGTTGGCTCCTCTCTCTTTTCATTCTCTTCTTCCAAACAAACAGTCTGCACCCAAGTCTTTGTTACAGGGTTTGCTTTCAGAGAAACCCAATCTAAGACACACTGAAAATTCTGGACTGCCTTCACACAGAGGAAACTCAGTAAAAAGAACTAAATTTACTGTAGTTATTGCTTCATCAGCTCTAACATCATGGTGTCACCTGTGAGAAGTAAAATCAAGTCAGCCAAATTTCTGAGCATCTACTAGGTTCTGGGAAAACTAGTAGATAAATGTAATTCCTGCCATCAAGGAACACACAGCCTATCAGACAAACTGCTTTCCCAAGCCTGACTATAGCACAAGACAATTTGGTTAAAGATCTCCATTATTCCCTTTCTCCAAACTACATGTGAGTTTCTGTAGGAATATATGGCCCAGTGGGTTATATAGCTATACAAATTGGGCCTGTTGCAAAATCTAATGTGGACCCCATTCTCTCTTTGATGTAAGCCTAGACTCTCATTGTTTATAAGTGACAGAAGTTCAACTCAAAGTAGCTTGAGCCAAAAAGCAAGGCTTTAGCTAAAGTAGCTGGAAGTCAAGGAGTGCACTCACTGGCTTCAGGCATGGGTGGATCCTGAGTCTCAATAATGTTTTCAGGGTTTTGTCTGTCTTCAGCTCTCACTTCTGATTCCTTTGGTTTGGCTTCACTCTAAGTCAGGTTTTTTTCACATGAGAGAAAAAAATGGCTCCCAGTGGGTCTTGGCTTACTCAGTCCTTACATCTCATGACCCGAGCAAAGAAGATGTCCTCTTTTTCCTAGCATCCATATAAAAAGGTCTTATAGCGACAATATGGCCCTGCTTGGATTGTGTGCTTATCCCTGAAACAATCACAGTGGCAAAGGGAATGGGGAATTCTTGTAGGGCTGAGTCATGCCCGTCACTCACTGGGAGGGGTAAACCTCATTACTAGTGAAACAGGGGCTCTGCTACTAGAAGCAAAACACAAAATAGTCACAGCAGGTGGACAGCACACTAAAGCGAAGCACAGCCCTTTATAGATCCCAAGGCTACCGCAAGAAATATTGTCCTGTTTTCTTTGGGAGTGGGTGTCTCCGAGCAAAATGAGATTCTTGGGTGGAGAGTAGGTATTGATTTATTTGGATTTACGCAAAACAAGAAGGGGGCTGCCTCAGGTTGTACTTTCTGGAGCTCTGGCTATTTACAATGGAGGCTTCTACAGATGCTCTGGCCAAGGCACAGGTCCTGCACCCACTCTGAATGGTGGGCACCCTAGGGGTAAATGAGTTGTCAAAGTCTTTCCTCATAAGGTTATCCATGGCTGGAGCCACTGGAAAATCAGAAGAGGGAGCAGTGGGGTGGCGTCACCAACAGTAAGGTCTTCATTCTTGGGCGCATTCCTGAGTGGAAAATGCCCTCTGCTCTCTGCCACTGAGTTGGAAGTAAAGGCAGCTTCCCCAACCCTGTAAAATGTTGGGAAGCAGAAAGAGGAGCTGCAAGTTGGTCCTCTGCCTTGGATGCCAGAGGAGCAGCTGACAAAAGCCTGTGGCAGGGCTCTCTGTGAATAGCCTGTATGATGCTGGTTGGGAAGCCTCAGAGCTGAGACCCCCCTCAACAGTGTGCTGGCTGTTTCAAAAGGCTGTTTCCGCACTGGCCCAGCCCACAGCTGTATATGGGCTTGCTTAGCTCCAGAATGGGCAAAGCTGAAGCCTCTCTCTTTGATCCTTGCCACATACCTTTAACCAAAGGCAAAGTACTTTTTAGGCCAGTGGCACACATAATGCCTGATCTTTGTCCATGTTTAGACCAAAGCCTTTCCCATCAACAGTGGGCCGCAGTGTGTATTCTGCCAATCGCCAATTCCTATATTGGCTTTTTTTTCCTATTTCTACTCTGCATGTGGCTCTGCTGACTGCAATTGCAAAGCCTTCTGGCAATTCCGGATTTTAAGGAATCACCAGTCAAATCGTATAGATTCAACTTCTTTTCTTTCACCACCTTCCCTTTTCCCTTAGCTTGTAATTAGCCATTTTTCCTCATAGTTTTGAAGTCTCCTTATTTGAAATTCATCATTGAGTTAGTCCTGTGGGAGTTACTCTCAATTACAAATTGAAGACTAATTGTGCCGCAATGACTGTTGCTCTAAGACGCCTCCACTGTAATCGCTCCCTAAATTAACTCTCGCCTCTTATTTAACACTAAGTTAAGGCTTTAAAATGAGCTGTGATTTGTAGTAGGCAGCACAGCAGTTGCTGAATTGTGGAGTCACACCTATAAATAAATAAATATAAGTATATATACACACATACATATAATTTTATAAATTCCCTTGTCATTTAAATTCTGGATTATTTTTAAAATGTGAAAGTAAAATTTGCTTAACAGAAACAGCATAATTGGCTTTTTTTTTTTTTTCTTGAGACACAGTCTCACTCTGTTGCCCAGGCTAGAGTGCAGTGGCACAATCTTGGCTCACTGCAATCTCCGCCTCCGAGGTTCAAGCGATTCTCCTGCCCTAGCCTCCAGAGTACCTGGGATTACAAGTGTGCACCACCAACGCCCGGGTAATTTTTGTATTTTTAGTGGAGATGGGGTTTTACCATGTTTGCCAGGCTGGTCTCGAACTCCTGACCTCAGATGATCAACCCGCCTCGGCCACCCAAAGTGCTGGGATTATAGGTGTGAGCCACTACACCCAGCTAGTTTTGCTTTTACTGTCATGTACAATTAAATTTTTTCCTTATTGCCAGTCTTTTGTTCTGAAAAATAGTTTCTGAAAAGCTTAAATCACTACACTCCTGCCCCCACACTCTCTTGTTTTATATCGCCTTGATGTATTTTCTTACGCAGTGTGCCTCTTTTTTTTTCAAGGGTAGGATGGGGTGGGAGAGAGAGGTCTGACTCCTGATCAAAGGGGGTTGCATGATTCCCTGTATTTTGCGTTTCCATCCAATCATTGCGACCCTGACAATCAGGTGACAAGCAGCAAGCTGGTAAGAATTCATCAGAAATTAACCCAGAGAAGGGGAGCTATAAAGGTAGTGCCCACAAGAGGAGGTGAGGCCCTGGCCCAAATCAGGAGGCCACAGTGGTGTCAGCGCAGGTGACACCTCAAAGCGTCAGCCAAGGATTCAACCCCTTGTAGACATGGTCTTTAGGACACTTCCATTAGGATTTGACGAGTGACTTCTGCAAGTTTGACGCAAACTTAAGCAAAAATTCAGACTTCAAGTTATGAATATACTTTTTGTTCTCTAGCAAAATATGGCTATGTAATTTTAAGTATAAATTAAAAAGTAACTTAAAAGACATCTGAAAATGGTCTTTTGGCCTTAACCAAATGATGACAATATAAACAGCCATGAGTTTTGGCTTCCTCCAAAAGGACAGGCAGAGGCTAAGCGCATTTGGTCTGCAGTTCCTGCCACCTGTCCTGCCTCAACTCTCTGGTTACAGCACAGGCAATAGCTCGAGAGAGACTGGTCTTAAAGCCAGTTATCAGATGCCAAGGGAAAGCCAAAAGGAAATGAACAAAAGAAGTATAAGAAACATATAAAACTGTCAAACTTCTCAAGTCCAGGCTAGCTGCTTCCTAGCCATGCCCCAAGCCCCACCACTCCACTGGTCCACTGCTTGGCCTCCTTCCCTGCCAGCTCCCTGCCTGTCTTTTCCTCATGGGTGTCATCTTCTCACCTACAGGCAAGTGGAGCTCTTAAACGACTGGCGAAGAAGGTTCTTATGTTCCTATCTCATAGAATGACCTATGGGCATCTCTCTGAGAATTTTCGCTCCGACTGGATGTTCTCCATCCCTCACCCCATATGGAAAACTAATTCAGAGTTAGAAATAGAAAGATGATTTCCTTGAGCTGCCACCACACCCAGACCCAACCCCAGCCCTAAAAGGAATGTGACTTATATGGAGTTACCAAATAATAGATCAAAACTCCTCCAGTCTGTCTGCTGCCCACCTCTCGCAATAGAGGCAAATATCCTTGCCCATTTAGTTCCAAAATTAAACTTTACTTCCATATTATAATCACCACTCATTGTGCACAGATTATTTGGACACTGTAGAAAAGTAGAGGGAAGGGGGAAACTCAATCATAGTTTCACACTTAGAGACAAAACTGGTACACTGACTTCCAGTCATTCCTTTATATAAGGTGTAAATTTTTTCCAACATACTAGAAACTGCTTCCCCCTAATGACCAGAGATGCAATTTTAATTTAACATTATAACATACATATTTCTCTTGTTAATATAAATTTGTAAATGCACTTAACCGTATTATATTTATATAATAATGAACATACTAATACATTAATAATTATAGTATATAAACATATATTTATAAATATATTTATAAATATAAGCTTGTAAATATATTTCATATCTTTGTAAATGTATTTAACAGATGTATGATAATTCACTGGATATAGCATAGTTTACTTAACCTAAATGAGTCAAAATAAGGGAATCTCTTTCCAATTTTTCACTGTTATTATTAAGGCTGTAACTAACATAAATGCATAAACATTTTTAGGTATGTAGGCTAGTTTCTTTACAAAAGGCTCCTAGAAGGGATAGAGATGGGTCAAAGGGTATAAACTTTTTAAGGCTTTTTTTTTTCTTTTTTTTCTTGAGACAGGCTCTCGCTCCGATTGCCCAGGCTGGAGTGCAGTGCTGTGATCTCAGCTTACAGCAGCCTCACCCTCCTGGGCTCAGGTGATCCTCCCACCTCAGCCTCCTGAGTAGCTGGGACCACAGGTTTGTGCCACCATGCCCGGGTCATTTTTTTGTATTTTTAGTAGAGATGGGGTTTTGCCATGCTGCCCAGGCTGGTCTTGAACTCCTGGTCTCAGGCAATCCACATGCCTTGGCCTCCCAAAGTGCTGGGATTACCTGCATGAGTCATTGCACCTGGCCCTTTTGCAGGCTTCTTGAGGCTCATTGCCAAAGTTCCCTGGCCTTTTTAAAGGGACAGTAAGAAAACTGTTCTGTGGCAGTCACAGAGGCTCTGTCTGATATCAGGGGAAGGGTTTGCCTCTCAGCTAATTGGAAACCAAACAGACAAACATTTTTATATACTGAAAAATGGCTCACCAGTGGTGGCCTTCATGAAGAGGTGCAGCCTGCTTCATCCATTCCTGAAGGCAAATTAACATCCCAAGGATGTGTTTGTAGGACTGCAAGATTCCCCCAGAGCTATCTTCCAAATGCTAAAAATAGTTTTTTAAAAAAATTAGTGTCAGTGTACATGAATGACAATTCTTTGGTTAAGTGTCCCAGATATCTGGAGAATAGGCGTGTTTGTGTGTGTGTGGGTGTGGGTGTGTGATGTATAGAAACACAACACACAAATACACACACAATCAGACTCCAATGAACACAATGAAGATGCTTATCATATATCTTCAATGAAGGAGATTTAATTTCTCCATTTTCAACACACACAATTTTCAGTCACATTTCCTTTAGTTGGGATAGGTGATGTCACCTGCTGTCACTGCAGAAATAAAGGCTCCTCTCCCCCTTTGTAATATACATTGATGAGTGGAAGCATCGGCATTTGCTAACAAATTACTATACCTGCTGCTTGCTGCTATTTCCTCCTCCATCTGCCTCCCAGACAGACATTTTTTGCCTATCCAAATCCATTTGAATTCCCAGTTCAAAGAATCTTTGTTAGATGGCCAACGTGTTCCCAAGAGCATTGGGAGGAACTAATAAAAGACACACACATTTCATATGTGGTGGCATCATGCCAGAGTGATACTGCCAGCATTGCTTTAGCGAATGCTGATGGCCAGCATGCCCGCCGACACAGCAGGCAGCCGAGGTAATGCATATTCACAAGGTGCCTTAATCCCTTGTGAGGTGTACTGAGTGCCCACTGGGTAGTTTGTATCTCTGTTAAGAGCATACCGGTCGCAACTCCAAGGGAAGTGAGCATACTAAAATATTGTAATCGGATTCCTAGGGCACTGTTTTTCTCCTAGCTCAGCGATTAGAGATTTCCCCGTGGAAATGTTATTCACATGAAAGCCTTCAAATATAAAATATTGTACTAGAAGAGGGAGGGGTTACGTATAGATGTACAGTCAGTCCAGAAATGTGCGACTATCTTTCTGCATGCTTATTTACGTGCACACACACGTACCACAAATTATATGTACATCCCCAACAAATGTATTCGAGAAAAAGACAGCAATGCCGTTCCACTGTTTGTGCACACATGCAGAGGAAATGGTCCATTCCAAGACTGGACAGATACCTCTGAAGGATCCTTTAGCTTGGGTCTCAATCATATGCATAAAGAGGCTTTTCACCGAGTGGATGACTAATTCATTCATCTTGATCGATAATTAGAACTGACAAAGAACAGATCAACACAAATCACGAGGGCAAAAACATCTGGGACGCAGTTTAATGAGAATACCCCAAAACCTCTTTAGTAGTAATTGCATTGCAAGCACCAAATAGCTTTCGCGGTTGTTTTTGCAAATGATACAAATTAGCACCCAAGATCTGAAAAGTTTACTGACTCTAAAAACATTGGGGAATTTAGCAGGGCCCTGAGTACCTTGGCCAAATATACGTACTAACCTAGATACATTCTGGCATATAAATTTGGGGGCTTCTTGCAATGCGAAAAAAAAGTTAAGATTCTGAATCCTACTGCTGTTTGCACTTGGAACTCCCAGGAGGGCAGGTTCATCTGTGAGGCAGTTTTCCTCTTTCCCCGCAGAATTCCTTACCAATTTCACACAAATACCCTGAGAATTTTTAAATATCCAAGATGCTTAAAATCTGCAAGTGTAGATCCTTTTCCTTGTTGGGAAATGTAGACACCACACAAACAATTTGAAGGTTTCATGGGTACAAAGTTATACCTAAAAAGCTCAGGAAAGCTGTCATAAGATGTAACAATTGCCTATCTTATGGGATCTAAACAAACCTAGAGAAACAATAAGAAGAGATTTTCAAAGCAGTTGACTCTGGTTTTGACTTGTTTCCTTCTTCAGTCACCTCTGCCTAAGTCCAGCAAGAAGTTAGGAAAAGGTGCTAATCATATAAATCCTGCAGAGGGAAATTTCAGACAAGTTAAATATGCCAAACTGAAACAGGAAGGCTTCATTAAAAAAAAAACAAAAAAAAAATGTCACAATGAAGCAATGCCTTTCTCAATGCTTACAATGCTCTTTCTCTCCTTTTATGTAGTTCTCTTCCCTTCTTCAAGACTTTCCTGGCAGCGGCACACCGCTGTGGACTCAGGGTTCCAACTCTTACAGTATTTGCTTGCACTACGCTTGGTCGATTAGCCTATTCGATTTCCACTTATTCATTTCTGCCTTGTAAGCTTAGAATATGTTCAATCCATGTGTGTCCATGGCACCCCATCTTTTTGAATCGTACTCCCTTTTATCAAACATTTTCTACCTGTAGTTTTCCATGTGGGAGTGTCCCAAGGTCAGCAAGGCAGGCACATTCGGTGAAAAGACTACAGAAAAGAGGTGGTTCCGAAAAACGGAAGGACCTCCAAAAGTCATGCGCCCACTAAGATGCAGTGAGAACTTCTAAGCATGCTACCGTGGCTGATGACATGAAACAGTTACATTGTTAAGACAGACAAACAAAAAACCCTGCTGTCTGTCTTTTGGAGTTCTCTAGCAATACTTGTGAAATGATTTGAGATAACACCATTTTAGGATCCTCATCTTTTTGTAGAAAAGTAAGGGCTTATTGAAACATAGTCATCAGGCCCCATTGCTGATGGTTCCAGCTGCCTTGTTGGAGATAATGGAAATGAGAAATTACATCCACATTATATATCTGCAAAAGCTTCCAGAAGATATTTCAGAGTCATTCTAGGGAAGAACAGAAATGGACACATCATATTGTAGTGTTTCAACAAATCCCACTCCCCACAGTATTTTACTTCAAGTAAAATCGAATAAACGTAAAATTAATTTAGAACAATATTCAATAAGGAAAATGTCACCAAAAGAGTTTAAATGAACATTAAATGCACCTGGAAGTGGAAGGGAAGTCCTAATTTTCTTTGCCTTGGAGCCTCTTAAGAATGCAGGTTGGACCTCATGTTGGAATGTTTCCAGGCCTTTTTTACTCTTTCCTTAACACCAGCTACTAAGTCCCAGTTGCCCCTGTGACTTTCGTATCTAGCATGTGAAGCAACTTCTGTAAGCAAGGAGCAATATTATGATATGGACATAAAATTTGAAATGGCAGGTAATGAAATGGCTTGTGAAGTGGTATAGTTGGAAATAACATTTCGAAATTTAATTTTTTTTTTTTTTTGAGACAGTCGCGTTTTGTTGCCCAGACCGGAGTGCAGTGGTGTGATCTTGGCTCACTATAACCTCTGCCTCCTGGGTTCAAGTGATTCTCGTGTCTCCGCCTCCTGAGTAGCGGGGATTACAAGTGTGCACCACCACTTGTAATTTTTTTTATCTTTAGTAGAGCCGGGGGGTTCACCACGTTGGCCAGACTGGTCTTGAATTCCTAGCCTCAAGTAATCCTTGCTCCTTGGTCTCCCTAGGTGGTAGGATTACAGGAATGAGCTACTGTGCCTGGCAGAAATGTCTCTATGAACACTCAGTAGCCACCTGACCTATAACAGCTAGCAAGGGGAGGGGAAACTATGGGACAATCTGGCTGCCCCACTTTTGTATAGCCTATGAGTTAAGAATGATTTTAACCTTTTTAAGCGGTTGAAAAAAAATCAAAAGAAGACTAATATTTTGTGATATGAGAAAATCACATGGAATTAAAACGTCAGTATCCATCAATACGGTTTTATTGGAATATAACCACACCATTCATTTCCATCTTGACTGCCTGCAGAGTTCAGAAATTGTGATGAGATGTTATGATCTGCAAAGCCGAAAATATTTACTATCTGACTCATCCTAGAAAAATCCTGAGCTAGAAGAAAGCATTGCTGAAGCACCATGAGGGTTGTAGACAAGATAAATGTATAGTTTACAGATAAATTCAACATTTTCTCTGGAACAAAAAAGACCACACCCTTTTTCTAAACTGATAAACAGATTTTTTAAAATGTTAATGGAAGTTAACAGGGCATAAATTTACATGCTTCCATGCCCCGTTCTCAGCCTCTGTTACGGCATTCACTGCATTGTAAAAATTGTAGGTGGTCCAGTTTGGTTATTTTGCCTTCTTAATTACAATTTGATAAATATTTGCGGCACCACTCTTCCAATATACTTTTTAATCCAGGTTAAATATTTCACTTAGTAGCACAACTAAAGGAATCCCAAAGTATCCAAGTAATAATTAAGTATTTTAAAGAAGAGATCAAGCGCAAAGGTGTAGAAAATTCCAAGGAGACAGCACTAACAGTGGCTCAGTAATGAGAAGCAATCTGGAAAATACAGTCTATAAACAAGTACCTGCCTGCTTAATTCCCCACTCATTTACAATATTCCAGGCAGAGACTTTAAATGGAAAGACTGTCTTATTCTACAGAGAATCTAATGAATTTAGCACTTAGAATGAATTCATCTGGGAGGGGTTTAAAAGGAACTTTTAGCTTGTCAAATTTATTGTTATCAAAAACCTAGTAAAAAGTAAAGATGTATTTTACATCACACGGTGTGTACTACATCTTGTTAATGTAATGTAAGTAGACATGTTCTCTTCAAAAAATCAAAAACGTTTGTTTTAGGAAATGTTTAAAATATCCTTTAGTGGGCAAGACTGAAAACACTAAAAATAATTTGAAATTCAAATCTGGACAATTCTCTCAACATTAGGGTTATTTGAGCCAGATCATTTGAAAAGAAAAATGACAAAGAATTCCTTTTAATCTTCGAAACACAATTACTGTATAGTGTTAGAGCTGGTTGATAAGAAGAGATATCTTAGCTTAGACAATACTGTAATTACAACAGCACAATTCCAATTCACCAGAACATCCACAGGCCTTCCTCTTAAAAACTTGCAACTGCTGTACTCCACGACAAAATTCTGTATGTGTGGGTTTGTTATTAACTCTAGGTTTGAATTAGAATTCCCTATCTTACAGCTTGGAGCTAAACTCTGTTTACAAAACAGTATTTACACTTGACTAATTTTGCAGATCAAACTAATTAAATCAATTAAACTGGTGATTAACCAAATGAAGGCTGATTGCAAAAATTAGTGGGTTTATTTTGGAGGACTGGAAGTAAGCTAATTACTGCAGTGATTACTTGAACCTGTAGTACTCTAAATGTGGTATAAATTGAAACCTCATCGTGAATTAGACTGGGAATTCATTACAGTTTAAAGCACTGTTAATACTATTCAGTCTGTTCCTCCTTGGGGAAAATTTCCTCTCTCTGTGTTTTGTATACTGATAAACAATCACTTGGGTTATGTGCATTTTGTGGTGCAACCAGTAAAATAAGAGATGCTGAAGAAAAATTATTTACGTTTAGAGTGATAAACACCAGTGCCTGTCAAACTTTAATGTGCATATGAAACACCTGAGGATCTTGCTAAAAGGCAGGTTATAATTTACGATGATGTGGGTGGAAGTGGTAGTTGGGGTTGCAGTGGAAGCACAGTATGGGAGGTGTGTGTTCATGCGAGTGTGTGTGTGTGTGCGCGCGCGCCTCTCTGCATATGAGTATGCATGTGTGCTAAGATTCTGCCTGTCTATCAAGCTCCCAGGTGATGTTGATGCTGCTGGTTCTTGGACCACACTTTGAGCAACAAGCACATACATTGAAGCAGACTGTTGAACAGTTAGATTTTGATGCTTCAGGATGGGATATGGAGACCAAGCTGTCATTACATTCCCTGATGATGAAATCTGACCCACTTTCAGTAGCAATGCCTGAGCAGGTAGCCTCGGCAACAACTGATGCAGTAATGGCTCCTACTGATGGGTCCTTATCAGTGGCTTTTCTCATGGTCTTCTCATGCAGGTGTGTTAGTAACAGATTATTTATGTCCATACATAATGCATTCTACTAATTGGTTTTTAAAGCATATAATTTTAACAAAATGTGAATGTGGCTGAGCATGTGGTCTACATTTTGCTGATTTAAATATCACTGAGCTTTCTGCTGTTTTGCCTTAGCTTTGGATTTATGAGATGTTATTTACAATAATACAAGAGAGGCTTTGAGTTTTGTCTAAAGACACAGTTAGGTCTAGGAGAGAGATGTTGATTTTTATGCAAAATTTAAAGGGATGCAAGCAATTTCCTTTTGTAGCCATGCTGGAGGAGATGTAGGCATGTTATTTCCAGTGTTTCAGTTATTTTCAATGTTTCAGCTCTTTTCATGTTATTTTCAGTGTTGCTTCCACTTTAAAAATTGGGGGAAAAAGTTAATTTTCTCAATTAATCAATGAACCTGTCTTGACATTTGGTTTCCTGCATGTTGTGGGTTCATAGCAAGAAACACCTTATCCCTACAGGAAATCCCACAACCTTTAGCAATGACTATTCATTGCCATTTGATAAGTAGTACCCCCCTGTGTGCCAGGGGCTAGAGAGTGCAAATATGAACAAATTAGGACCACAGACTGTGTTTTAATAAAGACAGAGCTCCTGGAAAGGGAAGGCCCTTCTGAAGAGTTTCCATCTGGTGCAAGAACAATAGCGTGGCTACACAAACAGCTTTACGTTAGAAACAGGTCACTCAGGGCTTTGACAAGCTGCCTGAAAGTTAATCAGAAACACTTTTGGTTGCAATTCTTGTTGAAATGCTTCTTAGATTATTTTTTTCATATTAGTCTTGTGAAAGTATTTGAATTTTTTCTTTATGCTCACAGACGTTTGCAAGCTGCCAGCTCCCCAGTCTGGATGTGAACTAGCATCACAGAATCTGGTGGGTGAAGATGGAGAAGGTGCAGGGGGTTGAACTGAGTCTTTATAGATCCCAGAGAAAGAGCTTTAAAAATGAAACTCAGATTGTCCTCTTTCTTCCAAAACTTAAAAGTAGTAAAAACAAATAAAAATTATAGGCTAGAACTTCTCGAGTGAGGTTTCATGATGCCAAGCTTTGGAGATTTTGTCAAGTTGAATCAGTTGAAGGAATTTAGCATAAAAATTGAAGAGTTTTCTTGCCTTAGCAAAAATCATCAGAATATTTCTGTTAATTACCAACTGATGATCTGCAGAATTCCTAATTATAGAAGACAAAAACAAATGATCACATTTGTTTTTGAGAGACTGTGTTTTTGAGAGACTTGTTTCTGAGAGACTGTGTGCAGGTGACAGTTGCTTCCGTGAACTTACCATGGTCTGAGACTGCATGTTTGGATTTTGTCCACTGACCTGGAGTGGATCTATCTTTTCAGGGCAAAATGACAGTAACTGAAATATATATATTTATAGGCATTCAGGTGTGTGTACCAGTACATAGCTCTCCTCTCCTAGATACACACAGCAGGAATCCTAGTGTCTGTTACACTCTCAGGAAGTTGATTTAATACTTTACAATGGGAAGGATACTTGTCTAGAGGTCCGCATGCTCACACAGACCTGCCCAGTGCGTTCATTTCCTGTAGGAAAAGCTAACACAGGCCCAATTATCAGATGCTTGTCGATATTAGGGAGAACTTCTCAGTTAAGATAGCATGAGGCCCTCTTCCCACTGTAAGGATAGCCTTTTCACAGAAGGCTTCATGGACATAGGCATGGACAACAATGACCAGGATTCTTGTTTTTGAAATTTTCTATGATTCTTCTAAACCCTTCTCTACATACCTCTTCCTCCTAACGGGATGCAATGACATTAAGTAATGACTTATCAACTATAACCCCACTCCTAGTCCATCTTTCGGAAATGCATCCTAAATCAACTTGAAGGCAATGGGAAGAGATGGAAGGGACCTGTGCACTTTGTGACTACACTGAGCAGCTGCTGATGGAGCTGCCCAACTCAGGATTTCCTCATCATGTAACACTTTTTTTTTTTAATTAAGCCACTTGAATTAAGGTTCATGTTCTGTGCAAATAAAAGCAACAGGATGGCCAGGTACAGTGGCTCACGCCTGTAATCCCAACACTTTGGGAGGCCAAGGTGGGTGGATCAGCTGAGGTCAGGAGTTCGAGACCAGCCTGGCCAACATGATGAAACCCCATCTCTACTATAAATACAAAAAAATTAGCTGGGCATAGTGGCGGGTGCCTGTAATCCCAGCTACTTGGGAGGCAGAGGCAGGTGAATCTTTTGAACCCAGGAGGTAGAGGTTGCAGTGCGCCGAGATCATGCCATTGCACTCCAGCCTGGGCAACAAGAGCCAAACTCCATCTAAACAAACAAAATAACAAACAACAACAAAATAAAGATAAAAATAAAAAATAAAAATAAAACAAAACAAACAAAAAAACCAGGAGCTTTTCTTCTTGACAAAGGGACTACTTCTTTTCCTTATGCAACCCAAAACTTTGGACACTTCCTGCATTTGTGCTGGATGAACACTGGAATTTTTATATTGCCAATTAATTCCATGTCTCTATTTTTCAGATGAATAAATGGCTTGAATAAATGAATCCAGAACTTAGTAGTTACACAAAACTGTACCAGAACTCTCTCAATTATTGTCAGCCAAGATGGCCTTTTCCCCAAAACTGGATCATAGTTCCTGGGAAAACTTTTCTCTCAAAAGCTGAGTGGATTGAGCCAGTGTTCCCACATCTGCCTTCCCATGCAGAGAGTCCAGGTAAAGAATAAATGTATTTCGTTTAGATGCAAACTCCTCTTACCTGCCCCGCCCCAGTTTAGAATTAAAGCCTATTTAAGATTTCATCCAGGTCACTTTTCCATACTCCGCCCTTTTGTTGGGTACAGCATTTAAAATGTTAAGCCAATTTGCATTTGATTATTTCATTATTTCAGAAAGTACCCACTCAAGGACTGAATTACCAATGAGATGTTAACATAAACTAGGTAAATAGCACAAGGTAATTTACAATATGGAGATAAATGGACATACCCGTAGACTAGAATAAGAAGCATGTAACCAGTTAATGAAATTTATAGTAACTTACAGTGGGAATATTTAACATTAAGAGTGCAGTCTCAACTAACCTGGAAGTTGGGGTGATTCTTTTCTGAGTGTTCTTTTGGGGTCTAACTTATGCAGGGTAGTCAATGTATTAGCCCAACTTGCAGTGAAATGGATTAATTTGTCCTTTAATATTGCATGATTTCAGGTGTGAAAAGAAGCAGAGAGAAATCCTCTTTCCTTGAGACCTTGAGGAAGACTGACATGAGCTTTTGAAAGCTTTCCTAAGAGTTTATATAGATATATTTATGCAGCATTCTTGAACACCTTATATGTGAGAGGCATCAAGCATCTTGTCAGGTGCTGAGGAGTTTGTGAAGATGCATTAGACTTAGATTCTGCTTCCATGAGGATCCAGATAAGACACTGACTTAAAATAGTGACAGAAAAAGAGAAAAGTGACTCCACAATGTTGCTCCTTGAGAAATGTGAGGGGAATGACGCTGCTGAGGGAAACAGGGCCATGGGGTGGGAAGTGTTTCTGTCCTTAGATGACCTTGGATCTTAGGGTGTTGAATTTCAGATGTTGCAGGACAGATCTGTGGACATATTTTATGCAGCTGGAGACCATCAGGCAATTAGAATTTTTTTTTTTTTTTTTGAGACGGAGTCTTACTCTGTCGCCCAGGCTGGAATGCAGTGGTGCAATCTCGGCTCACTGCAACCTCCACCTCTCAGGTTCAAGCAATTCTCCTACCTCAGCCTCCCAAGTAGCTGGGACTACAGGCGTGTGCTACCACTCCCGGCTAATTTTTTGTACTTTTAGTAGAGATGGGGTTTCACCGTGTTAGCCAGGATGGAGGCTTTTTGAATTTTACATAGTACTCCAATTGCATTTATTTTAATAAGTTTTCTCTACATTAATAACTAGACCATCCTTAATAGGTAAGGCTTTTTGTTTAGAAATTCATTATAGCTACATACTAATAAAATATTAGGAGTGACAGGGGGTGCTTTTCAAGTCAAAACTGGAAGGAAACACCCAGCAGATCACTTTGCTTGCCCCTTGTTTGGGCCAGTTTTAAACACAACGTTGGGAAACACCACAGCCCAGTGGAAAGCTCACTGGCTTGGATATCAGAAGATGCGAATTCTTTTTCTGACCAGTAACGTGACCCTTGGAAAAGTCACTTAGTCTTTTTGCAATATTGTTTTCTCATCTGTAAAGGTAGATAGGACTCATTAATCACAAAGTCTCTTCTAGATCTTTCTTTCCATGATTTCTATTGTACATTGTTGATCACTCCCCAACTTTATTTTACCCTTGACATCTCTCTCCATCAGAGGTGTTTTAAAAAATGTGTACAATTTTTTAGCTTCCCAAAACATAATCATTATTTTCCCATTTGTTTCTTTTAATTTTACTTTAAGTTCTGGGATACACGTGCTGAACGTGCAGCTTTGCTACATAGGTATACATGTGCTATGGTGGTTTGCTGCACCTATCAACCCGTCATCTAGGTTTTAAGCCCCTCATGCGTTTGTCCTAATGCTTTCCCTCCCCTTTCTCCCTATTCCCCAACAGGCCCCGGTTGTGATGTTCCCCCTTCCTGTGTCCATGTGTTCTCATTGTTCAACTCCCACTTATGACTGAGAACATGCGGTGTTTGGTTTTCTGTTCCTGTGTTAGTTTGCTGAGGATGACGGTTTCCGGCTTCATCAAGTCCCTGCAAAGGACATGAATTCATTCTTTTTTTATGACTTCCTAGTATTCCATGGTGTAAACTGTTTTAAATTTCATATGGAACCAAAGAGCCTTTATAGCCAAGACAATCTTAGGCAAAAAGAACAAAGCTGGAGGCATCACGCTACCTGACTTCAAACTATACTACAAGGCTATAGTAACCAAAACAGCATGGTATTGGTACCAAAACAGATACATAGACCAATGTAACGTAACAGAGGCCTCAGAAATAGCATACATTTGTTTCTTACTGAGCCCTAAAATGATGACCTTATTGATAACACCTCCATTCAGATGAGGAAATTGGGACATAAAGAGAGTAAAGGGCTTGCCTAAGGTTCCCAGCTGGTGCGTGTCAGAGCTGGGACTCATACCAGGTCCTCTTCCTATCTCACCCCTCTACACACACAAATCTTTCCACCCCAAACAAATGTCTTCATTTGGTCCGTGCTTGAATAGACTTTAAAAGAAAAGGTCTTGTAAAGACATAATTAACATTTGGGATTAATTGCAGATACAAAGATATTTTTAAACTTTTTCTTCCGAAATAATTTTCTATTTACAGAAAATTTACAAAAATAGTACAGAGAGTTCCTGTATACCTCTTACCCCGCTTCTCCTAAATGTTAACATCTTATACAACCATAGTACATTTGTCAAAACTAAGAAATTGACATTGGTATAATAATATTAAACTACAGACTTAATTTGGATTTCACCAGTTCAAATTTTAATGGACTAATTAGAGTAAATTGTTGAGTTGGAATAGGGTCATAGATATAAGGTCTTGTGGCCCCCATCAAATAATACTATGCACAGATGTGTATGTACAGCTGGCCTTACAGCAGATACAGACTACTAACACAAAAGCATCCTCGTCTTTGATGAGAAAGTCAACAGACTTGGGAAGCTGCGATTATGAGAAAAAGAGTGGCCACAGGGAGCATTGATAATCCAAAATCCAAAATCCAATGTCCAAGAAACATTTCAGATTCTGTCTTTTATGGACAAGGTGCTCACAGTCACCATCCATCATTTCCTAAGTACAATCTTTTCCTGGAAGATATTGCAGTATTATTCAAAACATGCCAAAGTGGGCAGGAGATCCCAAGAGTAATTGTGAGTTATGAGGTCATGGGGACCTCATTGCAAACTATTTGCAAAACTTAATTGGGGTAATAAATAAACTAAGCATGTAAATTAGATTGAAGACTACTGTGTGAATTAGAAGGAGGCCATTAGCCTGCCTAGTCAAAATGCCTTCTTCCTGTTCTGTAATATTTGCTGAGTTGAACTGTTAATCGAAGGAGCATTAAATTCAGATATCCTAAAATTTCAGAACTAAAGTAACTTGGAAATAAAGCCATTTAATGAGATCCTTTCTGGACCAAAGAGTAAGCTTTACTTTTTATGATTGGGTACTTAGGTACTTCTCAAAGAGAGGATGGTCTGGCATTCACGTCCAAATCCATATGCCTCCCAGGGTGTGAATTCATCTTAGCCAGTGTACTTAGAAGCAAATGTAGAAGAAAAAAAAATGAAGCTCAAAAGGAATAAAATAAGGAAGCCATTTCCAATCGACAAAAACAAACAAATCTGTAGGTTGAAATGAGACTGTCCCCTCCTCCTTTTCTTTTTTTGGTTTCTGAAACCACGTGGTCAAAAATAACTTCAGGCCTGACCTTTCTCTTCATATATCTGAAGAATGAGTAAAGGAACCTCTTGGAGGTAAATATAAATATTAAGAAAGAAACCAAATGCCCAAACACTGCATCTAATCATCGGCCTAAGTCAAGTCTTATAGCAGCTTTTTTTTTTTTTTTTAAGCAGTTGATTGAATGAATACAAATGCCTCTCTGTTGTCACTTGGGATGCCACTTGATATATCCCATTTTCTAGACTCTAATTATTCCATTTGTAGACATGAATGCCATTTAGATGTGAGCTAATTCAGCATGGTAACTCAATTAGATTCGTACCGACTTGGATTTATGAAACATCAATGGGTTCTTGGTGAGACCAATGGGACTGCGGGTGATTCATCCTGAAGTCTCACCGACACAGCCTCTCAGGAGCGCAATTAAACATGCCAGCCATGAGGATGTTTTTTAGCTGGAATGTTTCACAATTAAAATAAAAAAGATTCCTGTGTTTCTCTGTGCACATGGCCCAGCAGAAAAGAAAGACGTGTAATAACAAGGACTGAAGTTTCCCTTTAGGTTGTATGTTATCTCCAGCAAAGAAGGCTCCTTCACTTGGCTGTGTTCCAGCACCTGTGTGGCCAAACTTGGTTGTTGACCTAAGTGGCAAAGGCCGTGGCACTTCACAATTTGCCTCACATTCAAGGGCACTCAATAAATGTTGATTGAACAAAATTGCTAAGTTCATCTTAGAGCCTGTATCTGCATCTTGACTCTCAGAGCTGAAAGGTAGATGCTAATACCACATTAGATTTGTAAAAATATAAGAAATCTCAAAGTGATGAAAATTATGCTGTGTTTTCAGCCTAAAAGTGTGGCCCGTGGTGAGAAAATGGGGGAAAATATGTGAACCAGGATTGTCCCCTGACAGTACTTTTAGCTTGTAAAAGTACTCTTTTCAAAACAAATGATTTTACTGAGCAGTTCTGTGCTGGGCTTAGACATGAAGGCAAGCTCCTGCCGTGTTAAGGGCCGATGCCTGGCAGAGATCTGCCTCACACTCCTTTTTCACTGTGGGAGTGTTTGAAGATGAAAGGACCCACGGGTCCTTAACCCGGGGCTTGGCACAGGAGGCATAGTTAGAAACACTGTGTGAATTCACGAAACAACATAATGGGCATGAACTCACTCTGTCAATGATGAAACACTTTGGAAATGTCTGTTGTCATTTTCCTAAATCAAGTCTTAGTTAAGAAAGACATTACTTTGTTATTCCAAGATCTGGATGAGGGACAACACAAAGGGGAAAGAGATTCAATGTTATCATCTCTCTCTTTGTTGCTTTCTCTCAGTTTAATACTCCACTATTTATTTCTACTGTGAGATTATTATTATTTGTAGAATAGTAGTAGTAGTAAAAGTAGTAACAGTGAGTAGCAGGTAGTAGTGGCCGTAGTAATACTTGGTCAAGTATTGTAAGTAACATTTGCTTTTCGTGTTAGAATTTTCAAAGTGCAGTCCACATAACTTGTGTCATTTCATCCCTACAACACTCCTGCAGAATAGACATCATTTCCTCCATTTTATAGCTGAGGAAACCGCTCAAGAGAGGTGGTTTTTTGTCTTGCCTAAAATCATGCAGCTAAATCTCAGTGAAGCCGGTATTTCAACCTTGTCTTTTCTCTGTAAATTCTTCTCATGTGGTATATATAGAAGAAGGAACATGAGGTTTAGATCAAAAAACACTGTTTTACTTTCTGGTTTTATAATTTTGAATGTTTCATGAACTGATAGATAAATCTAGCCTCAGCACATTATGAATCTGAGGACATTCTTAAGTTTGAGTTGGCTAAAACTTCCAAATTGTTTTTTTTAAAATCATTCCCCAAGAGTGTCAGCTTATACTAGCATAGCAACAGGAGGTGGGAACACCAGGGGATGGGAATAACGTTGTCTGGAGAGAGGAGCTTCTCCAAGCCTATGCACCTACGTTTCTTTAATCTCAGGGGAGCCTTCATTAAATTGGAAACAAAGGTTAGAACTCCCTTGTATTGTTTTTGGGGCAACTCCTTTCTTGCTTCTAATTTCCAACAGTAATGGTCTCTGCAAAGACTTTTTGAAGAACCACCTAAAAGAGAGGGGGCATGAGTTTATTTGTACCACATCAGCATCAGTTAACACATGCATAATTCACTGTAATCTTGTGGTATCCTCACAACCAACCAACCCACCTTGGCTCCTTTTCATTCCAGGAAATGCCATCTCGGGCGGCAGAGGGGAACATCAGAATGACCAGTGCTGGGGTCAGGAGCTGCCAAGTCTCCCGCATCTTACTCTGCCACTGACCCCTGGGGATTTAGGGCAGCTGCCAGCTGGCTGGGCAGCCTTAGGCAATTCACCCAACTCCTTGAGACTTATTTTCTTCATCTGTGGCAAAAGTGCTCCCCTCAAAAACTCTTGGAAGCATTAAATAAAATGATAGGTGTGAAAATACTTTGTAAACCATTTAACCTATGCTTCCTGCCCTTTTTTCCCAAGGGACACTATACCATAACCCGCTATATCTTTTTTTTTTAGATCTACCCGTGTTAAATGCAACATCTTAGAAACTTACAATGTACTTTGACATATTAAGGACTCTGAGCCCGGACATCATGGGTCACATCTGTAATCCCAGCACTTTGGGAGGCCAAAGCAGGACAATTACTTGAGCCCAGGAGTTCCAGACCAGCCTGGGCAACATAGTGAAACCCTGTCTCTACAAAAATAAAAAAAATGAGCCAGCTGTGGTGGCATGTGCCTGTAGTCCCAGCTACTCAGGAAACTGCGGCAGGAGGATCCCTTGAGCCCAGGAGTCCAAGGCCGCAGTGAGGTAGGATCGTGCCACTGCATTCTAACCTGGGTGACAGAGTGAAACCCTGTCTCTAAAAATAAATAAATAAATAAATAAATAATAATCTGAGAAGTCCTGAGAAATAAACTCTGTGGAAATGTGTTCAGTGCAAAGTTTCACAAGCTATTTGACCACAGATTTGTTTTTGTTGTTGTTGCTGAGATGGGGTCTTGCTTTGTTGCCCTGGCTGGAATGCAGTGGCATGATCTTGGCTCACTGCAACCTCCGCCTCCCAGGCTCAAGTGATCCTCCCACCTCAGCCTCCCAAGTAGCTGATACTACGGGTATGCACCACCATGCCCAGTGAATTTTTATATCTTTATTTGGTAGAGAGAGGGTTTCACCATGTTGAACAGGCTCATTCTTCATTTAATACCTAATGTCAAGTTGTGCTGCAGTCAGCTTTAAAGGCCTGAATCCACACAAGTCATTCTCAGGGCTTTGTGAGTGGCAGGGTGCCCTTCTTGCCACCTCCATCTGCCTCAGCCCTCTTCTGTGTTGACAGGTTCCCCCAAAGGTTAGCAAAGATGACCTCCAGCAGCCCAAGACTTCTGCTCAGGAATCTAGCAAAAAGAGCATCTCTTCCCCCAATAATTCTAGAAATGGTGCCAATCTCATTCATAAACCCTGAGTTGTGCTCAATCTTTAAGCAATGGCTGTGGGCAGGGGGAAGGAATTCTTTCACTGGTAAGGCCTAGATCACATGCTCACTTCTGGAAGGAGGAAAGGTCGGTCGTATCTAATCCAGGTGGACTGAAAACAGAAGTGGATCTCCAAAAGAATAATGTTACAAAATGGGGGTATTGGCGGTAGTGAAGGAATTCCAGACAGGCAAAAAACCCAGGAGCACTCATATCACTTCTCCATCATTCCTCTTCCTAGGGCAGAGGTTTTTAAACTTTGGTATACATAGGAATCCCCTACAAAATTTATGGAAAATACCAATTTCAGTGCCTTACCCTACTTCTAAGATTCTGATTCCATATTCTGAGATATTGCCTGGAAATCAGTCCTTTCTGCAAGCACCAGATACAGGTGGTCCAAGTATCATATTTTCAGGAATAAGGGCAATAAGAAAAACACATTTCTAGCCATTCTCAATCTTTGCTGCATGTCAAAATAAACATTTTTTTTTTTCTTGAGACGGCTCACTGTCGCCCAGGCTGGAGTGCAGTGGCATGATCTCTGCTCACTGCAGGCTTCGCCCCCTGGGTTCACGCCATTCTCCTGCCTCAGCCTCCCAAGTAGCTGGGACTACAGGCGCCCGCCACCTCGCCCAGCTAATTTTTTGTATTTTTAGTAGAGACGGGGTTTCACCCTGTTAGCCAGGATGGTCTCAATCTCCTGACCTCGTGATCCGCCTGCCTCGGCCTCCCAAAGTGCTGGGATTACAGGCGTGAGCCACCGCGCCTGGCGAATAAACATTTTTTTTTTTTTTCCAAATCAGATGCCTGAGCACTACCTGGCAATCTTTCAAAGCAACATTTGCAAGGGTAAGGCTGGCAAAGTAGATGTGGATCCACAGGTATTTCTAACGGGCCCTAAAGCAGCGATTCTTGACATTTACTATGTATATGAATGAGCTGGGATCTTCTTAAAATGTAGATTCCGATTCAGCAGTTTTATGGTAAGGCCTGAGATTCTGCATTTCTAGCAAGCTCTGAGGCAATACCACTGGTGCTAGTGCATGGACCATGCTTTGAGCAGCAAGATACTACAGGCTGAGGGCCACCCTGTGTATTCGATTTGCACATTTCAAGGTGTGTCTGAACGGGCCAACCAGCCTGCCAGGGTGCATAAAAAGACCTGTTTCTAATAGGATTTATTCATAGTGATATTTCTCACTTTCTTCCAAGATGTGTAGAGCTTATTTTACTTTATTTTATTTTTATTTTTCCTAGAAACAGGGTTTTTCCATGTTGGCCAGGCTGGTCTCCAACTCATGACCTCAAGTGATCCGCCTGCCTCGGCCTCTCAAAATGCTGGGATTACTGGCATGAGCCACTGCACCCAGCCTAGAGCTCATTTTAAAGTAGTTCAAAGTGAACACAGTCCAGCCTCTAAAAGCTGGAGTACGCATGTGTACATTTTTTATTTAACTAACACTTTGGTGCTCCAGGTCTCACCTAGACTCTGGAAAGACAAAGAAAAGTGAGACAGGATCTCTTATGGAGCTCACAGTGGGGGTGAACCATCATCCTGGTTCGCTCAGAACTGCAAGTGTGACTTTAGCAGTCACACTTTATCAGGGAAGAAAGACATGTAGGCCAATTAACTATATACAATTAGTGAGGGCAGAGGAGGAGTGATATGGCTTGGATATTTGTCCCCTCCAAATCTCATGTTGAAATGTAATCCCCAGTGTTGGAGGTGGGGCTTAGTGGGAAGTGTTTGGGTCATGGGGAGGCAGCCCCCCACAAATGTCTTTGTGCTGTCCTCGAGATAATGAGTGATCTGTCATGAGATCTGGCTGTTTAAAAGTGTGTGACACCTCCTCCTTCTCTCTCTCTCTCTTCTTTCTCTCTCTTTCTACACCTCAGGTGATTCACCCACCTCAGCCTCCCAGAGTGCTGGGATTATAGGCATGAGCCACTGTGCCCAGCCCTGACTTACATTTTTAAAACTCCACTCTGGCTGCTGTGTTGAGAAGCAACTGTGTGGTAGGGGAAGGGCATGAGGAGGAAGACTGGTTATGAGGCTGTTACAAGAGAGGATGGGAGCTCAGACAAGGCTGGATGCAGGGGAGTGGGTTTCTCTCTGTGGGTTTCCCCAGTCCCTGGAGAGTCGAGGCCCTTTCAACCTCTGGAGAACTGACTTTTCCAACTACTTGGGTGATCTGGGCAGATTTATCACCCTCCCAAGGCTTCATTTTCATCATCTGTAAAATGCAGACAGTCATATCTGCCTTTTCTGACTCATGAGGTTCTTGTGAGAATTGAATGAGATCACCGCTGTGGAAAGCATAGAGCAAAGCAGGAAAGAAAACAGGTATGAGTCAAAAGCCACCAGCGAGACCTCTAATCTGGCAATACCAAAAGAGAAATGCTGCTGTCTCGTCATTGGCTCAGACCATTCATGAAAGGGTGCTGCCGAATTTAAAGGTTAAACCCTAAATCATAGATTGAGAGGAGACATTGATGATTATTTGGTCAAGATCCACATCTCTCAGATAAAAGGAAACTGAGATGCAGAAATGAAGGTTGCTTTCCCGAGACAATGCAGTGAGAGGTGGAGCCACGCTAGAGTCTCAGTTCCTGGTCTTCCTCTGCCATGCGGCCCATCTCAAAGTCCTGTCAAATGTCTCAGTCTCAAAAACTAACCAAAGCACAATTAAGATAAAAGGAAAAAGAAAGCTGGGTGCTGTGGCTCACGCCTGTAATCCCAACACTTTGGGAGGCTGAGGCGGGAGGATCGCTTGAGCCCAGGATTTCAAAACCAGTCTGGGTAATGTAGTAAGACCCCATTTCTACTTTAAAAAAATTAAAATAAATACATAAATTACAAAAAAAGAAGGAAAAGGAAAAGAAGGCGCTCAGTTATGAGGTGTACAACAGCTTTGTAGCTTGCAGGTGCATAATAGAATTTGATCTTCCCAATGACTCCTGGAGTTTTCAAATACTCCCATTTTACAAATAAGGAAACAGAGATTTGGGAAGATCAGCCAAATGATCCCACATTACACAGCCAGCAAGTGGCTAGGAAAAGATTCCAGCTCATATCTCTGGCTTTCCCCTGCATTTAATGAAAACCTTTGGAGAGAGCTGAAATTGGCTTAATTTCAGAGAGTATTATCTCTATTGTTCTAATTATTCTCCCTGAGTCCTACAGGAGAGGATTGGAAAGAATGTTTTTTATTTGTGAGTGTAGTCTAGTGCTTATTAGAATTTCTGAGCTTTCACACTGGAAGTTTCAACAGGCTTACTGTGATGCTTTTGAAGTGCTGAGTGTAAATTTAAGTCTCAAAAACATTCTCAAGCCAAGTGCACTGATATATTTTTAGATAATAGCAGGAAAAGTTATGTAAGTGGATGCTTTACAGAGGGACACACACTGAGGGTCACATGCTGCAGTTTTCTGAACTGTAAAAGCAAAGAGAGAATGTATGAGATGAGGAAGGGACCCGATTTTGGTGCAGAGACCAGAGGCAAAACTGCTGTTGAAAAAGCAAACCTCAAAGACCCATCCTTGCTGTTCATCTGGGATATACGCTATGTCCTTTGGTTTTAACTTCTAAGTGATGTATTCATTTGAATCAAGAGAGCTACAGGAAGGTTTTAAAAAGCAGAACGGTTGTGCTAGAACACAGAACACAGGGGAAGGAACCCTGAGTTTGAAATGTCCGTGTATTCTTGGGGCCTAAACATGGCTAACATAGGCTTTGAATCTGCCCAATGAATGCAGGTTCCCTCCCCGTGCGCTTTCCCTTGACAGCAGACACAGAGGCCCGGGAGCTGTTGGCTTACCAACCCCTAGTCCGTTGGTCAGATATTGGGGGTCCTCAGGCCATGAGCCTGTGGGGTGAGTCCCCAGGGCCCTCCATGACCCTGAGAGCTATAATCCCCTCTGACCCCATGCTGTGACTGTGTTGTCACTACTGAACTTTATCCTGTTTCTGATTTGAACCCTAATCCCAGAAAGACTGAAGTCCCATCATGAATGCAGCTTAATCCTTGCCAAACCCGTCCCTGTGAGGCCCAGCCATCTCACTGACCCCAGGCATACCTCTCCAGGTACCACCCCACACTGCCACCTTCTGGCATTTCTGATACGTTCACTCTCAGCCGGCTCTGGCCCCACCCTCTCCACTTTATGGCTACACTCTGCAGAGAGATAGAATGCCTGCCCACGCCACTCTAGCCCTTTGGGACGTAGGTGCTGGTTGCAGCCTAAAGTAGGGTTAGCTCCTTCAGTCACTCATTATCCCAGTAGCTACCCTAAAGTTTCATCAGTCTCATGTTCCAAGCTGCATATATTGAGGCAATCTCAAGATTAGTAGTAATTAGTATAATTAACATTCATTGAATGAAGGTTTTATTTTAGCTGTTTGACCTTAGACAAGTTACTTTTACCTCTGTGATCCTCATTTTCTCATCTACAAAATGGAGTCGTAATAGTACTTACTTTATTCTGAAATCATTAGTTGAGTGGCTACATGTGTGAATTATAGTTCTATTTTAATTTGTTTGCTTGTTTTGTTTTTTTGAGATGGAGTCTCACTCTGTCACCCAGGCTGGAGTGCAGTGGCATGATCTCAGCTCACCGCAAACTCTCCCTCCTGGATTCAAGGGATTCTCATGCCTCAGCCTTCCAAGTAGCTGGGACTACAGGCAAGCGCTACCATGCCCAGCTAATTTTGTATTTTTAGTAGAGATGGGGTTTTGTCATGTTGGTCAGGCTGATCTCGAACTCCTGACTCAAGTGATCCACCCATCTCAGCCTCCCAAGGTGTTGGGATTACAGGCGCGAGCCACTGTGCCCAGCCATAGTTCTGGTTTTAGGAAAGTGTATGTAAAGTGCTTTGCAAAGCCTGGCACCTAACCATACAATAGTGGTAGTATGTGTAAATATTAATCATCCAGTAGTAGTGTGTACCAGGCACTTTTCCAGGGGGCTTTGTATACATTACATTATTAATTCTGAATACTTGAAAGTAAAGAAGTATTATACCCATTTTACAGATGAAGCTGAAACTTAAGGCTTCTAAGTAATGCCTCAAAACCACACACTTGGTAAGTGGGTAAATGGCTGGAATTTGAACCCTGGTGCGTTTGACTCCAAGGTTGACCTCTTAAGTCATAAAGATGTGGATGACAATGAAAGCTCTGAATGACAGCTCATTATAACAATAGAACGCTTGATGGTCAGGGATCCTCTGTGATTAATTGCCTCAGGAATGGAACAAATAGTGAGTTTTGCAAATAGTAAATACTTCAGCAGTGCAGAGAAAAAGACCATTATTTCCACAGGCTTAATAACAAAAAGCTTTAGGAGAGAATTTTTCGCTAGCTTTTTATCAAAGGAATACACGTATGGTATAGAAAAAATTCAGAGACTTACTTTACTCCTAGCTTTATTTTACTCTTTTATGCTTTTGTTTTTAAATCTATTTCTAACTCTTCTTGCTACCTCACATGCTGCCAGCATTACTCTGTACTGTTGTTACCTTTGGTAAAATAATCTATTCATAGCCGTTAGGATTACAAATGCAGACATCCTCTGACCCAGCTTTTAAGACTATTTTTTTTTTAAATAAAACACCAGTATATATATGGAAGTACGTTTCTTGTAGCATTGCTTACAGTTGGCAAAACAAATTCAAATCAAGACAATGCCCATATATATCAATAAGAGGATACTTGTATAAATTGAGACTCATTGATTGTAGGAGTCATTATATGCCTATTACAAAGAATGAATTAGATTTCTCTACAATAATCTGAATTAAACTGTCTTCAAATCTTAACAGCTTAGAATTTGGGAACCAAATCTACTTTAATAAAAGGTGAAGTAACATAGGGAAAAGTAAAAACGTGTGTTTGTAGTTGATCCAAAAAGACATTGGCACGAGCTCAATACCGGGAAGACATAACTCAATAGTACCTTGTATGAAATGGGTAAGGGCGTGGTAGCTCATTCCTGTAATCCTAGCACTTTGGGAGGCTGAGGCAGGCAGGTCGCTTGAGGCCAGGAATTCAAGACCAGCCTGGCCAACATGGCGAAACCCCGTCTCCACTAAAAAGAAAAAATGATAATAACACAAAAATTAGTCTGGGGTGGTGGCACGCACCCGTAATCTCAGCTACTTGGGAGGCTGAGGCAGGAGAATCTATTGAGCCTAGTAGGTCGCACCACTGAACTCCAGCATGAACAATAGAGAGAGAATCTGTCTCAAAAAAAAAAAAGAAGGAAGGATAGGGAATGGAAGAGAAGGGAAGGGAGGAAGAAGGGAGGG
This sequence comes from Homo sapiens, assembly GCF_000001405.40. Classification (NCBI taxonomy): domain Eukaryota; kingdom Metazoa; phylum Chordata; class Mammalia; order Primates; family Hominidae; genus Homo; species Homo sapiens. Next base: position 59,915,509 of record NC_000015.10, on the reverse strand, counting down.
AGGGAGGGGAGGAGGAAATGGGTAGAGGGCTTTTGTAGATTGTAAACTGAATATAACCTAAAGGTGTCCAGGCAAGAAAGCTAATGGGTAGTTTAGGCAGGTCTAGAACTTTTAGAAGAGGAGGGAAGATCATCCTGCTATTCTGTATGTTGACCCCATCGGAGAATCACGTTCAGTTTAAAACAAACATGTTCACCAAGGTAATGAGGCTAAAATCATGCCATTGGAGAAATAGCTGAAGGAACATACTTCTTTCTTCTGAAGAAGAGCAGACCCAAAGGACACTTTGGTCTTTTGTCCCCAAATTTCATGTCACATGGAAGCAAAATATTAGACTTTTTCTATGGAGCCTGAAAGCTAAAACCAGGACAAGTGAGTGGGTAGAAGTCAACTCAGGAGAGAGGTTTAGCCCAAAATAAGGAAGGCATTGCGAGCTATCAGAGCTTGCCAAGAACGGTATAAAATGGCTTGCTCTAGAGATTCCCTGGAATCTCCAGATCAGCCATTGGATCCAAGTCCAAGAGGCTTGTTGTGTCTTAAGCAAGTAACCTCTGGAGTCTCAGTTTCCTCATCCATAAAGATAAGCAAATCTACATTGCCCAGTTTATAGAATTGTACAGAAGAATAAATTATATAACATATGTAAAAGTACTAGGCAATCAGGAACTATTATTACTGTATTGTCATGATTTGCAAAATTAACAAGGAGCATGATTTCTTTGGTCCTGGAAAACTAGGACTACCAAAGACAGGACCATTCTGAGAATTTAATCTTAGACTTCTAAGTACTTTTTAGGGTATAGAAGTAAATTTAAAAAAAAATACCATCCTCTGTAAAAAGCAGGCATTGTTAGCTTTTCAGAAAACTTTTTGGAGCCTAAATTTACTTTTCCAGATAAAAGAAGTAGAAAAGGAACTTGGGTGTGATGAAGCATTGGCCCAAAAGTCTTTCTTAAGTGTAACTTTATTAATTAATTAAATTAATTACTTATAACAAATTGAACATTCTTAGTTGCTAATTACAAAAGCAGAGAGGGCTGTACTTGAAGATGGAGGAGCTGAGTAAAGACTGGTTTAAGGACTCAAAGATCGTTAGCACTGGATGGGATCTCAGAGAAGACTGAATGAAAAAGAAGGATCAGTAACGATGTAAAGTCGCTCACCCATAACTTTATTGCTCGTAGCAGCCCTGGCAATGCTCTCCTAAGGCTCATGCTTTGGTGTCCTGGATTTGATTTCTAGGCAGGATCAGAGGAGAAAGTAAGGTAAGGAGGAAAAAGAAGGGAAATGTAGAAAAAGAGTTCTTTGACTGAAAAGGAATCATTTCCATTACCCACCCCCACCAAAGAATCTAACACATGCATAAATATGTGTGGGAAATGCTTGCTTTTTAATGGAGGCTATCACATGGAAATGGCCACTATTTGAACTCTATTCTAAGGAGAAAAAAGTATTAAAAGGTAAAAAAAAGGTTCATGTTCCAAAATGTTTATTACAGTACCATTCCCAACAGTGAAGAATCAGAATAACCCTAGTGTTCAGTAAACAAGAGGATGTTTAAGTAAATTATGACAAAGCCTACCAAACATTATACAACCAGTACAGATGGTGTCACCACGATTGTGAAATACAATAAGCAAATGCTTTGTTCTAGTGACAAACGGAGGGAAGACGGTGTTGGGGGCACAGTATTGATTGGAGAGAAGATTTCAAGTCATAATCTATTGTACTCGAGAAGGGAAAGAAAAGTAGATTTGTAGATATAAAATGAATTAAATTAGTAAATTATAAAAAGATGTGAATTCCAAGAAGACTTTATAAAGAGACAGACACATTAAGGAGACATGTGCAGAGCTGGAATAGTTTGTATTCTTTTGACCTCAGGAGTGAGAAAGCTAAGAACAGCGTAGGGGCTACCTGAGTGGGGTTACAGCTTCAAGATAGGCCATACTGAGTGCTCCCCACTCCCAGTGGCTTGGACAAAGAGGTACTCGCCTTCTAATGAGAAATACCACGTGCAAACTTGGTGAATGGTAATTAAAGATAAAGCCACCTTGGGTCCAGGGAGGAGTGTACGGGAGACTAGTGACATAAGAAGAACATGAGGATACTTCTGGGTTCGGATAATTCCCAACTTCATACACACAATTTTATAACTCGGAACAAAGCATGTACATATGTGCCAGGAGACAGCAGACCTGTGGTTTCATTTCTCCCTTAGTTTAGTTGCAACATATCAGATATTTTCCCCTGCACCTGGCCTTACCTGCTCAGATGCATGGAATTGCCACCTGGAAGGCACCTTTTTTAAAAGCCCCCTCCCATGTAAGCCGGCAGGGGTTGTAGCAATTGTAACAGCCTATTGAATGGATTGATCTTCCTGTTCTTCCCATTCCCCAGGACGGCTGAGGCTGCTTGGAAAAGAAAGACAGCCAAGAACCAGGAGTTAACAGGTACAATGTAAATCACAGTATTATTATCAAAACCATGTACATCCAGGAAAAAGAAAAGACAGGTAAACTTTTTTTATTATTATGCTTTAAGTTCTACGGTACATGTGCACAACTTGCAGGTTTGTTACATATGTATACATGTGCCATGTTGGTGTGCTGCACCCATCAACTCGTCATTTACATTAGGTATATCTCCTAATGCTATCCCTCCCCCCTCCCCCCACCCCACGACGGGCTCCGGTGTGTGATGTTCTCCACCCTGTGTCCAAGTGTTCTCATTGCTCAATTCCCACCCATGAGTGAGAACACGTGGTGTTTGGTTTTCTGTCCTTGCGATAGTCTGCTCAGAATGATGGTTTCCAGCTTCATCCATGTCCCTACAAAGGACACGAACTCATCCTTTATTATGGCTGCATAGTATTCCATGGTGTACATGTGCCACATTTTCTTAATCCAGTCTATCATTGATAGACATTTGGGTTGGTTCCAAGTCTTTGCTATTGTGAATGGTGCCGCAATAAACATACGTGTGCATGTGTCTTTATAGCAGCATGATTTATAATCCTTTGGGTATATACCCAGTAATGGGATGGCTGGGTCAAATGGTGTTTCTCGTTCTAGATCCTTGAGGAATCGCCGCACTGTCTTCCACAATGGTTGAACTAGTTTATAGTCCCACCAACAGTGTAAAAGTGTTCCTATTTCTCCACATCCTCTCCAGCACCTGTTGTTTCCTGACTTTTTAATGATCGCCATTCTAACTGGTGTGAGATGGTATCTCATTGTGGTTTTGATTTGCATTTCTGTGATGGCCAGTGATGATGAGCATTTTTTCATATGTCTGTTGGCTGCATAAATGTCTTCTTTTGAGAAGTGTCTGTTCATATCCTTTGCCCACTTTTTGATGGGGTTGTTTGATTTTTTCTTGTAAATTTGTTTAAGTTCTTTGTAGATTCTGGGTATTAGCCCTTTGTCAGATGGGTAGATTGTAAAAATTTTCTCCCATTCTGTAGGTTGCCTGTTCACTCTGATGGCAGTTTCTTTTGCTGCACAGAAGCTCTTTAGTTTAATTATATCCCATTTGTCTATTTTGGCTTTTGTTGCCATTGCTTTTGGTGTTTTAGTCATGAAGTGCTAGCCCATGCCTATGTCCTAAATGGTATTGCCTAGGTTTTCTTCTAGGGTTTTTATGGTTTTAGGTCTAACATTTAAGTCTTTAATCCATCTTGAATTAATTTTTGTGTAAGGTGTAAGGAGAGATCCAGTTTCAGCTTCCTACATGTGGCTAGCCAGTTTTCCCAGCACCATTTATTAAATAGGGAATCCTTTCCCCATTTCTTGTTTTTGTCAGGTTTCTCAAAGATCAGATGGTTGTAGATGTGTGGTATTATTTCTGAGGGCTCTGTTCCATTCCATTGGTCTATATCTCTGTTTTGGTACCAGTACTATGCTGTTTTGGTTACTGTAGCCTTGTAGTATAGTTTGAAGTCAGGTAGCGTGACTCCTCCAGCTTTGTTCTTTTGGCTTAGGATTGACTTGGCAATGCGGGCTCTTTTTTGGTTCCATATGAACTTTAAAGTAGTTTTTTTCCAATTCTGTGAAGAAAGTCATTGGTAGCTTGATGGGGATGGCATTGAATCTATAAATTACCTTGGGCAGTATGGCCATTTTCATGATATTGATCTTCCTATCCATGAGCATGGAATGTTCTTCCATTTGTTTGTGTCCTCTTTTATTTCGTTGAGCAGTGGTTTGTAGTTCTCCTTGAAGAGGTCTTTCCCATCCCTTGTAAGTTGGATTCCTAGATATTTTATTCTCTTTGTAGCAATTGTGAATGGGCGTTCACTCATGATTTGGCTCTCTGTTATTGGTGTATAGGAATTCTTGTGATTTTTGCACATTGATTTTGTATCCTGAGACTTTGCTGAAGTTGCTTGTCAGCTTAAGGAGATTTTGGGCTGAGACGATGGGGTTTTCTAAATATACAATCATGTCATCTACAAACAGGGACAATTTGACTTCCTCTTTTCCTAATCGAATACTCTGTATTTCTTTCTCCTGCCTGATTGCCCTGGCCAGAACTTCCAACACTACGTTGAATAGGAGTGGTAAGAGAGGGCATCCCTAAGACAGGAAAACATTCCCATGTCAACAGTGATTGCCTTTGGAAAACGTCGACATGGGTGAAATGTTTTTTCCTTCTTTTTACATGGCTGTGAATTTCCCAGATTTTCTTTGAGGAAAAAAAAAATAGCTATTATAATTCATAAAGACTTAAAAATAAACCTAAGATTAATGTAGAGAGTTCATCATTTGGTGGTGGAAATTTTCATTCACTTTTAATTTTTTTCATATTATGAGAGTGATGCATGTTTATTGCAGAAAATTCCTGGTATTAAGTTAGCCTCTAGCTTCACTTCACTATGCTACTTCTATTTTTTCCTTCAGTTTATCAGAAATCCTTTTTAGAAAGAGAAGAGCTAAGAATCCATCAATTTTCCATTCTTTGTATTTACTTTATTCTACATTTTTTGCAACATCAAAGCGAATAAAGAAATATTAACACCTGGTTAAAGGATGTTAATAAATCCTTTCTTTAGAATTCTTTAAAGAAATTCTTTTTTCTTTAGATGTAAAGAAAATATCTTCCCTCGCCCATCCCCACCCAGATAATCTGTGTTAATATATTATTTGTATCTTACCACTCTTTCTCTATTCTCACAAGAATATAGGGGTATTTTTTCCAATTTAAAAAATGTTATATACTAAAATATTACTCACTTTTTTCTGTTAACAATTCATATCTTAGATATGAGACAGGGAGATATAGTAACTTGACCTTGACAGTCTGAGCCCTTAACTGCTACAAACAGCTGCTCCTGACAGAAGAGAAGGCTAAGAACAAATTCAAGGGAGGTGGTCAGTGAAGACCTTTTTAAGAGAAAAGATGACAAAGGGCACTATATCCTCAGCGATTTGCCCTGTGACTTCTAAACTCCAGCAGTAGTTGTTGACTTCACAAGCCTTTGCTGCTGAAGACTCTCGCCCCTTCAGAAAGAGGAGCAACCTTCTCGTATTACGTCTCAGGCATGCTGAAGGTGCTCTGAAGATGGCGTGGTTGGTCAGTGCTTTGGGCATAACCCACCTGTCTACCTTTTGGACATTTTGCCTGATAAGTATGGTGCATCTTGTGTATTTTGATTTATAAGTGTTGCTGGTTGTTGACTACATACCGAGCACCCTTCTGGTTCTTGGAGTATCAACATTTCAGCCCACAGACTCTCTTGAGTTCAGGCGATTCTCAACATCATGATAGACAATTTTATAACCGTGAAAAAAAAAAAAGTACCTATGTGCCAACTGAATTGGAACATTAAGTGGCTCTTTTAATTAAAATTCAGACAGGAATTTTAGATTTGTTACCAAATAACCATCGATAATGCCAATGAATAGTTCATTCTGAATTGATCCTAACCTGTAGGAAATTGCCATTTATAATTCACAAATCACTTTCTTCCGTATCTCTTCCTATCTCCATTCCATTTTCACTTTTCCACTCTCATTTCATTACCATCATTTTCTTGCCTCTTGATTTAAAAAAAAAAAAAAGAAAGAAAAAGCAAAACCAAGAAAAGCACTTTGTTCATTAACTACTGCATTATGATGAGAGGTATATTGAAATTCTGATTTTCACGTATATAAATATAATCATAGAATTGGTACTTGTCACCTGAGTTCCATTTCATTCAACAAACACCTGGGGAGGCCAATATGTGCCCTGAAGTTCTTAGGAGTTGGGAATACAAAGAGCACATGCAGTCTTTCCCTGGTAGGAACATAAATAGATTATAGCATTGTGTGCAAGGTATAATAGAAGTGTGGGCACACTATGAGGAAGCACAGAAAAGAAAATGATGAGGGAAGGAGACATGAGGGAAGACTTTCTGGAAGAAGTGTTTGCTTAGCTGGGTTTTGAAGGATGAATAAGAGTTTAATAGGCCACCAAGTGGAAAAGGAAAGTTACTTGTGGCAAAAAACCAAAACCAACCAAATAAAAAAACAGCATTTGCAAAGCCACAAAGGTGAGAAATAGCATATTTGTCTGCCATTTAGTGACTAATGGAGTGTGGTGGGCAAATGAAGGAGGAATGCCAGGTGAGAATGGATAGGTTTCTAGAGGATAGGCTCTAACCATTCGAGCATGATTTTAATTTTTTTTCTTTCTTTCCACTTGCTATGTACCAGACACTGTTGTGTTTTACAAATACCGATTCATTTAATCTTTATAACAATTTAGGCAGATCGTTGTTCTACAGCATTGAAATAAGGGCTGACCTCAACAATCTGGATTGACTGGTTAAAAAAAAAAAAGCACACACACAAAAACCCATGGTAAATGTCATATTACAGAACTAGACTCAAGAACTTTGAAATACATATGTAATCCCTTCTCCAGCAATAAGTCCTCATGCCGAAAGGAGATTTCGGCTTGATTCTGGCGTAGGTGAAAGGGATTGCTATGGACAATTACTGTGCACCTGGGCCTTATGTAATTTAACCTCAACATCGTCCTGGGGTGCATGGTGGTCTCCGTCTTTTCTACATGAGGCTCTGAAAGATCAGGTAAGTTACCCGGTAAAGTGAAGGTGATGAAATTTGTTTAACTCAACATCTGAGGTTTCTCCTTTCCACACCTTCCCCAGAGAAGGACCAGAGAATGCCAAACACCAAAATTTTTCCTCAAACTACTTCAACCTAGTACGGATATAGGTAAGATCTATATGGGTGCTTTCCTGACAATTTACTATGTACTGTGGGGAAGAGAGGTGAGAGAAAAGGCTATACATATATCCTCTGGGCACTTGGTATTTAAACCATGTATCTGATGACGCCCATTAAATGTTTACAGAAGATAGTGTGCTCTTTCCTTCTGAAGCTCCATTATGAAAGAGACCTTTAGATGATGACAATCTACGACATAGACTACCTTGTTCCCTCAACCAACCAAATTCTGATAGATTCAGGGCAGAATAACTAAAATTAAGCAGTTCTAGAAAAATTGGGATACATGGCCATCATGCCCTTAATAGTTTTTCTTTTAAATTCAAGAACTTTGAAATCCACATCCATAGCATGTTTTGGTTTTGTTTCCTTGGAGTTCTATATACCATACCTTGGTGATTGAGCAGCACAGACGTATATAACATTCTTTCCTCACAAGTTGCACTTCCGCTTTCTACATCCTCCTTTTCCATTTCAGCATTCCTCTTTCACTCCAACCTCCTCTACTCTGATTCTCTTATCTGGTATTCTCTTATATGACCCTGTTACAGAAAAAGGGGACTGGAACATAACTCGCCTTAAGGATTTGGTGAATAATGGTGACCTCATCTGGGATCCCTTTTCAAAGTATACAATTTGCATTTTTTTAAAGCCTTGAGACAGTGGTGTTTATCTCAAAGGAATGACTGTTCAATGGTAGAACTTCCAATGCTCTTCCTTGAGAGATATAACAGTGACAATAATTACTGGCCTTTTGTGCTGGTCTCTCCTGTGACTGGCCTAGCGCTAAGCTCTTGCACGTGTGGCTAATTCTCACAACAATCTGCAAAGGGGACATGATCATCCCCAATCAGAAAAGGAAACTACTGTTCAGAGAGATGAAATTACATAAGCTACTCACTAAGGCCAAGGGAGATTAGAGCCTAGGTGTGTTTGGTGTCCAAGCCCCAGGCTTTTCTGGCACTCTGATTGCTTCCCTAAAAGGAGATGACAGGGTCCTTTAGTCCAGTGAGGGTCTGTTTGGTGATGAATGGTTTCCTCCAAGTCCTCCACCTGGGGCAGGTGCACACATTCCTGGTCATGAAAGGGAAAAGAGGTAGGACTCTGCAGATTTCTCTAGAACAAGCACCCCAGATTCCTGCCAGCAGAGCCAGTCACTTCTGTGGTCTACACTTTGCCCAGTACCCAGGGAGGTTTTCTGCTATTCACATAGGGTTTCACACATAGAAGGATTTTCTCAGGTGAAAGAAACAGAAGGCAGGACCAGGGACCCAGGACTTCCTGTGACATCTTTACTCTGACCTGCAGCAATGAACTGTTTCATGGTGAGTGGTCTCTACAAATTGCCTTCAGGTGTTAGTTTAAGAGAGCAGATAAAAAAGAAAAGTTAAAAAGATTTTGAAGGTTTATTAAAAGGGAGCACTTGATACACATCAAGTCCAATAATAATGCCCTACAAACCTGTCAGTTTGTAGTAAAGTGACAAGAAGTAGCTGAGGGGAATCCTTGCCCCCATGGTTTATGGTTACAGATTTGATTCACTTTGATGAATCAACTAGTTTGAATGATTAGAAAAATAAACTGAAATCTTTGCCCTGATTCAGAATTTCCAAATGCCCCTGTAGGACAAAAAAGAGTTTTTTTCCTGTGTCTATTTAATTTTGCAATATGCAAAGTGGTCTCCATAAAGCATCTTGTCCTGAATTTAGCAGAGCTTTCAACAAATTTCATGACCTGTTCTAATTGAATGATTAATGTTATCCATTTAAATATTGTAGATCTTTTCTTGTCCTAGCTAAACTTGCCTAAAGATAGGGACTTTCTCCATTATAAATGTAGATTCCCAAACAACACTTAGAAATGGAAGAGAAAAAAAAGTGTCTACAATAAATATTGCAACCAATTAGGCTTCATCATAGTAATTTCTCCAGTTTTGTAATGTTTGTTTACTGGGTTTTGTAGGGAAACTGATACCATTTCTGAGATCCAGAGTCATAAAGCCTCCACCCTCTCGTTTTCCAGCAATGAAAAGTTGTGAGAATGGGAAATATTTTCTTCCTTACCACACCCCCCATGTCATTTACAAATTAGACATTCAAAGATCCAGACCCAAACATGTAAATCTGTTTGTACACATTCAAAGAATGCTCTTAGACATTTCCTAAAAACCCACACATTAATATTGCTTACTTTTCAGCAGGGGTAAATGAGGGTCTCAGAGACCTCCTTAGAACAGGCTGGAGTTAAAGAATATTGCATGTTTTTCATTTTACTGTGATGAATGCAAAGCTATTAAATAACCTTTTAAAGAGTTGGTGTAATTATCTGTAAACAGTAATGTTACAAAAAAAAAGGTCAAGTTGTCCTGCCATTAGATGTTTATGGATATAAACTGGATTTATGTTTCCATAAAACAGGCACCGACTAACTAGATTAATTCTCCACAAACTAAACCAACTGTAGTAATATTTAGACACAATAAAATGATACCAATTAAAACAATTTTATTTTTTGTGTCATATTGATTAATGGCGCACTAAAATTAACCAGAGACCTTAAACTCAGAATGGTTGGCAAAAGGCATCCACATCTCAATATTATTACCAACAAGAAGAGCAGTTAAGGGAGATGGCTGCGCAATAGTATGAATATTTAATTAATAATTAGTCATGTAATTTCTCCTCAGGAATTATTATCCCTCAAACTGGTTTGTGAATTTAATTATTAGCGGCCTTTTTGTTTCCATGTCCCCTCATTACTGTCAGGATTGATGTAACATAAACTTCATTAAAAATTAAAGCAAGAGTCTTAATTACAAGGCTACCCTGACTGAAGTTAGAATTAGCCAAGTCAGTGATGTGCAAATGAGTGCATTATTTAAGAAACATGCTGGAAGTAGTTATGCTAATGTAGAAGGTTCGCAGTAGCAGACCTTTTCACTTGCAGTTGCATATTCATTAAATGCACTATGCAAATTTAATGTAGCAGTCTTAGTAATGCGTTGTTAATTTATTCAGATTTATTGAGTACGACTTGTAAAAAAAAGTACAAATTTAATTACTGTATCTAGTAGGGATGATATTAGGAGATAGCAGAGGTTTAGAATGTGTTGAACTGGATTACTGCAGTTTGATGGAAGACGTGGTATCAAAGGACACAATTTTGATAACTGGGCTTGAAAGAATATTTGATTTACTTATGGAATGATCTAAGAAATCACTAAAATTGCACATGTTCCTTCCCAATAGGAAAGTAAAAAAGTCTCAGTTGTATTAACTTAAGAGCTAAAGCAGTGCTGAGTCCACAGCCTAATGGTCGTAATGGCTCTACAGAGACCAGTAAAGGTTATGGATTGAGATCCGTGTGAAGCAAACTGTCTTTGTGGAAAGTTCATTGGTGGCTGCCTGTGTCTCCGCAGTGCGCTGACGACTGACGGGTGGACCAGGTGGAGCGACAGGAATCCTCCTTGCTCTCCAGCGGAAAGGCCTTGGCGCCCCTGCAGGGTGCTATCTTTTACAGTGGGTGGATGCTTAGGCTCAGGGAGGCCAAACCCAGGACCATGTGAAGAAATTGTGTTCTTTAAAAGACATAACAGAAACCATGCCTGCACTTGACACCCTTGTGTTGACATTTCTCGAGTGGACACGCCGGACTGCCCTTTACACAGCTTACCTCATCTACTTCAATGGAAAACCTGCCGTGTAGGTTTTCTCACTGCCACCCCCGCCCCCCGCCCCGCCCCCAATTTCACAGGTGAGAAAACTGAGACTGACAGTGGTAGAATAACTGATGCAGGTGGAAGAGCTGGGATTTAAGTCTAGCCCAGCGCTCCTCGCACAGCTGATTTCAGGGTTCCTCTCCCTACCCTCTGTTTGTTCTGCCATCTCTTTCTTCCCCCACTGCCTTGACCTTTGATTGCTCCCCCATCCTTTCTTTATCTCTTTTCCTTTGCTTCAGAATTCTTTCTCATCTTCCAGCTCTCTGCCACTATTTCAGCCCTTCCTTCCCTTCTTCTTTCCATTTCTCCCTCCTCACTGTCCCTTTCTTTCTTCCCCTCCCTTTGTCCTCTTTTCCTTTTCCTCCCACTCTTCCATTGTCCCTTAATGTTTCTTCCTTTCACTCCTTGATACACACATAGGTGTGTAGATATTATATTATTTTATTTTATTATTCTTTTTTTAGGTGGAGTCTCACTCTGTCACCAGGCTGGGGTGCAGTGGCACAGTCTCGGCTCACTGCAACCTCTGCCCCCCCGGGTTCAAGCGATTCTCCTGCCTCAGCCTCCCGAATATCTGGGACTACAGGTGCATGCCACCACACCCGGCTAATTTTTGGATTTTTAGTAGAGATGGGGTTTCACCACGTTGGCCAGGATGGTCTTGATCTCCTGACCTCGTGATCTGCCTGCCTCGGCCTCCCAAAGTGCTGGGATTACAGGAGTGAGCCAGCGTGCCTGGCAGATATTATTTCACTTTTCAGAGACAGGGTCTCGCTCTGTCGCCCAGGCTGGAGTTCAGTGGCTCAATCATAGCTCACTGAAGCCTCATATTTTTAGACTAAAGGAATCCTCCCACCACAGCCTATAATTTAAAACTGGTAATGGCTGGCATTTTTTTTTCCTAAACAAATGCTATACACAAACATACAAGTTAAATTGAAATAAGACTGTTTAAAATTCGACAAAGCAATCCGGGACATGCCCCCTACACCCCTCACATTAAGATTGGTGGTGGGCATGGAATACTATGCAGCCATAGAAAAAGAATGATATCTGGCCTGGCACAGTGGTTCATGCCTGTAATCCAAGGACTTTTGGAGGCTGAGGCAGGTGGATCATGAGGTCAGGAGTTCAAGACCAGCCTGGCCAATATGATGAAATCCCGTCTCTACTAAAAATACAAAAATTATCAGGGCGTGGTGGTGCACACCTGCAGTCCCAGCTACTTGGGAGGCTGAGACAGGAGAATCTCTTGAACCCGGGAGACAGAGGTTGCGGTGAGCCGAGATCATGCTACTGCACTCCAGCCTGGGTGACAGAGTGAGTCAGACTCAGTCTCAAAAAAAAAAAAAAAAAAAAAAAAGAATGAGATCATGTCTTTTGCAGGAACATGGATGGAGCTGGAGGCCATTATCCTCAGCAAACTAATACAGGAACAGAAAACCAAATACCACATGTTCTCTCTTATAATTGGGAACTAAGCGATAAGAACTCATGGACACAAGGAAGAGAATAAAGGACAGTGGGGTCTACTTGAGGGCGGAAAGTGGGAGGAGGGAAGGGAGCAAAAAAGATAACTATTGGGTACTGGGATCAACACCTGGGTGATGAAACCATCTGTACAACAAACCCCTGTAACATGAGTTCACCTCTGTAACAAACCTGCACATGTAATAAAAGTTAAAACAAAAAACAAAAGATTGGTGGTGGGGAACAAAACTGGGAGCATTCTCTTTAACCCAAACCTCAGAAATCACTGTGCATGTCGCTGCTAGCAGCTTGGCTGGCTTAGTAGACCCCCACCCATCTTTTAAGAATTTTAAGTTTCTTGTTTTTTATAGTCACAAAAATGAGTCCTGTGCATTTTTAATACAATTTATATATTTTATCTTGGTTTGGAGGGGCTACTGCTTCAAACTGGTTAATCTTTTGGAGAAAAATCAATACACGTTCTACTCAGCTCCAGCAATGAACAGGCTAAATTATTATTAACCATGTTGAGTGCCTGGTTCTCGGCGCCCATCTTTGGAGGTATTCCAGGCTCTCTGATATATTCAGGCAGTCTGACCTATACGTATTGATCTCCATCTGACAGAGAGAGAGGTTAACCAACTCGCCTTAAGATAAGCATATGAATTGAATACTGACTGAAACTTGGTGCCTATATAAAGAATCTTTCTGAATTATTAATTAATCAGCATCCAAAAAATTAGGTGGCAAAGCAAATGTTCAGGGTTTCCTGTGTGAACCTTTTCATCTTATGTTCCACAATAAGATTGATCTAAAGGCCAATCAATCAGGTCCCAGGGTGATCTAACTCTAGCCACCCCTCTCTGCTGCTGTCCACTGCTCTGTTAATGCGTGCCATTCTGCCTTGGGTCGTGCTTAACTGTGTGTGTGTGTGTGTGTGTGTGTGTGTGTGTGTGTGTGCGTGCGTGTGTATGCGTTTCTGCTACTGAGTTGCAAACTGCTGAGAACACCTGTAATTTCATAGCATCTGCTGGAATTTTTGCTGCAAAAGTTTGGTATTTTGGACTAACCTTACTTGTCTTTGGGTAGAGGTATGGTGTGTTGGTAAATGCTTGACAACTAGCTCTCTAAAAAATAACAATAAAATAAATTATCTTTTTCAAAAGCTCTGGTTTGTAGTGTTTGCTGATTTCCTTGGTATTATGTTTCCACTCTATCAATTTCAAGTTACAATGACAACATAATGTCACTAAATGTAGAGTTGGGAAGAGATAAGCAGGCACACCATTATACAGTACATCCACCCACTCTACAGATAAGATAGATGTAAATAATCTCAAGTGCATGGATAATAGTAAAATGTAGTAAAATAAATAGAAAGTGATTAGTAGTTTTGAATATTTGTTATATTTGTTTTTGATGTAATTTGTTTAATTGTGCATTTATATAGCTTTTAATAATGTCTAGGTCTTACAATCAGCTCACACAATTCTTCAACATTAATAATTGGCTCCAGCTCACCAGTGAGTAGTGGGAAGAAAAAGGTTCATTGCTAAGAACACCACCACAACCAATAACAAAAAAAACTGAGTGGTACTATTTCTAATAAAGTGATGTTTTATTATTTATATTAGGGGGAGGCAACCTGACCCCAAAATAAGAGTGTGAGCTGGCTCGTGCTAAGAGAATATCTGTAATTTCATAATATCTGCTGGGATTTTTGTGCAAAAAGTTGGCAACTTGGAGCAGACAGCTTTCTATTGAAGAAGGAAACGTTTTTTAGTGATAGCAGAGATGTGAGCATGTCTACAGCCTGGATCTATGGGACAAAAGGGAAGAGGGAATCAATAACAAGTTATTCTATATTTAGCAAAAGAATGTATGTGGTGCTGGTACCACATACACCAGGTGCAATACTAGGTGCTGGGGATGCAATAAAGGTGACCTAAGTCTCCTGGTCTGGGGATCAAGGGTTGACTCCCTGGGAAGGAGACCATGAAGATGTCCAGATGTAAGGGGGAGTAGAGTTGGGCGCAGAACCTGGTCCTGAGCCTAAAAAGAGCTCAGTCTGGGCTGGGTGCAGTGGCTCACACCTGCAATCCCAGCACTTTGGGAGGCCGAGATGGGCGGATCACAAGGTCAGGAGTTCAAGACCAGCCTGGCCAATATGGTGAAATTCCATCTCTACTAAAAATACAAAAATTAGCCGGGTATGGTGGTGTGTGCCTGTAGTCCCAGCTACTTGGGAGGCTGAGGCAGAAGAATCACTTGAACCCGGGAGGCAGAGGTTGCAGTGAGCCGAGATCGCGCCACTGCAATCCAGCCTGGGCGACAGAGCGAGACTCTGTCTAAAAAACAAAAAACAAAACAAAACAACAAAAAAGAGCTCGGTCTGTCTGCTGCACAGCGAAGAAGCCTGGTGGCTGGTGTGCAGTTGGCAAGTGGGAAAGGGCTATATGACACAGCTGGTGAGTGTCGGCAGGTGCCAAGTGACCCAGTCCCTTGTGGGCTGTGTTGAGGGTTTAAGACTGAATTGGAAACACCTTCTGAGGCCATCTGAAGTTACCCCCTAGTTACATTCACCACCCATGCTGGAAGACCCTTGCGTATTTGTCCCACCTGTGAGGCAGTAAGCTCCAGAAGGGCAGGTATCCAGAGGGCTAGCGTAGGGTCTAGCCCATCACAGCAGCTGAAGAAAGCTTTATGGAAGTGAATGCATGGATGTGTGCCTGCCCTCATGCCCCCTTACAGGTTTGAGTATGGGGCTCATGCTCCTGACTGAGCCAGACTTGAGACCTGCTGGAGAAGCTCAACCCCAGCACTTCCCTGCTGTAGAGGATAGGAAGCCAGGAGCAGAAAGTCCTTCCTGGGCCTCTAGTCCCAGAGGGGAGCTTTTTAAGGTCAACAAATTTAACTCGAGTCCTCATGGGAACTGTGGTCACTATGACAGACTCAGAGGAGACTGGGCCTGTGGAGGTGAGCCGTGTCCCGGGGAGAAGTGGGAGCTCTTGCAGCTTGGAGTGTAGGTGCACTCCCCTATGCTTCACCTGTTCCTAAGGTGTGTGTGGGATGATTTCAGTCTACCTTAAGACTCTTATGCCCTTCCCCCACGAATTGGCTCTTGAACCTACTGCTGAAGGCTGAAATTGCACCTTTGAGAACTGAGGGCACTGAATCTTGTGGGATGTAAATTCCCTAAACTAGGAAGAAATAACTATAATAAAAGTACTTTACATGTATTGATCTCTGCCTCTATGACAGGTGTCATACTAGCAGCTTTATATGCTTTATCTCATCTACTCTTCAGAACAATACCATGACATAGACATCGTTATTATTCCCATTTTACAGACAGGAACACTGAGGTATTGAAAGGCTAAACAAATTACCTGAGAATATTTCATTGGTAAATAATAGAGCAGGGACCAAATCAAGTGTTTCTAATATAAAGCCCACACATTAAAAGCTGGGTCTATCTCACACTGTGCTGCCATTTAATTTGGGGGCCAGAGGAGGTAGCAAGAAGGTCAATTTGATCCAGTATTCCCAAATTTCCCTGAGGAACAGAACCATGTGGGGACACTTGTTAATCATGGTGCTTTCCAGGCTCATTCTATGGAGTTTAGAACTACCCAACTCTGAGATGAGGTCCTGGAGTTTGTATTTAATGTGATTGCTTTCAAGGGAGCTTGGAAAATGCTAGTGGGAGAGAAAGACCTACATGCATTGCCCTCAGGACTGAAGCATATAAAATGTGGGCCCTAACACCTGATCTCTCTGCAAAGGAAGAACCGGTTTTAATCTACCTGGAAATATTAATTCAAAGATTAATCCAAGAAATCAATTTGTCAAAGGCATGCGTGTAGGCAGGGAGAAGGAAGGAGGTGAAGGATGACCAGAAGACAGCTTACTGGTGAGCTGTGTAGCAACAGTACCTGGGGACGGATTTGCCCATAGAATGTCCAGTGTATTTGTCTTATACAAATTATTCAATTTTCCTAAGCCTTGGTTTTTTTAATCTGAAAAACAGTGAGAATACTATCACAGTGATAAAAATAAGTGAAGATTAAGTGAGAGCTGGCCTGGAACAGGGCAGTGGTGAGAGTGCTGACTCTGGCCCCATACTGCCCAGGTTCCTGTCTTAGGTACATCACTTTCTCTCTGTGTGCCTTCATGTGAGTTATTTAACTTCACTGTGCCTCAATTTCCTTTTGTGTAATGAGTTATGAAGTAAAAATAAGACTTACCTCATAGGGTTGTTGAAAAGATTTATTGTAAAGTACTTAGCACAGCACTAGGTACACATTAGGTGTACTGATAATGTCTGCTAAATTACTATTACACTGCTTCGCACCTGCTAGGTCCTAATGCACATGATTTTTCCTCCAAATGATGGAACTGAACCTAACAGCCAGGTTTCTGGCATGGGATCCTTCTACCCACTGATTCTGTAGTCACAGGTGAAAAATACACATTGGCTCTTCAGCAATGATTTTAGAGAACACAGCAGAGACCACCCAAGAATTGTTTCAACCTTTGACTCATTTTGCTCCTGAGGCTGAGATGTAGGGCGCACCTATCGCACTGCAGGAAGATGAGGAAATAGATTCCCCCATTGTTATCCTTGTTGAGCAAGTCATTTCTCCTCTCTGAGCTTGGTTTCCTCATTTAAAAAAATATTCCTCCCAGCTCCGAAATCCTATGATTCAATGAAAAATGCTCCTTGACCTAACCTTCAAATGTCGGCCACTTTGCCGGAAATTCAGGAAGTGGGAAGAAATCACCAAGGAGATTGGGTCGTTATGACTTTCTTCTCAGCAACTAACCTTTTTACTTAAGACCCCTCAGTCATGTCGATTTCCAAATGCTCGTGGCTTTGCTTAGCTTGTCCTTCTGCGATGATGGTCTTAATCATAAATTCTAATTGGAACAGGATCCACCTCAATTTATTCCTAATGCCTCAGAAAAGCAGAACTGTTTCTAGGAATAAATTGAGATGGATTCTATTCCAATTAACAGTTTGACTCAGTCAAAGTGTTGTTAACCCACTGCTGTCCTCTGATAACCATCCAATTCATGGATGGCAAGTTGCTGGCCTAGCCAGAACTAGCAAGAACAAGAGCTATCTAAAGATAGTCACCACTTTGACAGGTGTAGACACGATTCTCTTCTCTCCACCCTACTCCTAACCCCATCTTAGCATTTTAAGGGGCACCATCTGTTAGTTTGCTTTGAGCTGTGATTGGATTGGACTACTCTCTCTGAATTGCAAGTAAGACGTTCTCATCTTATTCAGACAGATCCTGTATCAGTCAGGGTTCTCCAGAGAAACAGTACCAATAGCATTTGTATGTACATAGAGATTTATCTTGAAAAACTGGCTTATGTGATTCGAGGGGCTGGCAAGTCTGAAATGTGTAGTGCTGGCCTGCACTACACACTTCTATGTTACAGTATTGAGGCAAAATTTTTTCTTCTCCAGGAAACCTCAGTTTTTGCTTTTAAAGTCTCCACTTGATTGGATGAGGCCCACCCACATTATCTAGGATAATATTCTTTACTCAAAGACAACTGATTGTAAATGTTAATAACAAAATACCTTCACAGAAATACCTAGACTAATGTTTAGGCACCACAGCCTAGCCAAGCTGACACAAAAAATTAATCATCATGAGTTCCATGAATTATTTTCACAGAATATATTCTACTGTATTCATGAAATATGTTGATGAAATGTACATTTAATCCCCAGCAGAAACTTGCCAAGTCTGAGACTAGGTGTAAAGAAAAGCAGCAGGCATGAGGCATTGTGACTCTCAGGGTCTCCCAGTACCACCCAGCACAGAGGGTTCAGTATTGACATCAGTGTGCCCATGCCACACCCTTCACCTTGTGCCTCCAGGTATGTTTTTCCTAAGGCAGGAGTCAAGATGCCTTGCTGGGCAAAAGCAGTGCTGCTGCACTTTGAAGGTCCAGTTATGTCAGGCTCATAGCAATTCCTAAGCCCGCAATGCAAAAGGAAGGGAGAGTAGACACGAGCTGCAGATTTCTATAAACCAGAAGGTAAATATTCATGATTAAACACCCAGCCTGGCACGCACACTTGGGAGATTTTGGCCAACACAGAGCCTCAGAATTTCCATTTCCACTGGGCAAACAGGAATATGAGATGGTGCAAAATTGATGTATGAGGAAAGCAGAGCGATTGGGCATTTACATCTATTTAATTAAGGAACACGTTGTAACCTCTATTTACTTCTGTTTAATTAAGGGATTGCTCATTTCAGAGAAGATATCATGCTGGGCCTTCTACTACTTTTGTGATTCAACGCCCAACTAAGGATGTATGGGAAACAGTTTGGTGATCTTAGCTCAGTCCCTAATGGTGAGAGCTTCATATTACAAAGCCAATAAACCATGCTGCCAGACTTGCAAAAAGAGAGTCAAGGGACTTATCAAGAAAATGATCTCTTCAAGACACAGGAGGCAATCCATGAGAATGTATGTTATTCTAGAATAATTCTGATCAAAATTTAGAAACATAATGAATTCCTTGTGGAATAACCAACCACATTTAAGTAGGAAAAGAAAGAGCCAAGGAAAATTAATAGAGCTTTACAGGCTCCTAAAGTATATGAAATTAGTTAACATATTGGTCAAACACTAAAAATGCCCCTTCAGGCAATCAACTGACCCTGCCCAGACAGAGGCAAAAATGGTTAGACAGAACACAGAGAATGAGGGAATTCATTTTTCTATATACATGACAGCTGCTGTCTTACTGGGGTGTTGATTACTTTTTTTCTCCTCAAAGAAGGTGTTTCAGAACTAAGACAACTCATTATTTCGTCTGACATTTCATCATCCTCTCTGGAATTGCCCTGAGAAATGCCTCCAGAGTAACTCTATTCTTCTAAGTCCTTTGCATCATGACTAAGGAGAATGCAGGAAGAGCTATCCAAGAAAGAAGGAGGAAATAGCCAGTAATTCTAGAAGGCGTAGAGTGGAGAGAGGAAAGTTTGAGATCTCCATCCATCTTATTGGCCCCTGGATATCTAGCTAGACCCCCTCTCTCTATTAAACATCACTAATGTCCTATTACCTGGCTAACAGGATAAAGTAATTCGTGGGTACCAGCCTCCTTGGCATCCTCTCTTTATCCCCAGGAAGCAGAAGTGCCTTTTAAGAGTGGTCTCCTGAAGATAACACTCTCCATCCTCATTTAACTCAAAGCAAATGATGGAATGACACAAGGTGAAATACTGCCTTTATTGCTGGTTCCTTTTGAGCATGTCTAGATTTTAACTCTTCTGGAACAGGGGCCACACCTTATATGTATATGAAGACCTCCTGGCATCTTACCAGGGCTTTGCACATTGTGAGCACTGAATTAATACAAAAAGAATGAGTGAATGCTTTGCTTCTGTAAAGCTGACTTTTTTCTCTTTCTTAAACTCACCATACATTTTTCTCTCACTTCCT
Source organism: Homo sapiens (assembly GCF_000001405.40). Taxonomy (NCBI): domain Eukaryota; kingdom Metazoa; phylum Chordata; class Mammalia; order Primates; family Hominidae; genus Homo; species Homo sapiens. The sequence goes on along the minus strand of NC_000015.10, from coordinate 59,895,604 downwards.
GGAATGCTTCCCTACTTGCTCTTCGCCATGTAGCCAAGTCCTAGACATTTGCCAAGGTCAAGAACAAACCCTTCCACTTTCACAAAGTCTTCCAGACTCACCTGGCCCTAGCAAGAAATCCACCTCCAAAGACCTGCATCCCTGATGACTAATTTTTAACATCCTGGTTGGTAAGGAGGATGTGGTGTTTATTAGTTGTCTTTTAAAAATATGTCCTATATCTCCAACTGGATGCCAACCTCTGTGTGTGACCAATCTCTGGATACTTCCCACTCCACATTCCAGCAAACACACAGTCTCTGTGGCATGATGCCTGGTCCATAATGGGCTCTCAATCAGTGATCATGATTGGTGATGGGTTCGATGGTTCTCTGACAGGCTGTATTATAGGTTCCTCAAAGACAAAGACCCATCTCAGCTTGTTCAATATTAGGTTACCAGTACCTATTACAGGATATGTTCAAAAAGTATTTGCTAAATGAACTGTTGTGTAAATTTATGTTTGTGATGCAATGCCTTGCCACAAGAATCTAATATCATGCCATGAATGCACGTCAGAGTTACTGGCTCATAGTATGTCAGGCATTGGAGGAAATAGCTATTTAAGGACATAACTTTTCTTCCCTAAAGGGGAATTGAATTGAAACTAATACATAGTGTCTCAAGACTTCTGAGTACAGAGTAGATTCAAGAAACTTTTTTTGCCTGTTACCTGAGGACACCAGGCTGGATGTGGCAAGAATGAAGAGGTAACTAAGACTCAGTCCATACCCTAAAAGAACTTAATGTCTAGTAGTGGAGTTCATCAAGGAAGCAAAAAAAGTTACAAAGCAGAATATGATATGTTTTAAGAAGGCAACAAGCGTAGCTCATGCCTGTAATCCCAACACTTTGGGAGACCGAGGTGGGTGGATCACCTGGGGTCAGGAGTTTGAGACCAGACTGGCCAACATGGTGAAACCCAGTCATTACTAGAAATACAAAAATTAGCTGGGCATGGTGACTTATGCCTGTCATCCCAACTACTTGGAAGGCTGGGACAGGAGAATCGCTTGAACCCAGGAGGCAGAGGTTGCAGTGAGCCAAGATCACGCCATTGCACTCCAGCCTGGGCGAGAAAGCAAGACTCCATCTCAAAAAAAAGAATAAATAAATAAAATTTAAAAAAAAAAGCAAAGAACAGTGAAGGAATAAAGCATGACAATAGTGGTAGCTATTATTTTAGGTTTGGGTTATGGCAGCACCTCACCTATGGTATCAATTTCTACATCAGTTAAGGTTAAGTTAAACTGCTATAACCAAATGACCAAAAGAGAAAATGGCTGCAAAAATATAGGCCCTATGTTGCCCAGGCTGGTCTCAAACCCCTGTGCTCAAGTGATCCTCTCACCTTGGCCTCCCTAAGTGCTGGGATTACAAGGGTGAGCCACCACACCTGGCCCTACTCATCTTTAAAGCCCAACTCAAGGGTGACCACCTATGAGACAACGTCCCTGGTTCTCTCTTTTCCTTTCCTCGCCTCTATGCCCACAGCACTTTGTTTGAAATGCTGGGAGGACATTCCATAGCATATTTCAGTTAGTTGTTATTCCATACTACATCAACCATAAACTACTTAAAGGCAAGGACAAGGTATTATTCATCTTCATTCTTTGTTCTTGGTCCACACCTGGCATGGAGCAAGCTGCCTGTAAATAGTTGTTGAATTAAATGAGTGTCTGTTCCTGGGTCCAACACACTCCCTGTACTTGAGGGAGCAGAGCCAGTTGGGTGAGGGGAGAGGTGTTTCTGATGGCAGCCTCTTCTATGTAATTATCCCTTCCCAGTGAATAATGGGGCCTCAGCTCTGTGTCTGATTCTTTGATGAAGGTGAAACTATTTAATCAGGTTTGGTTGCTCATCTCATCATCTTCCCACATCACGCCCTTCCTGACGAGCTCATTAGCTGGAAGAAAAATTGATGACCTCGTTAGTTCTGCACAGTGGTTCACTTAGGACAAATTGGAGCTTCAGAATGTTGCTCAACTCTGACCCATGGTGGGACAAGGTCTCATGCTCAGGATTGTTTGGATACACCATGCCCTTGGTGCCTTTATGTGACAGTTTGCTTGGAAACTTTCTGCTTGAAATAGTGTGTTTTCCAATGTAAATATTCACCTTTTAAGTTCCTCCTCATTCTGCTCAGTGAGGAGTACACCACTCCCTCACAGTGCCAAGGCTGGATTTACCTTCTCTACACCCCAACCCCCACCTCAAATTCTTTGTCTCTCTCACCCACTGAAATCTTATCATCCTCCAGGTCCAGTTTACTTTCTGTCCCCCTCTTCATCCAGGAAGTATTCTTTATCCAGGAAGTGTTCAATGACATCCTTGGGGACATAATTTAGTTGAATTTGGAAGCAGCACCTGTTGGGATCGCAACTAAAGGACCAGGGGAGGAGGAATGATTCAGGACCATGGACAGAATCTGAGACAGTCTGGCTGTGGCTGGGACTGCTGGCCCCTGTAAGCTTGGCCAAGAATTAAAATACTGAATCCACAGAAGTGGAAGATGTGGTCAATTCCAGTGCTGTCCAGGGGCCCCATTTCATTAAGCAGAGCATGGTGGCCAGAGGAGGCAGGAAGGTGAGTGGTCCTCGGGGTGAGGGGTAGAAGTTGAAGGATTGTGAGCCTAGCCGATGCTCCATTCCTTCTGTCTCAATTGTTCTTTCTTCCTCTCTAGCTTTACTCTATTTTTCTGACAAACTATTTGGTTTTCAAAATCCAGAAAGGCTGTATTTCTCTAGAAAGGCTTTCCTGCCTTCCTCCCTGATGTTACCAGCCACTCCTATCTCTGTGTTAGCTCTTCATCCTGAACACGTTTAATGCTGTTCTTGGCACACACTGTGTTGTAATTATTGATTGAAAGGCAGGTTTCTTCTGCGTTCCAGAGTGCTCTTGAAAGTACAGATTTTGTTTCTTTCATTTCTGTATCCTGTATGTGCTCTGTGCCAAGCATGAGCCTGCTATCTAATAGATGGTAAATAATTATCTGTTAAATGAAAGAATGAGTGAATGGTGGGCCTCCCGCTCGCAGGTATGGGGTGTGCTCCTGGAAGAAGGAGTGAGCATAGGCCCAATAAAGCCTCAAGACCCCTGCTGATTGGCTGAAAGTCCAAGGCCCAGCTTTGGTAATACTGGCAGAGTGGAGTGTAATACAGAGAAACTGAGGCAGAAGGTCAATCTCACAGCCTGAATCAGCACTGTATCTTGTAAAAATGTCAACTTGGGTTTTGACTGAGTGGTTATTAAATGTTTTTGACCCACAGTAAGATTGTTGACACCAATTCGGCTGCTTCTTTACACTGAGGAACTGTTTATACTGGGTTAGCTCCTAAATAGCTTTTCTTTTTCATGTTTTCCACTTAAAAATGGCTTTATATGCTGCAGCACACAGATATATGGCTCGTTGCAGGGTTAAACCCAGACATCTGGCACATGGCAGGCTTGCCTGGGGCCAGTTCCCTAGGGCCATGCTTGTCTGGAGAGGAGATCAGACAAAAATTGTTTGTTCATAAGAAACAAAAATCAACTCAAACTAATGTAAATAAAACAGTGCAGGAAAGTCTCCCAGATAGTCACTGGGATGGCTCTGGTGACACAACTGTCAAAGTGATGGACTTCCATTCTGGAGCTCTCTATTCACATGCCACACCTGCACATGACTGCTTCTTTTTGCCCAAGTTCCTCCTTCAATGTCCTAATTCTGAATTTCTGGATAAAGGCTACATCTGTAAGTTAGCTTATCTTGGTTCAAGAATTTATCCTAGATCCAAGAGTGGAATCTCAAAGTAAAAGAACTGCCCTCCTAAGGATTATGTAAGATTATCCTAGAAGAAAAGATGAGAACTTCTCTACTTGCAAGGAAAGCTCATTTAGAAACCGTAACTTAGACCTGAGTTAAAAGAAAGGAGCTGGGACCAAGGGGGGTACACCAAAACTACCTAGGAGAACAAGAGCTTGGCAAAATTTCCAGAGAACAGTAACAGGTTGTGCAGTAAATATGGAAATGGCTTCACTTTGTGAAGTGCTCTTCAGTTTAGAGAGAGTACATTCCTACTCACTGAATGCCCAGTGAGTTCCCCAAGGTCAGGACTGCGTCTCATCCAAATCTGTATCCCTTCACATCCCCCTCACCAGGATACCCACTCCATTACAAGGTAGGTGTCTGTCAGATAGTCAGGCAAATGAAAACACTTGGTCCTTAAGGCAATCCTGTGAAACAGACATGACATAGCATTATCTCACCTGATGGTAAAGGAAACGGAAGCTTAGAGTAGATAAATGACATGCCCAGGATTGTGAATAATCAAAACAGAACTCAGATACAGGACTTTTGTCTCCTGGTAAAGTGATTATTCCATGATGCCATAAGAAAACATGAACTAACCCTAAAAACCAGAAAATGTGAGGGAGGGCTGGGTGCAGTGGCTAATGCCTGTAATCCTAGCACTTTGGGAAGCCTAGGCAGGATTGCTTGAGCCCAGGAGTTCTAGACCAATCTGGGTAACATAGTGGGAGCCCATCTCTCTATATATAAAAAAGAGAAATGTGAGAGAGAACGTAGGGAGGGGGAATAACTCTGATAGATATTACTGTTTTGACAAGATGCTCTTTAACTTCATTTCAACCCTTATGTTGTACACTTAGAATTTAAATTGTAAACTTCTACAGCAAGGACTATGCTGTCATTTTTTTCTGGGTAAAGGTGTCCTAAAATGCCTGTAAAGCAAGGGCAGGAGCTTAGTTTCATTAAGGCAAATCTGCCATCCACCTTTCCCTGGGCTTGTTACAAAGATGCCTCTTTAACACTTAGCACCAGAGTGTGACATCTGGTTGCATAGCTTTCTAGGGAATTTCAGGGACTTTGTTCAGTGCCAATTAAGCCCACCTGTTCTATCTCCCCCACAGGAGCTGGAACAGGCAAAAAGGGTTAATGTGCTTTTCTAAAGCAATACTCCCCCAGCACTTATCAAATGCCACTCTCACTTCTTCCTGCTTCCACCTAAAAATGTTAACTAGGCAGGAAAGGCTTGACATTGACAGAGAGGAATCAGGACTCCATTTTGACAAGCTGACAAGTGGAGGAAATTCATATATTATATGGCTGGGAGCTATGGCTTTCTCTCTAATTTATTATAGTGGTTCTTATCCATAGCTTTCCCCTCCCCTAGAAGGACACCCATGTTCCTGGGCAAAGGTAGGAGGCCTGAAGCACCTTTACATCCTGCTTTGGCTGTGATGTTTTTAACAAGCCATTGTCCTGGATCCCTTTCGTAGTAAAGGCTGTGTGTTGCTGGGTGTCCTGATCTCTTTTCCCTTCCACCCTCTCAGGCATTCTGGGCTGTTCTCCTGCCCTGGAGAGAGTTTGCTCTTTGGACAGAGCACAAAACACCCACTGTGTATGTGCACCATGTTGGCTGCCATCCTGAGTATCCATGTTTCCTGAAAACAACCTTGAGCGTTTAACTGCACTCATATCCCACTCTGGACTGCTCTGTGTGACTTTGCCTGTCACCAAATAGGATTTGGGGCAAGTGAAGCTTCTGTCCCCAAGGTGTGGAGAACTGTTGCTCTGATCTGCGATTAGGTTTAAATTGAAGTTACAAAACTTCCCTTCTTAGTCTGTTCAGACTGCTATAACAAAATACCATAAATGGGGTGGCTTATAAACGATAGGAATTATTTATTTCTCGCAGTTCTGGAGGCTGGGAAGTCCAAGACCAGAGTTCCAGGAGATTTGCTGTCTGGTGAGAGCCTGCTGTCTGGTGAGAGCCTGCTTTCTGGTTCAGAGATGTCCTCTTGTAGTTGTGTCCTCTCGAGGTGGAAGGGGCTAGCTAGCTCTCTAGGGTCTCTTTTATAAAGGCACTAATTCCCTTCATGCGAATCCTGCCTTTATGACCTGATCACCTCCCAAAGACGCCCTGCCTTCTACGCCATCACTGTATTAGTCTGTTGTCACGCTGCTAATAAAGACATACTCAAGACAGGGTAATTTATAAAGGAAAGAGGTTTAATAAACTCACAGTTCCACATGGCTGGGGAAGCCTCACAATCATGGCAGAAGGTGAAGGAAGACCAAAGGCACATCTTACATGGCAGCAGGCAAGAAGGCTTGTGCAGGGGAACTCCCATTTATAAAGCCATCTGGTCTTATGAGACTTATTCACTATCACGAGAACAGCAGGGTAAAGACCCGCCCCATGATTCAACTACCTCCCACCAGGTCCCTCCCACAACACATGGGAATTATGGGAGCTACGATTCAAGACAAGATTTGGGTGAGACATAGCCGAACCATATCAATCACCTTCAAGACTAGTATGTCAACATATGAATTTGCAGAGGGGCACAAACATTCAAACCATAGCCCTTCCTAAGACCCAAGAAAAAAGGCAGTGGCAGTTAGTGTAAGGAAGCATGTGGACCGGAAGTAGTACTGAAAGAAGAAAGCCACCAAGAATAGAGGTTGCCTTAGGAGCTAGGCACTTTCCCAGTTTCCCAGTCTGATCAGTTTCGTTCGTTACTGTTGCCTACAAGGTACTTCATGGGATTACCTGCTAGCTCATAGATGAACCACCTTTGCGTCATATTCTTATTTCTTGTCCAGTCTGGGTCCACCCCTGGACAAGAAAGAGTCCAGCACTGCCTCTTTGTTTAGGGGGCTGGAAACAGGGAAATCCTAGCTAACAAGTGACAATGGTATGACAGACACCTTAATTGTCATGATCAGAGTAGACAGCCCATGACTCATGCAGACAGCCAGTAGGGGAGAGGTGTAGTTGAAGAAGGCCACTTTGTTTGCCGGTAGATGCCATATGAGATCTGGGACTTGGGTGGACATGGCTGGCCCATAATGTAACTCTTTATGCTGCCACAAAATAGCTGTAGAATGCTCCTCTCTCTTCCAAATGGCCATTGTGAGTATTTTTGGTAATTCCTTTCCCCTTCAAGCCTGCCCTTTCTGCTCATTTTTAGATCTTACATCTAATAATTATAGTACCTATCTGCTTTTACTTGTGCAGCTTTTTCGTCTCCTGTTTTGATAGTACCTCCTAGTTTTCCTTTGAGGAACCACCTCCCACTTGCAGTCCGTGTGCTCCAAGAGGAGCTGGTCCCATTCCCATGTCCAGTTGGTTTTTTTTTTGTTGTTGTTGTTGTTGTTTTAAATTTTACTCTAAGTTCTGGGATACATGTGCTGTATGTGCAGGTTTGTTACATAGATAAACATGTGCCATGGTGGTTTGCTGCACCCATCAACCCATCACCTAGGTTTTAAGCCCTGCTTGCATTAGGTGTTTGTCTTAATGCTCTCCCTCCCCTTTCTCCCCACCCCCCGACAGGCCTCAGTGTGTGATGTTCCCCTCCCTGTGTCCATGTGTTCTCATTGTTCAACTCCCACTTATGAGTAAGAACATGCAGTGTTTGGTTTTCTGTTCCTGTGTTAGTTTGCTGAGGATGATGGTTTCCAGTTTCATCCATGTGAAACTGTTTCAACCATGAGTTCAAAGGACATGAACTCATCCTTTTTTATGGCTGCATAGTATTCCATGGTGTATATGTGCCACATTTTCTTTATCCAGTCTACCATTGATGGACATTTGGGTTGGTTCCAAGTCTTTGCTATTGTAAATAGTGCTGTAATAAACATATGTGTGCATGTGTCTTTATAGTAGAATGATTTATAATCCTTTGGGTATATATCCAGTAATGTGATTGCTGGGTCAAATGGTATTTCTGGTTCTAGATCCTTGAGGAATCACTACACTGTCTTCCACAATGGTTGAACTAATTTATATTCCCACCAATAGTGTAAAAGTATTCCTATTTCTCCACATCCTTGCCAGGATCTGTTGTTTCCAGACTTTTTAATGATCACCATTCTAACTGGTGTGAGATGGTATCACATTGTGGTTTTGATTTGCATTTCTCTAATGACCAGTGATGATGAGCTTTTTTTTATATGTTTGTTGGCCGCATAAATGTCTTCTTTTGAGAAGTGTCTGTTCATATCCTTCACCCACTCTTTGATGAGGTTGTTTGTTTGTTTTTTTTCTTGTAAATTTGTTTAAGTTCCTTGTAGATTCAGATATTAGGCCTTTGTCAGATGCATAGATTGCAAAAATTTTCTCCCGTCCAACTGGTTTTTGCCATGTGAGGACATAACAAAGAAATGGCAACTGCAAACCAGGAAGAAGATTGTCACCAGACACCAGATCGGCTGACACTCTGATCTTGGACTTCCTAGCCTTCAGAATAAGTGTTTGTGGTTTAAGCCACTTAATCTATGGTCATTTGTTACAGCAACCTGAACTGATAAGTGTAGACATCGAGAGGGGAGTCTCCCTGTTAAAATATATCTCACTGGATTCCCTGTTTGTATTTAGGCTCCAAGAGTCCTGGTCTCATTGCCTCAAAATCCAGATTGTTTCTGACGTTGTGACTGGTGTGACATGATGACCCAGAGCTGCCTCCAAGCAGTGTGACTTCTATTCTTCAAGTGGAATGCAGAAGCAATTAGTCTTAGGCTTGGGAGACACATGGCCTCTTCTCTTCTTTTCCTTAAGAATTTCTTTTTTCTTGGCCTTAAAAATGGCAGGATCTAGATTAGGGGATGGGTCAAGGGGGATGAGGGCAAAGAGACCACCTGGCCAGCGTGGAGTCTGGCTCATGACTCTACCAGCTCAGTTGCCACAAGGCCTTCTCTCCTCTCCTGTTCCATTGCTCGGACTCCTTGTCAATATCCTAGTGGCACAGCTACATGTGAGTGCCACTCTGCTGACAGTGCACCTTGAGAACTCCGACATCTGTGCCAGGGCATTCCTCCCCGATGCTTCCAAACCTGGAAGATTTTTCCTCTCCCCAACCCTGCACTTTTTTTGTCTCCCAGGCCTCCCACAGCATTGCTTCTGCTGAGAGCTCCTTTCACTCCTGGCCCCACTCCTCCCACCAGGGCTGAAAGCCAGGGGAGGGTGTTGGGGAAAAATTGGCACACCATTGTCTGCATTTCTCTCCTCTCTCTTGCCTGTGTACCAAAAGAAACACATTTTTTTTAAAAGTCCCATTTTTTCTCCTTCAGCCATAATAAGCCACATAAACAAACAACTCATGTAAATAAGCAGCCAAAGTTGGTTCTCAGGCTGGGATCAGGCATAGCAGCTTGCTCCCTCATCCCAAAAAACTTCAACAGCAAGCAGCCTAGGAGCTTGAAGAAAGTATTTACTTTTTAGTTAACTACAGCATCCACTTTTCAAATTTCAAAACGCTTACATAAGTTGCTTATTGTTCACTTGTTAACAAAGGAATCTTTTCTACATCAAGGCGAGTTCTCTTTTTCAGCTGTGAGCTAATTTCTCTCTCTGCTAAACAATGATTCCCTGCTCTCACTCACTCCCTCTCCTGCTTACAGACACTATTAACATCCCACAGGAAGTGGTGTTTGTACAGTGCTCCTTGATTAACGAATCCCCAGGGAATGAGCCTTCTTTATAGGATATGGGGCTGGGCTCAAAAACACTTCATAAATCATGCAGCATGAGCTGTCCGGACTGGTAGCGGCTTGCCGGCAACCTTCGGTGCACAGCCACTGTTTGGCACGTCTGCTGGAGGAAAACGAGTAAGAGCTGCTCACCTGGGAGGCTGCTCTCTGTTCTCACACTTTGCTTTTCTGCCTCCTTCCATATCTCATAGGTGGGGAGGGTACTCATTCTTGTTCCTGCTCCTTCCTGCTCCCTTGTCAATCTCTTCCTCTTCCCTATCCAGATCCTTCTGTTCCCCTCCCCCTAGTCCTCCCCTGCCCCATACTGCAAGACCAGGGAAAAACGAAGCTAATTTATCCTGAAGGTTTAACTAAATGAAGCATTTGCAGTTTAAGCTGAATTGGAGAAAAATAAGACTCAGCCCTGCTAAAGTAATCCCAGGCGCCAGTTAGATTTCAGCAAACACGTAGAAAGATATTTCAGGAAGCAAACTAGCATGAAGACTCATCAACTGGCCAGGTGCGGTGGCTCACACCTGTAATGCCTACATTTTGGGTGGGTGGATTGCTTGAGGTCAGGAGTTCGAGACCAGCCTGGCCAATGTGGTGAAACTCCACCTCTACTAAAAATAAAAAAATTAGCCAAGCGTAGTGACACACAGCTGTAATCCTAGCTACTAGGATGACTGAGGCACGAGAATTGCTTGAACCCAGGAGGTAGAGGTTGCAGTGAGCTGAGATTTTGCCACTGCACTCCAGACTGGGTCACAGAGTGAGATTCCGTCTAAATAATAATAATATAAAACTTCATCAACTGATAATTAATGCAGATTACAAAAATTTAGATCCTTGTCAAGGTCGCTGGGTGGGGCTAGGAGGGCTGGTTCAAGATGTCTTCCCCTCTGACCTTTGTCCCTTGTCCAGTGGAGGAAGTCCAACCGCAGGGGCAGATTTTGTGGGGCTTGAAGAAAGCTTACACATTCTTGGGTGGGGTGGGGTGGGGAAGGGGAAGGGCCCTGTGAAAAAACACAAAACTACAGACACAAAATTAGGCATGAGTGGGTATATACAGCTAACCCTCAAACAGTGTCGACCCCTGTGTAATACAAAAAATCCATGTATAACTTTTGACTCCCCAGAAAATTAACTACTAATGGCTTATTCTTGACTGGAACCTTACCGATAACATAAACAGTCAATTAACATGTATTTTGTATGTTTATATGTATTATATACTGTATTCTTATAATAAAGTAATTTAGAGAAAAGAAAACGTTAAGAAAATCATAAGGAGGAGAAAATGTATTTACTATTCATTAAATAAAAGTGGATTATGATCATCATAAAGGGCTTCATCATCACTGTCTTCTTGTTGAGTAGGCTGAGGAGGAGGGAGAGGAGAGGTTGATCTGCTGTCTCAGGAGTAGTTGTTCATCTGTGAGTTTTTTCAAATTGTCTCAAGTCTCCAAAAAATTTTCCAATACATTCATTGAAAAACGCTCCACATATAAGTGGCCTGCACAATTCAAGTCTGTGTTTTTCAAGGATCAACTGTATTTATTTAGAATAACAATATAAATAAAAATAAGCAACAAAATGTTAAATACCAACAAAAACCACAAGCGTCACATTGATTAAGCTCATCACTGTGTGCTTCATGTGTTTCTATATTTTCTCCCCAATATTTGCCAGCTGCATACATTTTCATTGCCTTCTCAAGTGACAATTTTGTAATATTTTCTATATAGAAACCACAGAGATAATTCAGTCTTTAATATGGTTGGTAGAAAGAATTTCACTTATTGTCTATTTTGAATTTTTTTATCTTTATAAATTATAATTGATAACATCACATAGATTTTTAGTATTGTATTTATTTATTTATTTATTTATTTATTTATTTGAGACAGAGTCTTGCCCGGTCACCCAGGCTGGAGTGCAGTGGCTTGATCTTGGCTCACTGCAACCTCCGCTTCCTGGGCTCAAGCGATTCTCCTGCCTCAGCCTCCCGAGCAGCTGGGATTATGGGTGCACGCCACCAAGCCTGGCTAATTTTTGTATTTCTAGTAGAAATGGGGTTTCACCATGTTGGCCAGGCTGGTCTCAAACTCCTGACCTCAAGTGATCCACTCGCCTCAGCCTCCCAAACTGCTGGGATTACAGGCGTGAGCCACTGTGCCTGGCCTTGCTCTAGCATCTCTTGCTCTGCATCTTTATAAGCCAGCAAAGTGAGTAACAGTAGCATTAGCATTCCTGGGTAGTAGCATTCCTGGAAGACAACCCTATACCAGGATGGCAAGCAATATCTTAACTACATAGAAGAGACCATGAACTACATTAATATGATCCACAGAACCCAACTTAAATGGATCTCCAAATCAACTTCCTTTTAGCTGGATCCCCCAAGATGCTCGTGACCACTTTAACACCACACATCATGAGGGGCAGTAGGATACAGGGAAAATTAGGTTAGAAACAGTAAGTGACTTAACCACTTGTTATGCAAATGTTACAAGCACATATGACCATGGGAACAAATTGCAAGAGCCCCTCACAGGATCTTGGAAGGGATTTTGCAAGTGAGGGCCCTCAAAGCTTAATCTTTGTTAGCTTCACAGCTAATCAGCCGCTGCTTAGGAATTGTGGGATGTGGGTAAACCAATCACCTGCTTCCTCCTTGACCTGGAAGCCCCCTGCACTAATGTGAGTCAGCCAATCCCTTCCTCCAGACTGCCAGGCCCCACACGGCCTCCCCACCATCAGACTTCTCTGCCTGAGCCCAGATCAGGCCTCCCTCCTCCATCTCTCCTGACCTTAACTCAACACTGTTTCCTCTCCTCCAAGAATACCAGGTGCAATTTTTTTTTCCCATTTGTTTTTATTTTCGGGAGTCATCAGTTGATTTTTTTTACATTGCAAACCCCATTTTATTTCTGTCACTATTCTATCTATCCTATATTCTGCCTATATTAATTCTGCTTCTAGATTTGTTTTTTTTTTTTTTTTTTTTGACAAAGAAGTTCCCCCAAAATGCATCCTGTCTGTTTCATGGATGCATTACTTTGTGGAAATTTAGTAGAGCTCTTGGCTCCTGATGCTAGGGACCTCTGTTTTGCTATTATCCCATAGGGTCATTATTTATCTTTGTTTTTTGTTTGTTTGTTTGTTTGTTTATTTTTTGAGACAGAGTCTCGCTCTGTCGCCCAGGTTGGAGTGCAGTGGCACAGTCTCGGCTACTGCAAGCTCCGCCTCCCAGGTTCACGCCATTCTCCTGCCTCAGCCTCCCAAGTAGCTAGGACTCTGGGACTACAGGCGCCTGCCACCACGCCTGGCTAATTTTCTTTTTTGTATTTTTAGTGGAGACGGGGTTTCACCATGTTAGCCAGGATGCTCTCCATTTCCTGACCTCGTGATCCGCCCGCCTCGGCCTCCCAAAGGGCTGGGATTACAGGCGTGAGCCACCGCGCCTGGCCTTATCTTTGTTTTAATCTGTCTCTGACTGAACGATTAGTGCAGTGAAAGAGTCAGGAGTCTTGCAGTTTCAAGTGATGTATGTCTCAACTCAACATAGCTTATGCAGAATGGAAAAATGGTTGTGGTTCATGTAACTGAGATGTCCAAGTTTGGTTTTGACTACAAACACAGTAGGACCCAAGGGCATAAACAGCATTGCCATCTTTTTCTTTATCTCTTGGCTCTGCTTCTCCCGATGGGGTGGCCTTACTCTCTTCCACTGTAGATGCGCATTGAGGTCCACAGTTACCTAGGCACTCCAGGCTTACATTATCATAGCCCATGATGTAAGAGGGGAAAAAAAAGTCTGTCTTTCTTGGTGTGTTCTATTAAATCTCATGAAATGACTCTAATTAGCTCAGTCTTGGTCACATGCCCTTCTCTTGGCCTAATCTGAATAGACAGGGTATGGCCAGACCATGCTCACTTGCCTACTCCTGTCTTCAGAAAGCTGGGCATCACAATTGGCACTTGCTCTTCAGCACTGATAACTGGAGTGCAGAGAAGTCCCCCAAAGAAACAGGGCGGCATCCTAGACAAATCAAAATGACATACATGCCCTACTCATAGGTAAAGCTAAATGCTATTGACAAATGGAAATGTTTTCATTAAACTTCACATAATTTATTTCTTGCTTCCCTAAATCTGCAATTTTATTTCATCATTGTGAAAGTCATTTAAAATTAGCCTGACATACAGAATCTTTGGTATTCTATTATATGCCTACATTTCAATTAGGTCCTTGTTGTAGGTCAGTTTCCCGGGAAACAGATTCTGAGACTCTGAGATTTATGTACAGAGCAGGGAATGAAGGAGGCAGAATCGGGCAAAGGAGAAAGGTAAACTGCCATGTAGTGATATTTTGGGAGCTTTGGAACATGGATGGTCCTTCAGCATTGTCCCAATTGAGGTAAGGAGGTTATAGCCTCCTTTGACCACCTTTGAATGGCAGCTGCCCCAAGGAGCCTGTGGCTGATGACAGTTTCTGGAGAGGACTCAGCTGTGAGCCATCAGTAGCCAACACTCCCAGCAGCTGGGAAAGTGAATTGCTAGGTCCTGAAGGGGAATTTGAGTAGCATACCACTGCATACACTTCGGTGGATTTTCAAACAGTGGAAACAAGGCTCATGTAATCCTAATATTTAATTTTTTTTTTTTTGAGACAGAGTCTCGCCCTGTCACCCAGGATGGAGTGCAGTGGCGTGATCTCAGCTCACTGCAACCTCCGCCTCCCAGGTTCAAGCGATTCTCCTGTCTCAGCCTCCAATGTAACTGGGATTACAAGCGCCCACCACCATGCCTGGCTAATTCTTTGTATTTTTTTTAGTAGAGACAGGATTTCACCATATTGGCCAGGCTGGTCTCGAACTCCTGACCCTGTGATCCACCCACTTCAGCCTCCCAAAGTGCTGGGATTACAGGCGTGAGCCACGATGCCTGGCCCTAATATTTAAATATTAAAGGCCAAGTGTGGGCAGATAGATTCTCATATATGTTATCACTTATATGTATTAAAGTGATATAAAAGAAAAATTTTATATCTTTTAATATTTTTCTTTTAATACTGAGTCATTCAGTTTAGAATCTGTATTTTAAACTCTTTCTTCCAGTATGATAAATGTTCTTTGTTGTTTCCAAATGCATGATGTAAATTCCAATTCTGATGTAGCCTATAGAATCTCTATAAACATGACTTAAAGATACAAAGCAGGCCAGTGTTTATGTTGCTGTCTTGTACGCAGACCTGGAACCCCTGCCTGCTTGGAAGAGAGCTAAATGTATGGTAGTCCCTCAAATCTTGGGCTTTTTCAGACCAGGGTTGGCAAGATAACTGCACTCAAGACTCCCCTATCCTTAGTATGCTTTCCTTTCAGCCTCCCGGCCTTCCTGACAGCTATCAGCCTAGTCAATTGGACTTGGCAGGTGCGAGGAATCCAATTTAGCATCCCTGGTTTAGACCTTGAGCAATCTGCACTCACAATTCACCTACTTAGCCTCTTTATCCACATCTCCTAGTTTTTGACCTGTTTTGGCACTAATTACCCTCATCCCCCCAATTTTAGAATAAGAGGCCTTTGGACTTGTTCCCTTACATCAAATCCTGGGATTGACTCAACATGCAGGTTGGATTTTCCTCCAGTTGGCCCATCCAATTATAGGCAGATCTCATGCTGTCTCTGCAACACTCTTGACCTCCCTACCAACATTTCTAATCAATCAGGTGACTTCCCATTTGAGCGGAGGTGTAAATGTGTTTAAAGCAGGGATCACATCTGGCATTCCAAGGGCTAGATCTGTTAAGCAGCCAAGTTTTATTTGCCTATACCATGTTTTAAAAAAATTGAGCCAATATTCAACAATTTGGAAATTTCATCCACAATAAAATCCAATTTCTCTCTTCTCTTAAAAAAATTGGATGATCCAGCAATGCAAACAAGCATTTCTACCCAGCAACACTTGGCTGAAGATGAAGAACTACTGCCTCCAGCTCACCCAGTTCCACACTCACAGTTGTGTTATGCCTGCTCTTTCCAGTCACTTGTGTTGCCTGCCTGGGTTCTGCAGTTTACAACCCTGGTTTAAATTAGTATCCCTCCCAGGTGATACTTGACATCCAGTGCAAGTTATTGGCAGTAAAGAAGGGCCAAAAGCCTGATGCAATCAAAGGAGAGGTAAAGAAGAAAATCAAACCCTGGGTTTTCTATAACATATTTCCAGATGCAGAAAAACAAGGCTTGTCTTCTTTGCTGATTTCACAGAACAAATGGCATTCCATCTGTGAAATGCACTGTGGTTTTCAGCAGAGACAGTCCAGAGTGAATCATTTGTAACCTCTGCCACTTGTTACATATCTGTTACCAAGGAGTAGACTGGGGAAAGTTTAGGAAACTACGTGGCATGTTCCGTCCTTCTGGGTTATGGATGCTGCCAAGTGAAAATGTGAGATGTGTTGCCAAAGACAACACAGTCTTTTATTTGACACAGAAAAAAGCAACATTCTGATTTCCCTGTCTTAAGAACTGTTTCCTCTACAATCTGGCAAGGCATGCTTATGGAACTCATGGCAACCTGCTCCAGGTAGACTTTTTTCTTATTTTAAGGCTTACAGCAGATGAAGAGAACACAGGAGGAAAGGAATTAAAAATGAATTGCTTCAGAGTAGCGGAGGTACTACTGGTGATAGATAGGTGGGAAAAGGTGAATGGGTTTCCCAGTGCAACGTGAGAAATATTATTTTGTTTATACTCCCTATCAATTTTAAAAAGGAAAATACCTTCCTCTGGCTCTTATTAATTTTTAAAACCAAAATACCTCCATCCAGATATTCTAGTTTAAGTATGTCTTCAAATCAGTTATAATGTTTTCCTGCTTTAAAAAGTGGGGGTTGGGGGGACACGTTAAACTACAGAAGCATAGTTGTCGGGGGGTGGAGGACTGTCTTCCTTGCAGGATTGGGGATTAAGGGGCTGATGCATTTGCAGACTTCATTATGTTAAGTACTCTGCTTAGAGGTTGGTTCAATCTCTGCTCCCTCCACCCTACCCCCACGCCTTCTCTTGGCACATTACTTCTTGTAACATACATTTCTTAATTTAATGAGTTCATTAGTCTGTTATAGCTTTTCCATAGCTAGAATTGGCCAGAGCAGTGATGAATGGTTTATCAGGAAAGTAGCTCAAGGGTAGGCCTTCATAGATACTGTGCAGTACCTTAATCAGGAAATCCAAAGGGCTGCTGGTGGGGAGGGGGAGGGAAGGACATTTGGATCACGGGAGAATTTCTTCCCCTGGGTCTCCTGATTCAGAAACATTAAAAAATCTAATGCAGCTTTATTCTCCATCCTCCTTTAAGCTCTAAATATCTGTCTTTTGGGCATGGGCTGTAATAGACTAGGGCTTTAGGACCAGTTTCTCTGAGAATCAGCCAGTGTTCAAGAAGGGCCCTTGACACCATTCTGACTTAATGCTAGACACATCTGCAGCTACTTGGACAAAATTGACATTGTCTGGAGTGCAAAGCAATTGCCTAGCACAGCATTAGGGAGCATTTACTCTTGAGCCGTGCTACCAGACAGCAAATCTTGACCTTTAGGAGTTCAGAGATTAGATTTCGTTGTTGCAGGCGTTGAAGATATTGTTAGGAATTTCTTGCTATTCAAAGCAGATTTCAGGGGTTACCTATGGGTTTAATTCATCACATCAATCATTTTTTGGAAGGTTCTTTTAAAGCCAAGATAGCTTCAAATAAAAACTAGGATTACTTTTACATTGATTGTCGGTAGTTGGTGAGGAGCAAAGGGGGAACACTCTTGAGATGCTGTTAAAGTTTTCGTATTTGTTCCTTTGCTAGCAGGCATTCTGTGGTATTGGGGAGAAAGGCATGTTTCTCCAATAGGCATTCAAAGCAGTTGCTGCAGGAACAGGCAGGAAATGAGAATAAGGATTTGACTACCCTCTGGTGTAGATCTCTCAAGCCCTTTAACACATTCAGTGCACAGATCTCCTGCGGGTTATCTCAAAGTGCATCGTTTAAAACAAGACCTGTTTAAGCCAATAGGGGTTAAATAGGGCTTATTTTGTTGAACCAGCCTGTATAGGTACCCAGTCCCACCCTCTGTTTGTGTATGGGTGTGTCTCTGTGTGTGCATATATAGAATGTGCATGTGTGCACACATGTGCGTATGGACAACTTCTTTTATTTGGAGGTCAGTTTCCCACCCCTCTTGATCCCAAAGGTGTACGGAAAAGATTTCTGAGGGTCTCTGAAAAGGAAGTGCTGTACAGTGCTGGACTCCAGCCATGTGCTTCTTTTAGAAGACTTTCACAATGATCCTTACTGATTTTTATTTACCTTGCAATTGCTATTCAGAATTTTTACTCAGTTCTCTAATCCATAGTCGATCAAATACCTTGAGACCTTATCTTCATTGTATCTGTTCACCTCTCCAAATTTGCTTCTTATTTCTCAAAGAGGGAGTTTGCACTAGATAATCCTATAGCACTGATTTTATTGCAGCTAGGTGATAGGAGCACTTTTCAAGGTAGGTGCAGTAGCAACAAAAGAAACAACTAGAGCCTAGGAAGGGAGGGGTTGCATACTCTAGCACAGGTAGCGAGCTGCCACCCCATGGCATAATAATGGGGAACTGAGACATCAATGAATGGTTACCTGCAAGTCAGCATGTTTAGCTTAAAAAGTCAGGATAATGGGTAATTATTGTAAAGTACATTTTAGAAATATTTTTCGCTAGAATTGTCAGCATTTAAAATTTCATTGCTGGAAAGAGGAAGCTCCATGATCAATCATAACTCCACAGTAGGTTGTTGCTTGATGCGGCTGAATATATGAGTCTCGCTCTGTCGCCCAGGCTGGAGTGCCATGGCACGATCTCAGCTCACTGCAACCTCCACCTCCCAGGTTCAAGCAATTCTCCTTTCTCAGTCTCCTGGGTAGCTGGGACTACAGGCACCTGCCACCACGCCCGGCTAATTTTTGTATTTTTAGTAGAGACAGGGTTTCACCATTTTGGTCAGGCTGGTCTCAAACTCGTAACCTCAGGTGATCCGCCCAGCTCGCCCTCCCAAAGTGCTGGGATTACAGGCATGAGCCACCACGCCCAGCCGAGATTCTTTCGTGGGAGGTGCATACCAGGTGATGCAATGCACTTTGTTGCTGATACTTCAACATTGTGCCTGTGCAGCACTCTGTAGAACTTCAATGAGGCAATGAAAAAGAACCCAGTTCTCTTCCATTCCAATGAAAGATGCAATTCCCAGGGTATTCTCCCTGTCTTTTGCACAAGACTTCCTATATGCCAGGCATAACACCTCATGAGGTAGCCCTTATTGCCTATTGGGCAGAGAGGAAAACCAAGGTTCACAAAGTTAAGTAAGTCACCTAAGGACACATAACCACCAAGGCACATAGCTGGAATTCAAACTCAGTTCTGTCTGATTTAAAGGTTTTTGCTGGCATCGCTGAGCCAAGCATGGCTCCCACGTGGCTGAGTAAACTGAGATACATTCAGCTAACCGGCCTTGAACAAGTTGCAGAGGATAGCCAGAGCACGTATTTTATTCTCAGTCCACTTGCCTTTTTCTAAACCCCACTTCCATCACTCTATGTAGATTCCATCTATATTAATAGCCACTGTGAATTCATAATTTGCCAAGTGTAAATACATATGCATGCACAAATATGTGCGTTGTAAAGAATGGTTACTAATCGCCTTTGCTCCCATGGAAATGTATCCATATGTGCATTATAAATATGGCTGAGAATTTCTACCAGGTTTCAGAACCAGCCCTATGTAGAATTGTTGATGCTGCCTATCTGCGAACTTTCTGCAGATAGTGATTTCCAGGGGAGTGATTTACTTCCCAGCAGACGCTGAGATAGGGCTGGATCTCTTAGAATTCATGGGTAAGAATGCTGTTTATTTACAAGACATGCAGCCATGAAGCCGCTAGAGAGTGGATAAACTGAAAGAAGGTAATTGGGCTGAGCACAATGCTCTGGAAATGAGAAAGGAGTGAATGAGCTGATTTGGACTTCTTTGAACTTATTTATGTTAAAAATATTTTTATTAAAAAGGCAATACATCTTTATTGTACAAAATTGGAAAAAGCACCAACAAGCAAAAAGAAATAACATTCACTCACAGTTCTATTGACTAGAGATAGCAAAAGCAAAGAGGTTGGGATATATCCTTCCCCATGTAAATCTATGTGGCTTGCAAAAGGATTATAATGTATATTCTGTTTTGTGACCAGCTTATTTCACTTAAAAATATTGGGATGACCTTTCCATGTCATTAAATATTCTACAACATCATTTTCTATAGCTGCATGGTAACTTACTGAATGGATGTATCATTGCTTACGTTTACTTAGTTTAATAACTTACCTAATGTGTTTCTATCCACACAAGATGAATGGAAGTCTTTCAATACTATTACCCAAAACAGTGTTCCCAGGTCCTGTCCTCCCTCTTCATGACTAAATGGCAAATGAAAGCCTCAGATGACATCTTTTCAAGCCCTCATGGCAGGCCAGGCTCATGGACTGTGTAAGATAATATTTGAGCATGTTCAAAGAACCCCTGAAATAAGCCCGGGACTGTGGTGCTTCCCATTCCTTCCACTCATGGAATAATCATCCCTTGTGTTTCAAAGTATCTGTGGTTCCAGAGTACTTCCTCCTGTAGTCCAATAATTACCACTGGGTGCTGTGGTCATTCTAATCCTCCTTCCAGAAGGGAGGTGACTGAGTCTCAAGAAGCTGCAGTAACTTAGCAAAGATCACCCCAATGGTGAATCTCAGAACTACACCTGAACCCAGACTTGTAGATTCCAAGTTCACTGGAATTTGTCCTCCAATGCAATGCTGTGTGGAAGGGGGAGAAAAAGGAAAGAACGAAACAAAAAAAGGAAAGGAAGGAAGGAAGGAACAAAGAAAGAAAGAAGAAAGAAAGAAAGAAAGAAAGAAAGAAAGAAAGAAAGAAAGAAAGAAAGAAAGAAAGAAAGAGAAAGAAAGAAAAGAAGGAAAGGAAAGGAAAGGAAGGGAAAGGAAAGGAAAAGAAAGGAGGGAGGGAGGGAAGGAAGGAAGGAAAAGAAAGAAAGGGAGGGAGGGAAGGAAGGAAGGAAGGAAGGAAGGAAGGAAGGAAGGAAGGAAGGTAGGAAAATGATAGGTATCTGTGGCTCTGGTAGTCAGAGGGGCAGGTAGGGAGGGCAGGAGGTTTTCCCAGTCCATCCTGTACGGACCTGTCTGTCTTCCACCTAAAAAGACTCTCCTCTCAGAAGTCGAGGAACAGAGATGAGCAGCTTTTTCAGGTACAAGCTTCAGAATCATAGATCTCAAAAGACGAAGCTATTTCTCTCCCACTTTTGCAGCCACCAAATAATCAACTGCTTGTACCATCTGCATGTATTGGTGGTTATCTCCCCTCACCTCACACTGTCCTCACCCTGCTGTCCTCAATATGAAAATGTTTCTGGCATAAAATACACATGTTCTATAGATCAGAGCCTGTCCAAGCAGTACACCCTGCTGTCCTCATCGCAGGGAGACACCTGGATCCATCCTCACTCCTGGAGGGCTGGCCTGAACAACAGTAGTTCCCTCTGAGCTCTGAGGCCTCCTGGAACCAGGCACACAGGCAATGGGCAAAACCTTCAAGGACAGCAATTTTCACTCAGCCCCTTGGCAGGCCATGGGGTCTCAGACTTAGTGAAGGAACACAGACCTAGGAGTTTCTCTGGGTTTTTATCTCATTCTAACGCTTACTAACTGTGTGCCTCATGGAAGCCACAGGATGTTTCTGACTCCCGGTTTTCTTGTCCACAGAAAGGAGGGGAAGATTGAGCAGAGTAGTTGTAAGGATATGCAATAATATCAATAAAGTGTATGTATATGCATTAAATGCCTGACATATATCAGGAACCCTATAAATGTTAGCTTTCCCATCCTGGAGTTTACGTTAGAGAGTGTATTAAAACCACAGGTGGGTGTTTTCTTCTTAAGGGCCTCGTCTGAATCTGAGAGCCTATGAAATTGGGAGTTTATGAGTGTAGGGGGGCATGGTGATAAGGTAAACAAAACTCAAAGGAAAAAGCTGATACTTTGAATAATGGCACTCTATCTAAATGCCTTTGGCCTGTGAATGGAGTAGGCTGCTTTTCTCTAAAGCAGCAGCCACAGCTTGGCTGGGGAGGCCTCAACAGTCTCTCTAGTTTCATCAGTGTCTCCAAGACAACCCAGATAAATAGACAGTGAAAGCACAAATTATTTGCTTGCTGTGGAGATTTGGCATCAACACAAGTCCCCTACCTGCCCCCACTCTAGTCTCTAAACACTTCTCATGTAGAAAATTAAGATCTGCCTTGCCCTATAACTTAGTGAACTTGGTCAGGGTGATGGGAATATCCTGAAGATAAAAGTGCACACTCTGTTCTAGTGTTGCCTTTGGTTAGTGACTCCCTGAATGAGAGTGAGGTATTAAGAAGCTGTGTGCAACATGAGCCCTGAGAGCTGAGTAGCCATACTGTGTGGCACTGTGGTCTTGGCACTTCTTGGACAGCATGTCTCACCTGCTGATGAAACTCCTGAGCAAGAAGATCAAGAAGCAGAACCTCAAAATGCACACCGGAACCTAAAGTTGCCGGGGGCCTCAAATCTGACCCTATCAGAAACTCAAAACGGAGGTGTGTCTGAAGAAACGATGGGAGGTGGAAAGGTTAAAAAATCAAAACGTTCTGTGAATGTGGGGTTATCAGAAGCTCAAGATGGAGATGTGTCTCAAGAAACAGTGGAAAATGTAAAAGTTCAAAAATCTCCTCAGAAATCCATTGTATTAACAAACGGAGAGACAGCAATGCAGTCTCCCAATTCAGAATCAAAAAAGAAAAAGAAGAAAAAGGGAAAAATGGTGAATGATGCTGGGCCTGATGTAAAAAAAAGCAAAAACTGAAAACAAAGGGGAATCTAAAGAAGAAAGTGCCAAGACTCCCAAAGAAACAGAAAATAATCTGGAGAAGCCAGATAATGAGGAAGATAACCGTGAGGTGCCCAGCCTGCGCCTGAGACTGACAGGAGCTTTTGACGATACTTCATTTGCTTCTCTATCTAATCTTGTCAATGAAAACACTTTGAAGGCAATAAAAGAAATGAGCTTTATGAACATGACTGAAATTCAGCATAAAACCATCAGATCACTCCTGGAAGGCAGGGATCTTCTAGCAGCTGCAAAAACAGGCAGTGGTAAACCCTGGCTTTTCTCATTCCTGCAGTTGAACTCACTGTTAAGTTAAAGTTCATGCCCACGAATAGACCAGGGGTCTTTATTCTCTCACCTACTAGAGAACTAGCCATGCAAATTTTTGGTGGTCTTAAGGAGCTAATACTCACCACATGCATACCTATGGGTTGATAATGGGTGGCGATAACACATCTGCTGAAGCACAGAAACTTGCTAATGGGATTAACATCATTGTGGCCACACCAGGCCATCTGCTTGACTATATGCAGAATACACCAGGGTTTATGTATAAAAACCTACAATATTTGGTTATTGATGAAGCTGATAGAATCTTGGATGTTGGGTTTGAAGAGGAATTAAAGCAAATTATTAAACTTTTGCCAACATGCAGACACACTATGCTCTTATCTGCCACCCAAACTCGAAAAGTTGAAGACCTGGCAAGGATTTCTCTGAAAAAAGGAGCCATTGTATGTTGGCGATGATGGTAAAGCTAATGCAACAGTGGATGGTCTTGAGCAGGGATACGTTGTTTGTCCCTCTGAAAAAAGATTCCTTCTGCCCTTTGCTGTCCTTAAGAAGAACCGAAAGAGGAAGATTATGGTCTTCTTTTCATCTTCTATGTCTGTGAAATATCACTATGAGTTGCTAAATTACATGGATTTGCCCATCTTGGCCATTCATGGAAAGCAAAAGCAAAATAAGGGTACAACCACATTCTTCCAGTTCTGCAAAGCAGATTCAGGAATACTATTGTGTATGGATGTGGCAGCAAGAGGACTGGACATTCCTGAAGTCGACTGGATCGTTCAGCATGACCCTCTGGATGACCCTAAGGAATATATTCATCGTGTAAGCAGAACAGCCAGAGGTCTAAATGGGAGAGGTCATGTCTTGCTCATTTTGTGCCCAGAAGAAATGGGGTTCCTTCACTACTTGAAACAATCCAAGTTTCCATTAAGTGAATTTGACTTTTCCTGGTCTAAAATTTCTGACATTCAGTCTCAGCTTGAGAAATTAATTGAAAAGAACTGCTTTCTTCATAAGGCAGCCCAGGAAGCATATAAGTCATACACACGAGCCTAGGATTCCCATTCTCTAAAACAGATCTTTAATGATAAGTTGCTCTGTCATCTGGTTTCAAGGTGCCTCCCTCTGTTGATCTGAACATCAACAGCAATGAAGGCAAGCAGAAAAAGTGAGGAGGCAGTGGTGAATTTGGCTACCAGAAAACCAAGAAAGTTGAGAAGTCCAAAATCTTTAAACACGTTAGCAAGAAATCATCTGACAGCAGACAGTTCTCTCACTGAAGACACGCCTTTCTTTCATCTTGAATAACTTCGTCCTAAAATGAATTTTTTCCCCCTTGAATTTAAACAAGATTTCTGTAAATTGACTTGGGTTGCAAGCACTGAGCACTGTTACTTCTATCAAGTCTCTTTTTTATTTTTGGGATATAAAACAGGCTTTAAATTTCTTAGTTGCCCAAGGGCAAAGCAATAAATCTCTGGTCTTTCTTGTGATTATATAATATTTTAAATATCCCCCCAACCACATACACACCAATGTACATTATTGTTTTAATGTAACTCCTGTAAAAGGTGACCTAGTGTACCAGGCAGCTGGTGGTAATGCAGAGAAGAGTCTAAGGTTATTTTTCATTTTTAGTTATTTCATGAACCTTGACAGTATCTCATGACTCCTCCTGAAAATGCTGCAGTATAAAAGAGCAAAGAGATTTGGGAAATACCTAAGAAGCACCTTAGGATTAGGGTGGCATTGCTTTTATAGATTTTTGATTTTAAAGCAATGAGCCTTTCTCAGGTGTTTTGTATAAAGTGTCACTAGCTGTCATAACATTCGACAGGTGGGGGGTAGGAAAACGGTGAAATTGAGATGGTTGAGCCTCATTTCCATCAATAAAGGTGTAATATAGTGCTTCATTTCCATCGATAGAGGTGTAATATACTGCATTTCTTCATTTGGTAACATAGCAAAGACTTTAAAAAAACACAAAGAATGGTGATGCTCCTAATTCGGATTTCTTTATTTCAAGGTGGTTTGGATTTTGGTAAGCCTTTTCACTCTACAGAGTACTTAGAAGACAAGGCCGCCAACTACCTTGGACTTAAAGCCAAGCCATCAGATAGTGCCCAGCACATATTAATGTTAGCTTATTTTTGAGAAAAATTACCTCTTCTAGGCCCCGAAGCAAAAAAATGCATTTGCTATGAAGATTGAAAATGAACAAAATTACAAAAAAAAACACCAAAATTGGTGATTTAGTCAGATGGGTTTTTTTGTTGTAGGAGCACTTGATTTCAAGTGTGTTTTGTATAGTATGTAACTACAAAATAGTACATTTTGTAGCAATTTAAAACTAAAGTTGCTAGAATCATTTTGCTCTTGTGCCGGTTAATCATAGGATCCCATTAAACGTAAGTGCACTGAGAAGATTAAATGTAGAGGGAACTGTTTGGTAAAGAACATTCCAGTAGGAAAAGAAGAGAACAATCTTCATTTCTGGGCTTGACCGTCATCACCCTGGCTGGACCTGTCTTTTGTTTCCAACCTTGACTGTCGGGCTCCTGTCTTGGGTTTCCAACCTTGACTGTCGGGCTCCTGTCTTGGGTTTCCAACCTTGACTGCTGGGCTCCTGGCTTGGTTTCTTGGATTCCTAATTTCTGGTGTGTAATAACTCTCTCCGGGATCATGTTTTCCTTTTTTATTTCAGAAATAATGTTTCTAAAAAGATGAAAAGGGAAGAATATTTAATTACTGAGTAGAAGTAAACACTATTGGTATTTTGTACATAATCTAATTTTTATATGCCTGTTCATGCTCTTTAATTTTTTTTATCAAAAATGAAGTAATCTTCTATCTACTACTTGTAATCAGCTTGTTTCATAACATGTAAATTTCCTGTGTCATTAAATAATTACATATAAAAAAGAAGCTATGTTCATTTTTTAGGAAGAGAGCATACCGTTCCATTCATCCCCAGGGTCAGCTTGCCTCCAGCAGCTATGGCTGCGGGATATCAACCCAACAAAGAGAAACAGATGCTTCAAAGAACCCATATCACTTGAGGGAGAAGGAGGAGACCCCAAGGAAAAGCACCCTTCCTATGAACTATTTTTTGATCCTAGAGCAAGGGTTGGCAATCAGCAAGATAGTAAACTATCAAACTGCTTTTATTTGTTATTTGATTTATTTGACCTGTCATATATTTGATTAATCCACATGTGTTTTTTGAGCAGCTCATTGGGGTCTGGAGAGAGAACATTGACAAAGTCTCTGCCCTCAAGGAGTTTGGAGTCTAGTGGAACAGGGCTCCTCTGAAACTCAGGGATGTACATTATGGTCCACCTGGCCATGGTAGGCTGTCACATCACTGTCACTAGACTGTGGTCACATCACTTATCACCACACTTTATTTATTTTATTTTTTATTCTTTTTGAGATGGAGTCTCGCTCTGTCGCCCAGGCTGGAGTACAGCCGCGTGATCTCGGCTCACTGCAAGCTCCACCTCCTGGGTTCACGCCATTCTCCTGCCTCAGCCTCCCGAGTAGCTGGGACTACAGGTGCCTGCCACCACGCCCGGCTAGTTTTTTATATTTTTACTAGAGACGGGATTTCACCGTGTTAGCCAGGATGGTCTCGATCTCCTGACCTCGTGATCCGCCCGCCTCGGCCTCCCAAAGTGCCAGGATTACAGGCGTGAGCCACTGCACCCGGCTGCCACACTTTCTTGAGCATGGTGACAAGTACCCTGGACTCCTGTTGGGCCAGGGTCCCATAGGGGAGATGGAAGGATGGGGCCACTCACAGAGTGTGCATCAAAGAGTTTAAAGGACAGGTGGTAAATCATTTGCAAGATTCAAAAACTTCTGCAAAGTAAGTTTGAAATAAGCAAATAGAAAACAAACCAAGTAAATAATACAGAATTTATTAATGAATCTAACCTGAAAATTATCTTTTTCTGCTGCCTGTGCTTCTGTGCTATTATTTAAGGGTACACTATCTATCTGTTATCCTATGTTAAAAAAACGTTTGGTTCTTTCCTCTTTGTCCATCTCATCCTGGACAATATTTCCAATTTTAAATTTCCATTTTACTCTGTTTTTCATTCACTAGCTCACTCTCATCTAAGCTCAGTAGTGACAGAGCAAAAAATTCCAATCTAACCTCAAGCTTGGTCCCCAACTTCAGGCTCTCCCTTGGGAGAGACTGTCCCAGTCCCTAGAGTTATGACATGGAGAAAGAAGGAGAGAAAGGAAAGGCAAGGTCATGATGTGTGTGATAACAATATGAACCACAGCCCCAGTTCTCCAATCCTGAGATCCAAAAGTCTGGCAAGCCAAGCATACTCTGAAGTTTGTAGCAAACTCACTGGATGGCAAATCCGGACCTGAGCTGACCTGAGTCTGTTTATAGCCTTGCATTTATCCTACTTAATATGAATATTCATACATTTCACTAAAGAAATATTAATATGTTTAATTATGAGATGCTGCCACATACCCTGTTGGGGGTGTTATGTAATTATGGAAAATGCCCCATATTACCTTTCTAAAAGTCAAAAAATCCTGCATTCTTAAACAGATTGGTCTCATGGATTTCTTTAAAGGGATTTGGGATCTATACTCAATTTTCCCCAGTCTGTTCTATGATCTTACCTTTAATTATCTTTCCTAGAGACAATTTTTCTTTAATTTTTTTTGAGAATACGAAGCAGATGATTCCCTAAAATTATTTTTGCTCATTAACTGCATATACTTCCTCCTGCAACACCCCAAATTAGCTTTTATCTTATGTATACTATGCTTAGCACCTTGGGTATTTTTGTAATTAAAAAAAATGTTGCTAGATATTTTTTATCTTTTTTTAACAGCTTTATGGGGGCATAATTTACATGTAATAAAATTCACTTGTGTTGCATGTACAATTCAATGACTTAAGTAAATTTTCACAGTTATGCGACCATCATCACAATCTAACTGGAGAAGATTTCCATTAGCCAAAAAGAAACCTCACATTCATTTATAGTCACCCCCTGCTCCCTGGCAACCACTAATCTACCATCAGTCTCTTTTGGAGCTAAAAGAGTCTCAAAAAAATATGCCATATGCCAGGCACAGCACACACAACCCTCATAAGGGAACAGAGGCTCCTGTAACTGGTAAAGGATGAAGCTGGGATTTGATCCAGGTCCTCACCACTCCAGAGTTTGTGATCTTTCCAAGGGCTGCCTGAGGAGATCCAGAGTGGCCTCTCACTGGACTGGGGCAGAAATGCAAGTAGCCCAGGCACGGATGTTGGATATTGGATGTTGGATGTGGATGACCCACAGAGGAGTCGTGAGCTTGATGACCTTTAGGCCCTAGCCAGTTCTGAGCTCCTGTGATACTATAAATCCATAAAATGCATCCAACTAAGCCAGGGACTTACTTTAATGAATGATAAGAATGATGTGTCATGAACAGACTAATTGCATATAAAAGGAGCGCTTCTGAAGTGTGCAGCATGTTCCCTTAAGCACTTTAAATACCCCCCAGAGATGCCGTTTGCAGTCATAATTTGCATTATCAATGAAGAGGCAGTTTGCCAAGCAAAGGGGAACATCAGCCTAACCCTCACCACACATTCCAATGTATTGATGTCCAAATCAAGGAGACATTTTGATAGATTCATTTTCTCACCTCTTTAAATGTGAAGTTGGTACTTTTGATGGAATTGTCCTGGTATGCTGGTGTTGCAGCTGCACAAGACTAGATGATAGAATGAAACACCCTGTACCATAATTGAGGAAGCAGCTGTTCTGCTATTGTTATTAGTATTATTAAGAATTAACAACTTCCTCTGTGTCTGTTAAGAGAAGTCCATTCTGAAAGCCAGCCAAGTTCGCCTGCAGCCCTCCCAGCCACGAATTCTGCATCATGCCACGTAGAGATTATCTCTCCTCTCTGCGGCACAGGCTGTTGTCTGCTCTGCCTACCCTCCCCAAATTTCAGGAACCATGCATTCTTTCTGTACCTTCTGCCAGAGCAAAACAGGCTTAGGAAAAGACACATGGTCCATCACTAATGCCTTGGTATACTATCAAGATCACTAAAATCCTCAAATAGAGATTCCAGGTCCATATGTTTTAAACTCTGTAGCAATTTTTCAGTAAAAGGTAATTTAATTTTTCATAAAGATATTACAGGGCACAGATAAGAGTTTGTAATCCATGGACTCTTCTAGATGCTTCTAAAATTTTGTTACATGTGATAATTAACATGAATATATCTTTTTGGTTGACAAAAAGACTTCCTATTTTCTATCACTTAATCATCATGATCCTATGAAGATGGCATTATTGTCCATTTTTGTTAACCTTATTAATATCAATAGTATTATTAATTGTTAACGATTAATTTTTTTTTTAGACAGAGTTTTGCTCTGTTCCCAGGCTGCTGGAGTGCAGTGGCCCAATCTCAGCTCACTGCAACCTCCACCTCCCGGGTTCAAGCTATTCTCCTGCCTCAGCCTCCCAAGTAGCTGAGACTACAGGTGCGTGCCACCACACCTGGCTAATTTTTGTATTGTTAGTAGAGACAGGTTTCATTATGTTGGCCAGGCTGGCTCAAACTCCTGATCTCAGGTGATCCACCTGCCTTGGCCTCCCAAAGTGCTGAGATTACAGGTGTGAGCCAGTGTGCCCGGCCAGCTCTTGTGATTTTTAAAATCTTCATCTTTACTTTTAGGACAAGGAAAATTAGGCTCAGAGATCTTAAGGAATTTGCCCAAGGTTCACACAGCCTGTAAGAGTGGAGTAGATGTTGAAATTTCACCTCAGTTTCCTCTGGGACACATTCTCCATTCCATTACAGCCTGACGAGCGTGGCCTTGCCCAAGGTCACAGAGCAAATAAGCAGCAGAGTGGGGAATTGAACCCAAGTCCTCTAGCTGGGTTCCATACCTTTTTAATCAAACTGTTGCTGCCACTGAAATAACAGACTACAGAATCAAGGACCTGAGCTGAAGTCGCACTTGATAACAAATTGCCCAGACTTGGAATTCTTTGCTTCTACCCGACGAACTAAAGAGAAGACAGCTTCCGTGTAGGGAAAACTCTCTCTAACCATGTTTTTCCTCTGTTCTCACATCACAATAATCATCAGCACAGGAGAAGACTTCTGTGACTATATGTGTGGGTTTTTTTTCCTCACACACCAAGCAGTGGACACCAGCTGGGTGTCCTCTAATTCATTTCTGGCACTGTCTACCTGGAGACGACGTCAGATCTCACAGGTTGAGTGTTCAGTCCCCAGCCAAGACTGGCCCCCTCTAACACACACCAGTGACAAGCCTGGGCCTCCGGAACTTCTGACCAACTGGCTTCAAGTTGGGGTTCCCATGATCCCCTCTTTGGGTTCAAATAATTTGCCAGAGCAGCTCACAGAACTCAGGGAAACACTTACCTACATTTACCAGTTTATTATAAAGGATATTGCAAAGGATACAGATGAAAAGATGTTTAGGGCAGGAAATGGGGGAAGGGCTCCAGAGGGTCCATGCCCTCCCTGGACCCTCTGGAGGAACCTGCAGTTCGGCTATCCAGAAGCTCACTGACACCAGCCCTCTTGGGTTTTTATGGAAGCTTCATGATGTAAGCATTTCTTCCCCAAGGTATAGAGGGGTGGGACCCTCTCATGGGAGGGTCTTAGGACCCACAATCAGAAAGACAGGGGAAAAGTAGAGTCTTGCCTTGGAGCAGATGAAAGGAGGGCAGGAGGAGGTCAGAGGCTGCCCATGTGGCCTCATACACCCAACATTATAACAAAAGACTGCAATAAGGGCTATGGCTATCAGCCAGAAACCGTGGACAAAGACCGGTATGTATTATAACACCACAGCCTTCCTACCACACATAGCAGCAAAGTGGCTGTGTTTAGACTTAGAAATATATATACCTGAGCTATTTTACTAGGATTATTTTTCTTCTGGAATTTAGGTTCTTTATCAAGGCAGTGTTCAGTTGGAGAGAGTTTTTTTTTTAATTAACAGCAAACTAATAATGTAGGATTTCCACAAGTACTCTCCCGTTTCTGTGAGTTCATTACAATTTGTTCTTCGCACTGACTTCTCAACACAGCACCATGAGATTTTCCTGCATCTGCACGTTTACGTAAGCAAAAAAAGTGCATTCAAATCCTTCTCTCTAAAGCATATTTCCACACGACAGCACTCATCTTGCTAGAGAGTGAGGTTGTCTGAAGACTACTTTGGGGTGCCTAAGCCAGCATGAATGGGGGCACCAGGTTATGTTCCACTGAATTTAATTTAATTAATTAATTTATTAATTTATTTTTTTGAGATAGAGTCTCACTCTGTTGCCCGGGCTGGAGTGCAGTGGTGCAATCTTGGCTCACTGCAACCTCCACCTCCCAGGTTCAAGTGATTCTCCAGCCTCAGCCTCCTGAGTAGCTGGGATTACAGGCTCCCACCACCATGCCTGGCTAATTTTTGTATTTTTAGTAGAGATGGGGTTTCGCCATGTTGGCCAGGCTGGTCTCGAACTCCTGACCTCAGGTGAGCCACCTGCCTCGGCCTCCCAAATTCTTAGGATTACAGGCGTGAGCCACCGCGCCCAGCCTTATGTTCCACATTTGAATTCCTCATTTGCAAGAGGGGGATTTTAGTAATAAAATGCTGCTGAAATTGGTCTATGTCTAAATCAGTGTCCTGAGAAACAAGATGGTAATGAGGTGGAAAGGATGGATAGTAGGAAATGTATCTGGAAAAAATAATTCCATCAGGAAACCTTGTGATGGACCTCTCCTTGAGAGTTGGA
Organism: Homo sapiens; assembly: GCF_000001405.40. Taxonomy (NCBI): domain Eukaryota; kingdom Metazoa; phylum Chordata; class Mammalia; order Primates; family Hominidae; genus Homo; species Homo sapiens. Next base: position 59,863,978 of record NC_000015.10, on the reverse strand, counting down.
ACAGAACTCCTCTTAGGCATTTGTTTAATATCAACCCATGCCTTTTTGTTTGTTTGCTAGTTTTTCTATTTTGTTAAACTGTAAAATTCCTCTCACTTTTTGCTCATTTCTCTGATCATCAATTTTGAAATTGAGACATATTTTAATATGGATTTTTTGGTCATCGTTTCCTTTCTTCAAATACTACTATTAAATGACAGAGACTGTCAAAGTGGACAGGCCATTTCTTCACTGGCTGTGTGGAAGGAGTGATTTAGCTGTGTCTTCACTATTGTGAAGGCTGGCCTGAGGTACTTCTTATGCAAAATCATCTCTGGTACGACATATCCTCCAGACCAGAAGTTGTAAGGCAGAAGGCTCAGACCAAATCAGGCTCATGGACATATTTTATTTGGCTCACACAATTGAAAAAAAATCTTTTTAATAGTTGCCATCTTTTTTTTTTTTTTTTTTTTGAGATGGAGTCTCACTCTGTTGCACAGGCTGGAGTGCAGTGGCGCCATCTCAGCTCACTGCAGACTCTGCCTCCTAGGTTCCAGCGATTCTCCTGCATCAGCCTCCCAAGTAGCTGGGATCACAGACGTGCGCCACCACACCCAGCTAATTTTTGTATTTTTAGTAGAGACGGGGTTTCACCATGTTGGCTAGGCTGGTTTTGAACTCCTGACATCAAATGATCCGCCCACCTCAGCCTCCCAAAGTGCTAGGATTACAGGCGTGAGCCACCACGCCCAGTTCTTGCCATCTTTTTAAATTGGGAGAGTTCACATAAAAATCCTTGTTTCTGGCATCCTTTGAAGAAATCCAAAGCTCTGCAAACTAGGCATGCAATTGCCCATAGTGACAGGAGCTACCAATCCTACGGGTGGGTCCTTTCAGAAGGGGCATTTGCAGGCCATGCTGCCATGATCCCCGCCTCTTCCTGATGTCTTGAGAAAAGCTTGGCTGTTGTAGGCATTTGAGATTCCAATCTTAGGAGATTGTTCAGTGGCTGTCACCACAAACAAACAAATAAAAACATTGGCACTTCTCAATATTATTATAAGAACCCACAGTGATATGTCAATATTTGGGAGAAGGGGTATATGAGTCAGCCTACACATGAGCATGTGCTTATTAATTTAGTTCTGTGGTGGGGTGAGGTGTCCACGGTTCACTATGTGGCCATACATTCTCCTCACTCCCGCCTCAGCAAGCCCTAGAGAGGGCAGAGTGTTCATTTCAGATGCTGCCCGAGCCATGAGTGCCTGCCCTCACAAATGCCATGATGTTGGGCATGCCATTTAACCTCTCCTAGTCCCAGTATTTCTCTATAAGACAAGGATGCTGCAAGGGTAAAATGAACAAATGCATATTTGCACAGACCTAACTCAATACATGTTGCCTGCTTCTGTTCTCCTTCAAGCCAATAATAAGATTGAGCTGGGAAGCTCCTTCACTGCACTGACAGCCAACCCAGTCAAAATGTTTGCTGCCCAAAAGCACACAGAGCCTTCCCTGTGGAGAAGCGATGTAATATGGGTCTCTAGTGAATACAGAAAGCCCCTTCTGCCGCAGCCTGGGCATCCTGGGAGCTCAGGTTCCCCTTAGCCAGGCAGGATCTCTTGGGATTTTGTCTTCCCTGGGGATGGTAGACATGACATGTCGTTTGTCATGGTCATTACTGAACTGCGACTGCATTAAAAGGAATTATGGAGACTGTGAATTTGAGATCACATTTCAGAGTGGAGCCCAAGGCTTCCAGTTAAGTGTGAACAGTGTATGGAAGATAACAATGGGGAGTGAGATATGCTAAAAGTGTTATACATGAATTTACATTCAATAAAAAACCCTTCCAGCTATAATTATCACATTTTTGCTAATATTGAGATACTAGATGTCAGATTTAATATTTGAGTAAACTAATTAAAGAATGTTTTTGCCTAGCCTTGACAAAAAATCTTTTCTATTGAAAGTTTCGAAAGTGCTTTTTTTTTTTTGGCTGAAACTGATCTACATGACCAGCACTTTTTGGGACTGGAAGCACCAGAGCATCTTGCCTCTGCGTTTCCTTTTCTCCAACCCTCTCCACCTCTCTCTCCCATTTCCAGCTCTGTTTTGTGTTCTTATTGTTAAGGGCACAATTTTCAGACTGTGTTAATATGTCTTTTTTATGCATTTGCCAAATAGTTCTAGGTGGAATTGCCTCTTAAGATTTCTCCTTTGGCTGTGGCACATTCCGACTCAAATTGTTGTGCTCAGTAGGGCCATCGTCACATTATAACAGGGAAAATGCTTCATCGTGTGTTATAGAGCAAGATGGAATCTTCGCTAAGGAGCTTGGGGATCAAAGCGGAGGGAAAAGATTAATTTTTATGCATCGAGTCATTATGGAGGGAGAAGGAGACATTAAGATTGCCAGAGAGAAGATTTTGTCATCTAATATCGATATAGACAATGTGTTGAGATTGTCCTTTCTCAATGTGTTGAGAACGGACTGTTGGCTCCGTTCTCAGATTTGTTTCTACTGTTAAAGTGCTCAGATCTAGGTCATAAGCTTATTTACACGTATTTCAAGTTTTAGAAAGAGACTTCCTTTTAAAAAGATATGATCTTCCCGGGATTTAAGTACACCTAAACATATTTTGATTATTTTTACTCCATAAAAAATGCATCGCTATGTTTCAGACATAATAAAAGACAGGAAAAAAGTTTTTAAAAATTCACTCTTTACTAGGATAATTCAGCACCTCTAATGAAGTATTTCCTTTTAAATGATGCTACTTGTTAACCTGCTTGCAAACATAAGTACGTGATTTTCTATTCTCTTTGGTTCACCTGATATTATGCTAACATGGGTTTTTCACACCCTTACATAGATTATCTCAAGCATCTGTGCCCAGTTTATTAAGCTCTTCTGTCGTTAAACATTTAGACAACTTTCTCCCCATTTTTCTACTTTTATAGAAAAAGGCCAGGTGTGGTGGCTCTCGCCTGTAATCCCAGCACTTCGGGAAGCCAAGGTGGGAAGATTGCTTGAGCCCAGGAGTTCAAGATCAGCCTGGGCAACATAGCAAGACCCCAACTCTATAAAAAAATTTTTTTTAATAGCCAGGCATGGTGACACACACCTATGGTCCCAGCTACTCAGGAGGCTGAGGTAGGAGAATTACTTGAGCCCAGAAGGTTGAGGCTGCGGTGAGCTGTGATCGCACCATTGTGCTCCAGCCTCAGCAACAGAGCAAGACCTGTCTCAAAAAAAAAAAAAAAAGAAAAAGAAAAAGAAAAAAAAGATAGGTATATATTTGTGCATCTGGATTTTGTCATATTTCGTAGAATAAATTCTCCAAAGTGGAATCTCTGCATCAAATGTTATAAATAATTTTAAGATTTTGATGCAAAGCACATTTATTTTTCAATGAATTCCACCAATTTTCACCTTAACTGCATAAGAATGCCCTTCTACTACATCAAGTGCCATTTTAGTCAATTTGATAAAGGTGTCTTTTGAACATGTAGAAAAAGAATTTGTTTTCATAATTTGCCTTAAATTTTTTGATAAATCACAAAGTACCATATATGATAGCAATAACGTTACCAACAATTACCTTCAATAAACAGTCTAACACTTAATAGCAATACATTAGTATGTCAGAGTACTGAAGAGCAGTATAGGATGATGGTGAGTGTGGGCTTGGAAGTCAGGCTGCCTGGCCTCAGCACTGGGCTCTACCACTTACCAGCAAAGTGATCCGAGACCAGGGTTTTTCAACTTTGGCACTGCTGACATTTGGAGCTATTCATAAGCTGAGCAGGGAGGATGTTATCCTGTACATCCTAGGATGTTTAGCTGCATCCCTGGCCTCTATCTTAATCACCGCCCTCCTCTACACGCACACCCAGTGTGACAACCCAAAATGCAAACATTGCCAAGTGTTCTTTGGGGGCAGATTACCAACCCTCTCAGTGCTTAGCTTCTGTATGTGTAAAATGGGGGATAGTAATACTCACCTCAAAGAGTTATTGGAAGGGCAAAATGGATTTGTCCCTGTACAGCAGAGAGAAGAGGGATTGTTTGTCACTTGCCAAGGGCACAGTCAACATTGACTATTAGTTACATCAAATTTCTGATGACTGGTCTTAAATAAAATGCTTGTGTATTACTTTTACTGTAAAACTCACTGCATATAATTTGCAATGTTTGGAAAAGTATCAGAACCTAATAAGGATCTCCTACAATCTTAACAGCCAGGGACAATCCTATTAACTTTTAAGTGTGTTTACTTCTTATGCACCTGGAAGAGTTCCTGGCACATTATAGATACTCAATAAACGTGTTGGACAAATATAAAAAGTGAGATCGGGCTATGTTTGCCATCTATTAAGTTTTGCATCCTATTTTTCTTCCTAACTGTCGTCCAGGCTGGAGTGCAGTGGCACAGTCTTGGCTCACTGCACCCTCTGTCTCCCGGGTTCAAGCAATTCTCCTGCCTCAGCCTCCTGAGTAGCTGGGATTACAGGCGTGCACCACCTCACCCGGCTAATTTTCGTATTGTTAGCAGAGACAGAGTTTTGCCATGTTGGCCAGGCTGGTCTCAAACTCCTGACCTCAAGTGATCTGCCCCCCTTGGCCTCCCAACATGCTGGGATTATAGGCATGAGCCACCACATGAGGGGGAAAATATGTTTAATTGCTGCAAAATATCAACTCTGAGTGTTCTCTAATTAACCATCATAATTTTGAGAATATACATGATGTTAACTTTTTTAAATAAATAATATATCTCCAGCTTTTTATTATGAAAATTTTTAAGCATAAAAGTTGAAAGGATAGTACAATGCATATCAGGGCACCGTGTTTTTAATGTATTTTAAATGCTTACCATATTTATTCTCTTTATTTGTGTGTGTGTCTGATCTGCATGGATATAGATACATGTAATGAGTTGTTTGTTTTTTTTACTGTTTTGTGGGACCATTTAAAAGTAAATTGTTGGCCGGATGCAGTGGTTTATCCCTGTAATCCTAGCACTTTGGGAGGCCAAGGCAGCATAAATTTTTAAAAAATATATTGTAAAATTAAGCAATGAGGAAATTGTAAACATTGTAACATTTTACTTCTGAAGACTTCAGTATAACTCTCCTAAGAGTAAAGACATTCTACACATAACCACAATACATTTATTATACCTAAGAAAATTAACAGTAATTCTCTAACACCATCTAATATGTTGTCTGTATTCAAATTTTCCCAGTTGTCCCCAAAATGTTTTTATAGCTAGCTTTTTTTTCTGCCAAAAATGCCAGAAAAGATTAACTGCATTTGGTTGTTATAACTCTAATTCCTTTTAGTCTAGAATAGACCCACCTTTGTATTGGCTTATTAACGACTTTTTGAAGATATCAGGCCAATTGTTTTTAAGAACATTCCATTTTCTGGGTTTGTCTTATCGTTCCCTTAGAGTGTCATTTAACTTGTTTCTCCAGTTCCTGGATTTCCTGAAACTGTAAGTTAGGTCCAATGTCTTCATTAGATTTAGGTAAATAATTTGGCAAGGACACTTTGTAGGTGATTACATACTCAGAAGGATATAACGACAGGTTGTCCCATGATCAGAGATGTAATGTTTGATTACTTGGTTAAGGTGGTAACCAGTAGATTTCTTTACTTAAGGTATATTTTTCACTTTGCACTTAGTATATAGTCTATGGGGTGCTTCTTTGGTACCACAAGACTATCCTATTCCCTAACATTTTTCCATCCAGTGGTTTTAGCATCGTTGGTGATTCTTGCCTAAACCAATCATTTCACTGGGAGTTGCAAATGGTGATTTTTCTAGTTCTGTCATTTTACTTACTTTTGATAGATGCCATTCCTCGGGAAAGAAGGATTTTCTCTTTCAAAATTCTGGGCAAATGCTTACTTCTTACGTTCTTAATACTAAAGTGTGGGATAAATAAGTTTTTGTTTCTTTCATTTTACTACTTTTTAATTTTAATTTTTATAAAAATTTTTATTTTTATAAAAATTAAAAAAGAATAGAGACCAGGTGCGGTGGCTCATGCTTGTAATTCCAGCACTTTGGGAGGCTGAGGCAGGCAGATCACCTGAGGTCAGGAGTTTGAGACCACCCTGGCTAGCATGGTGAAACCCCATCTCTACTAAAAATACAAAAATTAGCCAGGCATGGTGGCACACACCAGTAATCCCAGCTACTCAGGAGGCTGAGGCAGGAGAATTGCTTGAACACAGGAGACAGAGGTTGCAGTGAGCCAAGTTCCGGCAACTGCACTCCAGCTTGGGAGACAGAGTGAGATTGTTTCAAAAAAAAAAAAAAATACTGACGGGGTTTCACCATGTTGCCCAGGCTGATCTCAAACTCCTGGACCCAAGCAATCCTCCTGCCTTGGCCTCCCAAAGTGCTGGGATTACAGGCATGAGCCACTATACCTAGCCACTACTATTTTTTTAACTGTAGATGCATGGCTTTTTCTTTAATGTTTTACAATCAATTATAATAGCTTTCTGATGCTCAAGCTGTCCACTGGGCACCCCTCCAAGCTGGCTTCCAGGTCTCTTGGCATCTCTCTGTTAGTCTTTGGTTTTCCTTGCTTTTTGGCTTGATGTGCCTCAGGCTTTTTTTATCATTTCCTGCCTCTGCTCTGGAATCAGCCATTTCTCCAAGGAGCCTTTGTTCTTTTTAGTCAGGAATGATATAAATAATCTTTTGATGAATACCTTTGTACATAAGAGTTTTATCAAAAATTACTAGGCTTGAAATTATTTTGACAAAGATTGTAAACGTTTTAATGCCTTTAACATATCTTGTAAAGTTGCTGTATAGAAAGGTAGTAATAACATAGATTTCCACTAATGTGTTTGAGAATGTGTATCTCACTGCATTCATCCTGACATTAATTTTTAATATGATAAGTAAATCTATGGCAAGTAAGATTGAACAGCTCAGTTCATTAATGTTTATATGTTTGTTAGTTTTCGTATATTTTGCCCTTTTTCTATTCTGGTACAATGTACTTATCTGAAAGTTTTAAAAGTATGCTAAAGACTTTAATTCTGTCTATTGAGCTTGCTTCAAATACTTTTTCTAGAGTGTTTGGGTATTCGTTTGGTTTTTTAGTGTCAGACATTTTTATTTTTTAAGTTGTCGAATCTATTTGCGTTTTCCTTGATGATTTCATCCATTTTTTAGTGCTTAAAAATTCCTTACCCAATCTAAGAAGAGTTAAATGTTTTCATATATTTTCTTTTAATTTAAAAATTTTAAAATAAAACTAAGTTTTAAATATTCATACTTTTTAAACCAAGTGGAATATATTTAGGGCTATAGTTTAAGAATCTAAAAATTTTTTTCCCAAAGCCAATTTTTCTCATAATGTAGGAGGGATAATCCCTCACTTTCTCACTGGTGTGTCCTTCATTTTATATGTTCAATATAGATACAGATATATTGATATATATTTATATATAAATTATATATATCAATTTATATTCATCTGTTTTTACACAAGTGCCATACTGTTTCAATTATTAAAACTTTTAAATACATTTTAAAATACCAAAACCTTTTTTCTCTCAACACATTTTTTCTTCAAGATAAACTTTAGAATAATTTTGTCACTTTCAGGAAAGATTTCATTTCACGTAAGCTGTTTAGCTTATATAGCTTTGAAATTTTGCAATAATATTAAAACTTGCTTTGGGATGACGTAGTATATCACAACATGAAAGCACTCCTAAGTTGCCCCGGGCCTCTGTGATGGTGCATGGCCACAGCACCAGTCGAGGCAGGAGGCTTAGTAACATTTAGGTCCTAAAGGCTCTTACGTGTACCCCATAAATATGTACAAATATTATGTATCACTGTTTTTACAAGTGTCTTGAGATAAAAGCAAATGTTCCCTTTTCATGTCTTAAAAAGATCAATGTGGTTACTGAAACCATTGTTTCTAATCCAACAATTGAAACACATGGTCTAAAAGGTGGAATAATATTTATAGAAACACAGGCAAATAATAGTATAAATGTGAACTACCCTGGGAAATTTGAGATGTGCATAACTATCGGTCATGCAGACACTACATTCAGACATTCTGTTTACAGTATGTATTCCGACTAAGTAGTGTTTGTTTTCCTTCCTTTTTTTTTTTTTTTTTTTTTTTGACAAAGTCTTGCTCTGTCACCCATGCTGGAGTGCAGTGGTGTAACTCACTGTAACTTCCGCCTCCTCGGTTCAAGCAATTCTCCCTACCTCAGCCTCTCGAGTAACTGGGATTACAGGTGCCTGCCACTATGCTGGCTAATTTTTATAGTTTTAGTAGAGATGGGATTTTGCCATGTTGGCCAGGCTGATCTCGAACTTCTGACCTCAGGTGATCCTCTCGCCTCGGCCTCCCAAAGTGCTGGGATTACAGGCATTAGCCACCACACCCAGCCTTGTATCTTTCTAATATGGGTTAAACCATCCAAGACATTACTTACTTGGAGAAAGCCATCATGGACTAAGTTTGAACATCAAGCCATATAGTAGCCCAGCTTGCAGTATGAGAAAGTGGCAAAAAGCATGTTCTTTAGTGTCAAACAGACATTGGTTTGGGTCTTCAATCTGCTCCTTTCCAGTATTGTGACCTTGGATAGTAACAGTACACCTGCCTTGTGGAGTTGAGAAGATTAAATGAGGGCAGTATGTAAAGAACTCAGCACATAGTAAATGCTTTATCATATCAGCCAGATTATCCCTATCTTTAGTACAATTACTCCTGCTGCTATTATTATATATTTTTGTTTATTGCTCAGGATCAGGGTGACTGAGACCTTTTTATGAACCTAAGAGCTCTGCTTTGTATTTCCATATAGCAACCCAGTTATATGCAGTTCAAAGATTCTACCCATTGCTTATAGCCTTGATCACTGGCATGTTTTTCTGTAAAAAACAGTCAATGTCAACTATTAGTGACCTCTCTGGGAAGAAATACAATGTCAGTAAGACACCCATAACAAAGCCAAAGCGGGGAAAAAGTGACATCATTTCAGAGTAGGACAAAAGCAATTAAAATTAAAACAAAAACCAGAATCTCTATCCACTCTTAGACTCTCCTGAGAAGGCACACTTTAAATCTAGGGTAAGTGTAGCTGAAGTGAAAGCATCAACTTACATATTTGCCTGTTTTAAGCAGTGTATCTCATGCTCTTTTCTTGGCATTAAAAGACAATATTTCTACCCGTTCTCTTAAAAGGAAATTAGGTCTTATTACCATCCTTATAGCACAGCTTTTACAACAGAGGATAGCCTTTTAAAGATTCAGTCTCTAATTTAAATGTGACATTATAGAGCTGTCTGGGCATTTGGATAATTTCTTTAGACATCTCAAAGTGGCACATATAGGGTCATTAATCAGCAGCTCAATATTTTATTCATATACTGTCTGGGAAAAGCAAGAGGAAGACTGAGATCAAAGATGAGGAAGGAATTATTAGTAACATAGTGCATCAAAATAATAAGGTTTTTAAATGGGCCCGGGAGTTAAAAAAAAAAAAAAAAAAAAAAAAGAGGAAAGAAAAGAAAAAGAGTTAACATGGCCGAGACCTTAGGCTTCCTAAAAAAAAAACAATCAGGTCTAATTAGTGAAAAACACTAATTATAATCCAAGTTATAGTTAGAGAGTTTCCTATGCTTACATTGGAGTAAATCCATAAACTGATTACAATAAGGTGGTCAAAGTCACTATAGCCACTACATATAGCCTGAAAATCTAGGTAGATTCTCTTGAATCTTTGCTTCTTCCTTCCCTTCCTGTAGACAATGTCTTTGTTCAGGTCTTAGTTATGTGTCATCTCACTTCTGACAAACACCTTAAAACATGTCTCTCTTCATCCAGGCTTCCTCACTCCATTCCCTTTTCCTCCCTCTCTGCTGCAGGAGCCATCCTGCTAAAACTCAAAGCAGACCCTGTAACCTCTACCTAAAGTCCTTCTGTGCCTGTTCATTGCTTAAGATTTGTTCACTTTTCTGTATGCATGTTAGACTTCAATAAAAAATGACAAGAAGGAAGTAGCCATTTTAAGAGGGTCTGGGGAAACATCCAAGTAACAGAAGCTGCAAAGTTGAAGATGATCAGTGGAGCATGTATGGTTATGTGGAGGGACAGAGAAAGGCCAGTGTGGCTGAGTGTAAATGGGGAAGGACAGAGAGGAGGGCAAAGAGTGGGGCAGGGTACGTGACAGGGACTTTGTGCTTTATTCTAAGCAAAGTGAAACCTCATTCGAGGGTTTTAAGTAGGGGCAATAGCATATCATTTCACTTACGCTTCAGAAAGATTACTCCAGCTGCTTTATGGAAGAACTTTAAGGAGCAAAAATGAGGCAGGAAGACAAGTTAACAGGCTGCAGCAGTGCTTTAAGCAAGAGATGGTGGTAGCTTGGAGCAGCACTGGGGCAGTGGAAATTGCAAACATTCACCACACTGTCTTTATTTGTTGAACTGCTGATGGTCATTTGGGTTGCTTTCAGTTGGAGCTATTGTAATGTCCCTGTGCATATTCTTATAGCTGTTACTTGGGGCACAGATATATGCGTTTCTGTTGAGTATATATCTAGAAGTGGAAATACCGGGTCGAAGGGTGTAGCAGACACGAACTCTAACCATATACTCTTGGCCTTTACCTCAACGGTCCGGAAGTGGCTTGCTGAAAACACAGGCATCTCTCTGCTGAGAGACTTTTATTTAGCCATTGTTGAATATTTGGCCCACACGAGCCCAGAGGTATCAGAAAAATAACTCTCCACGGTATGAACTGAATGTTTGTGTCCCCTCAAAATCCATGTGTTGAAACCCTAATCCCCAGTGTGATGATATTTGGTGGGGTCTTCCGAAGGTGATTAGTTCTTGAGAGTAGAACTCTCATGAATAGGATTAGTGCCCTTATAAGAAGAGACATGAGAAAAGTGAGAAATATATATATATATAGTCTCACGATATGACGATACAGGGAGAAGGAGGCTGTCTGTGAGCCAGGAAGAGGGCCCTCACCAGAACTCAACCTTGCTGGCACCTGATCTTGGACTTCCAGCCTCCACAACTGTGAGAAGTAAATATAAATGTAAGTCACCCAGTCTGTGATATCTTGTTATAGCAGCCTGAACTAACTGAGGCAACACTAGAAGCAACATTCAATAGGTAAATCTGGTTGATCAAACACCAGATCCCTTGCTCCTTACTTGGGATAACTCAATTCCACACAGACTCTCGGAGTTCCCCAGCAGGACTGAGCTCCAATTGCTTACTGTGGTAACTACACAATAAGGCACAATTATTGGCTTTATTCCCTTCCCTGTACCACTTTCAAATTCCCCTGCTGGCGTTTCCATGTTCCTTCCAGCCCTGCTGCCTTGGTTGTGCTCTGATGCCTTAACGTAACTGGTTTTATTTGCTTCTTTCTAATTGTAGCCAGCTTTTATAACGTGTAAGGGTTGGTCTGGTACATGCTGCTCAGCCAGTCATTAGAGTAGAGACTCTGAACATTTTTATGTAGCTATTTATATTATACAGCTCAGCTTGCCTGGGAGCCTTCAGTCAGCAACTTGGATTGGCCATTCCATCTAGAATTGTCAACAGTGAATGTTGGAAACAAGCTAGAAATGAAGACAAGAATTTGCCACAGTGCACCCCCCAAAGGAGCATTGATGAAGGTCAACTCACTCAATATTCTATTAACCCTTAAGTGTGTGGAATAGGGGCTACAGTGGCAAGCAACTGGACAATCTTTACTGTCAGAAGAAGTCCTTCTTTCTCTACATTTTCTGTGGAGCATTGATGTATTTTTATATCTAATGATTTGCATAACAAAAGCACCATGGCCGGTGCGGTGGCTCACTCCTGTAATCCCAGCACTTCGGGAGGCCGAGGCAGGCAGATCACAAGGTCAGGAGATTGAGACCATCCTGGCTAACACGGTGAAACCCTATCTCTACTAAAAATACAAAAGATTAGCCAGGCATGGTGGTGGGTGCCTGTAGTCCCAGCTACTCAGGAGGCTAAGGCAGGAGAATGGCGTGAACCCAGGAGGCAGAGGTTGCTGTGAGCCAAGATCGCACAGCTGCGCTCCAGCCTGGGTGAAAGAGCAAGACTCCATCTCAAAAAAAGAAAAGAAAAAGAAAAACAAAAAGCACCATATGCCAAAGTGTGAAGAGTAATTTGTGTACACATATTTTTCTCCGGGACTATACCATCTCTTAAGGAATACTGTTACAGGTCCAAGTTGTTTCACTCATAGTTTATTTTCTTTCTATTGATCTTGAAAATGACATCTAATACACAGGTATGCTTTGTTTAAGCATTTCTTATTTTCTCTTCTTTCACAGCCCTCTTCTTTGTCTTGAAATGTTGGAAAACAGAACCTAAGTAATTATTACGTTTAAGTTAAAAATTTAACCCCAAACAGGCTGTGCTGCAAAAAGAGGGCCTTAAGAGGATAAGAGTGTTTCTTCATTTACTAATCTCTTAAAAAATAATTTTTAAAGATGTTTATTAAGCATCTATTATGGCCAAGTGTGGTGGCTCATGCCTGTAATCCCAACACTTTGGGAGGCCGAGGTGGGTGGATCTCCTGAGGTCAGGAGTTCAAGACCAGCCTCGTCAACATGGCGAAACCTCATCTCTACTAAAAAAAAATACAAAAAATTAGTTGGGCGTGGTGGCGGGCACCTGGAATCCCAGCTACTCAGGAGGCTAAGGCAGGAGAATTGCTTGAACCCAGGAGGCGGAGGTTGCAGAGAGCCAAGATCGTGCCACTGCACTCCAGCCTGGGCAACAGGAGTGAAACTCCACCTCAAAAAAAAAAGAAAAGCATCTACTATGTGCCAGCAACTGAGAACGTAGAGGACATCAAAAGAAATAAAAAAAATCGTACTCCCATGGGCATTCTAGAAGGAGAGAGAAAGGACAAATGAATAAGTGAAATATATAGTATGCCAAGTGAAGGAAAGTGCTGTGAAAAGCAGAGAAGGGCATATCCCTTCACTCATCTGCCCAAATGCAGCAGGAAAGAGTAAATAATCCTGGTGGATCAATTCTAAAGCAGGAGAGTCCCAATATCCAAACCGGTAGGAATACTCCTCCAAGGGATCCTGACCTACAGAGCCGAGAAGAGGTCTGGAATTGTCAATGGAAGAAGTAATTCTTCTGCGTGTCAGGTCCAAAGAGTAAAGAGTCTAAGTCTAGGAAAAGAAGAGCCCAGTTGGGGGCTGGGGGTGCTGGGAGGCAGGAATTTGTCTATGAGCGTGGATCAGAACCAAACTCAGGAGGGAAGAGCCTGGAAACAGTGAGTTCCATGGTGCAAGCTACAGGGAATTCCTGCTGTGCTGAGGAACTTATGCAAAGCTGGCAAAATCAATGACCAATATCTAAATACTTGTTTCTAGACCCTTGACTAAGACACTTTCTAGGAGTTCTCTTCGGGACACATACTGTTTCTTATGACCTCACTTACTACTATTTATTCACATGGGAGAATGCAATGGAAATGATTTTAAAATATCTTGTTTCATTTACATGTGAATGTAGAGAGGGCCTACTGCCCGAGATGCCCAAGGACCACCGCAGAATGAAGATGCCAAACTTTCAACGCCTAACTCAGGGGCCGATGAGTCTCCTGAATCCCTGATCCCACAGAGCTGTCCTCCACTCCATGCTGGGGAGAAGCGATGCCACATCTGCCAACTGAGGGAAGTCTCCCCTCTTTCAGGGGAGTGGAGGAAGCCAGACAGAGGCACAATCTCAGGCAGAGTCCCGTGGAGAGCAGCTTCCGCCTGATACCACTGGGGACCTCTGGTATGTGACTTATGTCTCAGAACTGTACTAACTTGAGGCGGAGGAGCTGAAGCTTTCACATCCCTCTATCCATCTATCTACTGGCCAAGAGCTGCCCCAGGAAGGTCTAAATACCTAGACAGGGCTGGCTCTCCAGTACAAAGCAAAGCAGGCTGAGGACAGTCTCCCCAAAACAGCTGAAGGTGCTGGCTGGCAACAGTGAAAACCTAACAGCCTGAAGATTCTCTCTCTCTCTGTCTTCTCTCTCCGTGTGTCTCTCTCTGTTTCTCTGTGTGCATGTGTCCTCTCTGTCTCTGCTTCTTTCTGTCTATCTCTTTCTCTCTCTGTATTTCTCTCTGTCTCTGCATCTCTCTGTCTTTCTCTGTCTCTCTCTGTCCCTGTCTTTGTATTTCTCCCATTCTGTCTCTGTCTCTCTGTCTCTCTCTCTCTGTCTCTGTCCGTCTCTCTCTCTCGTGTGCGTACACACACACACACACATACACACAGTCACACACACCACACAGCCACATACACCACATAGTAAAAAGGAATCTGAAGCATTCTGGTCAGAGCACCAGCATTTTGTACTATTGTGAACTCCTGCTAAATATTTTGATTCCATAAGTTCCATTGTCCGAACAAACAAATGCAGTACAAAACCACTGCAGCTGGTGCCTCCACCGTAGGATGTGTTTTGACATAAATGCTTCACTTGCATCTTCAGTAAGGTGACATGCTATGTCTTCGAGTAGAGGTGGTGATCCTGTTTGCAGACAGCTCAGATGAACAGGTTAGTCCTGGAAAAGAGAAAGGCACTGTGGTCATCATCCACATAAGGCAATTAAGAGTTGACTGTATTTAAAACAGATCAGGTGATCCTATGGAAACTGCAACTGAACCCGCCTCCACCTGTGCTTTTTTTTAGTGGAGAGGCCCCAGTATGATTATTTCTAGTAGTATTTTTCACATGTGCCTCTTCCTTAACTCTCTCTGTTGGGTTGAGTGAGCAGAAGGTATGGGCAGAAACTAAGCTGGTAAGTTAGTCCTTCACAGAATAGGCAGGCCCTACCTTACTGATAAACCCCCTGAATCAGAGAGCATCTGAATAACCCTGTTTCATTCCTGCCCCCTTCATCCCTTCAGTAGATGGTGTCCAGTAGCCATGGGTGTCCAGGCAAAACAACCACAGCTTGTGAACGTGCATTCACTTAACAAATACACATAGTCAGGTCCCAGCACATGCACAGCCAAGACTTTGCCCTGTAGGTTGTCACTCTCACACATTCTTCCCAGGAGCATGTGTGTGTAAGTCAGTGGCTACTCTAATCTGTTTGGTGTTTGGATTTCATTTTGAACGGGGTCTGTGAGTAACACTGCATTAGGTACTTTTGTGATGGATGAAACAAACACCTGAAGAGAGACGATGTCAACTGGCCAGACCTGAATAAGATTCAACATATTTACAGATTAAGTTCAACTACGACAGACATCTTCCTTTGTTTTCATCTTTAACTAAGCTGCCTTCCTACATCTATGGAGTCATGGCCCTGCTGTATAGACCTGCTGTAAGACAAATACACTGGGAAATATTGAATTTCCATTTTATTTAGAGATTTCCTGCTGAAATATCTCTGTGGGGGCTGGATGGCTTAGCTAGCTGACATATTATTCAGATGTTTTCCCAGAAGTGATTAGCAAACTGGATCATGACTTCAGTTGAGGTTTCTCTTACTAGTAACTTGATATAAGTGCTCCTTTTTCATTTCAAATTTCTGAGCAAACTGAACCTAACTTTGTAAAAGTGACTGGATACATCTGGGTGTAATTGCAAAATGAGTTTAACCAGGAAGGTAAAATAATATTATACATAGACATCAAAATTTCTAAGAACAAGGAGAGAGGAAGAGGAACTGGGACTCATGCATCCTGGAATGACAGAATGCAGCTGTTGATGACATCTGTAGTGCCAGCTGTTGGCACTCGACTTGACAGTGTCTGTTGCTACGCATGGAGAGGGATGTATATTCACTTCTGATAAAATAATGCACTGTCAGCATATGCGCTCAATAAGCTCTAAAGCATTGATTTGGGACCAAGGAAAACTGATTTAACCAAAATGCAAGTCTTTTTTTTTCTCTCAAAATAAGATACAACTTAATTCATACTGTGGCTGAAATGCAAACATATTTGAAGTCCCTAATTCATTTGCTCTTACCTCTCCCCTTCTTCCTACCTCTCCCCAACTCTGTTTTTCACAGACTCATGTCCATAGCTGAAAACTTGGAAGCATTCAATGTTGAACCACTCATGAATTTGATAATAACACCACATATCATGTGCTTTTCAATTTACATGTACTTTTTTTTTTTTTTTTTGAGACAGGGTCTCTCTTTGTCACTCAGGCTGGAGTGCACTGGCATGATCTCAGCTCACTGCAACCTCCGCCTCCCAGGTTCAAGCAATTCTTGTGCCTCAGCCACCCAAGTAGCTGGGATTACAGGCACGTGCCACCATGCCTGGCTAATTTTTGAATTCTTAGTAGAGACAGGGTCTTGCCATGTTGATCAGGCTGGTCTTGAACTCCTGGTTTCATGTGACCTGCCCTCATCTGCCTCCCAAAGTGCTGGGATTACAAGTGTGAGCCACTGTGCCTGGCCCACAACACAGTTTTATATAGATTATTACATTCAAGTCTCTTAGTGCCCTTATGAGGCTTCTTGTGTTGTCATGCCATTGTGCAGATAAGGAAAATGAGACTCAGGGTGGTCATGACAGGTTAGGTGACTTGCCCTCAGTCCAGGGTTTTTGGAGTCCTGGGTGAGAACTCAGGTTAGTTATTTTGTGTTGTTTTTACTACCTAGCACCTCGTATATCAATTTGCAATTCCCCCATGGACCTGTACGATGACATAAGAGCAATGAAATAAAAAGAGCATCTTAAAAGACACTTCCAGCCAGGTGGGCTCACGCCTGTAATTCCAGCACTTTGGGAGGCTGAGGTGGGCAGATCACTTGAGGCCAGGAGTTCGAGACCAGCCTGACAAAAATGGTGAAACCCCATCTCTACTAAAAATACACAAAAAAAACTTAGGTAGGTGTGGTGGCATGTGCCTGTAATCCCAACTACTCAGGAGGCTGAGGCAGGAGAATCACTTGAAACAGCGAGGCGGAGTTTGCAGTGAGCCCAGATTGTGCCATTGCACTCCAGCCTGTGCAACAGAGGGAGACTTCATCCCAAAAAAAAAAAAAAAAAAAAAAGACACTTCCTTTACTTGATGCTGCCTCATGTTGTGGAGGATTGGTCTTCATTCAATTCTTCTCCTAGGAAATGACTGCCCTTCATATGGCAGAAGACACAATTGCCTACCGCACTAAAATGAAAAGGTTTTATGCAGGGATCAGAAGGGCTCCTCTGCTCAGAGCTCCACCCCATCTAAGGTCAGTGGGCTGAAAGTCCACCTTTCTTTTGGGTACCTCACTCTTTGGATCTCTTTTAAAATGCAAATGTCTGGGGAAAGTGACACATTGATTTAATTTGTGCTAAGATGTTTGTTGCTGATTCACTCAATTTAGCTGCATAATGACAGAAACACCTAGGACAGCCTAGAAAGAGTCCAGTGCGCTAAAAAGGAAGGGGTGGGCAATGAAGAAGAGTGGAACGTCAATAAACACAGGTGCTTCTGAAAAGATTCCAGCTGGAAGTTCTTGGGACTGAGAACCCAGGAGCCTAGACCCAACACATCTTCTTACGAGGAGTTGTGAGAACCAGCCCTACCTCTGTGGGTACCAGGAGTGGGAAGAGGACAGGGCAGCCAGCAGGAGAGGCCTGGCTTCTCTCAGATTTGAGCTCAGGGGTCTCTGAGAGGGCCAGCCTTGGGCTGCCAGCTAGTTTCACCTGGGCTGCCTCAGCAGAGCCGGGAACATGGGTGGAGGGGGCCAGACAGGGTGCTGTGCGCTAGCTCGGCCCACGGAGGGTGACTTCCAGAGTTGTCTGGCTGTGGAAGTCAGAGCTGGAAACCTCCTCTTTGTGTCTGACAAATCCCTGGGTTGCTCTTCGTACAATGATTGATGCTACCATTACGGCAAGCCGGTGTGAAGGCAGGAACTATCAGGCGAAGTGATTTCTGTATTTTTATTTCGCTGGGAGAGAAAAGAATCTGGTAATATGAAAGCATGGGGAGTAAGGTTTAAATTAAGATCTCAGGCCTCACCTATTCTTTTGTGGATTGCTGCTCTGAGAATGGAGAAATCTGGAATTCCCTGCTTTATGATTAAAGCTATGAGGGCTAAGAATGGGCAGGTTTTGCTGCCTGTTTGTTTAACATATGGAGTTATATGTTCTATATATTCCCATTTTCCTTTGATTTTGGGGGACTTTGCTGACTGATCCGGTCATGTTGTCCTATGACATTTCTAGTGATGAAACAGAGTAATTTGAGTCCAGTGCCATGTGTACATGGCACAAGCAATTCCAGAAGCTCCAGACCTCTGGGAGCTTGCCTTTCATACTTTACTTCGCAAATTGAGAGTGGTTTTGACTCTTCATGTTCCTAGCTATGCCTCATTGGTGTAGATTTAGAAACTCTTTTCTCCAGAGTTTGCATCCACCAGAGAGGGAGGGTAGGGAAAATCCCCTTGCATAAGCAACTGCAGCATGATTGTAGAGGTATCAAACCTTTCTTCCCAAAGCTGTCATTGCTCCTGACTCTGACCTAGTTATCTCTGATTTCCAAGTTAGACCATGAAAAGAGTTCCAAGGCAATCACCTCAATTCCCCAAACCCTCAGAACTACCCTGTTTCAGAGAAAGCCGATCATAGAAGCAAGATGGTGTTGGACGGGGACAGAGAGGGATCATGTTCTCCATACCAGTGGCTGAGGCTCATTTTCATATAGTCTCACAATGAGACAGGAGATTTGAAATTGTATGTCTTGTGAAAAATCCAGGAAGGCCATACTGGAATGTGATTCAGGATAGAAAAATACAAAAGTGCAATGTATGTCTTAGTTAGACTAGATAACTTATAAATAATAGAAATTTATTTCTCATAGCACTGGAGGCCTAGAAGTCCATGATGGATCAAGGTGCCTGCAATTCAGTGTCTAGTGAAGATTTCCGTCTCTGCTTCATGGATGATGCCTCTTGCTGTGTCCTTAGGTAAGGGAAGAAAGGATGAACACTGTGTCCTCACATGATAGGAGGGGCGGAAGGCAGGAAAAGGGGCCAAACAGCCTCCCTCAACCCTTTTAAAAGGGCACAATCCCGTTCATGGATCCTTTGTGACCTAATCACCTCCTAAAAACTCCACACCTTAATACTATCTCTTTGGGGATTATGTTTTAACACAAATCCTGGAGGGACACAAATATTCAAACCATAGCAATGTACTAACTTATCTTCTAAATATGTTCTACAAGGTGTAATTCCATTTGAGGTGTTTATACTTAATATGGGAAGCAAATCCATTTCAGTTTGACTTTGACATTTTGAACCTTCTCATCCAAGCCACCAGGTCCCACGCCAGCAGGAATGAGAGGCTGGATGAAGTTGAAGATATTAATAATAACAACTATGATTTATCAACTGTTTTCTGTGTACTGGGCACTGGGCTAAATGCTTTCCATGCATAGCTTGTTTAATCTTCAAAACAACCCTCTATGGTGTTTTCTTTTTTCATTATTTTTTAATTGTGAAAGGTACTGGAGTGAGTTCATAGGTGAGGAAAATGTTATTTCGAGATAGTAAGAAATTTGCCCATGGTGTCATAGCTATTACCAGTACGTACCACAATCATCCACTTTCATCCAGATCTGCATCTTGGTGACTGACAACTAACCTTGGCTCTCTCCAAAATAGCTTCTGGTACAGTAAATAGAGGAAAAGAAGAAATATATTTATTCTTCATCCATGAAAGAGGGGCCTGAGGAGAGTGACAGTCTCTCATTAGAATTTGGAAGAATTTCATGGCAAATATTGAAGCAATGAGTGTGAAATTTGTTCAGTATTCCAACAGCAGGCTTCCCAGTGAAGTCACTATACAAATATCTTCTCAATTAGTTGAAAGCTCTGTGAAAGAAAGACGTGTTCCCCCCACTGTTTCTCCCAGCAGCCTCAAGCATGTTTTAGGAGGCTGTTAAGGAAACGATACAGGACTGGGAAGAAACAGAACGTTTCTGGAATCCTCAAGGATGCAGACTCTTCTCACATTAGGCAAAAATTATTCTTGATTCATAGCTTAGATTCAAGACCACCCAGTCAGAGGGAAGCTGGCCCTGCCTGACTCTCCTAGATGGCTGGATGGAGCCCAAGGTCTGGCCTCCTCAAGGCAGCTTGGGAATGGCATCTTCTTTAATCCACATCCCTTCTGGCCACGTCCCACACCTGTTAGCCTGGAGGGCATCGCCTGCAAGAGAGCAGGTGAAGTAATTCATCTTAGGGCTGGCAATTACACGGGTTGGTTATGCACTTGGATCACAGGGGGCCAAGTGGAGTCTCTGTCAGGTGGATTTCTGGATTTCTGCCTCACTTCACCCTAGCAGAATGAAACAGAGGCCAGCTATGGCCATCTTTCTCTTCTTTGCCATTTTCTCCCACCGCTCTCCCCACACACTTCTGCTACCTGTAATTTTTACTGAATAAGAGAAAGCTTAAGCCAACTTGAGATAGGCAAACCGAAGAATTTTTCCAGTTGGCTAATCTAAAGCATAAGGCTCCATGCTCAAAAGTGACCTGGTTGAGACCAATGTATGCTTGGCTCCTCCTACAAACACTCCTACAGACCCCTGGGGCACCTGCGTGGTGCTTTTTCCAGAGCTGTGTGTGAGGTGACCTGAATGAGAGAATCCCTGGGTATTGCACCGTGAAGATTAAATGTGCTAATGCAGGCAAGCAATGAGAACAATGCCAGGCACATAAGAAAAGATTAGTCAATGTTAGCTACTATTAATGTCAGCCAACTATCCCTTCCATTGATTAATAAGGAAACTGAGGCCCAGAAACGTAAAGTGACCTTCTCAAAATGGCATAGAAACTCAGCAGCCATTTTGGAACTGGAATCTCAGACTCATGGTTCTTTTCACATGTTATTCATTCACTCAGTAACCATTTATTAAGTTTTTAATTCTGTACTGGACACTGACCAACGATGCAAAAGTGGAAAAGACATGAAAAGAGAGTGGAAGAGCCCAGGAGGAGCTTCTTGTTTAACAAAGGGAAAATGGTGACCCATGTATATCACATGATGATAGCTGGCTGGGGTCTAAGGCCG
Source organism: Homo sapiens (assembly GCF_000001405.40). Lineage (NCBI taxonomy): Eukaryota > Metazoa > Chordata > Mammalia > Primates > Hominidae > Homo > Homo sapiens. Next base: position 59,842,907 of record NC_000015.10, on the reverse strand, counting down.
ATTTTCAAGTTATCTGGGTCTTTTTGAAATTTCTACCAGGTAAAGTCAATAGTAATGATGCTTGATGCCAAGTTAAAACAATTATTTTAAAATATTAAATATTAGTAATTATTTATGCATTTATTGAGTATTTATGCAATTCACCTCATATTCCAGTATTTTTTCAAAGGTGATTGCACATACTGGTAACATTCTGACAGCTAATCATCCCAGCGATGATTCTTACGAAAACGTTCCATAGATTCACCACTGCTCCTCCCATGAGATCCATTTCAATCCTCAAGATACTCCATGACAGAATGTTAGGATACTTGAGGACAGCTTTGTGCTTTGGAAAAAGCTTCCCTTTCTCCTTTCCTCCCTTCCTTCCTTTTTCCTTTTCTTTTCTTTGCTTTCCTTTTTTTTTGAATCAGTGTCTTACTCTGTTGCCCAGGCTGGAGTACAGTGGCGCAATCTCAACCTTCCAGGCTCAAGTGATTCTCCAACCTCAGCCTCCCAAGTAGCTGGGACTACAGGTGTGCACCACCACACCTGGCTAATTTTTGTATTTTTTGTTGAGATGGGGTTTCGTCATGTTGTCCATGCTGGTCTCAAACTCCAGGGATCAAGTAATCCTCCTGCCCTGGCTTCCCAAAGTGTTGTGATTATAGGCATGAACCTCCTTACCCAGGCTCTTTCTTTCTTTCTAAGATCAAGATCCTCCATTTAATGAACAAAGATCTTGAATAATCATAATCACCTTAGAAACAGGATTTTACATTCCATTAAGCAAGACTAGCCAGATGTAGGCCTGGAAATCTAAATTTCCCTAAAATAGTAACAACAAAACTTTGAAAGGGCAGGAGAATGCAAAGTCCTCAAATGCTTGGTGAGCATTTAGGGAGTTTGCATTCTACTGTCCTTTCTTTAGAAAATGACAGAAGCTCCCTTGGCATGGGTCTCACACGGGGTGCACTATAGACAATTAGAAAAGATGTCACCTTTACATTTAGAGTCTGACATTAAGGACATGAAGGAACTCTTTGAGTCATGGATGGGGGAAGGGGAATTGAACTATCTAGAGAGGGAAGCAGTTGGTAGGACAGGCTGTACCTGGCTGAGTTAAATGTGTTTCTCCGGCTTCCTTTATCCTCTGCTATGAGCTTGCAAAGGGCCCTAGCTATGCCTAGATTTAAAAATTCTTTTCTCCAGGGTTTATATCCTTCAGGCTGAGCTGATATAACTAGTTTAATAGAAGGTACTTAAAGAGAAATCAGTTTTCATTTACTCATTCATTTATTCATTAAGCACCTATTGGGTGTCATATGTCAGCAGGTGTTAGGAGCAGACTATGGTTCTGTGAAGGAGACTTCCCTGAGAAGCAAATACAGACAAAGGGGAAGCTGCAACCTCACCAGCTCATGTGACCGAATCCTGCCTGCGTACTATGGGTACTATGAGCACATTACCTACCTGTGACATTCATCCACCCCCGGTCCTTGCTCCTAATAACCTGATCAATGAACCTTGCTTACCCACGTGGTATTTTGGTGATGATCAAATGAGCTAACATATGTGAACGGGTTTTGTAATTTGGGTGGAGGCCAGAGGAGCATGTGCCATTGTGTGAGCAATGGTGTCTCTAGTGTGGGAAATGGACGGTATGGTAATGAGAACTCAAGGCATATGATCTCATTTCAGCTTCACCTGTTCATACATATTTTTGGTGAAAGTGATAGATGGATAATTATTTGTGCCTGAAGGCAGAGTTTGTGAAAGTGCAAGGGAAGGGATATTTGGACATGGCTATGAAATAACACTCCCACTCACTCCCCTGGCTTCTTAAGTGTGTCAGATGGAACCTGTAGATATCACCTACAGTGCTTAGAAGGAGTGATATCTGCTTTTTTCTGTTCTTATATTTTTAAATGAAAATCTGTTTTTTAGGAGTATATGTGTCTGTTTCTATAGATCTGCCTAACGTGCATTGATATAAGCTTGATAAGGAGCTGGCATTAACACCAGAACATAAGACTTCCTCCCCTGGCTCCTCTGGCCCGGGGTTCTCCTTCTGACAGAGGCGCCATCATGCCAGGGTGCACATGACAGGGAAGGGACTGGGAAGACAGGATTTGGAGACATTTTAGTTCCACCAAGAGGTATTGAATGCCCACTCTGTGCCAGCTTGTGTTCAATACTGAGGATGCCAAGAGGAAGCTCTGACGACATGCTCTCAGAGCCCATCTTCCTGGAAGGCAAGGCACCTAAAGCAATAATTTCAAAATAATGCAGAATGCACTAGGCAAAAAAGTATACCAAGGATCTTTTACAGGTGTTGTTTTTCTAGAAAAGTGACACCTGAACTGACTCTTGAAGGACTATCGGGGGTAGCTGGTTGAAAGGAAGGGAAGGCCAGTTCAGCAGGGGACTGGCATGGACAAAGATATTGAGTCCTGAACAAAGGACCAGAGGAAGGGGGGAAAGATTGAGGAATAAAATGGGAGAGGCAGGGCAGCGGGAACCTACCTGTCATTTGATATTGCTGTTGCTAAATTTCAAAGCCTAGGGAGATTGGTGAGAGATCAGATAAGCTCCCTAGGAATGGTAGGAAAGAAGATGCAAAATTCAAGAACTTTTAGGCAAAGCAAAGACAAACAGGTTGCAAAGATCTATGTAAGCAGATTTTAGAGTTCAAGGCACCAAAAAATTTACAAGGGCATCAGCATCAGTAGTTCTGACTATAGAGCAAGAACCACTGGTTTGTGCCTTTTATGTTATGTGATTAATGTGGGATGTAGACAAGAAGCTTAAGGGTGAATGCTGGCCCAGCTTACAGGAGGGACAGAGACTCTGGGATAATCCAGCTGAAGCCTGCTTGGCATGTCCTCAAAAGCACTGTCCTTTAGACCCATGGATGTGTATACGCCCCTTTCAAACTTACCAGTATGTTTGCTTAATAATGGGTCACACGTTTACTAAAAGAATTTAGTACCTCTGTAATAAATGAAAATTTGTTTGTTTGTTTGTGATAGAGTCTTGCTCTGTCACCCAGGCTGGACTCAGGTGCAATCTCAGCTCACTGCAACCTCCCCATCCCAGGTTCAAGCGATTCTCCTGCCTCAGCCTCCGAAGTAGCTAGGATTACAGGTATGCGCCACCATGCCCTGCTAATTTTTTGTATTTTTAGTAGAGATGGGGTTTCACCATGTTGGTCAGGCTGGTCTCGAACTCCTGACCTCAAGTGATCTGCCTGCCTCGGCCTCCCAAAATGCTGGGATTACAGGCATGAGCCACCGTGCCAGGGCTGAAAATCTTTTAAAATAACCCTTTTTTCCAGATAAAAATAGATACACATTTTCTTTTAGAAAATGTGAATAATACAGATAAGTCTGAGAAATAAAATGTAGTTGCATTATCAAATAGTAACCACTGGTATTTTATTTATATAGCATATTTTTTATTTCCCATTTTTAAACTTGCCATTATAGAATGAGTGCTGTTCATGCTTTTGAGTTTAAAGTTTACACAGAGAAGGTGAATGTGCCAGTCACCCTTTTATTACCTCTCAACTTCAAATTTATTTATCTCTGCTCTGCACTTGATACTGGAGCTGGGTCCTGTAAACATTTCTCTTTTTCCAGCTGGCTTAATGTTAAGCTTGTTAAAGAGAGGGTCTGGAGTGAGCATTCAAGGCCAAACAGAAGGAAGGAGTTACCCTTCCTGTTCATGGCCTCGGAGCCAGCAGAGCAGTGTGAAGGAAGCTGGGCACTGCTCAGCTCAGTATCTTGTGTGCACAAGCTCTGCCAGTCTGCACCCTCCAGCAAATGTCTTCACTATCCACGGACCATTGCTATGGACCAGCTCCCATCTGCAGCCTCTGGTGAGTTTCTCCAGCACCTGGAAAGCTGCTCCTACAGCCCACTTCTGGCCCACAACTTCTGGCAAGGGTCTTTACCACCGTCAGGCTGACTTTTCCTCTTGCAGGGGGTAAGTTCTTAGTTCCTTCTTCTTATTGCTCTATGAACGTGCTACTTCTAAACCCGTTAGGGTTCATCTTGTTCTTTTTCCTAGTTAACCACCTTTACTAGTTAACACATCTTTATATTAAGATTTATCTGTTTGAACAATTGGTGGTGTTTCTACTTCCTGATTGGACCCTGACTAATACAGAGGAGAAAGAGGAGAGATGCGACAGGCAAAATGGGAGAAAAAACCTGTTCTCTCTCAATTCCCTACAAAATTCTCTCTTTCTCTTTCTCTGTCTCTCTCCCTCTCTCTCTCTCTCTCTCTCTCACACAGACACACACACACACACACACACACACACACACACACACACACCCCTACCCAAAGGCCACTGAGAACCACTAGTTTCCTGCATTCTTTGTTGTAGCCTGGGTTTCCCAGAAAGCAGACCCGAGAAGGGCTTATGTGCTACACTTTTGTTCGTGAGTGCAATCACAGGAAGCAAGAGTAAAGATCAGGGTGTGAAGGCAGGGAATGAGAGGAACCCAACGAAAAGATCCATTATCACCCTTCAAGCATGACTGATTGCACAACCCTGCCAAACTTTCAAAAAGTGACATAAATGGCGTTATGCTCTCCACTGGCTCCCATGCCTAACAGGTGTGTCATATGTATGTCAGTTCTTCACTGTGCATAAAGTCATTACTATACACATCATGTTGCAATATCTATACATCTTTAATTGTATTCTCAGAGTAAATTATTTAAAATATATTTATTGTATCAAAGGATAGAGAATGTGTATCTCCAACCAGAAGTTCTACTAGAAATTTCAGATATTCAGAATTCCTTACATCCTAAGCATCCTGGCTTGTAGAAATGTCATGTTTACTATATTTTCTTCCATTGTAAGATGGAAATACTTCCAAATACTTGGAAGATAGAGCTGTCATTAATTTAATAGCATGGCTTTGTGTGTTTGTGGTGGAGGATGAGATGGGGTGGAACTACCAAAGGATACATATTCCAACAGAATTTGCTTGCTAATTGCTAATTGATATACATCTATCCGTAACATTCTAGGCCACTTTATTTTTTGACATCGCAAAGTTGTAGCCTACCCTCAAATTATTCAGATTCTTCTGAATCCCTTTTGACCAATAGGAGCCTCATCACTCACGGGGGGCTCTGCCAAGTGCCCTTGCCTTTCCTGGATGGAATGGCAGGAAACAGAGTAGCTGGCAGGACCCCACCATGTCCTTAAGAGAATGCACACAGTCAAAGTTGGTTGAAAAACTGGACTAGCCAAGTATGTCATAATTCCCAAGAGGTAGGAGCAGAACCAGGAGTGGGAAATGAAGTCAAAAGGTCAGGAGCCAGGTAGGCCCAGGAACTAAGGAAGTGAGGGAAGCAGAGGAGCGAACCAAGCAGAGGGACCGAGGACCTTGCTGGGAATGAAGCCAGAATGCCCAGACTCCTTCCTATTAGATTTTATAAATAGTGTGGGTTAAAGACCCTGAATTAAAGATAGAGGATCAGCTAGGTAGAGAGCTGACCTTGAACAACTCCTGTTTCTTCTGTCTGCCAAGTCTACCCCCACCTTGAAGTCCAGGTTTTTCTCCAGAGTGCTCTCCTCTCCTTTGTGAGAAAATCATACTACCATTTCTACAAGATATTGTTGTCTACAGGTTTTCCTCCAAGAATAGCCTTGGATTCCTTTCCTGAAATCATAATTTACACTACAAAAGAGAAAAAGAGAGTGCACCATTCTGTGCATAATTCTATTGGCTATGGAAACTCTGAAGACAAGAGATGTGGGCCACCTGTCTGGAGTCCTTCGTGTGCTTGTTGATTCACTCTGCATGACCACCCTAGGCAGATCTCACTGGCCATGATTCTTCTATCACAGATGCCCTCTCCTCCACTTCACCAGCCCACTACTGCATCCAAGTTCTTGGATTCAATATTTTGTTCAGTTTCAGCAGTCTACCTGGTCGTCCCAGGCCTTTAACCCAAGTCCTTTGCCCACATACATTGTAAAATCTGGTAAGAAGGCATTCTGCAGATTCTAATATTATTCCCAACAAAAAGTCCCCCTTATTCCTCAGTATTTAAGGGAATATGAGAAGTTGGCATTTGCTAGCTTTCTTGGAGTTTCATTTCACTTGGTAGATTTGAATCTTTGTACAATCAACTTGAACAGTCTGAAGAACTAGAGGGAGACTCATGGGGCTATCTTCTCCAATAAAGATGTCTTTTCAATATCAAACAACCCTTCCCAGAGCTTGCAGTAGCAAGAATGGTCTGGGGGAATATTGGATGCCCACCACAAGGTTAGATACTGAGGGAAAGGGAGGCGTTAGAAAGCATGATTCTGGCTGAAGTGGAGTTGGAGATATAAATTCACGTGGCTTTTAATGTATTGGGGGTCACAGATCCATTGAAATCCGTTAAAAGCTATGAATGCTCTCACAGAAAAACGCACATCACATAAAAATTTGTGCATGCATAATTCTCAGTACTCATGCCCCCCACCACCACCATTTGGAAACCTATCTCTGGACCCTGACTTTAAAAGTCCCCAACTTAGATAAATAAATGAAAAATAATAAACAATATAAACAAGAAACAAGAAAACAATAAAAAGATCAGGAGCTAAATTAAACAGTACATGTGTCAGTTTGTATAAACTTACTGTAAACACTAGAAGGACTTCAGAAAAAGTGACCAACATTGAAACAATCTCTAAAAATATGATCTAGGGGTTGTGTGATGCAGATGAGCCTTTTCTGGATCCTTGGCTTCCAAGGCTTTCTTGGTATTGCCTTTGCCCCATACTAATGTTACATGTAAGGTGTCACTCGGTATCCAATAAATACTTTTTTTTGAGATGAATGAACTTGAATTCCTCACATGGGCACCATGTCTTTGCTGCCCTGTAAAACCCTACCACTTGTGTCTGGTTTGGTGAGAAACACCCCAGGAGGGCAGTGAGTCTGCTTGAAAGTAGGTGTGGAGTTTTGCTTATGAAAGGACTCAATGCTTCCAAGAGTTGTGCAGAAAACACCTGAGTCCTGGGTAGAAAGAAACCACAAAAACTTGAAGCAATCAGGAACTGTTTTGTTTGGTTTTTAACAGCAAATACAAGTTTAAAGTACACCTTGACATCAATTTAAAATTTAGCATTACAGCATTCTGAATGTTTTCCTTCAGCAAATATTCATGGAGAGCTTGCTATATTTCAGATGTGTGCTAGATCCTACAGATCTAGATTTTTGCAAAAATGAACATGACAGACCTGAATCCTGTCCTCACCCAAATTAATGAAGGGACTACAGAGGCCACCTCCCTGGTCATTCTGTAGATGGAGAAAGCAAGACCCAGTGAGAGGGGTTATAATTTTCCCAAGATCACACAGCTAATTAGGGACAGAGTTATGACCAGAACCCAGAGCTTCTGGCCTTCCAAGAGCACAATCATCTTAGTAAGAATTTGATGATAAATTAGGGGATTAAAATATTTCTCCACCAAACATTTCATTAAGCTTTTTCTTTTCTTTTTTGAGACAGAGTCTTGCTCTGTCACCCAGGCTGGAGTGCAGTGGCAAGGTCATCTCGGCTCACTGAAACCACCACCTCCTGGGTTCAAGTGATTCTCCTGCCTCAGCCTCCCAAGTAGCTGGGATTATAGGTGTGTGCCACCACGCCTGGCTAATTTTGTATTTTTAGTAGAGATGAGGTTTCACCACGTTGGCCAGGCTGGTATCGAACTCCTGACCTCAAGTGATCTGCCCACCCCAGCCTCCCAAAGTGCTGGGATAACAGACATGAGCCACTGCGTCCGGCCAAGCATTTTATTAAGCTTCTACTGTTTTCTGTACCAGTCCTTGGCTAAGTGTCCAAGATGCTGAAATGTATGATATACAACTTGACCTTCTAAGATATGGCAGCTAAAGTAAATTTGATTGTAGAAGCCAATGATTTGATAATAAAGTAGCTTTTTATATGGGCAAGTTCTGCCTAAACAAACAAACAAAAAACCTTAGTTTAGGGGATCACAGGCAATTGTTGAGAGGAAAAAACAGGAAAACAGAAAAAGGAGACAAATGGCAACAGTAAAAATGTAGAGCAGAAATTGAGCCATGTTTTGGTGGTTTGAGTGTTTTACTCCGAGGGGTTTGTGTTCCCCTTTGTAACCTTGTAAACCACACCGGCAAAGAACATCAACACCTTTGGGAACCTGCACATCTGCAGAGCCAAGTCAGCATTGAAAGGGGGTGAAAGGATAGCATCAAAAAGTTCAGCTACTGGGGTGGGGTAAAAGCCCTGACCATAAATACTTTGGCCAGATAGAATTTCTAACACATTGCATGCCTGGGGCTTGCAGGTGGGCCTTTGAAATCTTTCCTCGGGGCTTGGCAACAGTGTGGTGCCTCTGTTCATGCCTTTATTGATGTATCCATTAGAAAGTGACATGATTTGCTTACTAAGTTTCTGTTTAATTTGCATCTTAATGTCCTATCATTAAGATATAAATACAGGCATAGGGAATTGAGTAATTTAGAAATTCCCTCTGGGGATTTGGCAGCAGGACTGTGAACATGGAAGGCTGCAGCCTGGAAAAGTGGGTATCTGAGCAGATCCACACCTTGAGAAGTGTTTGGAAAAGAACCTACCTGCCGCAGCATCGCACCTGAAAGCCCGAGGTGCAGGTGCATGCCATTGGCCACATGTATTTTACATCAGAGGTAGATGCTCGCCAGGGTCAGTTCTCAGCATCTCCAGGAAGCCCTTGGTGTTTATTTGTTTTCCTCCTTGTGTTTCCTGCATACAGAGGTTTGTAGACACTGCCACAGTCTTTGCCTCCAGATCCACAGGCAATTTTGCTTCAGAACGCTCTGTGGTTTGGGTACCTTAGGAGTGGAATAATATAAGGAAAACAATGGGAGCCAAACAGCCCCGAGTTTCAGTCTTTCCATGAGTTATGCAACATCTCCAAATGTTAGTGAGCTCTTTTCTGGGAAATGGCTATCATAGTTAATTTGAAAAATTGTTGTGAAGCCTAAATGAGTTAATATGCTTACAATGCCTAACAGGTTACCTGAGTCAGTAGGAGCCTAAAATCATCAATGTTCTTCGCTTTCCTGTTAGCACCTCTTTGGCTTCTGAACTTCTCAAACTCCCAAATGAAGCTCTATGAGGACCAAATGGAGGGCTCTTGATCATCCAAAGTGCATTTTTCTCTGGCCCATTCTCCAGAATGAAAGTTGGTAGCCTCAAATGGCTGCTTCTTGTAAATGGGCAAAGAGCATTGAATGGCTTGTCTAAGTCATTTCAGGAAATAGCTTGGTTCAGCCCCGCTCTTTCCTCTCTCCAGAGCGGAGAGCCCCAGCTGTGTGTACATAACATTGGGAGTTGAAAGTGCACTAGAGAGCATGTCATTCAACCCTCTCCGTTTAAAGATGAGAAAATTGAGAGTGAGAAGGATGGAGGGATGTGCCCAAAGCCATGTTGTTACTTAGTTGCAGAATTGTAAGGAGACCTAATGTCTCCTGTTTTTATGGAGATGTCATCATTTTCAAAGGACTTTCATAATTTTTATTTTATTTCATCCTCGTGGCAAATTTAAGAAGAAGAAAGTAGTGCTATTTCCATTGTACAGATGAGTAAACTGAAATTTAAAGAGGAAGCAAAATATAGGCCTCAAACCAGAGTCTGTGAACTTCAGGCCCCACTCAACTGCCAATGCTTTTTCTCTTTTCTAGAAAGAGACAGGGTCTTGCTCTGTCACCCAGGCTGGAGTGCAGTGGTGCAATCATGGCTCACTGCAGCCTCAAACTCCTGGGCTCAAGTGATCCCTTCACCTCAGCCTCCCTAGTACCTGGAACTATAGGCACACACCATCACATCTGGCTAATTTATAATTTTTTTGTAGAGACAGGATCTTCCTATGCTGCCCAGGCTGATCTTGAACTCCTGGGCTCAAGTGATCCCTTCACCTCAGCCTCCCTAGTACCTGGAGCTATAGGCACACACCATCACATCTGGCTAATTTATAATTTTTTTTGTAGAGACAGGATCTTCCTATGCTGCCCAGGCTGGTCTTGAACTCCTGGGCTCAAGTGATCCTCCCACCTCAGCCTCCCAAAGTGGTGTGATCACAGGCATGAGACACCATGCCTGGCAATGCTTTCTTCATTAGCTCTGAAAAGTGTAGCCATGGCCCAGACCCAAGATACCTCACATATCACAGTAAGGAGGAAAGGGAGGAAAATGCTCACATTAATCCTTAAAGGCAAAGGGGCAGAAGGAAGATTCCAAGAAAAATCTGTTTGTTCATTCATTCATTCGTTCTTACATCAAACACTTTCTGAGCAGCACAATATTTGAGGAACAGTGTTAGGTGATGCAGGAATATAGCGGCAAATCAAACATCATCAAACATTTGGAACCCTTTAGGAGCTTACAATCTAGTAAAGAAGTTCACCATTTGTGAGCATTTATCTAACAAGAGGCTCTTCTCTTTTACACAATAAAATAAAAACAGATAAAACTTTACTGTTTGAAGTGTTTGGGCCCACTTCCTAAACTTAATAAGTATAGTCTGGTGATTTTGAAAATTGATAACTGAGGGTTCACCCTACACTGAAATTCTGAGCATCACTCATTGTTGTATAAGAACTAGGATTGTGGATCCAGAAAGACTAGGCAATTAATTGCATTCATTAATCTGGACTGAAACCCTGAAGGTTAGTTTCTAAATATATAGGTTTTGGTTTTGTTTCTTTTTCTTATTAGATTCTGGAAATGGAAAATCTAATATTTTGAGATTGTAATTAATTGGATTTTGGCTAACTGAGCCTTTATTGTATGCATTTTACAAAGCATAATGGTAGTTGGCAAAACTCCATGATCTTTCATTCAATAATCTTGAATTTCTACTTGCCAAATGCCATGTAACACATGAATTAGGTCTTTAATCTCAAGGGGTTTATAAACTAGTTGATCCCAGCTGGCAAACATAAAATATGAATGCTGCCACTTCTGCTTCTTGTGCTCATCACAGGCAATGCTAATTGATCACAGACCTCTTGATGCATTTAGACCTGGCCTCAGAATCTTTCTTATCAGAAAGCTTCCAGTTACTACCAGTAATTAAAAGTTGCTTACTTGTTTAAACCTATTTGCTGCCTCTGTGCTATATGAACGCTTACTCACTCAGCATATGTGGAGAAAACATAGTGGTGTTTCCAATAATGCCACAACAAAGGGCCATACTGAAATGAGTACAAATCCACTTCAATTCACTCCTTTAGTGCTTCCATGCATATAAATTATATTATATGGCAGAGAAACTTCATTTGTTAAATACTTGAAGCTCCGTTTTCATCAGCTCTATATACGGTTTGGAAATAACACAAATTTAAAAATCTAAATATCACTAATAGATGTTAACTATATAGAAACTACTACTGGATAGTCACACTAAAAAAATGTTAAGGCCAGGCATGGTGGCTCACGCCTGTAATCTCAGCACTTTGGGAGGCCGAGGCAGGCAGATCACCTGAGTTGGGGAGTTCGAGACCAGCCTGACCAACATGGAGAAACCCTGTCTCTATTAAAAATACCAAATTAGCCAGACATGGTGGCACATGCCTATAATCCTAGCTACTCGGGAGACTGAGGCAGGAGAATTGCTTGAACCCGGTAGGCGGAGGTTGCGGTGAGCTGAGATCGAGCCATTGCACTCCAGCCTGGGGAACAAGAGCGAAACTCCATCTCAAAAAAAAAAAAAAAAAAAAAAAAAGTTAAAAGGTGAAGGTACATTCAGGGGTGCTTACATTCCATTTGGATTTTCATTTTATGAGTCAGTCTCTACAAATGCCTGGCTAAAACATGTTCACTTATAAACACTCTGACAAAGTTACACCAAAATGATGTGGATGACAGACAGGATGGATTCAAGTAAGATTTCATTTTTCCTTTTCCTCAAAAACCTGCATTCTGGACATTTGTGTTACATTTAAAATTTTGTCCCTCAAAGCAGGCAATGATGGCCACATTAGAAGTAATAATTCCAACCAACCTTGACAATTGGTTACCTATCCATTAACTACAAAACCTGTACTCAAAACAGTAGAGAGTGAAGAAGAGCTACTGTTCCGCACAGACCCCAGATGAAATGAACAAGCCATGTGAGGCACGTGCTGTGAAAGTGAGGCTGTCACCACCCAGGCCTGCATTAATGGAACCACAGGCACCAGGAGAAGAGAATGAGATCCTGCCTGACTCTGCAAGCCAAAGCATATCCATGGCATTTTTTCCAGCTCTAGACATCCAACTTTAAAAAGCTGGAGGCTGCTCTAGATAGAAAAATACCTGGAAGCTACAGCATTAAAAGGACAGAAGAGAAAGGGGAAAGGCTCTATACAGTGGCAGATCCAGGTTTTGTGGGGTCTAAACCTGGTATAATACAGTAGGAGTGAGAAGGGGAGAATCTCCTTCAAGAAAATGAATGCAAAATTACAATGACCAAAGTAAATGGGAATTTGACTGCTTATTTTGAATGAGAAAACAGATCACAATAAATCATTGGAGACTTAAGGATTGAGGTCACTTTCCTTTTGAGAGCTCTAGGCAGTTTACCAGAGATATGTAGGCAGAAATGGCTTCCTGGTGGGAGCCTGGCTTCCCCTCCCCTCCTAGGAATCTCTCTAACTCTCAGCACCCATGGGCTTGCAGTGGGGAGAGGCCCTGAAGCCTGAACTGTGACCGCTTCACAGTTAATCTTCCTCTGGCTGTGTATGTGTGTGCGGTGGGGAGGCAGCCTTCAGAACCCTGGTGGGAAGGATGATAGTAGCTGTGTTCAAGGACTAAGTATTTGCTACTCTGGTGTTCCTGGAGATAGAACTTGGGCCCACAGTAGAAACTGCAGCAAGGTAGATTTGAACAACAGTATAAAAACTCAAACATCCGGAATTGTTCATCCACAGAATTAACTTTCTGGCCACGTGGGAAGAAAAGCAGAAATGGATTCATTGCCTTGCAGAAGGCTGTAACCTAGATCTCTTCTTGGTAGAACTTAGCCTAGAATTTAATCTCGAAAATCTTTCAAACTCTCAAGCTCTGTGTCATTCCGTTATGATCATCTGTCCCTTTTACCTGCCCTGTTTTTTATTTATCCTGCTCTTGGAGATCCCAGATTTCTTTCAGGGGAAACCAACCCCTCACACAGCCAGCCAGTGTGGTTTGCAAGAGCTCATGTTGTCCTCCTCTCCAGCCCCAGGATGGGCATATGTTCTAGTTGTAGAGACACCAGTGCTAATCCAACGAGCCAAAAGTCAGGGGGTTTTTTTGTTGTTGTTATTTTGTCTTTGTGTTTGTTTTTTTGAGACAGAGTCTCGCTGTGTCGCCCAGGCTGGAATGCAGTGGTGCTATCTTGGCTCACTGCAACCTCACCTCCCGCGTTCAAGCGATTCTCCTGCCTCAACCTCCCGAGTAGCTGGGATTACAGGCATGTGCCACCACGCCTGGCTATTTTTTTTTTAGATGGATTGTCGCTCTTGTCACCCAGGCTGGAGTGCAGTGATGCGATCTCAGCTCACTGCAACCTCCCTCTCCCGGGTTCAAGCTATTCTTCTGCCTCAGCCTCTTGAGTAGCTGGGATTACAGGCACATGCCACCACGCCCGGCTAATTTTTTGTATCTTTAGTAGAGACGGGGTTCACCATGTTGGCCAGGCTGATCTCGAATTCTTGACCTCAAATGATCCGCCCACCTCGGCCTCCCAAAGTGCTGGGATTATAGGCGTGAGCCACCGCACCCGGGGCCGTGAGTCAGTCTTGAAACTCTGGGCGTTCCCGTATGAATAGAAGAGCTCTCTTCTGGCTGGAGTTGCTAAGCCAGAGGATGCAGGTCTGGAACTTTCAGAAATTATCTTGCCTGTTTGAGAGGGGAGCCACCGAAAAGGAAAGCAGAGCTGAGAGATGGAGACGTGCAAATTTGCAGGCGGTGTGGAGAACCTGGAGTGAGCCATGCCTGAGTTACAGCCCCTGTACGTTGAGCCAATAAATTCCTATTCCTGCGTTTCTCAAGCTAGTTTGAATTGGACATGACTGACTCACTAATAAGACCTCAAATTCATCCCAAAGACCTGATGCCCCTAACTTTTTGAGTAAACACCACCCTTTAGCTCTTATTTCTAAGACGACCATGTTTGGTCACATTTTATACTATTTTAGATATTTAAAGGCATTTTGCTTGTTTATTTTTGTTGGCATTTTGAATTTTTAGCCCACTTTTGGAATCATAGTGCTATTATCAATGGAAAGTTCTGCTGTGCAGTTTTCATTCATGTGACATCTATAATAGGGTTTCATATTTTTGGATGTAGGTAATCAAACTTTCCCACTTAGGAGCCTAAGGTGATGTATGTGTTTATCTTTGGAAAGTATGTGGAGAATTTTGCTATGGTAGGTATTCCAAGTGTTTTTCATCTTGATCACTAAACAAGATTTATGTTCTCACTCACAGACGATGACAAAGCTAATAAATTAGACGTGCCGACAACCCTTCAATAAAGAAACTATTTTTCTACAGTTAACAGTCCTTTTAGATATTAATAAGCTTACTTAGTTTTAATCAACTTGTCATAGGCAAAACTGCCTCCTAAAGAATATAAAGCCTAAGGAAAACAAACCGAATTAAAAATGTTTTTTTTCCCTTACATTGAAATTCCTTAAGTGAAACACATATGCAAAATCAACATGCTATACGGGCAATCCCTACTTAGCATGGCAGAGCAGAACTACAAAAATGACCAAGAAGCTGTAACCCCACAAAGTATTCTTAATAACTGTAAAAAAATATATGATTGATTTTTGACTTTTAAGAATTTTTTGTCAAAGCGCTAAAATTGATCATACTATCAATTATAAACATATAAGGAAATCAAAAAATAGTAAAACTAATATGTATTTAGTACACTGTAATTTAAAACATGAGAAACATTGAGAATTAAAGTACTTTATTTATAAGAAACTTATCAAAAGTAGTTTGAAAAGCGCTTCTCTTCTTTCACCACGCTACTTGCCATATGAAGCAGGCATCTTTTCTATACCCTTGGTGAATTGTCAGGCTTCTTTCTAAGCTTGGATCAGCTTCCAACCTTTTGTCGAATGCATTTGTAATTGTGTGAATTATTTTCAAGAATTATTTTAATGTGAATTTTTTGCTGCATCCCTTTCTCTGGGACTTCATCTTTTTCATCATAATGAAACGGGTGGGCATCTTTGGAATGCTACCTACAAATCAAGTCTCACAACTCTATCAGCTTTGAATAGACCTACTTAAGCTCCACAGAGAGTTATTTTGAAACTGCAACTCAGAAGCCAAGTCCGTGTTGGAGATTGTAGGGTTTTATGGAATTTCAATGTGTCTTCTTTAAATCAGAAATATAGAGAAGCCACATTATTTAGCAGGACACAAATAGCTTGGAATACATGGCTTCAGTGGTGTCAGAGGACACTTTACGAAAATATTTATCTTATTTTGAAGGAGTACGGCAGGTGGCACGATGGGAAAGGTGGTCTTTGAGAACATCCTATTAACTGCTTGGCACTTGGCTTGCTCCTGGTCAGTGTGATCAAAAATA
This sequence comes from Homo sapiens, assembly GCF_000001405.40. Classification (NCBI taxonomy): domain Eukaryota; kingdom Metazoa; phylum Chordata; class Mammalia; order Primates; family Hominidae; genus Homo; species Homo sapiens. The sequence goes on along the minus strand of NC_000015.10, from coordinate 59,827,310 downwards.
GACAGGGCACACGTAATCATACATGGCTCACCCTCTCTAGGAACTCTCCTTAATTGCCTGAAGCATTGACAGATCAATATAGTTGTTTGAAAACTTAAGAGATGTTTTCCAAAATGCCAGTTGTCAAAATGTTGCAAAATTATTCTCTCTGCCTCTTCCCCACTGGCTTTCCCTTTCCATAATTTCTGCCCTAGAGGCAAAATTGATGAGCAGCAATAGTCAGTAAGAATTTATTTTTTTAAATTTTTGAGACAGGCTCTGACTCTGTTACCCAGGCTGGAGTGCAGTGATACAATCATGGCTCGTGGCAGCCTTGACCCCCCTGGCTCAAATGATCCTCCCACCTCAGCCTCTTGGTAGCTGGGACCAGAGGTGTGCACCAACACACCTGGCTAATTTTTGTATTTTTTGTAGAAATGGGGTTTCATCATGTTGCTCAGGCTGGTCTCGAACTCCTAAGCTCAAACGATCCTCCCGCCACAGCATCCTACAGTGCTGAGATTACAGGTATGAGCCACCGTGCCCATCTGTAATATTTTAAAGAGCTGTCAAAAACAGTTTCAGAGGCATTAACAACTGTTTGCTATGTAAGCAATCAACTTTTAACCAACATCTCTTCAACTATCCTTTTTTTCTTTCAAAAAATTTTGTATTAAATATTGAATACATATAAAAATATATTTATATCATATGTGTAAGATGTAAAGAAAAATAATGAAATGAATACTCATTCATAAAATTACCAGTATCCCCAAAAGCCCTGTGTGATCCTTCTTACTGCTCAACCTTTCCTTCTTACAGAGGAAACCTCTATTTTAAATTTATTTTTATTATTCCTTATATAATCCCTGAATTTTATACGCATGTATCCCTAAGTCATATGATTACATATTGTTTGATTTTGCATGTTTTTGTATTTAGTATAAATATAAGGATACTGTAGGTCTTCTTTGCTTTTCCTCCCATGTTATTATGTTCCTGAGATTTACCCTGTGGATGCATGTTGCTGCTATATGGTTTTAAAACGTGTGAATTTACCATTATTTATTTACCTATTCTACATTGCTGCATATTTGGGTAGTTTCCTTTGTTTTTTTAGGCAGTGCTGCTATAGAATATTTTGTATGTGTCTCACACTACCTCCGTGCTAGAGATGCCTTAGGGCAGTAGATCTCAAATTTCAGCATGCCTTTTAATTTCCTGGAACACCTACAAACGTCGCAGACTCATCCCTGAGAATTCTGACTCCTTCTGAGATGGAGTCCAGGAATCTGCATCTTGCAGCCTCCCTGTTGATTCTGATGCACGTGGTCCACTGACCTTCCCTTTGAGAACCACTGCTGGTGTATATACCGAGGCATACAATGCCAGACAGTAGGGTATGCGATCTGTAACTTTACTTTGAAGTTCAAAATTGTCTTTTTTTTAATTATTATTATTATTTTACTTTAAGTTTTAGGGTACATGTGCACAATGTGCAGGTTGGTTACATATGTATACATGTGCCATGCTGGTGCGCTGCACCCACTAACTCGTCATCTAGCATTAGGTATATCTCCCAATGCTATCCCTCCCCCCTCCCCCCACCCCACAACAGTCCCCAGAGTGTGATGTTCCCCTTCCTGTGTCCATGTGTTCTCATTGTTCAATTCCCACCTATGAGTGAGAATATGTGGTGTTTGGTTTTTTGTTCTTGCGATAGTTTACTGAGAATGATGATTTCCAATTTCATCCATGTCCCTACAAAGGACATGAACTCATCATTTTTTATGGCTGCATAGTATTCCATGGTGTATATGTGCCACATTTTCTTAATCCAGTCTATCATTGTTGGGCATTTGGGTTGGTTCCAAGTCTTTGCTATTGTGAATAATGCCGCAATAAATTGTCTTTTAAAGTGGCTGTACCACTTACACTCCCACCGAAAAGATATGAGTTTCCATTGTTTCACATCCTTGCCAATATCTCAAGATTTTTAATGTTTCTTAATCCTGAGAGTGTAAAGTGGTATTTCATTGAGATTTTCCTAGAGTCTGGATTCTAATCCTTTGTAAATTGCCTTTCACTTTCTTTATAGTGACTTTGATGAAAACTTTTTAATTTGAAGTGATTTAAACATATATTTTCCACTATGGAATGCATGTTTTTAGAGTTTTGTAAAAGAAATTTTTCCTGTCTCTGATTTATAAAGATCTTCCCCTGTGTTGTTTTCTAAAATAATCATAGTTTTGCCTTTCATATTTAAGTATTTAATCCACCTGGGATTCATTTTGTGTATGCTATGAAGCAAGGATTCAAATTAAATTTTTTTCCATATGGATAATCATTCATCCCACTACCTTTTTTATGAGTTACTTTTTTATTGGAATTGTATTGCATCTACACAGGTCAATTTGGGAGCATTGACATATATAATACATTAATTTTCTTATTCACATATATAGAATACCCCCATATTTATTTTAAATTGTCTTTTAATAAACTTTAATACTTTTTGGTATAAAGAGCTTACACACTTTTTGGTTGCATTCATTTCTAAAACCTTTATATCCTTGCTATTTTCACAGATTTTATCTTTTTAAAATTGTGTTTTCTAAATTTGTTGCTTGTATAGAGAAATAAAATTGACTTCTACATTGATTTGTTAGAAACCCACTATATTTTTGTTAATATTAATAATTTCTTAGATAAGCTTTTCTGTGTACAAAAACCAACACCATTTAGGAGCATTTTTTCATTCTTAAACTTTTTAGCATATCTTTCTCTTGCCTTGTTAGCTAGGAAGACCTTCAGGAACGCGTTATATAAAAATGGTACGTAAGAGGATATCACTATTTTGCTCTTGATCTTTCACAAATAAGTATGATATTTACTGTAAATTATGTATAAGTACTCCTTGTAATATTAAGGAATTTCCCACCTATACTTTGCTCTATTTTCTATTTCAGTAAAAGTATACTTATTTGAACCGTAAATAATTGTCAGAACTTCTCTGAAAAACCAATGGGCCTGGTGTTTTCTTTATATAGACCTTACCTATCAATTGAATTTCTGGAAGGTTTATAAAACTATTTAAGATGTTTTTTGAGTTTGTTTTTGGTTTTGGTAAGTTTATTTTTCTGGAAGTTTGTCCATTTTATCTAAGTTTGCAATTTTATTGGCATATATTTAATAATCAGGCTGTTCATTATCTTTTAAATTTCTGCTGCTCCTGTATTTATGTCTCCATTTTCATTCCTAATTACATTTATTTATGCCATCTATCATTTTTTAATGGTCAATGCTGCTAAAGGTTTGTCAATGTTATTAATTATCTTCAAAGAACCAATCTTTGACTTTGTTGATCCTCTTTGTTGAGTATTTATCTTCTATTTCATTAATTTTCACTAGGATCTTCAGTATTTTTTTTTCGTTTAGTTGGTGTTTATTCTGTTCTTCTTTTTCTAACATCTTGAGAGAGATAACAGTGTGAGATATTTTTAAACCTTCCTCTGACCATATAAAGCTATAAATTTGCCTCTAAGTAGTTCTTTGGCTATACTTCACAGGTTTGGGTATGGATTACTTTTATTTATTCCACTTGTAATTGATTTCTTATTTGGTCCATGAGTATGCAGAACTATATTTCTTAATTTTTAAACTTTTGGTGCTTTCTAATTATCCTTTTGTTACTTTGTAACACAATTACATTTTGCTCACAGAACATGAATTTTGTAGACGTTTATTTATGATTATGTGTGAGTACAATTTTGCACGTTCTATGTAAGTTTGGAAAGTGTGGTTGCCAGAATAATGATCTCCCAAAGATGCCTATGCCCTAATGCCTGGAATATGTAATTATGTTATAATATATACCACACATAAAAACTTTGTAGATGTGTTTAAGATTACAGACCTTGAAATGGGGAGATTATCACAGATTATCCAGATGGGCCCAATCTAAATATATGAGCCTGTGAAAATGGAGAAACGTCTTCTGCTAATCAGAGATGTGACAGAAGAGAAGACAAGAGAGATGAGTGTATGAACTCAAACACCATTGCTACCTCTGAAGACATAGGGCTCTATGAGCGAAGGGTTGTGAAGTGACCTCTAGAAGCTTAGAACAACCTCAGGCCAACAGCCAGCAGGAACAGGGACATCAGTCCTACAACTGCACGGGACTGAACTCTGCCAACAATCTACATTAGGCTAGGAGCAGATTCTCCCCCAAAGCTCTGAGTAAGAAAAACAGTCCTGGTACCTTGGTTTTAGCCTGGTGAGACCTGTACGGATTTCTGACCTATAAAACTTTGAGATAATAAGTTTGCGTTGTTTTAAGCTGCTGATTTGGTGGTATTTGTTATGGCAGCAATAAAAACTGAAACAAAAAGGATGTGTGTTTTCCAAGTATTGGATGCAGTATATTATTTATCCATTAGATAAAGTTTGTTAATTACACTTGGAAGATCAACTGCACAGTTACTTATTTTCTGTCTTATGACTAATGGAAAAAAGATAAAGGTGGATTTTTGTTTGTTTCTCTGTGTAAGTTTATCAGTTTTTGTTTTATATGTCTTGAAGCCACATTATTAAGTAAATAGTTATTAAGAATTGTTACAGCCGTCACATTTTTTTAATCCGCTCTAAAAATCTTTGTTTTTTAACTGGGTTGTTTAGTCTTGTGTACTTATTGAGATTAATGATTGGTTTGGATTTATTTATGTATTTATTTAGAGATGGGGTCTTGCTCTGTCGCCCAGGCTGGAGTGCAGTGGTGGGATCTCAGCTCACTGCAAGCTCCGCCTCCCTGGTTCACGCCATTCTCCTGCCTCAGCCTCCCGAGTAGCTAAGACTACAGGCACCCGCCACCACGCCCGGCTAATTTTTTGCATTTTTAGTAGAGTCGGGGTTTCACCATGTTAGCCAGGATGGTCTCGATCTCCTGACCTCGTGATCCACCAGCCTCGGCCTCCCAAAGTGCCGGGATTACAGGCGTGAGCCACTGTGCCCGACCCGGTTTGGATTTATTTATGCTCCCTTATTTTGTGCTTTTCATTTGTCCTTCCAATTCTGTTTCCTTTTTTTCCTCTTTCCTTGCCTTTTTTAAGGTTTTAATCATATTTCTCTTTTGCTCATTCTCTTTTTATTCTCTTCTAAGTTGGAAGTTGTATACTCTATGTATATACTTTTAGTAACCACCTGAACATTTTAATATAAATAATTATTTTTTAAAATACAAAGTTAATATTTTACCCTTCTCAAAAATAATATAAGGAACTTAGACTATTTTAATTTTGATCATTTCAACCCTAGCTTATTTCCTATTTTCTTCCTATATTTTAATTTGTTTAATTTAAAGAAAAAAATTTTTTTACTGAAAAAAAATAGGGGCAGGGTCTCATTATGTTTTCCAGGCTGGTTTTGAACTCCTGGACTCAAGCAATTCTCCTGCCTCACTTACATTTTAATTTTATCTTATTTTTTACTGATCCCACAAATTAGACAATTATTTTTTAAGTAAATTTCCACTGAGTTTTGACTGTATATTTATTAGGATTTTTTTTGCTTATCTTTTCTCCTTGAAAACTGTACTTTCATTTGGGATCATTTATTTTCTCTGCTTGAAGGATATCACTTGGAATTTTCTTTCTTAATGGTCTTTTAATAGAAAACTCTGATTTTGCTAGGATGAAAATATCTTTACTCTGCTCCTGGAAGTTAATTTTATTGGGTATACAATTCTATTTTAATATATTTTTTCCTTTCAGAGCATTAGATCATTTTGTAGTCTTCTGGATTGCATTATGGGTTGAAAAGCCAGCTGTTAATCTAAGTGTCATTCCTTTGGGAATACTTTCCATAGCTGGTTTTAATAACTCCTTGTCTTCAATGTTATGTAATTTTATTTTGTTGTCCACATATAAATTTCCTCTTGTTTATCCTGCTTGAGATTCCTTAGGCTCTTGGAATATGACAGTTGGTGTACTTTGTCAGTTCTGAAAAATTTTCAGCCGTTCTGTCTTGAATTTCTCATACATTTCTTTCACCTCTCTTGCCATAACTCTGATTAGGTATAAGTAAAATGTTTTCATCCCATATTCTGCATCACTTTCGCTTTAATATTTTCAATCCTTTAAAATCATTTTGTTCATCTGTGCTGCATTGTGAATAATTTCTTCAACTCTGTCATTGCACGAGTTCTCTCTTTAGCTGTATCTAATTTATCCATTCAGTTTTTATTTCAGTTATTTGATGTGTTACTTCTAAAAATTCCATTTGGTTCTTTTTCAAATCTACATGATCATTTTTAAGATTCCATGTGCCTTATTTTTATATTAAACATATTAAAATGCAATTATTTTTATTTGGAACCTGAAATTCCAACATTCTGTTGATCATTATTTTTCTTAGCTGTCATCCACAATATCTTGGTTTTTTTGCTTATTATTATTATTATTATCTTTTTACTGTGAGCTCAGATTTCATGGAGAGTTTGAAAGCCTTGGTTTAAGGTATGTTCTTCTACAGAGGGTTTAACATTTGCTTCATCCAGTTGCCATACACCATTTTATTTTATTCATTGTTATTATTGAGACAGGGTCTTGCTCTGTCACCCAGGTTGGAGTGCAGTGGCATGATCTTGGCTCACTGTAGTGTCGACCTCTTGGGCTCAAGAGATCCTCCTACCTTCAGCCTCCCGAATAGCCGGGACTACAAGCATGCACCACTACACCTGGCTAATTTTTATAGAGACAGGGTTTTGCCATGTTGCCCATGCTGGTCTGGAATGCCTGGGCTCAAGCGCATGTTGCCCATGCTGGTCTGGAATGCCTGGGCTCAAGCGATCCTCTTGCCTCAGCCTCCCAAAGTGCTGGGATTACAGGCATGAGCCACTGGGCCCGGAAGCCTTACACAATTTTAAATTAAATTTTAGACTTGACCTTTTTCAGAGTATTCTGAAAGTGTCATTTGGGTTGAATGTGGGCTGATTTATGGTTACGAAAGATTTTTTTTACCCTCTTTCCTGACCATTGTTAAAGTCAGGAAAGGCAACTTTCTTTTCGTCCCCCTCAGCAGGTCCTATTTGTAGTTCACTGTTTCTCTGATAATTATAACTCTTTAGGATCCCAGATTTATGCAAGGACCTCCTATTAGACTCATCCTAGGTAAGCTATAAATTTTATTTCCTGTTCCTCTTTTTCCATGCAGTAGTCAAAATGAAAGTTCAAAGTGACCAAAATACATCAGAAGCTCCCCAGAAAGAAAGGTGAGCTCATTGCTCTATGGGTTCCCACTTCCACTGTATTTGGGGCATCTGAAGTTTCCTTACTTTATTTCCAGCTCAACAATGCATTTCTAAGCAGGCTGTTTGTAATTTACACAAGGAGATCTGTTCAGGGTTTCTACTCCACCATATTGGAAAGGAAATTCCTTTGAACACAAATTATATTCATTTACAGTCTGAAGATTCATTGTTAAGCACTGGCATATAAAACAATAACAAAACCCAGTCCCTGCTTTAAAAAAGAAAATGACAATCTTGGTGGCCAGTTCCCTAGGATCTCTTTTTAGGAATACACAACATTTTTTTTTTACGCAACGTTTTATATGTTTGATTTGCCTGAGAAAATATAACCAATATTCTCTCAAAAGAGAGTGTAACAGTTACATAATGTAAGTGCATAAATGTTTTTTGAATAAATGCATGAATTAAATATTAATTGATGAATGAAACCAATTAGTGTTGGTTGTGTTATACTTGAGCCTTCTTTTACTGAGCCTAATGCAGCACAAGAAATATAGAGGAGAAGCCATCCAAGCGACTGAAAGAGAGCTGTATTTACAACCCCTGCAGTACTTCTGTTTCGTTTTGTTTTGTCCCTGCTCCATAGGTTTTGTTAGCTGTCTGTGGCACTGGTTCTGTAATGAGAACTGAGAGACATCAGTACATAACATATGTTCAACTGTTCCAGTTGGATTTAATTCATCACGTGCAGTAACAACTCTTTCCATCTCCTCCTAATCACTTCCTGATTCTATTTTATACTGCTCTGCCATGTGAAGATGAAGTCTAGTGACAGGCTGCCACACTGTGGCAGGGGTAGGGGTCGAGGGAAAGAGAAATCCTAGCGTTTCTAACCCATGCTTACAAATCCAGGGAGGAGTTAATTTCTATAAAATTCCTTAGCATGTGGAAACATCTTCAATTTAGTCTTGATGATTCTGATAGACAGGAATTGTTGGGAAGCCTGATGAATAATTAATCTACTACAATGGCAACGAGCATATTAATATTTTATATCACTGTAAAGCTATGTAAAACCCTCCTATAGTTGATAGGTAACTTGGGTTGGGCACAACTTGAAACCCAACTCGTTTCTTTACTGAAACGAGAGATTCTTCCTTTATCTCAAATATAATTATCCATTTAAATGTCATGGGTCAATTTATTAACACCTTATTCATTGGGGTGTAACCTTTATTAGGCTTTATTGTGACCAGAAATTATATCCTACACAAATACAATGGAGATTTAAACGTTCTGGAGAATGAGCTGATGGCTTCTGCCTTTATTGTGTCATACAGTAATGGACCTTGACCAGCAGAAGATTTGATAAGTATAAAATATTACTGCTCGATGCTAATTTGGTCCCTTTTTAATGACTGATAATCCTTGTCGATTTAGTGTGATTGTCACAATCCAGTACTGTTTCCCACCCCAGCTGTGACTGTAACAGGAGCCATTAAGTGTGTCTGCATAATAAAATTAGTCAGGGAAGCTGTGTACGTTCTTTCCAGGCTTTTGAATTTCCATTATAGTGGTGAGGCTTGTTGAAGTGAAAAGTCTGCTGTGAACTCAACCCAGTTCCCGGCTCCCTGGATGCTAAGCAAAACACTGGCGATGTCCGCATTAAGAAATCTGTTCTTCAAGTCCTAGAAAATTCATTGTATATAAATAGGAACCATAGATTTTGGGCTAGGAGAGATGGTTTGGTCACTGATTTGCCTAACAAAGCTTTACACAATTCCAAAGCTTAAATACATAACAGGTTTTTCACAGCCGAAATTTGTAAGGGGAAACCTCTCTTCGATGTGGAGATTTATCTCTCTATTGGGAGGTTGCTGTATTAAAGAAGTTGGAATTGCTTGACATCTTTGAAAATAATTTAAATGTGTGATTTGATCCCACTACCCCCTTGTAAGGATTTATGGAGCTTGAAGGGACAGCAGAGATAAGGACCTCATCACTATGTAACGGCAGTGAAATAAACAGGTGCCCCTGCCTCATTGCCCTTCCCATTCCCTAAGCTTATATTGGATCAAGTTCAGATTCCTTTCTCCTAAAGCTGCTCTGACACAAGTCCCCCGGGAACGATCTCCCTGGAGCCTGCCAAAAAAAAGTAGAGATTTTGTACCAGAGAAGGGTCTGTTTTGCTACTGAACTAAGTAGCGCTCATTTTAACAGCCCAGAAACGTATATTCTAAATGCTCAGAAAGTCTGGATTGAAAGCAAGAAGGTAATCAAATGTGATGGCAACTTCAGACCTTCCTAGCAGAGGACCAGTTAATGCTATTATTACGTGACATTAGCTAAAGTTTTTTTGTTGTTGTTGTTACTGTTTACTCATCCCTCTGGAGTCATTAAAACTTGGGTTATTAGAAATGAGAGTACTTTCTCAGCGTTCGACTATAGAGCAAGCAACCATTCATTTTCAACACTGTTATAGTAAACCAACAGTTCATGGTTTAAAACAGAAAAAAAGTAAATTAATTAAAAGCAAACAAAAACATGCCTGTATAATAAACTGTATGTTATCATCTCTCCTCTGCAGGCTTTCTCTATTTGATCAGAGAATATTAAGCAAAGCTGAGATTTGTTCCATGAAGGATTATAGCATGGTGGCTTGGCACCCTTTTTCCATCTGCAAGATCCATTCTTCCCCTCTGGGTTTCAGCCTCTTTCTCTCCCCCTTGTCTGATCAGTGTTGTTGCCTCTCTAGGCAGAGGCAAGAGTTTCTGCCCCCAGCCAGCGGTCTCCAGAAAGTAGAGCATTGCAGGGTCTTTTGAAGAGTGCTTTTGAAGAGTGCAGGAGGTAACCCAAGAGCAGCCTGCCCTTTCTCTATCCCATAGGATGATTGTTATGTCTGTGAGGCTTGATGAGGACACATCTTCTCAATGCCAGAGTAACCTGCAAGGGCTGCCTTAATTTCCAAGTGGTAGGTCTCTTAGCCAGACTTCTTGTGATAGTGATAACAAAGGCTACATTTTCCTAGAAACATAGCTTGTCATTTTCCCACCTTGATGCCTACTGCTACTCCCTATTTACTTGTCTATCCCCCTGTAGATTACAAACTCCTTGAAGGGACTGTCTTGTTCATCCTCATGTCTCCAACCCCTAGCACAGAGCCTGACCATGATTAAGCATGTAATAAATATTTGTTGAATAATCCATTGCTCTCTCTGGTCTTTCTACCTTTCTGAAAACTGCCCATCCTTAAAATCCCAGATTAAGTCCTCCAGCCTTTTCAGATAATTCCACCCTGGAGCAGTCCCTCAGATGCACAACACTTACTGTCTATATGGCTCTTTGAGATGTTTGTCAGGAAAGTAATTCTAGCATCTTTATTATTGGTGTTTTGTGTTGCAGATTAAGCTTTATGGGACAAGTATCTTGTCTCTAACTAAATTGCAAAATTCTTGATAATTCCGTGATCGTTTGGTGGTACCTCACAGTGGAATGGTCTCTTGGATCAGTGTTTCACCCATGAGAAGTGTTTAATAAATGTTAGGCATTAGTTCATCATGACTACCCTGACACCTCTCATTTAGTAAATATGTACGAACTGATGAACAGATTAATCATGGAAAATCTGATAAAGCATACCAGTGAAAAAGCCCTCCCCTTGATTTTAGGTAACTTGCATTAGAGCCAAACTATAAAGGTACTGTTTTATAAATGTGTACCATCCATTTTCCTGAAGAGAAGAACAGAAACTCACTCAAGCAAGTAATATGATGGAATGGGGGATGTTGGGGGGGGAGTTGGTCAGTAACTGAGAGGAGGAACTCAGGAACAATGGTCAGAGCAGGCCCTGTGGAGACAGGGAGTGGGCTCAAGGCAGCCTCAGCAGCCGAAGGTCCTGGGTCTTCTGGGGCCCTGCCAGCCGCTGTCCTGCACTCTCCTTCCATCTCCACCCTTGCATGTCTGCTTGCCTCTTTTCCACTGGCTTTCATTCTATCTCAAAGCTTCTGCTCATTCAAGCCTTTAGTTATTCATAACTTTGGCGCTTCACAGTCCCAAATGTCTCGTTGGCCTTTCTCTCCCCCAACTGTAGAAATAGAGCTATAAGCCCCAAATTATTTAATTCAGCCTTGGTTAAAATTATAATTGAGTCCATTTGTCATACCTTTCAACAGTCTTTAATAAAATACTTTAAGTGAAGAACTGTTTGACACAAGAGATTTTGAGAATGCAAAATACTAGGATAGCCATGATCTTTTGTTTAAAAAGAGAAGGAAACCCTCTCTCTACCAAAAATACAAAAATTAGCCAGGTGTGGTGGTATGCACTGGTAGTCCCACCTACTTGGGAGGCTGAGGCAGGAGGATCACCTGAGCCTGGGGAGGTGGAGGCTGCAGTGAGCTGAGATTGTGCCACTGCACTCCAGCCTGGGCAAAGGAGTGAGACCCTGTCTCAAAAAAATAAATAAATAAAAAATAAATGATAAAGAAGATTGGCCTATATTTACATACTAACTTTCACTAACCTTAAGGTAAATCCATATGTATTTTCTGTATTTTCGTCAACTGAAAAGTTTCAATCTACATTTAAACTAAGAAGACCAAAGGACTTTCGTATGATATTCAGAGATTTGCTATAACAGTTCTGAGGAGCACTGACCTGTAACCTTGAAGTTATAAATATTTGTTAGTGAAAACCACATTTATTAGAATTTTTGTTGTACAGAATTGGATTTGTTTGTCGTACAGAATGGGAGACACAAACTATGTTTACTCACCAAACCTGTGTAATTACCACTGAACAAGACCTTATTCATTTAACCATAATTCACTCAGCAAATATAAGTGGTGCAGATTTTTTCACTTAAGAACCTTTTTAGAGTCATTTGCCCTTGCAAAATTATCTTGCAAGTAAAATAAAAAGTGACTCTGGTGAATAGTCTTGTAAAATGGTTCCCGATGATCCCTGCTTCCTGGTATTCACACTCTGTGTAGTACCTTCCCTTTGAGTGTGAGTTAAACCAGTGACTTACTTCTACTGAATAACATATGGCAAAACGGAAAGGATGTTATGATGGAATTTTTTGTTGTGTCAACTTCAAACACTGGTCCAGGTGTTTCTGTGAAGGTATTCTGCAGATGTAATTAAAGTTCATAATCAGCTGACTTTAAGTAAGAGAGATGATACAACATAATTGAGGTGAATGGGATTCAATCTATTGAAAGGCCTTAAGCAGGGCTGAGGCTTCCCTGAAGGAGAAGAAATTCCACCTGTCAACAGCAGTTCAGCCCATGCTAACAGTTCCTTTCTAACGGCCTGTCCTACAGATCTCCGATGTGCCTAGCCGGCCCCCACAATCAGGTAAGCCACTTCCTTGCAGTAAATCTCTTCACATTTATCTCCTACTGCTTCTGTTCCTCTGGTTGAACCCAGGCTGATACACATGTCACTTCTGAGATAAAGTGATAAGACTGTGACTTTCAACTTGCCTGCATTCTCTCCCTGGCTTTTCTAGCACGGCTGCTCTGACGTAGAGGGCCACCTGGCAAGACACTGGGGGAAACCTCCAGCAAAGAGCCAGAAAGGAACTGAGGTCCTCCGTCCGACAGCCTGTGAAGAACTGCAGCCTGCCAATAACCACGTGAGTTTAGAACTGGATCCTACTCCAGTTAAGGCTTGAAATGACTGTAGCTTCAGCCAACACCTGACTGCAGCCTCATGAGAGACCCTAACGCAGAGGACCCTGCTGTGCATAACTGGAAACTGTGAGATAATGTTTATTGTTGTGTATAACCACTAAGTTCTGGGGTATTTTGTTATGCCACAACAGATAATTAATACAGATTGATTCAAACAAGTTGATTTTTAAATACAGTGCAAAATGTCATTCTTCCAGATAAATTTTTAGCCACTGATAATACTTCCATATTTCCCGATTCATTATCTTAAGAGAGAAAATTTAATTGGTTCAACACATTTAAATAAAAACCTAATAACAGCCTGATCATGATCCCTGGCTGTCTTTGGGTCAGGTGCCTATCCCTAGTCTAATTAGCTATGGCCAGGGTGGGAGGGTGGCTGAGACATAGAGCTCCATGATTGAACCAAAGGCTGATGTTCTGCAAAAGCTGTGAGTGAGATAGTTTCTCTTAGAAGAATCGATGAACCCCAATAGGGAATCATAATGTACATGCCTAACAAAGAGCCAGAATCACAGAACTGTAAATATGTCAGCTAACGGCGATATTCAAAATATTTAACCAACCATCCAGCAAGGACACCAACCCGAGTGGTCAGTTGGCCAATCAGAATGGATGCTAGCAGTATATCATGCTTGTGTGTGCAGATGAATACCAGTCCTGATATAAGCCCAGACACCCTCATGCACATTTATTTTCTTCAAGTATTTAGGCACCAAAAGTGCTAAGAGAATAGGACACAGGTCTGTTGAGTAAACAAAGTTTATATCAAAAAAAGAGGTAAATATTTAAAAACTGAGTTTGTCAAGTAGTGTCTCCCTTTCATTCCCCTTGCAGATAAACTTTCAAACCGTGGAATATTTCTCCACAACCTGAAGAATCAGGATCAAGCTCTCAAAATCCCCTAGTGCGTGTTTCTGACAGGTCGTAGGGGTGACCTCTTGAACATGACCAAGATTTTTTGGTTGCTCATCCTATCATGATGTCCTGGGCATCTTTCAGAAATGGAACCCATATTGATGGATTCAATGTATGCAAAATTCCACTATCTACCAGATAGCTGTGCTTTCTTCATTTTGCAGGTAGAAACAAGGTTGTAGATTAGATTATGATACAGCAACTATTCACCTCCTCTCACACTCCCACTTTCCTGGAAAGAATGTGCTTCCCTGTCCCTTTGATGCTGAGCTTGGTTCTGTGACTTGTTTTGGTCTCATAGTAAGTAGAGTGTGCTGTCCTGCCTCTTGACCTGGGCTTAGCCGTCCCTGTAAGTTGTTTTGGCCAATGGGCTGTTAGCAGACATGATGTAAGTCTTGAAGCAAGGTTGCATTAGCTTCACTATAGCAAGAACAAGCCTTGAGTAACCTCTTGTTTAAGGAGGAGGAGACAGGCAGAGAAGTACATCCTAGATCTGGCTTGGAGCCAGAGCAACTGAGTCCTAGATGACCCACAGATATGTGACAAATAAATGGTGAAAAAAAAAAAAGTTTGCTTTTTTTCATTTGTTTTTTAATCAGTGCTTCTCCAGATAAGATTTTTGTTCAGCCTTTGCTAAGTACATTCCTCCTGACTGTCGCAAGGTTATTATTATCTTTTTGGCCAAGACAATGTATTTAACTGTGGCCTTGCAGTGTAACAGAAAAACTCTTCACAGATAAACAGGAGGCAGTCGCAAGGAAATCCCGCATGGCCTGCACCACACGCCAAGCTTCAAGTAGCAAATCCACAGATGTGCCCACAGAAGTTTAAGAGGCAGCTTAACAGATGTACAAAGCTGCAGATCAGAGGGGATATAAAACAGTTAAACTTGCTTAAAGGCACAATATGTCACCATCTAACAGTTCCATGCATCCTAAACCCCACCGAGGAGAAACATGCGCGGGCCCCTGGCTGTCGGCATGCGAGGAAGATTACAAAAACGCCACGCTGTGATGTGTTGCCCTTCTGCCTGAAAAGCTACTATTAAGCTGAGTATTTACTGCACCTATTCAGACAGGAGCGGCAGAGCCGAGTGCTACCTGTCTTCTGGTTGGATAAATTAGTTGTGGGTGTCACAAGATTATATAGCTGCCTATTGTTCTGTCTCCTGAAGGTGGTAAGAGACAAAAGCCCCCGGCCTGCCCTTGTAATGTTTCGTGTGAAATGCAGGAGGCAGCCTCTTTTCTTCCTGAGTTAATGGCAAAACAAGATCTGGACTGACTATATTAGAGTTTGGGGAATAATTAAAAAGACAACACATGGTAAAGAGACGGGGGAAAGCGTTTATTTATAGCGGGAGGGCACGTAGAAAGGAACCTGGCAAAATCCAATTTGGGAATCATGAAAGGTGAGCTCCCCGTGCCACTGTACATAAATTGGTGCTGTAATCAGAACAGAAACGCTCACTAGTCAATGCAGAAATGATCCTCCATTTGTTCAACTCCTCTCAAAATATTTTTTATATAATTTGTTTTGCCCGTACATTTCCATGATATATGGAGCTATGAACTCTAAATTAGTATTAACAGAAATTGACAAGCTCTGCGTTAAAAAATATCAGCCAGCCGGCCAGCCCTACGGGCTTAATTATGAAGGGAGGGTGTGAGGAGCACAACAATCTTGCTTCGAAATTTTACCACATGCAATATAAATAAAAGATTATCTCATCCACTAGTAACCTTACAGATCAAAAGCAAAACAGAAAAGTGACTTTACTGGCATTTATAATTATTTATATTGCCTGAACAGTTTTGTTGTATTTTGACAAATCCAACATTTCTGATTTTTTGTCGTAGGGCAGAAGGGGTGGTGGCCCTACTTTGTGTATCCAGAAAATCACTCCAATTAATATAATATACACTTTAAATGGAGACAGTTTCCCCACATGTCAGACAAGACCATGTAGATTTATTCTTCAGCAGTCATCTGTTGAGCCCCTACTATGTGCAAGCATTATATGGGTGCTTTTTGAAAAGTGCCCGTTATAATACCTTTAATAGGGTTTATATTCTGTATCTATCCTGAGTTATTTGCTTATTTTTTCTTTCCAAAAATGAACCCCAGGGTGGGCATGGTGGCTTACGCCTATGATCCTAACAATTTAGGAGACCAAGACAGGACGATCCCTGGAGGCCTGGAGTTCGAGACCAGCCTGCTCAACATAGTGAGACCACATCTCTATAGAATTTTTTTTAAGCCAATTGTAATGGATATGTACTGGAATTTTTTTTTTAATGTCATGATCTCATCAACACACAAATCAGAAATGAGCTTAGACTTCAGCTTTGATGTTCAGTTCCATCGCTGAAACCCCATTTTCCCAATTGGTTGTCATAAGAAATGTCTCTGTTTTTTTATTTTTATTTTTATTTATTTATTTTTTGGGGGGAACAGAGTTTTGCTCTGCTACCCAGGCTAGAGGGCAATGGTGCCATCTTGGCTCCCTGCAACTTCTACCTCCCAGGTTGAAGCGATTCTCATGCCTCAGCCTCCCGAGTAGCTGAGACACATGCCACCACGCCCAGCTAATTTTTGTATTTTTTGTAGAAATGGGGCTTCGCCATGTTGACCAGGCTGGTCTCAAACTTCTGACCTCAGGTGATCTGCCCATCTCAGCCTCCCAAAGTGCTGGGATTACAGGCGTGAGCGACTGTGCCCGGGCTTCTATGTTTTATTTGTCATTTTGGACATTTTTTCGTGCTGCCATACAGTTACAGCTACCATATAATCAGATTAACTCAGGACATTGTTGATTTGCTTCCACTGTCCAGATTATTTATTAACAACCCTCAATAGTGTCCCAGTTTGGACAATAAATTATATTTTAACCTCCATATGATGTGCTTTTTTTCTGTAAAAGTGAGGAAGTAGTGAATGAGCGAAAGCATGAGTGAGTGAATATGTAGGTGCATAGGTGGAGACTGAGAATTAAGGCCAACACCAAAATTTGCAGGCTCAGATGATCTCCTAAAGTATGCTGCCAGAGAAAATTAACTTGAACCAAAAATGGAATCTCTTTCAGATTAAAGCAAAGGTTTTCAACCTCGAAACTATTGACATTTTTGGCCAGATAATTATTTGTTATGGAGCTGTCCTGTGCATTGTAAGATATTTAGCAATGTCCTTGGCCTCCACCACTAAATGCCAGTAGCACTCCCCACCCCAACTGTGACAACCAAAAATATCTCCAGACATCACCAAATCTCCCCTAGGGAAGGGCACAATCATTTCCAGTTGAGAACTAATGCATTAAAAAATAGTTGTAAAATACTTTCTATCTTACTAAAGACAATTAAGGAAAGGAAGACATATTGAAGAATAGAAAATATCAGGGCATTCTACAGATATCCAATATCATGCACTTTTTAAAGTCTAAAATGCAAAAAAAAAAATTATTTAAAAATTTAAAATGCATGTAAGACTGGGTGTGGTAGCTCACGCCTATAATCCCAACATTTTGGGTGGCAATGGCGAGAAGATCACTTGAGGCCAGGGATTCGAGACTAACCTGGGTAACACAGTGAGACCCCTGT
Source organism: Homo sapiens (assembly GCF_000001405.40). Taxonomy (NCBI): domain Eukaryota; kingdom Metazoa; phylum Chordata; class Mammalia; order Primates; family Hominidae; genus Homo; species Homo sapiens. Next base: position 59,809,875 of record NC_000015.10, on the reverse strand, counting down.
CTCTATTTTTTTTTAATTGGCCATGTGTAGTGGCTTGTAGTCCTCTAGTCCTAGCTATATGGGAGGCTGAAGTAGGAGAATTGCTTGAGCCCAGAAGTTCAAGGCTACAGTGAGCTATGATTGTGCCACTGGATTACAGCCTGGGCAACAAATGAGAGCCTGACCAAAAAAAAAAAAAAAAAAAAAAGCATATAATATATGAAACTACTGAGAACTCAAAAACAATTCAGGTCCTGGGTTTAGTCCCCATTCATTTATTTTGCTTTGGGGGTCCATACATAGTAATTCCTTTGATTGCTTATATGCTGATAGACATGAATCCAATCAATTCATGTTATTTTATCGTCTCTTTTTTTTTTCTGCTAAGATATTTGAATTAGCTTTTTTTTTAATACTTTAAGTTTTAGCGTACATGTGCACAACATGCAGGTTTGTTACATATGTATATATGTGCCATCTTGGTGTGCTGCACCCATTAACTCGTCATTTAACATTACGTATATCTCCTAATGCTACTCCTCCCCCTCCCCCCACCCCACAACAGGCCCCAGTGTGTGATGTTCCCCTTCCTGTGTCCATGTGTTCTCATTGTTCAATTCCCACCTATGAGTGAGAACGAGCGGTGTTTGGTTTTTTTGTCCTTGCGATAGTTTGCTGAGAATGATGGTTTCCAGCTTCATCCATGTCCCTACAAAGGACATGAACTCATCATTTTTTATGGCTGCATAGTATTCCATGGTGTATATGTGCCACATTTTCTTGATCCAGTCTATCATTGTTGGACATTTGGGTTGGTTCCAAGTATTTGCTATTGTGAATAGTGCCGCAATAAACATACATGTGCATGTGTCTTTATAGCAGCATGATTTGTAATCCTTTGGGTATATACCCAGTAATGGGATGGCTTGGTCAAATGGTATTTCTAATTCTAGATCCCTGAGGAATCGCCACACTGACTTCCACAATGGTTGACCTAGTTTACAGTCCCACCAACAGTGTAAAAGTGTTCCTATTTCTCCATATCCTCTCCAGCACCTGTTGTTTCCTGACTTTTTAATGATCGCCATTCTGACTGGTGTGAGATGGTATCTCATTGCGATTTTCATTTGCATTTTTCTGATGGCCAATGATGATGAGCATTTTTTCATGTGTCTTTTGGCTGCATAAATGTCCTCTTTTGAGAAGTGTCTGTTCATATCCTTTGCCCACTTTTTGATGGGGTTGTTTGTTTTTTTCTTGTAAATGTGTTTGAGTTCTTTGTAGATTCTGGATATTAGCCCTTTGTCAGATGAGTAGATTGCAAAAATTTTCTCCCATTCTGTAGGTTGCCTGTTCACTCTGATGGTATTTTCTTTTGCTGTGCAGAAGCTCTTTAGTTTAATCAGATCCCATTTGTCAGTTTTGGCTTCTGTTGCCATTGCTTTTGGTGTTTTAGACATGAAGTCCTTGCCCATGCCTATGCCCTGAATGGTATTGCCTAGGTTTTCTTCTAGGGTTTTTATGGTTTTAGGTCTAACATTTAAGTCTTTAATCCATCTTGAATTAATTTTTGTATAAGGTGTAAGGAAGGGAACCAGTTTCAGCTTTCTACATATGGCTAGCCAGTTTTCCCAGCACCATTTATTAAGTGGGGAATCCTTTCTCCATTTCTTGCTTTTGTCAGGTTTGTCAAAGATCAGATAGTTGTATATATGCAGCCTTATTTCTGAGGGCTCTATTCTGTTCCATTGGTCTGTATCTCTGTTTTGGTACCAGTACCATGCTGTTTTGGTTACTATAGCCTTGTAGTATAGTTTGAAGTCAGGTAGCGTGATGCCTCCAGCTTTGTTCTTCTGGCTTAGGATTGACTTGGCAATGCCAGCTCTTTTTTGGTTCCATATGAACTTTAAAGTAGTTTTTTCCAATTCTGTGAAGAAAGTCTATTAGTAGCTTGGTGGGGATGGCATTGAATCTATAAATTACCTTGGGCAGTATGGCCATTTTCACGATATTGATTCTTCCTATCCATGAGCGTGGAATGTTCTTCCATTTGTTTATATCCTCTTTTATTTCATTGAGCAGTGGTTTGTAGTTCTCCTTGAAGAGGTCCTTCACGTCCCTTGTAAGTTGGATTCCTAGGTATTTTATTCTCTTTGAAGCAATTGTGAATGGGCGTTCACTCATGATTTGGCTCTCTGTCTGTTATTGGTGTATAAGAATGCTTGTGATTTTTGCACATTGATTTTGTATCCTGACACTTTGCTGAAGTTGCTTGTCAGCTTAAGGAGATTTTGGGCTGAGACGATGGGGTTTTCTAGATATACAATCATGTCATCTGCAAACAGGGACAATTTGACTTCCTCTTTTCCTAATTGAATACCCTTTATTTCCTTCTCCTGCCTAATTGCCCTGGCCAGAACTTCCAACACTATGTTGAATAGGAGTGGTGAGAGAGGGCATCCCTGTCTTGTGCCAGATTTCAAAGGGAATGCTTCCAGTTTTTGCCCATTCAGTATGATATTGGCTGTGGGTTTGTCATAGATACCTCTTATTATTTTGAGATACGTCCCATCAATACCTAATTTATTGAGAGTTTTTAGCATGAAGCGTTGTTGAATTTTGTCAAAGGCCTTTTCTGCATCTATTGAGATAATCATGTGGTTTTTGTCTTTGGTTCTGTTTATATGCTGGATTACATTTATTGATTTGCATATGTTGAACCAGCCTTGCATCCCCAGGGATGAAGCCCACTTGATCATGGTGGATAAGCTTTTTGATGTGCTGCTGGACTCGGTTTGCCAGTATTTTATTAAGGATTTTTGCATCAGTGTTCATCAGGAATATTGGTCTAAAGTTCTCTTTTTTGGTTGTGTCTCTGCCAGGCTTTGGTATCAGGATGATGCTGGCCTCATAAAATGAGTTGGGGAGGATTCCCTCTTTTTCTATTGATTGGAATAGTTTCAGAAGGAATGGTACCAGCTCCTCTTTGTACCTCTGGTATAGCTCGGCTGTGAATCTATCTGGTCCTGGACTCTTTTTGGTTGGTAAGCTATTAATTATTGCCTCAATTTCAGACCCTGTTGTTGGTCTATTCAGAGATTCTACTTCTTCTTGGTTTAGTCTTGGGAGGGTCTCTGTGTCTAGGAATTTATCCATTTCTTCTAGATTTTCTAGTTTATTTGTGTAGAGGTGTTTATAGTATTCTCTGATGGTAGTTTGTATTTCTGTGGGATCGGTGGTGATATCCCCTTTATCATTTTTTATTGCGTCTATTTGATTCTTCTCTCTTTTCTTCTTTATTAGTCTTGCTAGCAGTCTATCAATTTTGTTGATCTTTTCCAAAAACCAGCTCCTGGATTCATTGATTTTTTGAAGGGTTTTTTGTGTCTCTATTTCCTTCAGTTCTGCTCTGATCTTAGTTATTTCTTGCCTTCTGCTAGCTTTTGAATGTGTTTACTCTTGCTTCTCTAGTTCTTTTCATTGTGATGTTAGGATGTCAACTTTAGATCTTTCCTGGTTTCTCCTGTGGGCATTTAGTGATATAAATTTCCCTCTACACACTGCTTTGAACGTGCCTCAGAGATTCTGGTATGTTGTGTCTTTGTTCTCATTGGTTTCAAAGAACATCTTTATTTCTGCCTTCATTTCGTTATGTACCCAGTAGTCATTCAGGAGCAGGTTGTTCAGTGTCCATGTAGTTGAGTGGTTTTAAGTGAGTTTCTTAATCCTGAGTTCTAGTTTGATTGCACTGTGGTCTGAGAGATAGTTTGTTATAATTTCTGTTCTTTTACATTTGCTGAGGAGTGCTTTACTTCCAACCATGTGGTCAATTTTGGAATAGGTGTGGTGTGGTGCTGAAAAGAATGTATATTCTGTTGATTTGGGGTGGAGAGTTCTGTAGATGTCTGTTAGATCCGCTTGGTCCAGAGCTGAGTTCAATTCCTGAATATCCTTGTTAACTTTCTGTCTCGTTGATCTGTCTAATGTTGACAGTGGGGTGTTAAAGTCTCCCATTATTATTGTGTGGGAGTCTAAGTCTCTTTGTAGGTCTCTAAGGACTTGCTTTATGAATCTGGGTGCTCCTGTATTGGGTGCATATATATTTAGGATCGTTAGCTCTTCTTGTTGAATTGATCCCTTTACCATTATGTAATGGCCTTCTTTGTCTCTTTTGATCTTTGTTGGTTTAAAGTCGGTTTCATCAAAGACCAGGATTGCAACCCCTGCCTTTTTTTGTTTTCCATTTGCTTGGTAGATCTTCCTCCATCCCTTTATTTTCAGCCTATGTGTGTCTCTGCACGTGAGATGGGTTTCCTGAATACAGCACACTGATGGGTCTTGACTCTTTATCCAATTTGCCACTCTGTGTCTTTTAATTGGAGCATTTAGCCCATTTACATTTAAGGTTAATATTGTTATGTGTGAATTTGATCCTGTCATTATGATGTTAGCTGGTTATTTTGCTTGTTAGTTGATACAGTTTCTTCCTAGCCTCGATGGTCTTTACAATTTGGCATGTTTTTGCAGTGGCTGGTACCAGTTGTTCCTTTCCATGTTTAGTGCTTCCTTCAGGAGCTCTTATAGGGCAGGCCTGGTGGTGACAAAATCTCTCAGCATTTGCTTGTCTGTAAAGGATCTTATTTCTCCTTCACTTATGAAGCTTAGTTTGGCTGGATATGAAATTCTGGGTTGAAAATTCTTTTCTTTAAGAATGTTGAATATTGGCCCCCAATCTCTTCTGGCTTGTAGAGTTTCTGCTGAGAGATCAGCTGTTAGTCTGATGGGCTTCCCTTTGTGGGTCACCTGACCTTTCTCTCTGGCTGCCCTTAACATTTTTTCCTTCGTTTCAACTTTGGTGAATCTGACAATTATGTGTCTTAGACTTGCTCTTCTTGGGGAGTATCTTTGTGGCGTTCTCTGTATTTCCTGAATTTGAATGTTGGCCTGCCTTGCTAGATTGGGGAAGTTCTCCTGGATAATATCCTGCAGAGTGTTTTCCAACTTGGTTCCATTCTCCCCGTCACTTTCAGGTATGCCAATCAGACGTAGATTTGGTCTTTTCACATAGTCCCATATTTCTTGGAGGCTTTGTTCATTTCTTTTTATTCTTTTTTCTCTAAACTTCTCTTCTCGCTTCATTTCATTCATTTCATCTTTCATCACTGATACCCTTCCTTCCAGTTGATCGAATCGGCTACTGAGGCTTGTGCATTTGTCACGTAGTTCTCATGCCTTGGTTTTCAGCTCCATCAGGTCCTTTAAGGACTTCTCTGCATTAGTTATTCTAGTTTGCCATTCGTCTAATTTTTTTTCAAGGTTTTTAACTTCTTTGCCATGGGTTCGAGCTTCCTCCTTTAGCTCGGAGTAGTTTGATCATCTGAAGCCTTCTTTTCTCAACTCGTCAAAGTCATTCTCTGTCCAGCTTTGTTCCATTGCTGGTGAGGAGCTGTGTTCCTTTGGAGGAGGAGAGGCGCTCTGATTTTGAGTTTCTAGTTTTTCTGCTCTGTTTTTTCCCCATCTTTGTGGCTTTATCTACCTTTGGTCTTTGATGATGGTGACGTACAGATGGGGTTTTGGTGTGGATGTCCTTTGTTTGTTAGTTTTCCTTCTAACAGTCAGGACCCTCAGCTGCAGGTCTGTCGGAGTTTGCTGGAGGTCCACTCCAGACCCTGTTTACCTGGGTATCAGCAGCGGAGGCTGCAGAACAGTGAATATTGGTGAACAGCAAATGTTGCTGCCTGATCGTTCCTCTGGAAGTTTTGTCTCAGAGGAGTACCCAGCTGTGTGAGGTGTCAGTCTGCCCCTACTGGGGGGTGCTTCCCAGTTAGGCTACTCGGGGGTCAGGGACCCACTTGAAGAGGCTGTCTACCCGTTCTCAGATCTCCAGCTGTGTGCGGGAGAACCACTACTCTCTTCAAAGCTGTCAGTCAGGGACATTTAAGTCTGCAGAGATTTCTGCTGCCTTTTGTTTCACTATGCCCTGCCCCCAGAGGTGGAGTCCATAGAGCCAGGCAGGCCTCCTTGAGCTGCGGTGGACTCCACCCAGTTCAAGCTTCCTGACTGCTTTGTTTACCTACGCAAGCCTGAGCAATGGTGGGCACCCCTCCCCCAGCCTCGCTGCCGCCTTGCAGTTTGATCTCAGACTGCTGTGCTAGCAATGAGTGAGGCTCCGTGGGCGTAGGACCCTCCGAGTGAGGCATGGGATATAATCTGCAGCTGTGCCGTTTGCTAAGACCGTGAGAAAAGCTCAATATTAGGGTGGGAGTGACCCGATTTTCCAGGTGCCATCTATCACCCCTTTCTTTGACTAGGAAAGGGAATTCCCTGACCCCTTGCACTTCCCGGATGAGGCAATGCCTCACCCTGCTTTGGCTCATGCTCGGTGCACTGCAGCCACTGTCCTGCACCCTCTATCCAACACTCCCCAGTGAGATGAATACGGTACCTAAGTTGGAAATGCAGAAATCACCCGTCTTCTGCGCGTCGCTCACGCTTGAATGAGAACTGACGAGGGTTTGGAAATTATCCTCTTTCCTTCCCAGCTCCTCCCTAATTTCTAAATGCCAGCTTTTAAAGTGATTTTGGAAACATATTCAATTCTAATGCAGAGATTCAGCCTAATCTTTGAGTACAGTGCTGAATAAACCACCCTCACAGTGCATGTTTTCACTTCATTTCTTCTTGCGGCTTTCCTGAATAAACTAGCTTAAGCAATATCTTTACTCAAGTCCTATGTTCATTCAGTCCCTGATAGTTTAAAAGAATTAGCTTACTTCTTAGCAAAATTGTACTGATATCTGCAAAATTTTATTTAGTTCTGGTATAATTACTCAATGGGTAGGTTTGAGTTGTGGATACGGGTGTGAATAGACCATGACCTTCACTTTCCAGGAGCTCACTTGTCCAGCAAAATTACCAAGCCTGCCACTTATGTAATTTTAATATTCTAATAGTCATATTTTAAAAAGCAAAAAGAAACAAGTGAAATGAATTTTTACAATATATTTTGTTTAATCCAATGTATCCAAAGTATGTAATTGATATAAAAATTACTAAAGAGAGGTTTTTACATTCTTCATTCCTTGTTCTAAGTCTTCAATATCCAGCACATTGAACACATCTCAATTTGGATTAGTACATTCTTTCTTTCTTTCTTTCTTTCTTTTTTTTGAGACAGTCTCACTCTGCCACCCAGGCTGGAGTGCAGTGATGCAATCTCAGCTCACTGCAACCTCCACCTCCTGGGTTCAAGCAATTCTCCTGCCTCACCCTCCCAAGTAGCTAGGACTACAGGCATGCACCATCATGCCCAGCTAGTTTTTGTATTTTTAGTTTCACCATTTTGGCCAGGCTGGTCTCAAACTCCTGGCCTCAAGTGATCCGCCCAGCTCAGCCTCCCAAAGTGCTGGGATTACAGGTGTGAGCCACCATGCCCAGCCTTGGATTAGTACATTTCAAGAGCTCAATAAATCACATGTGGCTAATGGCTACTGTGTTGAACAGTACAGATCTGGGGCAGTGGTCTCCAAAGTGTGGTGCCCCTTATAGCTCATTGGAGCTTGAGAAGAAAATATATTTTTTGGGATCAGGTTAAATTTATAGGCTAACTGGGAGATAATTGACATCTTTATGATGGTAAATCTAAGACTATAACATGTCTTTCAATTTGTTTAAATATCCTTTTTGTGTCTTTGAGGTTTGTATCTTATATGTATTTTACAAATTTTGAAAGCTAATGTCTAAGTATCTTACATTTTTATTGCTATTGTAAATAAGATTTTTCTTCCTTTATTTGCTAACTGGTTGATATTTATATATACAGAAGCAACTAATTTCTGAATAGTCATACTGAATTCAGTTTTAATGGCTTTTCCATTTATCTTCTTAGGTTTTTCAAGTATCATATCAACTGCAAATGTGATGATTTTATGTTTTCCTTTTTAGATGGTTTCTTAGCAGGATGGCTGTGACTCAGGATCTCTCATAAAATTTAAGTCAATCTATTGGCTGAGGCTGCTGTCATCTGAAGGCTTGACTGGGCTGGAGGATCTACTTCCAAGAAGGTGCACTCCCATGGCTATTAGCTGGAGGCCTGCATTCCTCAAAGGCTCTTGGCTAGAGGCCTCAGTTAATTCCTGACCATACGGGCCTCTCCACAGGGCTACCTGAGTATCCTCAAGACATGGCAACTGGCCTTCCCCAGAGACAGTGATTCAAAAATGAGAAAGAGAGGCTAAGATGGAAGGCACAATACTTTTTTATAAATTAGCCTTTAACATCTTTCAGAGGTGGAACTTAATTCCTCTCCCTTTATGTGTGGGCTGGATTTAGTGAGTTGATTCTCATAGACAGAATAAAACAAAGCACAAGTGTTTATTTTTTTTCTTGTACTTCCTGTAGTTTTACCTTTGTGAATATTGATATTGTGTTATTCAGTGCTTCTATCTGCACTGTTAATTGCACTTTTTAACAAAATTGAAAGCCCATTTTGACTTATTTAATGCTTTGTCCTGTATTCAACCTTGTCTGATATTAAAATGACTAACTTGTTTTCTTTTTGTTTGCATTGTCTGGTATATTTCACTCATCCATTTGTTTTCAAACTTTCTGAATTGCTTGCTTTAGGGGTGTTTCTTATGTACAGCATAAACTTTAGATTTTCTTTGTGATGTATTCTAAAAGTTATTTTCTTTCAATGGGTGAGGTTAGTCCATGTATGGTAACTGATATGACAAGTTTTGTATTGCTTCTGTCATACAATTTTATATTGTGTTTTTCTATTTTATAGTTTTATAAAATTTTTAACATATGCTCTACTTCACACATTTTATTTTTCATGATAAATAGGAAGTTTTACATTTTTATAAATATTTACCCTTAAATTGTAAGTTTGCCTGATAATGAATCTTGGATTTATTTAGGCAACATGTATTACTTATTCCAAGAATAAAGAAATGTCTATGTATATATTTTCTCCTATTCTTTTTTCTACCATCCAATTTCTTGTTTTTAAAATAGAGATGGGGTCTCACTCCATCACCCAGGCTGGAGTGCAGTGGTATGATCATAGCTTATTGCAGCCTCGACCTCCTGGGCTCAAGTGATCCTCCTGCCTTGGCTTCCCAAAGTGCTGGGATTACAGGTGTGAGCCACAGCACCCAGCCACTACCATCTAATTTTTGTAAATTATTTTATCTTTCTTAGTGTTCTTTTTTGTACTGTTAGATTTACTCTTGCCCATATTTTTTAATATTAAGATGATATTCTTTAATGTGCAACTACTAAAGATGAGAAAATCACATCACAGTTTTATGGATATAAATTTGCTTAGCCTTTACTTTCCAGCTGATTTAACACTTACCTCCCAACTTATGTTACTTATATCTTGTCTCCTTTTTTACTGCATCTAACACTTACTTTCTGTTCTGTAATTCTAACCACACATTTGTTTTCGTCTTAGAGCTGTTACAATCAGGGATCCTGCAGGTTCCTTTCCTCTCATGGCTTGATTGGCTGAAGTTTGGCCTCTAGGATATTCCTCAAGAGGAGATTAAGAATATATTCTCTGAATTCTTGGATATTCAAAAATATTTGATTTTTTTTTTTTTTGAGACAAAGTCTTGCTTGTCACGCAGGCTGGAGTGCAGTGACGTGATCTTGGCTCACTGCAACCTCCGCCTCCTGGGTTCAAGTGATTCTCCTGCCTCAGCCTCCTGAGGAGCTAGGACTACAGGTGTGCACCACCACACCCAGCTCATTTTTGTGTTTTTAGTAGAAACAGGGTTTCACCATATTGGCCAGTCTGGTCTCGACCTCCTGACCTTGTGATCCACCCACCTCGGCTTCCTAAAGTGCTGGGATTACAGACATGAGCCACCATGCCCGGCACCTTGACTCTTTTTCTTATAGCCAAATAACATATTTAGGTTGCACATTCCTTCCCTGAAGATGTTGTAGGTGTTACTTCACTGACTTAGGCATTGATTACTGCTATGGAGCACTCTGGGGCCAGCACACTTTTGTCTTTTTTTTTTTTTTTTTTTTTTTTTTCAGATAGAGCCTTGCTCTGTTGCCCAGGCTGGAGTGCAGTGGTGCGATCTCGCTCACTGCAAGCTCCACCTCCCGGGTTCATGCCATTGTCCTGCCTCAGCCTCCCAAGTAGCTGGGACTACAGGCGCCTGCCACCACGCCCGGCTAATTTTTTGTATTTTTAGTAGAGTCGGGGTTTCACCGTGTTAGCCGGGATGGTCTCGATCTCCGGACTTCGTGATCCACCTGCTTTGGCCTCCCAAAGTGCTAGGATTACAGGCCACTTTTTTCTTTTATAAATGACTCTGCCCAGATGCCAAAAAAAATGTTGTTTAGTTGTTGTTTTGAAGTCCAGTAACTTTCCTATGATATGTCTCAGTTGGCTCTTCTGAGCCAATTTCCCTAGAATATAGTGTGCTCTTTCTTATGTAGATACAAGTCTTCTTTCATTTTGGGGAAGTTTTTAAAATTATATTTTTAAGTATTTAGTTATAATTCAACATTTTCTTCTTCAGCAACCTGAAATATGTGTATATATAATCTCCTTGTGCTTATCTTCGTATCTTCTTCCTTTTAATCCTTTTAACTCTATATTTCTTCATTTGTCTTCGATTTTTACTTCATTTGTCTTGACTTTCCCCCATTTCCTTTTCTTCTTTTTCTTTTCTTTTTTTCAGGCAGGATCTCCCTCTGTCACCCAGGCTGGAGTACATTAGTATAATCATAGCTCACTGTAAACTTGAGCTCCTGGGATCAAGCAATCCTTCTACCTCAGCCTCTCAAGTAGCTGAGATTACAGGTGTGCACTACCATGCCCGGCAATTTTTTTTTTTCTTTTTTTTGTAGAGATGGGGTTTTGCTGTGTGGCCCAGGAATGGTCTTGAACTCCTGGGCTCGAGTGATCCTCCCACCTTGGCCTCCCAAAATACTGGGATTACAGGCATGAGCCGCCGTGCCCGGCCTTTCCTTCCACTTCTATCCTTTGTGTTCCCTGCTGTGATTTTAGTGGCATCTAGTCATTTTGGTGCTTCTTCCAATTTCACTTTCATTTCTGTCATGATTTTATTTTTTTCCTTCAATCTTTCTCCCGAGTTCTGCTAGATCACATTTCACCTCCCCTCTGTTGCCTCATGAGCTCTCTCTTGAGCTTTTTTTTTAAGATAGCGTCTCACTTTGTCACCCAGGTTGGAGTGCAATGCTGTGATCACAGCTCACAGCCTTGACCTCCTGAGTTCAAGCTATCCTCCCGAGTAGCTGGGACCACAGGCACAGGTCAGCTAATTTTTTTTTTTTAATCATTTTGTAGAGATAGGATCTCACCATGTTGCCCAGGCTTGTCTCAAACTCCTGGGCTGAAGCAATTCTCTTACCTTGGTTTCCCAAAGTGCTGGGATTACAGGTGTGAGTCACTGTGCCTGGCCTCTCTTGAGTTCTTGTATCTCTGATTCTTTCTTCATAGAATCAATTGCTTCATTTTTTAGATTAATAGCAAAAGGTTTGGTCATAATTTTCATCTACTTTATGAAGATAATTTTCTGGTGCTTGCCTACCACTTGTTTTATTTTTTTCCTGTCATTATATCATCCACTATTGGTTTCTTTTTGACTTTCATCTGCGTGAGATGACTCTTCCCTGGACCGAATATTTGCAAAAGGTCATGTTGGGGAAGAACCAGAGCCAACTAGCTATTCTTATATTGCAGAGTTTGCTGTGTAAGTAAGTTTCTCTCAAGTTGATGGGGTGAAGTAGCTATGAGTTTTTTCCAAAGCAAAGTTACTTTTCTCCCCTCTCACAGAGATAGACTGTTTCCTGCAAGTATGATTTGTGTCTGTGATTTCTCTTTTAGCCTTACTTTTTATGTTTATGAAATAAAACCAGGTATAAGGGTACTCCTACTGCCAGGACGTACACTCTGTTTCTGCTATTGCACACCAGGTGTTAAGTTCTGCACCTCTCAGGGTGCACCCCTACCTTTGAGATGTGTATTTTGTCTTTTTCCAAAATCTGTTCAGCAATGTCTTCTATCTTCATGCATTCCTAAATCATCTCCACTACTTTGGTAACACTTGCATTTATTTTATAGTTTGGTGTCCTAGCTATTTTTGTTTGTTTTACCAGAAATGGAGTTCGTTTGTTTCTTTCTCATTCTCCTTACTGCTTTTGAGTAGTTTCCAAGAAGAAAAAGAAGAGCTGGCTTTATGTTTTCATCTAGAAACCCAAAACCTCTTATATCCTTTTAAATTGACTATTGTCTGGATATGTTTTATAATGCTGATAATATATTAAAATGTGTAAAATTCATATATGAATATCTGATATTTATATACAAATTTATAATATATACTCTATTAGGTTGCATGTGCCATCCAAATTTTTATTTATAATTGGTCAAAAAAGTGTAGAGAGTATTGAAGTCAAGAAAATTGAGTGTATTAAATGCTATTCTAAAAGTAGATAAGGCTATTGGTCCAGAGAAAAGTAACATCTCCCTCTTCTAATAAGCGTAGGTAATTATCACATACTATTTGAGCAGTGTGCACTGGGCGGGGTTGGGGGTGGGGAAATGGCTTGAGAAGTAATATCTGAAAGAAAAGTAATAATAACAACATACTGTTGACAGTTTTGCAATTAGATAGCATAATGTTTTGCAAAGCACTTCATATATTTGATTTGCTCTTCCAAATGACCCTTTAAAGAAGATACCATTTTGTCCTTTTCATAAGTACAAAAATTGCGGCTCACAGAGGTTAAGTGATTCACTAAAGACTACACAGCTGAATGTCAAACCCTGGTCACTGGAGTCTTCAATTGTTGCCTGAAATTCAGGGAGGGATAATGTCCCCTTGGTGGGCTGTGGACCCATACAAAAGCAAATCCTATACCTAAGAAGCTGCCAAGTCACAGAACTTTCCTGATAAAAACACATTAATCCTGATTTCTTTTTTTAATAAGACAAAAGCAGAGAAAGATATCAATTTTTTCAAATACTTGAAATAATCTTTTAAAAATTCTCAGGTTGGCTCCACAGTACAAAGAGGAGGTATATTCATCTTTTAGTTTATTTGATCAATGTATTTATTCAAGACAGGTAACTAAACCCAAAGAGGATTTTAGAATGAGATATTACATGTCTTATTTTCAACTTATTCAGTATTCAGATGACCAGTGGCTTGGGATCAAGTCAATTACTATTCGAGAGTACATCAAATAACCATCAGTTAAAATGTCAGAATAGCTTCATTCTTTTGAAATAAACTGCCCCTTCCATAATTTATTCTGATGCTTGGTGGCCAGATGCTATGCAATAAAATAATTAAAATTTCTATCACTTCTAAATGTAGCTTAGGCATAGCCAGGTGGGTGGTATTTTATTGATTTATTAGTGCAGTCAGAGTGCGTATGTGTGTGTGTGTGCATGTGTGTGTTGGGGAAGACATGAGACAGTTGTGATAGATTAGCTGTGGTCAAAGATTTCAAAAGATGTACAAAGAACATTTTTGGCTAGGCATGGTGGCTTACACCTGTAACACTTTGGGAGGCCGAGGCAGGCAGATCACCTGAGGTCAGGAATTTGAGACCAGCCTGGCCAACATGGTGAAACTCCATCTCTACTAAAAATACAAACAATTAGCCGGGCATGGTGGTACATGCCTGTCGCCCCAGCTGCTTGGGAGACTGAGGCAGGAGAATAACTTGAACCCAGGAGGTGGAGGTTGCAGTGAGCCAGATCACTCCACTGCACTCCAGCCTGGGCGACAGAGGCAGACTCTGTCTCAAAAAACAAACATACAAACAAACAAAAACAAAAAGCATTTTTGAGTTAGATACTATGTAACAACCATGACCAATTGCTTTTATAAATTTATGAACTCTTAACTATTTGAATAAGATTGTTTTTAAGATAAGTAAAAGAACTCCACTCACAGATGGCAGACAGATTTTCTCCAATAAACATTTTAGTAATAATATTCAAATTCCAGGCTTTGGAATAGTGGGATATCTCTCCCTCAGAAATGTTCCTTTCTAAAAAGTGTTCACTTTTTCCTGTTCAAAGAAAAATCAAACAAAACTACAAGAAGGAAGGAAGGAAGAGAAAGAAGGGGAAAGGAAAGAAGGAAGATTCCATTGGGAAATATATATCTATGTATTTAGGATTTCATGTGAAACTAAAAGTTGAGAAGAGGTTTTTAAATATAAAACTATCACCCAGCTATGCGCACCTAATTCTACAGGCTCCAAAATGGCTAATTAAAACTTAACTGTATTGCTTAGTTAATTCAATTGACAGTTAACCCCAGGGAATATTTTGGCAGTTAATTATATACATTGACAATTTTTATATGGCAGGTATAAATTTATAGTGATACAACTATAAAATCCCACCCCAGCAACCAAATTTTTGCAGGTCCAGATTAATCTTAATCAGTAGTAAGAAATGTAATTGGGCTAGTTTGACTAGTGATTATTCCTATAGTGCTTCAAAGAGTTTGTCATTCTTATGAATTGTTTTTCTGCAGCAATGCAATCTGCAAAAAGATGTGTATTTCTAGAGAGGACACTGGACACTGATGAATAAATACGAACTTTCTCTCTCTCCCTCTGTCTCTCTTTCTCTCTCTCTGTCTCCCTCTCTCCCTCTCTCTCTCTCTCTCACACACACACACACACACACACTTTAAAGTTAGATTTCTACGCACCTTCAAGTTTATTCAGTTTCAGACTCTTAATAAGTGATTATACTGAGCCCAAGAACTTGCTAGATTAAAAATATGATGGAGAAATTTACAGCAAATTCATATTTATTCATCACAGTGTCCTCCCTAGAAATACACATCTTTTTGCAGATTGCATTGCTGCAGAAAAACAATCCATAAGAATGACAAACTCTTTGAAGCACTATAGGAATAATCACTAATCAAACTAGCCCAATTACATTTCTTATTACTGATTAAGGAGACAAGACTTTGAAGATCTAAAACAATTACAGAAATAAGACAGAACCAAATCAGGTCCCAAAATACATTGGACTCTGGAGCCGGATTAGTGTGAGTTCTGGGGTTTCAAGGAGGAAGTTAGTCTGTGGTTATGGAAAGAATTAGACATTTGAGTGGTTACAACCTGGTGTGATGAGCACTAAGGTGAAGTCAGATACCCAGGCATGGGAAATACAAAGAAAGCAATGTGTAACTCACGCCGGGGGAGACAGGGAAGGCTTCGCTAAGAACATGACATCTGAGGTTAGTTTGAAAAGACAAAGAGTCTGTCAAGAGGAAAAAGGAGGGCACAGTGCACAAGGCAATGGCAGACAGCATTTTAAAAGGCTAAGAAGTTTGGACTTTGCTTGTAAATTACTGGGGCCATGAGAGTTGTTCAGTAAGAGGAGGACATGGTCAGAGCTGAGTTTTGGAAAGACTCTCTGATTGCAGAATCCAGAGAAGGATTATGTTACAGACAGGAGGACGACTTCAGAGGTGTCAGAAATGATAGGACCAGAACTAAAGTAGTTGCTATAGAGGCAAAGGTCAGAAGATCCCCTGGCCACTGCGTAAACCTAGACTAGGGATTTTTTTGTTTTAACTGGTTTTAAACAGTTGTTTTGGAAGGCACGGGAAGACAGATTATTAATGTTTGCTTTCTTCCAAATTATGGAAGATTATTCCCTGTCACCATCTACTTTGCAGGGTCTATGGTTTCCAAGCCAAATCAACAAATATTTATGGGGCAAAATACTTGTGCTCAGCCCTGGGAAGATTCTATTTCTGTGCTGCACAAATTCCACTCCAGCCATTTGGAATGGGAATTAGAAGTTGTCTGCACCAGTAAGCACCCTACATTGGCAAAGCAATCATTTATGTAGCCTGTGTGGGAGAGAAGAAAAAAATTAGTGTGTTTTTCATTACCAAGTGAATTCCATCCATCTGCCCCTTACCAGTGAATTAAGTGTAAATAAACAAATACAACCAAGTTCAATGGTAACCTTTAGTACCTTCCATTAATCAGAGTAAAAGGGTTTTTTTTCTGGGGTCTTCACGGATTCTATAGAAAGAAAAATGGTGACAAGAGGTCAGTTTAGCTACAACTCTATGACACTTTGTCAATATGGTATTGGCAATTCAGTAATGGTGAAAAATAAGGGCATTATTTAGGTGTTAGGAGTTAGTAAATAGATTATGTATTATGTTGTCTGTCATCAATCAGAACCCAAACCGCCAATAAGACAACAGCTGCCTGAATAATTTTCCTGCAAATGCCTAAAACAGTTTGCTTGCACACTTTCTCTCACTCTCTATCTCCCTGTGTGTGTGTGATTGTGTGTGTGTGTGTGTGTGGTATTAGAAAATGTTATACTACTTAAGGTTGATGAATGTAGGAATTTATTAACAGGAAATGAAAACTGATAGGTATTTAATATTTAATGTGAAATAATCTACTATAACATAAAAAACTCAAAATAATACTAACTGTTTTAATTGTCCATGATAATTAAACTGTCACTATGCTCATTAAAAAGATAGGTGAATAGTAAGTTATTGACACAAGCTCTTCAAATAAAATGGACTCATTTTAAACCTAAATTTAACTTAAATTGAAAGATTGCCTGCCTCTCTCTCTCTCCTCTCTCTCTCTCTTTAATTTTTCTTAGTGTCAGCATCAAAATCTGTTTTTATCTGTGTTTAACAGGGATACGCCTAAAGTCACTGAGTCAGCATGCAGTAATAAAAATTCCTGCTAATAAAATCTTTAATTTCACTACAGGGAAAGGTTTATCAAATACGGGACATAGTGAGAGACCTGTAAGTTAGCTATTTGGGAAGTGCATGTGTGGGTGTGTATGAGCTTGTTTATTTGTCTCACATCATACACTTAAATAAATTTTGGATGGATTCAAATTAAAATTTGTAGTCAAACACAGACAGAATGTTAAAAATAAATATGTATCAAATATCTTAAGGAGAAAGAAAATGCCTGGACTTCGAATTTTGTATTAATATTTATCCTCTCCTTTTCTATCCTCATTTTCCATTGCTTCCCATTGTATACTTTTCATCCGGATAATGATGGCAGCGGCAGGCCGTCTGGAGTGGCCACTGCCATCACGCCGGCTGTAGCAGGGAGGCACGGCAGGGGCTGCACTCTCCATGGAGCCACCCAGAGCCAGGGACAAGTGGGAGCCCCTCCCCTCCCAAGTCGGGGTGGGAGCTTTCTGGGTGCCGCTGGAGCCACCCAAGCCACGGCTGCAGACATGAGACTTCCTGTGCTCTTGGGACCTGGGAGCAGGCAGGAGCCCCACCCTCCCGGGCACAGCTGCAGCGGCGCAAGTTGCGGCTACAGACCCAGACATCTCTTTACTCTTGGGGACCCGGAAAGCCTCCCCCGACACCTCCCTCCCCGCCCTTGAAGGCTGGAAGTACCTGCTCCAGCTGCCTAGCTTCTCCCTGATGTCAGCGCCCACTCTGATCTCAGGGCCAAGCCCAGGCACCGTCACAGCCTTTCCAGGTGTGCACACACTCAAGGCAGTTCTGACACACCAGCCCCCTGCTGCCTTGACCCCCTAGAGAAGTTGCACGTGAGAATACAGAGGAAAGCCAAGGGGGTCCTGAGAGCAGCTGGGGGCCGGCTTGCAGGCACCCCTTGGCACCTACAACCTGGGCTCCATGAACACAGCAGGAGGTAGACAGGTTCCTGGGTGGAAGGAGGCAGAACCCTGGTGAGGCCCTACCTTCAAGGCCAGGGAGGGCCTAATGGCTGGGGGCTGGGCTGCCAGTCCCCAGGAGTAGGAACTTGTGATGCCTTTTCTAGGACCACCCATGGCCACCCATGGACCAATCAGTATGCACTTCCTCCCCTCTGAGACCCATAAAAGCCCTGGGCTCAGCCAGAACTGCAGACATCCGGAGGACCAGCTGCAGAGAGAAGCCACCCACTCCAGGCCTCCTCTCTGCTGAGATTTGCAGACATCAGGACGACCAGCTGCAGAGAGGAGCCACCCACTCCAGGGCGTCCTTTCTGCTGACAGCTGCAGAGATGACAGGACAACCTGCCTGCAGAGAGGAGCTTCCCACTCCAGGGTTTCCTCTCTGCTAGGAGCTGAACACTCATCAGGACACCCTGGCTGCAGAAGGGAACGGAGCTTCCCAAAGCAGATCTCTGAGCTTCCCACTGCGGGTCTCCTCTGAGCTGCTCTATCGCCGATAAAGCTCTTCTTCATCTTGCATAACCTCCACTTGTCTACATACCTCATTCTTCCTGGTTGCAGGACAATAATTCAGGACCCCTCAAATGGCAGGGTTAAAAAAGCTGTGAAACCAACATGCCTGAAACATGTTCCTTTCTTGCCATTTTGTGGGTGAAGAGAAGGAGAGAAGAGTTGCTGCCTTTTGGAAAGCCCAGACTGGGGAGCTCCCAGAGCCAGGGCTGTGGCTTCCTCTTTGGGGTCTTTGGTTCTTGGTGTCTCCAAGCTTCCAGGCACCACCACATTCCCCAGTGCCAGCCAGGGAAGCTGCTTACACTGAGCCTGATCCAGCTGCAGTCTCGTAGAAAGCTGGCACCCACGCCAGCACCTGGATCTGCCTGCTCCATGGCAGCAGCCAGCATGTCTAACTGCACAGTGGCCGGACCCCATGCTCGCTCACACACCCCTTGCCACTCCACACCTGACTCACAGTCTCCCTTGGAGGCTTGGGATCCAGGCCGGTAGTGTGATCCAGGCACAGCCTGCCAGACCAAGTGGGTGGAACAAGCCCAGGACTCCCAAGCAAAACTCAGGCAAAGCTGCCACCAGCTACAGGTTTCCAGCCAGAAAATGACACCCCAAAGATTCCATAACAATAACAATTTCAAATGCCCTGTGAACACCAAGCTGGTTCACAGTTCCTTGTCTCTGGAACACTTTAACCTCTTATTTGGCTAGCTAATGTGCACTCATCCTTCAAGACTTAGTTCATGCGCCATCTTCTCCAGGAAGCCATGCTTGTCATCTCCTCTAGGTCTCCATCCCACCTCTGCCTGCTGGAAGTTGAGATCAGGAGTCTGCCTTTCCTAGTTCCCTGAACCTACCACGTTACACCAAACCAGCATGATTTATTGACTAGCCCTTCCTTTCCCCACTCATCTGTCATGTCATTTCTGTAATATATTAAAGTTCTGTATGCAGGTGGGTATATTTCTGTTCCACTGGTTGATTTGCCTATCCCTGTGTTAAATACTACACTGCATGAATTGCCATAGTTTATTATAAGTATTTTTATTATTTTGAAACAGGGTCTCACTCTGTCACCCAGGCTGGAGTGCATTGGTGCAATCACGCTCACTGTAGCCTCGACTTTCCAGGTTCAGGTGATCCTCCCTCCTCAGCTTCCTAAGTAGCTGCAACTACAAGTGCACACCATCACACCCGGCTAACTTTATGTATATATTTTTGTGTGTGTGTAGAGACGGGATTTCACTATGTTGCCCAGGCTGGTCTCAAACTCCTGGCCTCAAGTGACCTGCCCACCTTGGCCTCCCAAAGTGCTGGGATTACAGGTGTGAGCCACCATGCCCAACCTAATAAGTCTTTATGGGGCAAATCCGTCTCTTTATTTTTCTTTTCAATATCTGTATTAGTCCATTCTCATGCTGCTAATAAAGACATACCTGAGACTGGGTAATTTATAAATGAAAGAGGTTTAATGGACTCACATGGCTGGGGAGGCTTCATAATCAAGGCAGAAGACAAAAGAAGAGCAAAGGAATGTCTTACATGGCAGCAGCAAGAGGGCATGTGCAGGGGAGCTCCTCTTTATAAAACCATCAGATCTCGTGATACTTATTCACTATCATGAGAACAGCATGAGAAAAGCCTGTCCCCATAATTCAATTACCTCCCACTGGGTCCCTCCCACAACACGTGGGGATTATTACAATTCAAGGTGAGATTTGGATGGGGACACAGAGCCAAACCATATTATTCCACCTCTGGCCCCTCCCAAATCTCATGTCCTCACAGTTGAAAACCAATCATGTCTTCCCAAGAGTCTGCCAAAGTCTTAACCCATTTCAGCATTAATGCAAAAGTCCAGAGTCCAAAGTCTCATCTGAGACAAGAGAAGTCCCTTCTACCATGAGCCTGTAAAATCAAAAGCAAGTTAGTTGTTTCCTAGAAACAATGGGGATACAGACATTTTTAAAACCCTAGCACTTCAACTTCCTTGAAAATTTAGCTAAGCCCGCCCCTAACTTATGTGGTTTTCAGGGAAAGCGCGAAAGTGGGATGCCTACATAACTTATGTATAAATGCTTACAAATAATAAATCAAGCTTACAAATTGACACATAAAATATGTTCTATCCTTGTACTTTTAAAGTATTCCTTCATACAACAAGGTAGAAAATTGTGTGTTAAACTATTATTTATATATGACTAAAAGTTGACAAAATACTAAAAAGAATTGAGGTTTTTTGTGTTTTGTTTTGTTTTGTTTTGTTTTTTGAGATGGATTCTCACTCTGTTGCCTAGGCTGGAGTGCAGTGGTGCAATCTCGGCTCACTGCAACCTCTGCCTCCCAGGTTCAAGCGATTCTCCTGACTCAGCCTCCTAAGTAGCTGGGACTACAGGCGTGCACCACCATCTACAGCTAATTTTTGTATTTTTACTAGAGACAGGGTTTCACCATGTTGGCCAGGCCGGTCTCGAACTCCTGACCGCAAGTGATTCACCTGCCTCAGCCTCCCAAAGTGCTGGGATTACAGGCATGAGCCACCATGTCCAGCCTGAAGTGAATTATTATTGCACATACCTGGGTATTCTTCTGATAGGCTAGTGAGGCTTGGCTGATAACTAAAATGGGGGCTTACATAATTCACAAATTATTATAGGTTTTCTATCCTAAAATTGTTTTTCTTGCCTTCCTTTCAGAAAAATTACTATGTTGTAATCAAGATGTTCACATAATTTGTCTTCTATTAACATTAATGATTAAAAATAAAATGCATTTGCAGTCACAGCGTACATGCAAATATAATCCATCAAATTAAACACTTAATTCAAAATTATTTTCAGAAACTAAAATTTTCTAATGCAATTTTTGAAAATTTTACTAAATATTATCTATTTGTATAGCATAAAATCATTTGTAATTTAGTGTTCAATGTCTCTGTAGTTTCTAATGTAAAGAATCCTTATCTATCCCATTTCATACATGGTGTATCAAACCTGCAGATCTAACACTAAAAGACTAATACAAATTGTTTAACATTGGAAAATTTTCTCTGCAGGTGAGGGCATCTGTTACAAATACTACTGCTGATTTGTGAGTCTCTTCAAAACCACAAACTGAAACAAAAAGAGAAGCAAAGAAACAAAACAAAACACATGATACTGAGCAATATTTTATTGTGTGAGAATCTATGGCATTCAGTCTGAAAAAAAGGATTTAACAAGGTGATTCATTTTTTTTTTTTATTCTAAAAGTTTCCATTCCTCAAATCCTCTCTACCTTCCAAAGCAGTATCTATCTCCAGGATCTGTGATGTCACAATCCACACCTCACCATATCTGGGCTTTATCACCCTGTGTTTAGATGCTGCTCAAACAAGCACAAGGGTTTGTTTCTCTGGGACCTTAATGGAGTTAGTCACAAAGGTGGCTACACAGGACTTGGTCATGCTATGCTGGTGCTAAGCACGTATCTTTAACATATTGTGAGTGTGTGTTGTGTGCATGTGCTTGTGATATGAGGGTCTTCTCTTACCTGGGCCTAAAACTGCCAGATAGACACACATAACATGCAGAGTTGCTGTTAGCATTTGTCCTCAGGTCACCACCCCTCCTCTTGCTGCTAACCCACTTTGGCTTCATCCCACCCCAGCTCACATTTTGTTACTTTTTCTATTTGAAAGACGGGGATCTTTACAGACTTCTACGTCTTGTATAATTAACAATATCTCCAAGAGTATTACTCTTCTAGGGCTTAAATCCAGGCCTCTTTCACTGTTCCGCAGTCAAAGGTTCCCTGGAGTACCTAGCCCACCATAATTTCAGAAGTGGAAGGCCCCCAACCCACTATGCTGAAATTTTCTATGCCATTATATCTTCATACAGATTGCGAGCTCATGGAGGCAGAGGCAGTATGTTACTTATATTTAAATCCACCACAATGTCTGCCACATCATATGCACTTAATAAATATGGAAATAAAATGACTAAGAAAGTCACAAAAGAAGGTAGACTTGATTTCATAAAAGTGAAAAGTTCCATATGTCAAGAAAATTCCCAAAAGCCTTAGGAAAATATCTGCAGTAAATATTGCAGAGGGGCTTCTTCCATCTTATGTTATAGTGAAAAGACAGACCACTGTACAGGAAGCAGGCCCTCACCAGATACCCATTCTGCCTGAGTCTTCATCTTGGACTTCCCAGCCTCCAAAACTGTGAGAAATAAATTTCTGTTGGTTATAAACTACCCAGTTTATGGTATTTTGTTATAGCAGTTCCAGTGGTCTAAGACAACTTTCCAAATCTGACTCACTGCAACAAAACTTATAAAAGATTGAGTGGTGGTTGGATCATCATGGCGGATGGGAAGCAGGACTAGACTGCAGCTCCGGAGAGAGCAGCTCGCAGAAGCTCGCATTGTGAATTTTAGCTCGAGATCGACTGCAAGAACAAACCAGCAATTCCCGAGAGGACCCACAGAACCTCTGAAGGAAGCAGACTGCTCCTGCAGGACCCAGGAGACACCCCAAATACTGTGAGTGCCCCAACTGCGAAAGTGGGAAAGGGAAACCCGCCTCTCCTCAACACGCACCCCCACTGGGGAAGCTGAAGGTCTGTTTGTGGGAGAAGTTTCTGACTTTATGTGAAGCTGAGTCAATTTAGAGAGCTGAGAAAAATACAGGGGTAGAGGAAGCAGCAGAAAGGCCCTGGGAGCTCGCTGCGTCTCATAACAGGCCAGTGCTGCTTGGCACCACAGGGATCCATTGGGAGGATGACCAGAGGAGCAGGGGGTAAAACTCTACAGGGAGAAGGAAATCTCCAGCTGAACTTTGTAACAATTTGAATGGAGCGAGAAGCCTCCTGGCCAGAATGAGGGAGTGCGCAAATCCGGTGTGCAGACTCCACAGGCCAGGGAAGAACCAAGTCCTTTGCTTTCACACCTGGGAGGCAGATAGCCCAGGGCAAGTTTTCAAGCCCAGTGCTGTTGGCTGGGGCATGATGGGAGTGAGACCAGCCCTTTGGTTTGCATGGGAGCTGGATGAGGCCTGTGACTCCCAGCTTTCCCCCACTTCCCTGACAACCTGCATAACTCAGCAGAGGCAGCCATAATCCTCCTAGGTATACAACTCCAGTGACCTGGGAATCTCACCCCCATCCCCCACAACAGCCACAGCAAGACCCACCCAAGGAGAGTCTGAGTTCAGACATGCCTAGCCCTGCCCCCACCTGATGGTCCTTCACTATCCAGCCTGGTAATCCCACTTTTTGATGGGATTGTTTGTTTTTTTCTTACTGATATGTTTGAGTTCATTGTAGATTCTGGATATTAGTCCTTTGTCAGATGCATAGATTGTGAAGATTTTCTCTCACTCTGTGGGTTGTCTGCTTACTCTGCTGACTGTTCCTTTTGCCATCCAAAAGCTCTTTAGTTTAATTAGGTCCCAGCTGTTTATCTTTGTTTTTATTGGATTTGCTTTTGAGTTCTTGGTCATGAAATCCTTGCCTAAGCCAATGTGTAAAAGGGTTTTTCCAATGTTATCTTCTAGAATTTTTATAGTTCAGGTCTTAGGTTTACGTCCTTAATCCATCTTGAGTTGATTTTTGTATAAGGTGAGAGATGAGGATCCAGTTTCATTCTCCTCCATGTGGCTGGCCAATTATCCCAGCACCATTTGTTGAAAAGGGTGTCCTTTCCCCACTTTATGTTTTTGTTTGCTTTGTCAAAGATCAGTTGGCTGTAAGTATTGGGGTTTATTTCTGGGTTCTCTATTCTGTTCCATTGGTCTATGTGCTTATTTTTATACCAGTACCATGCTTTTTTGGTGACTATGGCCGTATACTATAGTTTAAAATCAGGTAGTGTGATGCCTCTAGAATTTTTATTTTTGCTTTGGCTATGCAGGTTCTTTTTTGGTTCCATATGAATTTTAGAATTGTTTGTGAAGAATGATGTGGTATTTTGATGGGGATTGCATTGAATCTGTAGATTGCTTTTGGCAGTATGGTCATTTTCATAACGTTGATTCTACCCATGCATGAGCATAGAATGTGCTTCCGTTTGTTTGTGTTATCTATGATTTCTTTCAGCAGTGTTTTGTAGTTCTCCGTATAGAGGTCTTTCAACTCCTTGGTTAGGTATATTCCTAAGTATATGATTTTTTTTTTTTTTCACAGCTATTGTAAAAGCGGTTGAGTTCCTGATTTGATTCTCTGCTTGGTCCCTGCTGGTGTATAGAAGAGCTATTGATTTGTGTACGTTAATCTTGTATCTGGAAACCTTGCTGAATTCTTTTATCAGTAGAGTTTCTCTTTTATCTGGAGGGGTCCTTAGGGTTTTCAAGGTAAACGATCATATTGTCAGCAAGCAGTGACAGTTTGACTTCCTCTTTACTGATTTGGATGCCCTTTATTTCTTTCTCTTGTCTGATTGCTCTTTTTAGAACTTCTGGTACTATGTTGAAGAGGAGTGGTGACAGTGGGCATCCTTGTATTATTCTAGTTCTCAGAGGGAATACGTTCAAATTTTCCCCATTCAGTATTATGTTGGCTGTGGGTTTGTCATAGGTGGCTTTTATTACATTAAGGTCTGTCCTTTGCATGCCGATTTTGTTGAGAGTTTTAATCATAAAGGGATGCTGGATTTTGTCAAATGCTTTTTCTGCATGTATTGAGATAATCATGTGATTTTTGTTTTTAATTCTGTTTATGTGGTGTATCACATTTATTGACTTGTGTATGTGAAAACATCCCTACATCCCTTGTATGAAACCCAGTTGGTCATGATGGGTTATCTTTTTGATATGTTGTTGGATTCAGTTAGCTAGTATTTTGTTAAGAATTTAGCATCGGGGTCCATTCCAAGATGGCCGAATAGGAACAGCTCCAATCTGCAGCTCCCAGCATGATCAACACAGAAGATGGGTGATTTCTGCATTTCCAACTGAGGTATCTGGTTCATCTCATTGGGACTGGTTGGACAGAGGGTGCAGCCCACAGAAGGTGATCCAAAGCAGGGAGGTGCGTTACCTCACCCGGGAAGCGCAAGGGGTCGGGGGATTTCCCTTTCCTAGCCAAGGGAAGCCGTGACAGACTGTACCTGGAAAAATGGGACACTCCTGCCCAAATACTGCGCTTTTCCTATGGTCTTAGCAACTGGCAGACTAGGAGATTCTCTCCTGTGCCTGACTCCACAGGTCCCATGCCCGAGGAGCCTCGCTCACTGCTAGCACAGCAGTCTGAGATTGACTTGTGAGGCAGCAGCCTGACAGGGAGAGGGGCATCCACCATGGCTGAGGCTTGAGTAGGTAAACAAAGTAGCCAGGAAGCTCGAACTGGGTGGAGCCCACCACAGCTCAACAAGGCCTACTGCCTCTATAGACTCCACCTCTGTGGGCAGGGCAGCTGAACAAAAGGCAGCAGAAACTTCTGCAGACTTAAACGTCCCTGTCTGACAGCTCTGAAGACAGCAATGGTTCCCCCAGCACAGCGTTTGAGCTCTGAGAATGGACAGACTGCCTCTTCAAGTGGGTCCCTGACCCCTGTGTGGCCTAACTGGGAGACACCTCCCAGTAGGGGCTGACAGACACCTCATATGGGTGGGTGCCCCTCTGAGATGAAGCTCCCAGAGGAAGGATCAGGCAGCAATATTTGCTGTTCTGCAATATTTGCTCTTCTGCAGCCTCCGCTGGTGATACCCGAGCAAACAGTGTCTGGAGTTGACCTCCAGCAAACTCCAACAGACCTGCAGCTGAGTGACCTGACGGTTAGAAGGAAAACTAACAAACAGAAAGGAATAGCATCAACATCAAGAAAAAGGACATCCACACCAAAACCCCATCTGTAGGTCACCAATATCAAAGACCAAAGATAAACAAAACCACAAAGATGGGGAGAAACCAGAGCAGAAAACCTGAAAATTCTAAAAATCAGAGTGCCTCTTCTCCAAAGGATCACAGTCCCTTGCCAGCAACAGGACAAAGCTGGATAGAGAATGACTGACAAGTTGTCAGAAGCAGACTTCAGAAGGTCAGTAATAACAAACTTCTCCAAGCTAAAGGAGCATGTTCTAACCCATCACAAGGAAGCTAAAAACCTTGAAAAAGGGGTAGACGAATGGCTAACTAGAATAAACAGCGTAGGGAATAACTTAAATGACCTGATGGAGCTGAAAACCATGGTACGAGAAGTTCGTGATGCATGCACAAGCTTCAATAGCCAATTTGATCAAGTGGAAGAAAGGATATCAGTGATTGAAGATCAAATTAATGAAATAAAGCGAAACGACAAGTTTAGAGAAAAAAGAGTAAAAGGAAACAAAGCCTCCAAGAAATATGGGAGTATATGAAAAGACCAAATCTACATTTGATTTGTGTACCTGAAAGTGATGGAGAGAATGCAACCAAGTTGAAAAACACTCTTCAGGATATTATCCAGGAGAACTTCCTCAACCTAGCAAGGCAGGCTGACATTCAAATTCAGGAAATACAGAGAACACCACAAAGATAGTCCTTGAGAAGAGCAACCCCAAGACACATAATTTTCAGATTCACAAGGTTGAAATGAAGGAAAAAATGGTAAGGGCAGCCAGAGAGAAAGGTCAGGTTACCCACAAAGGGAAGCCCATCAGACTAACAGCTGATCTCTCAGCAGAAACCTTACAAGCCAGAAGAGAGTGGGGGCCAATATTCAACATTCTTAAAGAAAAGAATTTTCAACCCAGAATTTCATATCCAGCCAAACTAAGCTTCATAAGTGAAGGAGAAATAAAAATCCTTTACAGACAAGCAAATGTTGAGAGATTTTGTCACCACCAGGCCTGCCTTACAAGAGCTCCTGAAGGAAGCACTAAACATGGAAAGGAACAACCGGTACCAGCCACTGCAAAAACATGCCAAACCGTAAAGACCATGGATGCTATGAAGAAACTGCAACAATTAAAGGGCAAAATAACCAGCTGACATCATAATGATAGGATCAAATTCACAAATAACAATATTAACCTTAAATGTAAGTGGGCTAAATGCCACAATTAAAAGACACAGACTGGCAAATTGGGTAAAGAGTCAAGACCCATCAGTGTGCTGTATTCAGGAAACCCATTTCACATGCAGAGACACACATAGGCTGAAAATAAAGGGATGGAGGAAGATCTACCAAGCAAATGGAAAGCAAAAAAAAAGCAGGGGTTGCAATCCTAGTCTCTGATAAAACAGACTTTAAACCAACAAAGATCAAAAGAGACAAAGAAGGCCATTACGTAATGGTAAAGGGATCAATTCAACAAGAAGAGCTAATTATCCTAAATATATATGCACCCAATACAGGAGCACCCAGATTCATAAAGCAAGTCCTTAGAGACCTACAAAGAGACTTAGACTCCCACACAATAATAATGGGAGACTTTAACACCCCACTGTCAACATTAGACAGATCAACGAGACAGAAAGTTAACAAGGATATCCAGGAATTGAACTCAGTTCTGGACCAAGCGGACATAATAGACATCTACAGAGCTCTCCACCCAAAATCAACAGAATATACATTCTTCTCAGCACCACATCACATTTATTCTAAAATTGACCACATACTTGGAAGTAAAGCACTCCTCAGCAAATGAAAAAGAACAGAAATCACAACAAACTGTCTCTCAGACCTCAGTGCAATCAAGTTAGAACTCAGGATTAAGAAACTATTTCAAAACCACACAACTACATGGACACTGAATAACCTGCTCCTGAATGACTACTGGGTAAATAACAACATGAAGGTAGAAATAAAGATGTTCTTTGAAACCAATGAGAACAAAGACACAACTTACCAGAATCTCTGGGACACATTTAAAGCAGTGTGTAGAGGGAAATTTATAGCACTAAATGCCCACAAGAGAAAGCAGAAAGGATCTAAAATCGACACCCTAACATTACAAAAGAACTAGAGAAGCAAGAGCAAACAAATTCAAAAGCTAGCAGAAGGCAAGAAATAACTAAGATCAGAGCAGAACTGAAGGAAATAGAGACACAAAAAACCCTTCAAAAAATCAATGAATCCAGGAGCTGGTTTTTGGAAAAGATCAACAAAATTGATAGACTGCTAGCAAGACTAATAAAGAAGAAAAGAGAGAAGAATCAAATAGATGCAATAAAAAATGATAAAGGGGATATCACCACCGATCCCACAGAAATACAAACTACCATCAGAGAATACTATAAACGCCTCTATGCAAATAAACTAGAAAATCTAGAAGAAATGGATAAATTCCTAGACACAGAGACCCTCCCAAGACTAAACCAGGAAGAAGTTGAATCTCTGAATAGACCAATAACAGGCTCTGAAATTGAGGCAATAATTAATAGCTTACCAACCAAAAAAAGTCCAGGACCAGATGGATTCACAGCCAAATTCTACCAGAGGTACAAAGAGGAGCTGGTACCATTCCTTCTGAAACTATTCCAATCAATAGAAAAAGAGGGAATCCTCCCTAACTCATTGTATGAATACAGGATCATCCTGATCCCAAAGCCTGGCAGAGACACAACAAAAGAATAGACAATTCTCAAAAAAAAACATACAAATGGCCAACAAACATGAAAAAATGCTCAACATCACTAATGACCAGGGAAACTCAAATAAAAACCACAGTGTGGTACCACCTTACTCCTGCAAGAATGGCCGTAATCAAAAAATCAAAAGACAGTAGATGTTGGCATGGATGCTGTGAACAGGGAACACTTCTACACTGCTGGTGGGATTGTAATCTAGTATAGCCACTATGGAAAACAGTGTGGAGATTCCTTAAAGAACTACAAGTAGAACAGCCATTTGATCCAGCAATCCCACTACTGGGTATCTACCTAGAAGAAAAGAAGTCGTTATTCAAAAAAGATACTTGCACGTGCATGTTTATAGTGGCACAATTTACAATAGCAAAGTTGTGGAACCAACCGAAATGCCCATCAATCAACGAGTGGATAAAGAAACTGTGATAATACTATGCAGCCATAAAAAGGGATGAATTAACAGCATTTGCATCGACCTAGATGAGATTGGAGACTATTATTCTAAGTGAAGTAACTCAGGAACGGAAAACCAAACATCATATGTTCTCACTGATTCTGAGTTTTGAGGACACAAAGCATAAGAATGATACAGTGGACTTTGGGGACTTGTGTGGAAGAGTGGGAGAGGAGAGGGGGATAAACTACAAATATTACAAATATGGTGCAGTATATACAGCCCGGGTGATGGGTGCACCAGAATCTCACAGATCATCACTAAACAACTTACTCATGTAACCAAATACCACCTATACCCCAATAACTTACGGAAAAATAAAAAATAAAAATAAACAAATAAATAAATAAAACTTTTTAATATTGCAGAGGGCCATCATCTTTAGGCTTTAAGGATTTCGCACAAATAGGAGAGAAAAAAGCTAAAACTCATGTAGGTTAAACTGACAAAGTTCCCAAAAGACAATTTTCAAAGGAGGAAATCCAACTAGAAATAAACTCTAATACTGATACAATACTTTGGAACCAATTTTTGATAGTCAAAAGAGTCATTTTATTTCACGTAATAATTTTGCTGCTAAAAATCTATCTAAAAGAATCATAAATTTTGGAGGAGAAATTTTTATTATCTAACTCAAGAATAGGAAGGCCTTTCTTTTTCTAACTCAAGATGTTCTTGGTATCCTTGCTGGGAACTAACTAAAGTGAGAGAAACTGGGCAGAGAGACAGAACCCACAATTCAAGCATTCAGAGTTAACAAGAAGAGTACTAGAGAATTACAGAACACAAGATGTTTGCCTGCTGTTTTGTTTCATGATTCCCAGTGATTGTGAGGGAGCCTGCAGCCCTGCAGCAGTAGTCCATATCTGGGCCTGATCAGAACACAGAAAGAAAATCTCAGATGATCCACAGATTGGAATGCAAAACATCTTTATTCTAATCCTACACAAATTGAGAGCTCTGCCCATGAACATTTAATAGTAACGTTGCAGGAACACTTAATGGTACCATTTTAACTCAGAAATAGTTACTCCTGTACAGTCTTGGTTCCAAGTGGCCTTGAGCCACTTGGAAATGTGAGGCTTCAATTCAAGCCAAATGTGGGGCTTCAATTCAAGCCAAATGGCCAGTAGGGGTTATTAACAGAAGGGTCAAAATACCTCAGTTTACCTATGCAGGTGTCCAGGCCACCTTACAAAACAGCAGCTCTCTGCCAGGGTAGCTTCTCCTTGGTGATAGTTAATACAAATTATTTTCTAGAACCATGGTGACACAGAACCTGGAAACTGACATTGAATCCCTAGCTGTCCATCAAGAAGCACTAATGCACCATGCCGCCACCTGCCATTAGGATAGCTTTTACCACCACCAGGCCACTTGTCATTTCTCTGCAGAATGCACTTGACTGGATCAGCCTGTAATACACTGACATGATTTCAGCTAAACTACAAGGGCTAAATACCAGAGGAGTAGGGCACTTGGAGCAGAGAAGAAAGAGAATGAAATAACTATCATTAACTCCCTAAATTTCAACAAGCATGAAAGTGTCCTCTTCCCAAGAAGTCCACATCCCCAATTTCAGACAGTGTAATGGCAGCTGGCTTTGCAGGGCAGAAGTACAGACACTTATCTGCTGATGAGATGTCTTTCTTCTCCCCCAGAACAGGTGGAGATGATCTTCCGGCATCAGTCCCAGTCCAAGGTTTGGGCCCCTGACCTCATAATCGATTTGATAATAAAGCAGTGGTTTGTAGACTCCATTTAGAATCTCACTGACAATCAGTAACTATAGACTTTTATTCTAGAGAAATGTGCATATGCACAGGCTTCTGCCACATACCAGTGAACCATATCAGTGAACCACACAGACTTACAGAGGCCCCTCCATGGAGCCCCTTTAGCTATCAGCCAGTTCTCTCTCCACTCGTGCCATCACTCCCCATCTTGTGTCTGTAACAGGTCTCATTAATGGTGCATGGAGCTCTATTCTGTTGAACTAGGAAGCAATGTTACAACCTTTGCTGGCACAGGGCTCCTAGAAGCCTCTCAGAATTAATTTCAGCAAGCCTGTGGATAAAACATATTTGTCACTCTGTCCATAAACATCAGTGGTACAAAAAAAAATCTGTTTCAGATAAACCCTTCTTAGTCTGACTTCCTCCTGGCTGGATTTATGTATGGTTCTCTAATGATGTGGAAAAGCAGTTTGGTTCTAAGGAAAAACAAAACCACCTATGGTGAGAAATTAAGAGCAAAATTACATAAGAGTTTTTTTTTTTTAAATTGGTATTCTGGCTGCATTTTTCAACTAAGAGTCATAAAATCATTTCCCAAGCCAGAAATATCATTATCCTCATTTCACAGGTGGAAAACCGAGAATTACAGAGAGGTTAATGGCTGTGTCTAAAAGCACACAGCACGCCCTCATCAGAAGGAGCTGGAAATTCAGGTATGGGCAAGGGCTCATACTGTTCTGTCATAAACCAAACTTTCCTGAGAAGTTTGGCTTGGCTCTAATTGGCATTCAATTTTAAAAAATGTCTTTCATTAAAAAATATAATTTGAAGAACTGGGTAATTGACTCACATTTGATTAAGGCAGATTCTATTGGATTAACATGATTAATAGGTAAAATTATAATCAAACAGAAAGCAGTACAAAAGGTGACTAAGTCATGGATCATATTAAGATACTAAATTTGAAAATGATGGATATGCTGGGGTTTTTTTTTACATCAGTAATATTCATTTCACAGTGGATCTCACACTGTTCAGTTATCACTAGTAGGGTAATTAGGATGAAGTTTGTGTTCAGGATTAAAAGAAGTACTTGGAAGTTGTTTTGATTTCACAGCAAGGGAAATCCCAGATGTCGTCTTTCTGATTCTCCCCAAATCATTTGGTTCAAGCTGGGTGGTAAATTTCTCAAACTAATAGTGAAGTAGGCCACTCTGGTGGCTATCCCTGCTCAGACCTAGATATAGTTAGTGCCACATCAAACCTCAAAGCACCTTTCGGAACTGTAATGTTCACCAGGCTGTGTAGGGATAACATAGTCCACAGTTTTCTCTATTGGTGCAAAATTGTATCCCCAATAGGAACTAAGTTAATTGATATGAAACTACTCCAGCATCAGCCACCTCCAGGTAGCCAGGCCTGGAACTAAAATGAAAAATAGAATGCTTGGGTGTTTTTGACGCTCCATCTTAAATCTTTTTGTCCAGAAATGGGAGCTACTATGGTATGAATAGAGGCAGATCTAGGTTATTCTTTTCATCACCAAGACTTTCTATTTTAGAGGACTGATGGACATGGTGGCAGGCTCCCTCCTAAAACTACCATGTCTGCCTAAGTGGAAGGAGAATGGAAAGTGGGGGAGGCTTGAACCATTCCAGAATCTTCATCAATGTACCCAAAGCCAACTCACAAAACATACAATATAAAGAACAAACTTGCCTCCTAGCAAGCACAGCTCTAGTGCCGCCTCCTTGCCACAAACCCATCCCAGCTAGCTTGACACTTCTAAGAGTTTCCTATATAGGAAACCCTAGGCCACCGCAGCAATCCCTGTTCTTACCATGTTATTACTTATAAAAATATGCTCTGATCAAGCAAATGACTAAGAACTGTTACTGAAAGATGGTGCTGCAACAATGCATTGGCTTTCTTTGCCTGTAAAAATGACAATAAAGATTGATAATATTTCAGCTTGACAAGGGTTTCGAGAACAAGTAATCTCATACGCAGCTTGTTACCCTTTA
Source organism: Homo sapiens (assembly GCF_000001405.40). Taxonomy (NCBI): domain Eukaryota; kingdom Metazoa; phylum Chordata; class Mammalia; order Primates; family Hominidae; genus Homo; species Homo sapiens. Next base: position 59,776,902 of record NC_000015.10, on the reverse strand, counting down.
AGTGAAAAGGCAGTTTGGTAGTATCTACTGAGTACTATAAAATATGCAAGCCCAGGCCAGGCACCATGGCTCCCTCCTGTAATTCCAGCACTTTGGGAGGCTGAGACAAGAGGATCACTTGAGCTCAGGAGTTTGAGACCAGCCTGGGCAACATAGTGAGACCCCTCCCATCTCTACAAAAAATACAAAAATTAGCCAGGCAGTGGTACGTGCCTATAGTACCAGCTACTTGGGGGGCTGAGGTGAGAGGATTCCTTGAGCCCAAGGAGGTCAAGGCTGCAGTGAGCCGTGATCACTCCACTGCACTCCAGCCTGAGCAAGAGAGCAAGATCCTGTCTCAAAAAGAAAAAAAAAATTTTGCTTGTCTTTTGACCAAGACATTCCATGTATACCTAGGCACAATTATTTAGATTCAAAGTTGTTTATTGGAGCAATTTTTGTATTTTGTATTTATAGCCCAAACTATTAGTAACAACCTAATAGTTCATCAGTAGGAAAGTGGTCATGTAAATCACGGTACAGTTACACTATGGAATACATATAGATCTCTTTTACAAAATGTAGGTCCAACCACAATGTCAAAGAATGATTTTTATGATACATTTTTAAGTGAAAAAAGCAAGTGGTAGAAATATTTATATAATATCCCTATTTACATATTTTTAAAAATTATATATGTATATATTCTATGTTTTTAAGTGAATAGAAAAATATTAGATTGGACAAATCCCCAGTTGTTAACAGGACTTACCTCTGGAGAAGAGAAATGAGCTGGGAGATGAAGGTGTTTCATTTTCTACTAAGTGTACTTCAGTAATTTATTCTAATAAGTACATGATTTTCTTATTAAAAAAATAAAATAGTATATCACTGGCATTTCCTCACAAGGCAGTATTCAACTGTGATGAAACAGAAATTTCACTACATCCGTCCAAGAGCAGTGAGACAGGCCACTTAAGTTCTCTAAGCTTCAGTTTGCCCATCTGTAAAATGAGGACAACGTATGGCTCACAGTGTTGTTGGAAAGGATCACATGAGAGAATGCTTGTAAAAGCCCTGTTTACTGTTAAACACAAGTGATTATAAAATGTTAAACAAGAATTATTCCAAGGTGAAGAATAAAGAGTTGGTATAATAAAACCACAGACACCACTAAATTCCCTTTGGGAAATGATCAGCCTAGTTGTGATCGTTTTAGAATCTAATTAAAGAAATCAAGGCCACGTGGTTGGGCATGGAGTCTACCCTGAAAGGGATGGGCGCTCTAAGTTATCCTGGGAAAAATAATCCTGGAAAGAGTTTAAACCTGAAGCAGGGAATGAGCACTAAAGAAAAGTTCTCCTCTTGCCGGGTGCGGTCGCTCATGCCTGTAATCCCAGCACTTTGGAAGGCTAAGGCGGGAGGATCACTTGAGGTCAGGAGTTCAAGACCAGCCTGGCCAACATGGCAAAACCCCATCTCTACTAAAAATACAAAAATTAGCCAGCCATGGTGGTGGGCACCTGGAATCCCAGCTACTTGGGAAGCTGAGAAAGGAGGATTGCTTGAGCCCTGGAGGCGGAGGTTGCAGTGAGCCAAGATCATGCCACTGCACTTCAGCCTGGGTGACAGAGTGAGACTACGTCTGAAAAAAAAAAAAAAAATTCACCTCTTTCTAGGGCGGGGAGGTAGTATGGCTGAATCTCCAAGGGTTCCAAAAGCTGAAAGAAGCCCCATTAGAGGATCAGCTTCCATAGCCACATGGCAGGCTGGGAATGAGGTTGGAAGTGAGCCCCACCTAGTCATCTAAGGCAGGTTTGAGCCTATGTAGTAGTGTAAGTGATTTTCTGTGTTAAATGCTTCTTCTATCATCACTGAACCTTCAAATAAAGTCTCATTAAAAATTTGGTACCTGGTCTTAATTGCTCAGTGCAGAATTAGCAAAGAGCCTGGCCTACTGCTCTATGTCTAAGATTCCTTTCCTGGAATGAATATGTTTAGGGGGAGCTAAAGGCACCCCCATATTCATGATTTGGGCCTACTTGTCTATGGCTGCATTGCAGAATAGACTGGCCATGTGAAGAGGAAGCTGAATGTCTCATCATCTCCTTCCATCTCAGGGGACCACTACGAAGTTCCCCAGCTCATATGTCTGGAAGTACTGCTTCCTACACCTGATTTCGTTCTCAGACACATGGCTTGGATTATCTCAATACTTATATTCTATTTGGCATATACTGTCTGGTTGGACACAGGTATACTTTGGTGATCTCTTAATATTTATGGAGTCTGCCTTCTCCATGGTGGTGTTAATTGTCTCTGAGGACCTAAATCCCAGGAATAGTGACAGAGTCAATGGGGTTCTGTTTGGAACTTTTATGCAATGTGCAGATGGCTTCTCTCAGGGCCGTTCTTGTAAACACAGACATATTAACTTAAATAGAAAATGCCTTGCAAGACGCATTTATGAGCAGAAATTGGTGGTGCTGAATGGTAAGATGTGGGAAAAACATAGAGAGAATCTTCTCTGTATTTTAACTCTAGCGCTCAGAATCTTATATCACATTAGACTCTGTGATTATTTTGGTAAGCTGCCTTAAATCCTCTCTGGAATCATGGTAGGCATATACATGTACAAGCAAATAAACAAATCCATACATAAACAAACAGGTAGAATGTATTGAGTCTCACTATTTGGCAGTTAATGTGCTGGGTGTTTTTCACATAACTGTTTCCTTTAATCCTCACAACAAACTGTTGGTCATACATCCTAACCCCAGTGATTTGTCAGATATTTACTGGAAGAGATAGGGCCATGTGGGCCTTCTACTTTTCATGCCTCTGCAGCAAGCAATACCAAGGAAACCAGCAAGGTGAGAGGGAATGACACAGCCGCTAGGAGAACCTCTAAACAAGGCAGAGGAGGTGTGTACTTGAGAGTTAAGGCTTGATTTTCCTGATTGCTAAAATTGCTAAAGAAAATGGCCCTGCTTCTATTTTCTTCCTGGTGGCTTTTCCTGTATATACTTTAAATGGAAAATATCACTAAAAGGATGACTGGCCAAACGGGGCAAATAGGGAGAAAAACTTTCACTTCCCTTTCCGCTTGAACCCCAGGTCCTTGTATTTCAGCATGTGTCTACAGTGAGATTCCATCCTGTTCATTTGTTTTTGTTTTTGTTTCTGTTTTGAGACAAAGTCTCACTCTGTCACCCAGTCTGGAGTACAGTGGCATGATCTCAGCTCACTGCAACCTCCGCCTCTGGGTTCAAGCGATTCTCCTGCCTCAGCCCCCCAAGTAGCTGGGATTATGGTGCACACCACCATGCCTGGCTAATTTTTGCATTTTTAGTAGAGACAGTTTTCACCATGTTGGCTAGACTGGTCTCGAACGCCTGACCTCAGGTGATTCACCCGCCTTAGCTTCCCAAAGTGCTGGGATTGCAGGCTTGAGCCACCGCTCCCCACCAGCCTCTTCATTTGGTATCACGGGCACTGTGTTTTTCATAATTCTTCCACAAACCTCAAAGAATTAAAAGGTTGTCCTTTTAGGATGTAACAGATCTTTCATTTGCATGATTAAGTCTCACGCAAATGTGAAGATGGTAGGAAACCCATTTTCGCATTTGTAGGCTGTGTGACATAGTGAGGACTAAAATGCATGTCGATGTCTGATCTTCCTCTCTGAGGTAGTCAGAAGCTCGGGTCTCTGATTTGGCTCTGAGACCCTGATCTGGTAGGGCAAGGAGTGAGCTTCTGAGAAACCACATCCCAAAATAAGTGTCGGTCATGTACCGAAAAGACAATGCAAACAGAGTGATAGAAAGGCAGCAACAAAAGGGAATTAGAACCAGCACAGAGAAATATGAGTGGCTCAGATTCCCTCTGGAGAGATTCACCATGGAGTCAGAATGAAGAGGTTGAATGAGGTGTTTTACAGAGCCCATTGGGTGGGGTGGAAGCTGTTAACAGCACTGTTGCAGGCACAGGAAACTAGGTCTCCCTATGCACCAGGCAGAAACTCCATAGATATTAAACAAAAGATTTAATTTTTTTCAAGCAAAACAGCCTGTCCTAATGGCTATTAAAGCAATGAACAGTCAGAACTCTGTTGTACAGGTAAATTGCAGCTGACTGTTTCAGTTATTGGCTGTCAGAGAAACTAGATGTCAGAAAAGTTCTGTTGTCATTTAGATTCTCAGAAAGTTTACGTTGTGTGTGTGTGTGTGTGTGTGTGCAGTCCTGCACACAGATACACACAGTTCTAAGAAGCATACAGTAGGCAAACAAGAAAAAAATTAAGCCAGGTATGGTAGTGTGTACCTGTAGTCCCAGCTACTCTGGAGGCTGATGCAGAAGGATCATTTGAACCCAGGAGGTCGAACCCCCAGTGAGCTATGAGCATGCACTCCAGCCTGAGCAACAGAGGCTCAAAAAAGAAAAGAAAAGAAGAGAAAAAATAAAAGAGTCTGCATTGTACCAAAACCACCAGTTCCCTCTGTGTGTTCATTGAATTCACTGAACAAAAATAGTAATATAATGTATTCTGCTGAACCAGACAGAAAGTAGTTCTTTTCAACCTAACAAGTAACATGTCATTTATGTTGTGTCTCACACAGCGTCTGGTGCGATAGTACATACAGCAGGAATGCATAAAATAGTCTTTAATCCTTTGTGAAAGCTAACATTTAGTCACATCAAACAGATCACTTCTCAAAACAATGGTAACCTTTCCCAAGTGCCAAATTACTTTTGCCATAACATTCCATTTCCATTGTTCCTTAGCGTAGTCAATTCCATGGCTTAGAAGATGTCAGGGGGTTCAGTTTCCTCTCCTTTGGCAGAGTTTGACATACAGTATCATGTTCTTCACTGTAAGCCCTCCTTAACGCAACCAATAAGGTCCAGTGCACCAGGGCCTGTTATGGGCTGAGGAAGAAGGGGTGAGGCAGATGAAGAAGAAGATTCCATGCAAATGCATGGATCTTCACAACATAAAGAGAAACCTGAATGCAGAAGAAGCTGGTTATAAGGAAGAGATTTCTGTAACACGACTCCCCAGGAGATGCAGTCACCCTCACATCAGCTCTGGAGTACAGAAGGAAAGATATTTCTATTTAATAGGTTTGGGGGGCTTTGGGGAAGCTGGGCAGGTTGGTTGTTGTTTTAAAGGAATTAACTCAAGTGTAGACACTGCTGCTCCAGTGTCTTATAACACTGCTGCTACATCCATGCCTCTAAGTGAGACGCTCATGGGTCGTCAGGCTCTACAGTATAACAATTTGTCAGCACAGGACACAGCATGGACCAATTTAATACTTGCTTCGGGGTTTACAATTTCCACAGCCTTTCATCAGAATTTTTTTTTAGGTCAGTAACATTTAGAGGAAGATAAAAAATATTGAGTAATTGGTGAGAAAGTAGGTGGTTAATGGCTAATTTGCAAAAGTACAGATTATATTGTTATTGAAATTTTATCCACTTAATGAACAAGCTGTGAGATTTTTGGGAAGGACACATTAATGTGGATACCATGATAGGCTGGTAAGCAATCCACTCTCACAAGTGCCAACATCTGCCGCCTTTCCTCCCTGACACGCCCTCGCACTCGCTCCCGGGAGCTTCTGAATCTACACTGGCTTGCGTGTTGGGCCAGGTAATAAGATTACAGGTGATGCTCTTAGCTCTTTTCCTGCCCCACTTTATTACAAAAATGGAAAATGAAACCCTCTGTTCTTTCCTTAACTTAGAATGGAGGAAGATAAACAAAGCTGAAGTCTGATATATAATCACTAAAATGCCTATCTGTTACTTTAAAATTTAAAAAGAATTTCTAAGGGAATCTTAGTGGTGAAAGAGAATGCCAAATGTGTTGAGTATAATTACTTGGAGACACAATTCCATCTCCACCACACCAGCCCACATATTGTTTCTGAAAGAGTCTTCACAGACCTTGCTAATCTCCTCTGAAGGGCCAACGACCTCCTTTTAAAATCAGGCACCAATACCCCAGATGTAGGGAAGCCACACATGGGTGGCCCACCTTGGGCATGTGCTCCACCAGAAGCATTAGGACTTGTTCTCATGGCCTGCCATCTATCACCTATAAACAGCAGAAATTTATTTTCTCCCAGTTCTGGAGCCCAGAAAGCTTAACATCAAGGTTCCAACCAATTGAGTTCCTGTTGAGGGTTATTTTCCTGGTTTGCAAATGGCCACCTTCTTTTTTTTTTTTTTTCTTTTTTTGAGATGGAGTCTGTTGCCCAGGCTGGAGTGCAGTGGTGTGATCTCTGCTCACTGCAACCTCCGCCTCCTGGGTTGAAGTGATTCTCCTGCCTCAGCCTCCCAAGTAGCTGGGACTACAGGCATGTGCCACCACGCCTGGCTAACTTTTTGTATTTTTAGTAGAGATGGGATTTCACCATGTTAGCCAGGATGGTCTCGATCTCCTGACCTTGTGATCCACCCACCTCAGCATCCCAAAGTGCTGGGATTACAGGTGTGAGCCACCCTGCCTGGCCACCACCTTCTTGATGTGTCCTCACCTGGCCTTTCCTCAGTGCATCCACACAGAAAGGGAGGAAGAGCAAGTTATCTGGTGTCTTGTCCAATAAGGACACTCACTCTATTTGATGAAGTTTCCACCAGAATGATCTCACTTAACCTTAATTACTTCCAAAGGCCCCCGTCTCCACAAGCACACTGGACATGAGAACTTCAACATATGAATTTTGGGGGAACACAAATTTTCCATCTATATATTGAGGGTACCTCTCTAATTCTGTCTTCGACTTTCTCATTCATCATGCATGATCTTCATGTTGTTGCACAGTCTTCATAACCAACTTTTCACTTTTCCAACTCTATTTCTTTCAATTCTTATTGTTTTAAAGTTTGGGAAAACTCAGGGAGGTATAGTGAAGAAAATTTAAAATCACCTAGGTATAATCACTACTAAATTTTACTGCATTTTCTTTCAAAATTTTTCAATGCATTTCTGTACATTATATGTAGAATATACACTTACAGAATATTATACCAATATTGTTGCCAACTTTTATCTCTTAGCATTGTATCATATTTCCCCAATGATGTTAAAATTATTTGACAACATCTTTTAACAACTGCCTAATATATTATAGCATGATAGCACCATTATTTATTTAACCAAACTGATGATGTTGAAAATTTGCGTTGTTTCCAGTTTTTCACTATTACAAATAATAGTTTAAGTAATATTGTGGCTTTTAAACATTTGTATACATATCATATTTGTTTTAGGCCAGGTTGCTGCAAGATCAACTAATTAAAATGTTAAATATTAAAATATTTTCATATTTTTATATTCATATATAGTACTAAATTATTTTCAGAATCTCAGTAATGATTATTCATTGCTTTAAAAAATAATATTTAAAAAATAAAAATAAGTACAGTACAAAGAAATTCTATTCAACCACCTAAAGTAAAGGCATTATTAATTTTTTAAATAAAATTATATTATTTTAAAGCCTGTTTTTTCATTATAAAATTTGTGAAATTTTTAATGAAATTATATAATTTTCTGTAATATTTTAAAGGCTGCATTGTGTTCTAGTGCATGGACAAGTTATAATTTAATTAACTAATTATTTATTTACAAACTTTTATTCGCTTCTGTTTTATAAATTAGACAAAACTAAACAGGCAGAATTCTTATGCCGAAATGCTGGGATTTTTTTTTTTTTTTTTTTTTACAAATAGCACGTTTTATTTGCCACTATTTGAAGTCTGAACTTTAAACAGATTCTTGGACTGGTGGTTCATATCCATCAGCTCGTTCAACTTTAGCACCTGTCTCGTCCCCAGTGGCTTTTCCAGAACTACTGCCTTCACCATGAAGCTCCATGAGCTTTCCCAATTCAAACTTGGGCTTCTTCAGCATTTTTACTTTTCTAACGAAGACATCATGGAGAGGATAAATAGATTGGCAAGCCTTTTCTATGTCTTTTCCAATGCTGTCTGGAATCAATTTATTGACCACTTCTTTCAAGTCATTTGTCTGCACCTCTCGGATCATGATTTCCATCATCTTCTTCCGGATTTGGCGGACCTGTTGGTGCTGAGCATAAGAGGTCTTCCGTATCTGATTTTTGCGTTTTTTAGTAAAACCAACACAGAACAGACGAAGCAAGTAACCATCGGTAGTCTTGACATCAACGTGAGCTTCAATCATTGTCTGCCATTTTTTGACCATGGAACACATTTTGTCACGGGTAAGATCCATGCCATGGAAGTTAGTCAGGCAGTTTTTACCCTGAACATCTTCAGTAATCAGCTTGAATTTTCTAAATGCAACTTCATCATTCTGCAAATCAGCAAGACTCACTTCAAACACACGACCCTTGAGACCATCAGACGCAATTTTGGTTCCTTGGGTCCTGGTGACGAGCGTCTTTCCAATATTTCTTATATTGAACATAGCAGGTGCTTTCACATCATACCAATCTTTCTTAGAAAATGGATCAACCACTTTCTTCTTGGCTCCCTTTTTGCCGCCTTTCGTAAGGCGCTTGTTCTTGCCAACAGCCATGGTGCTGGTGAGAGAGCCAAAAAGCGATTCATACTTTCATTAACATGTAAAAGCATGTACCTTTGCTGGTGGAGAGAGTAACACACAATCATTGTACATTTAATAAGTAAAAAAAAAAAAAATTAAAAATTTCGATTTAATGTTTATCTTCACTGGATAATAAGGTGAATATTTTTCATATGTTTATCTTTATTGACCAATTTAATTTTTTTTCAGTAACTACCTGTTGGTGTTCTTTGACCACTTTTCCACTGTAATACCCATCATTCTCTTGTTAATTTATGAGATCTTCCAATATATTTAAATGGCATTGCTTAAACTACATTCTACAGAGAATTAATGTCCCATAAAATGGTAGTAAATTTTCATTAAAAATGAAAAAAAATCGATACTAATGATATGATTTACTAAAATATTTAAATATATATGCATTTAAATATAAATGCAAGAAAAATATTAGGCATGTATAAATAGTAGTTATTATTTGAGATTTACTTTGAAGATATAATCTGCTATACTTGAGAATGCCAGGAAGTAACATGAGTGCATACCAAATGCTTGTACGTTTAGTGTTGCCACTGACCATTCACTGAGCATCACCTGTGAATGATCTACTCAATGGTCACATGAAGGGCTTGTATCTTATAATGTCCACATACATTTGAAATATATTTAACTTTTACATATAAATAAATCATAAATCAAATTTTAAGTTTTTCATCAACTGATTTGCCTTTGAGACTATCTATTCTTATCTACTTATTTTTGTCATTTGCGAAAATATACTCAGCTGATCTCACTTATTATATTTACAGATCAACTTTAGGTTAAGATTGTTGAGATCTCCCAAAATTCCCATAGGATTTTTACTGTAATTGCAATACTTTCGTTGCTTTATTTGGAAAAAATCTTCCTTTGTACAAGGTGAAATATTTCCATTCAGCAACATGGTATTTCTCTTCAGTTTTTCAAATCTTACTTTAACTTGCTTTAAGGAACTCTATTTTTTAAAGAAAAGTTATCTTAATGGATACAACTGTGCTTTCTTCTATTCTCTTGTCTTATTTGGCTTTTTAATTTTCCTTGATTTTTCTTTTGTAATGGTGTCTTTTTCTTTATGTTTGTTTCTATAACTACATCTTTAAATTTTCGAAAATGTATTTGACTGTGTATCTGTTTATCAATGTCATTAAACCTTTCTGTTAACTTCTTCCTATGAAACTGGTGAAATTTATCATAATTTTGCTTCCTTTCTCTCCATCTTGCTTCTTTTCTTGGTATGATCAGAGATTTTTAACCTAGATCCTTATTACTAATACTTTTACATTGTGATGCTGTTAACTCTTTTAACATTTGCATCGTCTCTATTTATTCTACCATTTCTACTACATCTTATCTATTATCAAGTTCTTAATTTTGACTCACTTTTTAATCAAAATATTTTTATTTTTAAAATAGAGATATGTCATTGGTAGTTTCAAAATGCTTGCATTTCAATTCAGTAATCCCGCTACTGGGTATACATTCAAAAGAAATGAAATCAGTATGTCAAAGAGATGTCTGCACTTTTATAGTTTATTGCGGCACTATTCACAATAGCCAAAATATGAAGTCATCATAAGTGTGCACCAATGGATGAAAGGATAAAGAAAATGTGGTATATATATACATCGTATACAAATTGGTGTATGGATATACAGAGACACCATTCTGCCATTAAAAAAGAAGGAAATCCTGCCGTTTGCAACAACATGGATGAACTTGAAGGACATCATATTAAGTGAAATAAGTCAGGCACAGAAGGATAAATATCACATGATCTCACATATAGTGGGATCCAAAAAAGTCAAACTGAGAAATACAAAGAATGGTGGTGACAAGGGGCTCAGGGGCAGGGGCTTGGAAGAGATATTGATCAAAGGATGTGAAATTTCAGTTAGATAGGAGGAATAAGTTCAAGAGATCTATAGTATAACGGAGTTACTATTGTTAATAGCTGTATATTATATTCCTGATAATTGCTACAAGAGTAGCTTTTGCATTCTCACCACAAAAAAAAATTATGTGAGGTAATGAGTATGTGAATTAGCCTGATTTAGCCATGTGCTACCTGATAAATATGTACGACTTGTATTTGTCAGCATAAAAATAATTTTAAAAGACTTGCATTTCTGAGTATTTCATTCGGAAGATTTTACACTGGATACAGATTCTCAGGTCACCGTCTTTTCCATTCAACCCTCTGGTAGCAAATGGTCCATTGTCTCCTCAAATGTATTGTCCTAGTGCAGAAATGCCAAAATGAACATCTTTGTGCATAAAACTACATCCTTAATTTAGATTTTTCCTTCGGACCCGGTCCTAGAATTGAAATTATATAGTAAACTCTTCTTCCTTTTCTTCCTCTGTCTCTGTCTCTTTCTTTGTTTCCTTTTCCTTTCTCTTTTTCTAAAAGTCATTATAGAAACTGGTGATGATATCTTATTGTTTCTTCATTAGTTAACAAGTTAAATAAAATCTTTGACACATGTTCATTTATGTTTGTATAGGAGTCATGATTTTACTTCTTTTTAATTGCCTTTTCACAGTTTGGGAGATCATCTACCACAATGTCCTCACAGAGCCAAACTGCACTGCTAGAGAACTATACCTACTCGGGAGAGTGACGGGAGATCAGGGGTGGCTTAAGATGAGGCATGTTTTTTTCTTGGCTTCTGAAAGTCATTCTCAGGCAGCACGAGAACTTTAACTTTTCTGTCTGTATGTTTCTCTTGGTATTTTTTTCTCTCTTCGCTAATTTTGCATTTTGCTTTTGTTTCTGGTTTATGCATGAAGGATAAGTTATGGGGGCATCAATAATTAGTGGAATTTGACTTTATGTTCATACTATTTGGTAATTTAGATAAGTGAATTAAAGGACCAAAGAGGTCTATTCTCTATTGGGCAAAAGGATAGAGAATTCAGATTGTTAGTCTCATTTGTTTGTCCATTTTGAGCTCAAATCAATTGAAAATTTTATCCTCATCAGGAGAGCATACGGGTCTACGATATCTGGCCCTGTGAGTTTTTGTGTTGCTGTCTTTACTTTTAAACTATGAATAAAACTGTACAACTGAAGCTATAAACTCTGTCTATATGTCTGTAATTCAGAAAGTCCTTTACCTCTCACATCATGAATGTAGTAAACACGCTTACAAAGTCTTTTAAATTAAAATAAGCTCTGTTTTGATTGGCTTATATAAGGTTCTATACACCAAATATTTCTATGAGTCCCAGAAAATAAGGAATTTGAATTTGAAATCCATTAATCATGCTAGGCATAAAAGCTATGACATGAAGCCAAGCACTATAATACATGCGGTAGGGGGAGCCCTAGAAGCTGAGAGAAGGACAGTAAGGGTGTCCTGGGGGGAAGGAGGGTGATAGCAGTGACTTGAGATTGGTTATATACAAGTGGGTTAATCAGTAAGTAAATATATTAATAACAGGAGCCAGGTTTCTTATTGTCAGAGAAGGGGATTACTGAAAGGAAGAAAGCTGCAATCAACCATGAGGTGTTGGATTCAAATAGAAAGAATCAGTTTATACTCATGGTTTAACATAAAGATATAAATACCTTTATGCATATCTCTATCTATAGAGATAGAGATATATATTCATTCCCTAGCTCTGTCTACTGAAAAAAACAGGAAGTCATACTCAGTGTCTCTGTGCAATGAACAAATTTAGCCCCGAGATTTTGGTTTCTAAATATCATTCTCCACTAAAAGAAACTGGGAGTTCTTTAAACAATGGAAGATTCCAGTGCTGGTGCAGGGAAAGCACAAGATGAGCCTGAAACATCTTGGGCCAGAAGGAGAGAAAATGCACAAAGAATGATGGGGGCATGTCAAAGCCAAAACACAAAAACCAACTTGAAGGACTTCCCGCTGGCCAAATCTGAGACAATTTGAGCAGCAACATAAATTATGAGATAATAGCTTAAAATTCACTGAATAAAATCTTTCATGCTAATCTAAATAAAGACATGATACAAATAAATAAATAACTGAAAGTTTGGTGAAATACAGAATATTTACAGCATCTCAAAGTTAACTCCTTACACAATGGCTACTAACTAAAAAGAGAAAAAGAATAACTTCACAGTAAAGAAATCTCATGTTTACCACCTTAATGAAGTGAATACTGTTAATATAATCAGTAATAGGGCTAATCAAAATTGTGTGTCACCTGATAGGATTCAATGAGAAGAACATAGCATCACTTCTGTGATATTCTTACTGCAGACATGCAACCTGGATTGCATCCTCAAACAAACCCAAATGGAAGGACCATCTACAAAATAACTGGTCAGTAATCTTCAAAAGTGGCATGAGTGTGAAAAGCCAGGCAACAAGGAGAAACCATTCCATATTGAAGGAAACTAAAGAAACATGACAAGTAAATGCAACATGTAACTCTTAGCTGGATCCTTTTACTATAAAGATGTTATTGAGGCATTGGTGAAACCTGAATAGAGTGTGAGGACAAGATGGTAGTAATGTATCCATGTTAATTTTCATTGTTTGTATTGTAGTTATATAGGGAAACTTATTCGTTTGTGGAAAATACACCCTGGAGTATTCAGGGATAAGAGCATCCTATCAGCAACTTACTCTCAAATGGTATGGAAAACGTTCTTTGTACTCCAATTGCAATTTTTGGAAATTGGTTATTGTTTATAAAAAAATTTACATGGTACAAAGGTGTGAAAATTTTAATGATTCTTAATACAAATTGCTAAGTTGCTTTCCAAAAGAGTGGTACCTCATCTTATAATTATGCACTTCTATTTTTTCCTATTACATTTTTGTCATGTAAGCCATGTACTCACTGTATTCAAAGACTTTATTTTCAGTCCTACCTGTCACACTTTATAATAGAAGTGCTGATTTTCATGAACTCACTTATTATCTCAATGTGAGGGTAATCACTCATTGTATCATTAGCTGATAATGACTAGATGAGTTGATTGAGCTGTAAATGACTATGGTTAGAGATTGCAGCTCTAGCTGATTAGATAAATATGCCACATATTTCATTTTGATCGTATCAATTCCACTATCATTTCACTGAAATGTCTTCCTTCAACCTAAAGTTCTCATTAAGGCATGGTAATTTCTCTGAAATATGACCCTATGCATGACTTCTGTCAGCCAAAACCAATAGTTATAGAAAAGGAAGGTTATTTTACGTTTTAGCATCTGCCTGTCTATATGATTTTATGCAAGTCTCGAAATTCAAAAATCCTTTGTGAGAAAGTGAAGAATATCTGTATTGCACTTGCAGTAGTAGCATATGTAGTAGGACAGAGAGGCCAGTGCTTTGAAAAATGTGTCTAGTTTAAGAATTTTGGTGAAAAGATTTGCAAACTTTGTCCCCAATAAATCCTAAAGAATGACTCCCTTTGGCACCAGGTATCAGGCATTATTTAGACTTTCTAGCCCAGTGCTTCTTGAAAACTTTAAAATGCACATGAATCACCAGGGGATCTTGTTAAATGCAGATCTGATTCAGTCATTCTGGGTGGGGCCTGAGAGTCTGCACTTCCAACCAGCTCCCAGGTGATGCTGATGCTGCTGGTGCACAAACCACACACAAAATGAAAGCAAAGGCTGGGCGCAGTGGCTTACGTCTGTAATCCCAGCACTTTGGAAGGCCGAGGCAGGTGGATCACCTGAGGTCAGGAGTTCAAGACCACTAGCCTGGCCAACATGGTGAAACCCTGTCTCTACTAAAAATACAAAAAAATAGCAGGGCATGGTGGAAGATGCCTGTAATCGCAGCTACTTGGGAGGCTGAAGCGGGAAAATCACTTGAGCCTGGGAGGCGGAGGTTGCAGTGAGCCAAGATCAGGCCACTGCACTCCAGCCTGGGTGACAGAGTAATAGTCTGTCTCAAAATAATAATAATAAATAAATAAATAAATAAATAAATAAATAAAGCAAAGGGCTAGCAAACAGCTCACTTTTGCTGTTTTGTGAAGAACGGAACACAGAGATTGTGTGTGAGGGGAAGCTTAGTCAACTGGTAAATCTGTATGCCTGGCTCATGGACCATCCACTCATTCTAGAGAAGAGTTAATCCTGTGGCCAACTGACTGGAACATGACAGTGACCACAGGGAGCAATTTTATTAGGCCAGGATTCTGTGTTTAAGAAAACAGCTAAAAATTTGAGTATCAGCTGGGTGCAGTGGCTCACACCTGTAATCCCAGAACTTTGTGGGGATGAGGCAGGAGGATCACTTGAGTCCGGGAGCTCAAGACCAGCCTGGGCAACATAGCAAAACTCATCCTTATAAAAAATAAAATATTAGCCAGACATGGTGGCATGCACCTGTAGTCTCAGCTACTGGGGAGGCTGAGGCAGGAAGGTCACTTAAGCCCAGGAGCTGGAGGCTGCAGTGAACTATAATCATGCCAGTGCACTCCAGCCTGGGCAACAGAGCAAGAAGCTGAAAAAAGAAAAGAAAGAAAGGGAAAGTAAAGAAAAGAAGAGAAGAGAGAAAGAGAAAGAGGGAAGGAAGGAAGGAAGGACGGGAGGGAGGGAAGGAAGGAAGGAAAGAGGAAAGAAAGAAAGAAAGGAAAGAAAGAAAGAAAGAAAGAAAGAAAGAAAGAAAGAAAGAAAGAGAAAGAAGAGAGAAAGAGAAAGAAGAAAGAAAGAAAGAAGAAAAGAAAGAGGGAGGGAGGGAGAGAGGAAAGAAAGAATGAAAGAAAAAGAAAGAAAGAAACAAAGGAAGGAAGGAAGGAAAGAAACATGAGTATCTTGTCCATGTAGTGCTATAATCTCTATTGGAATGTGACCCATATCTCTTATTTTTCTCCTGAAATTTCTTGTATAAACTTGGGGAACACAAATGATTGTTGTTCCATGGAAAGAAAGAAAAAGGAAGATGAGGACCCTTGGGGGTCTCATGAGCTGCCTTAGATACCTCCAGTTAAGTAGGAATCTGGTCTGGTGTGAGGAGTGACAAATTGACCTGAGGTTTAGGTTTAAATGTACTGTCTTTCAAAGAACAGAGAGAAAAATAAAATTAATTAATTAATTAAAATTAAAAATAGAAAAAATAAGTTTACCCAGTCATTTTCTCTATGCTGGGATAAGGGACATGTCCTTTTCTAAGTAGCTGAGTGTTGGTGAGGCTTTTCCATGAATAGCTTGGAATTTTTAGGGATGAAGTATGCTGTGTGGTAAACAGATATGGCAGCATTTCAGAGGTGTAATAAGTCAGCACATTTTTTTAAGAGACAGTACCTTGCTCTGTCACCCAGGCTGAAGTACAGTGACATGATTGTTACTGGAAAGGGGTCCCTATCCAGACCCCAAGAGAGGGTTCTTGGATCTCACAAAAGAAAGAATTTGAGGCAAAACCATAGAGTAAAGAAAGAGCAAGTTTATTAAGAAAGTAAAGGAATAAAAGAATGGCTACTCCATACGCACAGCAGCAGCCTGAGCTGCTGGTTGGCCATTTTTATGGTTATTTCTTGATTATATACTAAATAATATAATCAATATATTATATTATTGATTATATATTATATATAATCAATATATAATCCACCAAGGGGTGGATTATTCATGAGTTTTTCCAAAAAGGGGCAGGCAATTCCAGAACTGAAGTTTCCTCCTCTTTTGAGACCATAAGTGTAACTTCCTGATGTTGTCATGGCATTTGTAAACTGTCTTGGAGCTGGTGGGAGTGTCTTTTAGCATGCTAATGCATTATAATTAGCATACAATGAGCAGTAAGGATGACCAGAGGTCCCTCTCGTCGCCATCTTGGTTTTGGTGGACTTTGGCCAGCTTCCTTACAACCTGTTTTATCAGCAAGGTCTTTATGACCTGTATCTTGTGCCAACCTCCTATCTCATCCTGTGACTTAGAGTATCTAACTTACTGAGAATGCAGCCCAGCAGGTCTCAGCCTCATTTTACCCAGCCCCTATTCAAGATTGAGTCACTCTGGTTTAAACACCTCTGATATGATCATAGCTCACTGCAGCCTCAGCCTCCCAGGCTCAAGTGATCCTCCCAAGTCAGCCCCCCAACCAGTTGGAACTATAGGGGTGTGCCACTACGCCTGGAAATTTTTTTTAATTTTTTTTTTTTTTTTTGAGACAGGATCTTGCAATATTGCCTAGGCTGGTCTCGAAGTCCTGGGCTCAAGCCATCCTCCTGTCTCAGCTTCTCAAAGTGCTGGGATTACTGGTGTGAATCACGATGCCCCACCAAGTCAGCACTTTCTACTTCAAGTAGTCTTTTAACTTTGAAAAACTGGGTAGTACTGTTCCCATTATACTGAGTTATATTGAGCTAGAAATTGGGACTCCAGGAAGTTAATTAACTTACCCAAGTTCACACACCTAACAAGTGATGGAGGTGAGATTTGAACTCTACCTGCACGACTTCAAAGCTTGGTAGCCTTCTTGTGTGCCAGACTTCTTCTCTAAGAACATTTGTAAATATATATATATATATATATATATATATATATATATATATATATATATATATACACACACACACACACATACACATATATATAATTTAGAAATCATAGTTTAAATTTAAATTGGTGGGAGATTAGTAATATGCTGGGATTTTGTTGCTTGATCAAAATTATGCAACTATTAAGTGATGGAGAAAGAATTCAAACCCAGGTCTAATAAAGGGTTTCACATTAACCTACCCCCTCTAATGATCCAAGAATTGTGATGCTAACAGCAGTAACATGAATATCACATACATTTTGTATGGCACTTTAAAGGTCTCAGAGTTGTCATTTTGGCCCCACAATACTGGGCGGTTCTGGCAGGGCAGAGCTTCCACGCAGTTCACAAGTTAGGAAACCAAGACTGTGAAAGTTAAACCTAAGGGCTCACAGGCAGGAAATGGTCCTAAAATCTAGGTCTTGGGCAGCAAATTCTGAGTCCACAGCCTTCACTGTCATCAAAAGACCTCAGAGCAATTTTAAATGGACATATCCCCAGCTGTGAATAGAGAGATTTATCTCCTTTTTTTTTTTTTCCCTTTGAGACAGAGTCTCACTCTGTTGCCCAGGCTGGAGTGCAATGGCTTACAGCAACCCCCACCTCCCGGGTTCAAGCGATTCTGCTGCCTCAGCCTCCTGAGTAGCTGGGATTACAGGCACGCGCCACCACACCCAGCTAATTTTTGTATTTTTAGTAGAGACGGGGTTTCACCATGTTGGACAAGCTGGTCTCAAACTCCTCACCTCAGGTGATCTGCCCACCTCGGCCTCTCAAAGTGCTGGGATTACAGATGTGAACCACCGCACCTGGCCTCATTATCTCCTTTTTAAAGCAATTATTTAGAAGTTAGCCAAAGCCTTAATCAGCCATTAGATTCCTAAAATAATGACAGCTGCTGAGTGGGAATTTATTGAGTACTTACAATGCATAACATTGCAAATGACATGGGCCCTGTCTTCAAGGAGCTTACAAACCAGTACACATGCAAAGACATAAACATAACTGACTTGTATACAATGAAAAATTCTTTTGAGTCTATATGCACAGAAGCACGAACTGAAGCAATGATTTTAAGAGTAAGGAATATAAATACCCCTTTTGGAAAGAGGAGAGCTACTTTATGCTTTGCAGGCAAATTCTCCATAAGGGACAACTACTTTGAGTCCACAGCAGTTTGATTATTTATTCTCTTTTCTGTGTCCAAGAGCCCAAATAAACCTGTCAAAACTCTTTGGTGTCTTATTCCTGAAGAGCAATCACTATTAGTCCTATTGTGACCAGTTCTCCAGTGGCTCTGTTGGACTGCTATACTCTGGTTGGAAAAAAAAGAAAAAAAAAAAAAAAACTTCTTGCCTAAACATAAGGAATTCTCATCCTGCTCCAAGCCTTTGCGTGTACCTTTACCTCTGGAAAGCTGTTTCTTTCAACTCTTTACCTGGACAGCACTTATTCATCCTTCAGGTCCCAGTTACACTTCATGCCCACTGGGAACCTTCTGTAATTCTACAAGTCTGGAATAAAGCCTGTAGTGGTCCTTATAGGTTAGGCAATAATAAATGTCCTCCAATTCTCTCTGGCTTGAAAAAAAATAAAGGTTTCTCTCTCACACACACTACATATCCATTGCAGATTAGCTGGGGGCTGCGCTCCCTGTTATCCTCCCTCAGGGTCCTAGCCCGAAGGAGCCTCCCCCATCTGGAGTATTGATAGTCACCATGAAGGAAAAAGACTTCCACCTATATGTGACTTGTGTTGCCTCCACTTATATTCCATTAGTCAAAATAGGTGATGCCTAACTATAAAGAGGTGAAGAAGTGAAATGTCGTGCTATGTGCCAAGGAGAAGATGCAGAGTATCAGTGAAAGCCACTAAGAACCAGCACAGAGATCTTTCAGTTTGCTGCTATCACAGAATCCCAGTACTTACCACAATTGCAGGACTTATTGAACGGTATTCCAGTTACCTGATTATTAGTCAGTGTGCCCCCATAGGACCCCAAGCTTCTGAAGGGTAAGCACTCAACCTTACTTTTATATCTCATACCTGCCACAGTGTGTGGCACGTATATAAACTCAGAGGAAAAACTTGAATGAAGAGGACAATGCCTTTTTTTTTTTTTTTTTTTTTGAGACAGGGTCTCGCTCTGTCACCCAGGCTGGAGTGCAGTGGCACGATCTCGTCTCACTGCAACCTTTGTGTCCCCGGTTCAAGAGATTCTTCCACCTCAGCCTCCCCAGTAGCTGGGACCACAGGCGTGCGCCACCACGCCCAGCTAATTTTTGTATTTTTTGGTAGAGACGGGGTTTCACCATGTTGACCAGGCAGTTTCAAACTCCTGACCTCAGGTGAGCCACCTACCTCAGCCTCCCAAAGTGCTGGGATTACAGGCATAAGCAACCACACCCGGACCTATTTTTTAAAAAGGCAGGTCTGTATCTTTAAATGTATGATTTCAAAATAGTTATAATTCAAAATGCTACTTGTGTGTTATATTCCTCAGGAAAGATATACATATAGCCTTGAGCTACAATTCTGACTTTGCTTGTGAATGCAAATATTTTAACAAGTGTAACACACAGAAGCTTGAACTATCAATTATTTCTAGAGGTGTGTGTAAAATATCTTATTTATCCCAGCGATCTTAAATTAGACTGAAGAAAAGAACTCTACCTTTAAAAATACATCTCAGACTTTGCATTTGTCCTCAACTTGTCTAGCAGATTAATCAAAAGTTAGAGTTGTTTAACATGTAAGAGAGAAATGTAATATTTATTTAGTTTTCTTAGTTATGAGTGGATTTTGATGGCTAAATATGACAAGTAAATGCGAAAGATGAATTAACTGTCATAAGTTTCCATATTTATAATTAGGAATTAATTTTCCTATACACTTCAGGGCTTAAAAACATATCAGTTGAATTTTTTTCCAAACAAATTGGTTTAGAAAATAATTCACCAGTTCACTGTTGAATTCTGCCAAAATGGTAAATTCTTTGAAAACATTTAGCTACTAACAAGTAGCTTGAATAAATTAAATGGCAGTGTGAATAAATATACCCATAAGGTACCTTTGGAGAAAAACACAATGTATAAGTTTGTCATAAAAATTACAGTCCACTGAAATGTCACCTTTTCTTAAGTACAAATTTATTTTCAGAGGAACCATGTCATTTTTTAAGTGTGAGTATTGGATTTAGCAATCATTAGACTTAACATGAAGAATATACTTACCAATTTTAGCTTCTTTCACTTTGAAATCTTTTTATTGGATTGGCCCTAAGGACAATCCATGGGATGTTTTATATTTGTATAATATTTTCATATCATTATAATATTTTTATTTTGATCATCACGGTAATTCTCTGTGGTAGATGAGTCATATACATTTAGCCCCATCTAACTTGGCTATTTTCCTACTTCTACACAGTTTCCTTCTTCTCAATCCACTTTCCAGTAGTGACATTTTAACAGGCAGATTTTCATGAATACTCTCTCAGCAGCACAGAGTCAACTCTGCTCTGATTAAAATTTGGGCAAGAAAATTCGTCTTTTCCATCAAGGGCTTCTACCTATGGAATTTCCTCCTCTTCCTGATGACAAAACCCCAACTCGGTATCTTATGGAATATATCTGGATGCCTTCTTAAGAGAGATATGAGCTCCAATAAACAGATGTTTATTTTTAGGGTTATCTCACCTTGTTTTTACATTTAAAAACAACTACGAGATTTGTTTAATGCCATTAAAGTGTAACCAAACTAGAATTTATTCCTTAAAACCCCTGAAGTATGACATATCATACACTCCCTGCAAAACTATAGCACGGTTTGAACTAGGTAAAATAGTAATACATGAAGTTGCTCTTGCTATTCCTTTTTCACCATTCAGTCTCTCAACAAATATTTTTTGAGCGCTTGTTATATGCCAGGCCTTATGTAGTTAGTATTAAAATGTCGAGCAAAAGCCAAGCTTAGAATGTAAGGGGGGAGATAGACATTAATCAAATAATCATGTCAAGGAATGTGTAGTGAGCACTCTGAAGCATAGGGCTATGGTTTCAATATGGTTTGCTTGTCCCCACCAAAACTCATGCTGAAATTTGATTCTCAATGTGTTGGTGTTGAAAAGTAGGGCCCCCGGCCGGGCGCGGTGGCTCACACCTGTAATCCCAGCACTTTGGGAGGCCGAGGCGGGTGGATCACGAGGTCAGGAGTTCAAGACCAGCCTGGCCAAGATGGTGAAATCCCGTCTCTACTAAAAATACAAAAATTAGCCAGGTGCAGTGGCGGGTGCCTGTAATCCCAGCTACTCGGAAGGCTGAGGCAGGATAATTGCTTGAACCCGGGAGGCAGAGGTTGCAGTGAGCTGAGATCACACCATTGCACTCCAGCCTGGGCGATAAGAGTGAGACTCCGTCTCAAAAAAAAAAAAAAAAAGAAAAAGAAGAAGGAAAAGAAAAAGAAAAGACAAGTAGGGCCCAGGAGGAGGTGTTTGGATCATGGAGGTGGATCCCTCAAATGGCTTGGTGCTGTTCTCTCAGTAGAAAGTGAGTTTTCGCTTTAGACACACCGGGTTAGTTCTTGTGGGCATGGATTATCTCCCATGAGAGTGGGTTGTTATAAAGTCAGGACACCCTTCAGGTTTTGCCTCTTCGAAACATGTCCACTTCTTTGACCTTTTGCTGTGTTGTCACAAAGCACGAAAGATTTTACCAGAAGCTGAGCAGAGGCCAGCGTCATGCTTCTTGTACTTCCTAGCCTGCAGCACCGTGCGCTAAATAAACTTTTCTTACAAATTATCCAGCCTCAGGTATTCTGTTATAGTAACACAAAATGAACTGGGACAAGTGATAACCATTATTTCAAAGTGGATAATACCAAAGGAACTTTACTTAGGAGAGAAGAGGTCAGGGAAGCCTTGCCTGAGAAGATGACCCCTAATCTCAGATCTGACAGACAAAAAGTTAAGGATTGGGGCTTGGGATTAAGCTAGAATAAATAGAGAGTTGAAATACATACCAAAGGGCTGGGCGTGGTGGCTCATGCCTGTAATCCCAGCACTTTGGGAGGCTGAGGCGGGCAGATCACCTGAGGCCAGGAGTTCAAGACCAGCCTGGGCAGCATGGAGAAACCCCGTCTCTACTAAAAATATAAAAAAAAAAAAAAATAGCTGGGCATAGTGGCATGTGCCTGTAATCCCAGCTATTCGGGAGGCTGAGACAGAAGAATCGCTTGAACCCGGGAGGCAGAGGTTGCAGTGAGCCGAGATGACGCCACTCCAGAGGGACTCTGTCTCAAAAAAGAAAGAGAGAGACAGAGAAGGAAAGAAACAAGGAAGGAAGGAAGGAAGGAAGGAAGGAAGGAAGGAAGGAAGGAAAAGTTGGGGTCGGGAAGAGGGGCTAAACTAGTATGAGGCTGGAAAGGCTGTCGTGGCCCAAAACTGTGTTGCTGTGGTTTCAATGTTTGTTCCCTCCAAAACTCATGTTGAAACTTAATCCCAATGTAGTGATATTAACCGATGGAGCATTTATTTATTTATTTATTTTTGAGACAATGTCATGCTGTGTCGCCCAGACTGGAGTGCAATGGCATGATCACAGCTCACTGCAGCCTCAACATCCTGGGCTCAAGTGATCCTCTCACCTCAGCCTCCCAAGTAGCTGGCACTTCAGTCATGTGCCACCATACATGGCTAATTTTTTTTTTTTTTTTGAGACAGGGTCTCACTGTTGTCACCCAAGCTGGAGTGCAGTGGCACGAACATGGCTCACTGCAGCCTTGACCTCCTGGGCTCAAGTGATCTTCCCACCTAAGCCTCTTGAGTAGCTGGGACCACAGATGTGTACCACCATGCCTAGCTAAGTTTTTAAAATTTTTTCTAGAGACAGAACCTCACTATGTTGCCCAGGCTGGTCTCAAACTCCTGGGCTTAAGCAACCCACCTGCCTCAGCCTCCCAGAGTGCTAGGATTACAGGCATGAGCCACCACACCTGGCCTAAGGGATGAAGCTTTTAAGAGGTGATTGGGTCATGAGGGTTCTGTCCTCATGAATGAATTAATCCATTTAAGGATTAATGGATTAAGGGTTTGATGGGTTATGACGAAAGTGGGTGTCTTATAAAAGCCAGTTTAGCCATCTCTCATGCACCCTCTCACCCTGGAGTGCCTTCCACCATGTTATGATGCAACACAAGGCCCTCACCAGAAGCCAGCCAGACGTGGTCACCTGATCCTGGACTTCCCAGCCTCCAGAAACATGAGAAATAAATTTCTGTTCTTTATAAATTACTCAGTCTCAGGTATTCTGTTATAGCACAGAAAAGTGACATGCAAGATTTTTTCCTTATCACAAGGGCAACAGAGAGCCACTGACACAGTTTAAACAAGGGATGAACATAAGCAGACCTACGTTCTGGAAAAAAATACTTCTAACTTTATTGTGGAAAATGGGTTAAAAAGAACTCAAAGTGGATACACAGAGTGTAATGGGAAGTCTGGACGAGATGGTGGTGACTTAGATTCAGTGAAGCAGCAGTGATGAGGGTGAAAGGTGACAAATTTGAGAGATATTTAGATAAAATGGAGAGGACTTGGTAATAAGTTGGCTACAGAAGGCGAGGAAGGAAAACGGATTGAGTACAAATCTGAGGTCTCTGGCTTAAACAATGTTTAATTATTTAGCTAGTTAGAAAACATGAGAGAACCAGGTTTGATTCTGGGTCTTGGACATGCTGAATTTGAGGTATCTGTGAAATAGTCAATCTCAGAGGAGGGTCTGAGCTAGAGATTTAAATCTGGAAGTCACTAGTAATTCAAACACTGGGGATATATGGAGTGATATAAGGGGAAACAAGAACCAGGAGGGAACCAGAAGGAACTTCCCTATGTGATGACTGAACAGAGGCAAGTAAGCCTCCATAGGAGACTAGAAATGATTAACTAGGAGGAAAAGCAGGGAAGTCTATTATCTCAGAATCAAGAGGGAAGTGTTCTAAGAAGGAGGGAATGATCAATAGTCTCAATTTCTGAGAAGCAATCAAGAGAATTGAGACTGAAACGTGTACATTTGACTTAACAACATGGCAAGTGATGGCAGAATTTCAGCATGTTTAAATAGCAGTGGGTAGCTTCTGCTTGGCAGGAGAGAAGAGAGGACTTCCATTGGGATTCTGTCCAACATCATCCCAGTGGCTTAACCACTTTGTGCTATTCTGCACAATATTAGACAATTCAGAGCATCTCCCTAAACTGCATCTTATATAAAATGGGAAGTGCAACATCACACAGGATTGTCGGGAAGATGAAAATAAAACAACAGGTGAACAGAACTCTAAACTATAAAAATGAATTAAAAAGGTGCAGCAATTATTATTTCTCCTCAACCTGGGGTTCAGCCAAAGCTTATCTTTCCTATGTCGTCTTCCTCCAGGTTCTGGCTAGATAGCTAATGCACGCAGTTATCTGTGGCTGATCATGGCTTGTCATACTGCTACTCCTAGATGTCTGTGAGGGGGTCTCCTATAGCTTCAACGATAATACACAGAATCTCAAAATCCATTGCAGGCCACGTGGCTGAGCAGCAGGCAGAGATCATCCTGAGCAAAGACCTTTCTCTGCAGCATACCTAAAATCACAGCCAATAGGCAACTGCCTCGTCCAGTCCTCAGAAAGCACTGATTATTAGATAATATAAAGAATGCCACTTCCTCCCTCTCCCCTCAAATCAAATTACCCAACCTTATGAGGATTTCAGAAGGTTTTGTTTTGGTTTTGAACCAAAGGGAATGTTTAGAAAAGTAAGGCAAGAATGCCATCTTGGGGTTTCAGCTAACAACACAGTCTACCTTAGCAGCAGATAGGAAGAGGAATGTGTTCCTAGAGGTCGTTCAATGTCACTACAGCAATGGACTTAGATCCTTAAGGGCTGTTGCTGGTTGGCTACATTTAACTGTTGGAATCCCCCAATTAAACAATTAAAAATTCAGCTTAACTCACCACATTGGGGTTTGGCCTTTCAGTATGTCGAGCTTCTAGTTAAATCACTCTCAGCTTTTGCCTCCTCCTCAATGATCTTGTCTTTTCATGATCTGCTTAACAAGATGACTCAGTGTTTGGGGACATCATTTGATGACTTCCTTTTTCACCCATCCTCTCTGTTTATTTCAATATAGGTTAAAGGAAAGCAATAACAGAATTTCTCAGGTTTTTGTTTATTTTATTTTGAGAGGTAGGGGGATTATGGCTTATAGAACTAGCTCCCCAGGTTCAACAAGTATGACTACAAAGTAATAGGATTCCTTGGTGGAGTTGAGTTTTATTCCTTGATAGGACACTTTTATACTTTTTTGACTTGCATAATCCTTCCCTCACAATTTTATTTTTTAAAAGATAGTGATGAACGCAGTTATTATGGTTGGCATCTTTCATTTATCTTTCCGCATTTCACCTGTATTTACTAAAGAGAAATAAATTCAAAGGTGCAAATAATCCAGTAGCAAATAATCTGGGGCCTCAGTTTTGGATGTTTCCTTTCTTCCTGTTTGATGGGAAACCTTTCTTTGGATAGGTTCCCTATGTAGTTCTATGCAGGAGAGATGCAATGTGGGATGATGAAGAGAGAAGATTTGCAAGATGTAAACATTTGTTTACATTGTGCCTTTAGTCATAGTCGCTTATATGACTGTCTTCACCCAAACCCAGGAAGGTTTTTGTTTTGTTTTGTTTTTTTGAGATGGAGTTTCACTCTTGTTGCCCAGGCTGGAGTGCAATGGCGCAATCTCAGCTCACTGCAACCTCCACCTCCCAGATTCAAGCGATTCTCCTGTCTCAGCCTCTCAAGTAGCTCAGGTTACAGGCATGCGCCACCACGCCCAGCTAATTTTGTGTTTTTAGTAGAGATGGAGTTTCTTCCTGTTGGTCAGGCTGGTCTCAAACTCCCGACCTCAGGTGATGCTCCCACCTCGGCCTCCCAAAGTGCTGGGATTACAGGCGTGAGCCACCGTGCCCGGCTGGAAGTTTTCTTAAAATGCCTTAGAATAAGGACTCACTGTCTCCTATCTGGCATTGAGTTAGAGATCAGTAAACATTTGTTGAATCCAGCAACGTGTGTCTGAAAGGTAAGATTTGTGCTTTGTCCTTCTTTTCCTTAAAAGTTTCAGAACATACTCTTATTCTCTTGCCTTGAATTTGGAAAGTTTTTGTGGCTGCATCTGTGAGACGTGAAAGTCAGAGTGAGGTGAAATGAGAGAGCTGAGCACGAATCAAGGCAAGTACTAGCTGCTTGTTCCTTTGTCTTACTACAGAGAACGGTATGATCATTCTTTAGAAGAAAAAGAATTAGCCATGAGTGGTGGTGAACACCATTGGTCCCACGTCCTCAGGAGGCTGAGGTGGGAGGATCGCTTGAGCCCAGGTGATCAAGGCTGCAGTGAGCTGTGATCACACCACTGCACTTCAGCCTGGGCAATGAAGCGAGACCCTGTCTCAAAAATAAATAAATAAATAAATAAAAGCAAAACAAGGAGAGAAATTACGATTTTTTTTTATTTGGCCAAATGTGGAAGGGAGATAGCATGTCAGGGGTAAGGGGATGGGAAACTTCAAATATGACTCTCTTAATGTGTGTTCAGTTTACCTTTAAACTCTCTGAGGCAGGTGGGGACTCGGTTTGAGTTTAGGCTCTGTGGGAGCTGTGTGACCTTAGGTAAGTAACTTAACCTCTCTATGCCCCAGATTCCTCATCTGTAAAACAGGATTAATAACAGTACTTCCTTCATGAGTTTATTGTCTGGGTTAAATGAGCCAATGAGTGTGAAGTGTCTGGCAAACGGCCACTTCTCTATAAAAGCGTAAGCCCCAAAGGCCCAAAAGCCAACTATCCCAGGTACCCACAAGCCCATACTGCCATGGAGTATGAGCCCCCTTCTCAACATGTATGTGTGTTGCTCCTGGTTGAGGAAAGAGTGGTCACACATAAATATGGTTTGTTGAGATACACTTAAATACCTATGAAATATGAACTGCTAGGTCAACTTATAATCATTAACATCACATAAGTAAACTAAACAGGAGTTAGGCATAAAAGCTAAAAACAGAACTCTTTGGAGAAATGGGGAATGTAGATTAAAACAACTTCAAGAGTTTACTAACTATGAGAGGAAAATCACTGAGAAAGAACTGAAAAAAGTAGTTACTGTTAGGAATGTGTCCAGGCGGAGACAAAGTCCTAGGAGAAATGCATTAGTTCAGGGAGAGTTCAGGGTTTCATTACATGTGATATCTGGGGAGCTATTTGAACTGCAGCCCATCCTGACATGCAACAGAGAGACCCTCCTTTCCTAGCAATCAGGGGAGCTGAGAAACTCATTTAACGGATCCACAAGAGAGGAAAAAAGATCAGAAGCCTAAGAGTTCAGTCTTTGGAGGAGAAACTTCTAAATCCACGGGTGACGGGAATAGAAATCTAACCTTAGGGCTCAAATCAGAAAATGTTCTCTGCAGACTTTTGTTTTAGAGTAATATTGATTTCAATTTTTTTCTTGAAAACATAAGCTTCACAGTAGGTAAAGGTGGTTTCATTCACTTTCTTGACTTCTATTAAAAACTTTTAAGTCATATATTAATTTTTTTAAGTTCCGTGGTACAGGTGCAGGATGTGCAGATTTGTTACATAGGTAAACGTGTGCCGTGGTGGTTTGCTGCACCTTTAAACCCATCACCTACGGTATTCAGTCCAGCATGCATTAGCTCTTTTCCCTAATGCTCTCCCCACCCCCGCCCTCCCCTGACAGGTCCCACCGTGTGTTGTTCCCCTCTTTGTGTCTATGTGTCCTCATTGTTCAGCTCCCACTTATAAGTGAAAACATGTGATGTTTGATTTTCTGTTCCTGTGTTAGTTTGCTGAGGATAATGGCTTCCAGCTTCATCCATGTCCCTGTGAAGGACATGATCTCATTCCTTTTTTGGCTTCATAGTATTCCGTGGTGTATGTGTACCAGATTTTCTTTGTCCAGTCTATCATTGATGGGCATTTGGGCTGATTTCATGTCTTTGCTATTGTGACTAGTGCTGCAGTGAACATACGAGTGCATGTATTTTTATAATAGAATGTAAATCATTTGTTAATTTTTAAAAGTAAACATTTTATGCCTAAATAGGCATTTTCATATACTGTCAGTGGGCATGCAAATTGCTACGATGCCACCAAAGAGCAATATGTCAATGGCTATCAAAATGACAAGCGCATATGTCTTTAATGCAGCATTTTCTCTTTTAAAACATTTACCCCACAGATATACTTACACATGTAAATATGACATTTGTACAGGATAGCTCATTGCAACATATATAACAATTAAATACTCTATAGCTATAAAATGAATGAATTTATTTATATAATAGAATGGAAAGATCTCAAAGATATATTAAGAGAAAACAGCAAGATCCATGACAAACATAGTGTACTACCATTAAAAAAATAAACAAAATTAAAAAGCAAAAAAATATGTATGTGTGTTGATTCTAATATGCATACAAATTCTCTGGAAGAATAAATAAGAAACTAAAAACTAGTTACCTCTTGGAGAGAATATGAACTGGAGGACATGGAGGGCAGGAGGGGGAATTTTAACCATATGAATACATTATGTATTCAAAAAAATTAAACTACAAAAAAGTCATACTTTATAAGAAACTTAAGAACATCCCACTTTATTTTATT
Organism: Homo sapiens; assembly: GCF_000001405.40. Taxonomy (NCBI): domain Eukaryota; kingdom Metazoa; phylum Chordata; class Mammalia; order Primates; family Hominidae; genus Homo; species Homo sapiens. The sequence continues at coordinate 59,748,102 of NC_000015.10, read as the reverse complement.
TTTATTTTTTCAGACAGGGTCTCACTCTGTCACCCAGGCTGGAGTGTAGTGGCACAGTCTTGGCTCACTGCAACCTCCACCTCCTGGGCTCAAGCAAACCTCCTACCTCAGCCTCCCAGTTAGCTAGGACCACAGGCTCGCACCACCATGCCTGGCTAATTTTTGTATTTTTTGTACAGACAGGATCTCACAGGCGGGTCTGGAACTCCTGAGCTCAAGTGATACACTTGCCTCAGCCTCCCAAAGTGGTAGGATTACAGGTGTGAGCCACCACACCCAGCCAGAACATTCCATTTTATGCCAAAGATAAACTTCCAAACCAGCAACTTAGTATCAAATAATAGCATTTAGGAAGGTATCCCCAAAATAAATTACAAAGAAGTAATTTAAAAACCCAAAGGCTCATATCATATGTTGATCTGAAAAGGACTCTAGTAAATCTATTTTCCAATTTCTTAGATCGTATTGCATATCTAATGAATGTAGGCTTCAACAGCTGGTTCACACCTCTGTTACTCAGGTTCTATGATGATAAACTGTGAATAACAGTGCTAGTAAAATTTCAGCCAAGATTATATGATAAAGGTGTCTCTGAAAGATCTTATAACTATCAAACCCCCCATGAATATGCAGTGACCAAGCACCTGTATTTCTCTTTCTCCCTGTGGATGAAATAGAAATATAGACCTTCATGGTAGCGTATATCATAAGACTATAATCCCCATGCCAACTGAAGTCACATTTATTTTGATCAATACTATATTCCTATCACCTATTACAATTATCTTAGCCTAGATTTCCCCAAAAGTGGAGTGGAAGACAAAGCCTGTATTTGAATAGTTATTTGAGACTGTGACACCAGTGGGCAAGAGCAAAGGAGGGAGAAGCAGTACAAGGTCACATTATCAAGTCAACTGCTGCAGCAGTAACAGGTGGATCCCGCAGGACCTTCTGGGGAGACTTCTGAAATGCCTCTCAGGCCGTCTTCTCAGAAGAAGAAAGTGGGAGGAACCCCATGCCCCACTGGTCCAGGTATCTTATGGAGCTCTAACTCCTCCACCCTTCCGGGTTGCACAGGTCTGAGTGCCAAGTGGACTCCCCTGGGAATCCAACGGATGACACAGCTGTAGAGAAGCCAGGGCAGGAAGCAAAGAGGCTCACGCTGCAGGCCAGAGGCGAAGCCCCATCAGGCTGCATCTGTGGAGCTTTGTTGAAGTCTGCAGGGAACTGGGCACCACAGCTGTGGCTGGCACAAGAGGCAAGTCTGAGAAGACCTGAAGTGGCGCTCAAGAGGTGTTCAATACACAGTGCATGTCACACGGTAAGGGCTCAATAAATATTTGTTCAATGAAAAGACCCCAGGTGACCGGATCACAGAATCAGAGAACTGGAGGAGTCCTTGCAAGTCCACTCCTCCAACCTCCCACCTGGTGTAGGTTTTCCTTCTGAAGGAGCCTAGAGATGCATCAACACTTCTCCAAAAGCGGGGCTCATCCACTACCTGTGAGGGAGCCCCTTTTGTGTTTAAGTAGCTCTACATACGAGAATGCTTTCCTCGCACAGAGAAAAATCTATCCTGCTGTAGCTTCTACCATCACTTCCAATTTGGTCCCCAACAGCATGCTGGGGCTCAACCAGCTGTGGGCACAGTGCAGCTCTAATTCACCCCTACATTGCTCATGTTAAGCGAACAGGGAGGAGAAATCCTGCATGCAGTTAATTTGGGAAAACATGACAGAATAATATGAATTGGAAAGAGATATGAAGCACTGTTCTTATGTTGATACAAGCAAATATGTTCTTTAAAAATAAAAAGGAGGCCAGGCATGGTGGCTCACTCCTATAATCACAGCACTTTGGTAGGCCATGAGTTCAAGACCAGCCTGGGCAACATAGTGAAACCCTGTCTCTACTAAAAATACAAAATTTAGCAGGGCATGGTGGTGCATGCCTGTAGTACTAGCTACTCAGGAGGCTCAGGTGGAAAGATCACCTGAGCCCGGGAAGTTGAGGCTGCAGTGAGCCATGATCGTGCCACTGCACTCCAGCCTGGGCAACATAGTGAGACTCCATCTCAAACAATAAAAAATAAAAATAAAAAGGAAATAAGTCTGTGAATACTTAAATAAAAAGATAAAAATCTGGTCTTCTTGGAGGTGAGGGTATTTTTTCTTTTTTCTTTGTGTGTGTGTGTGTGTGTGTGTGTGTTTCTGGCTTTGGTGTTATGTTTAAATAGGCATTCCTCACACTAAAATTATATAGTCACTGTTGTTTTCTTTTTCTTTTCTTTTTTTTTTTTTTTTTTTTTTGAGATGGAGTCTTGCTCTGTCGGCCAGGCTGGAGTGCAGTGGTGGGATCTCGGCTCACTGCAAGCTCTGCCTCTCAGGTTCACACCATTCTCCTGCCTCAGCCTCCCAAGTAGCTAGGACTACAGGTGCCCACCACCACGCTCGGCTAATTTTTTGTATTTTTAGTAGAATTGGGGTTTCACTGTGTTAGCCAGGATTGTCTCGACCTCCTGACCTCGTGATCTGCCCACCTCAGCCTCCCAAAGTGCTGGGATTACAGGTGTGAGCCACCGCGCCTGGCCAGGGTATTTTTTCTCACACTCTGTGCTCTTAGCTGAGCCCACTTGGAGGAAAACATCTACACTGTTGATTGTTTTTGCTTAAGTTCATGGCCACTCACCTTGAGGGAGCCCATAGTTGACCTGAAAGTCCTACCAGTTCATTCACTCTCCCATTCCAACCCCTTCTCCCCATGGCCACTCTCAGCTGATGGCCTTGCTTCCTATTTTATTGAAGACATAGAAGCACTCAGAAAAGTCTACCAGTTGCCATCACTATATCCACCAGCATCTGTGGATGTGATACTGGCATCTGTGGCCACATTCCCTGGCTTTCTTCCTGTTACTACAATGTGGTGGTTTAAGAATATGTGCAAAAATCTTTGACATTACTCCCTTCAAAAAGTGGAGCCTAAAATCCCTTCCCTAGACTGAGGACTTAATGACTTGGTCCTAAAAAATAGAATGTGAAGGCACTGAAGGTGTGTGACTTCCCAGGCTAGGTTTTAAAAGCATTGAGGCTTCTGCCTTGTTCTTTCTTAGATCATTTGCTCTGGGGAAAGATGCTATGTTGTGAATACATTCAAGTAGCCCTGTGAAGGAGTCCATCAGTGAGGAACTCAGGCTTCCCACCAGCAGCCAATATGAGCTTGCCAGTCATGTGAGTGCACCATCTTGGAAGCAAATCATTAGCTCCCAGACAAGCTTTCTAATGGTTCCAGCCTTGGCCAACATCTTCACTGCAACCTCATAGGAGATCTTGGGCCAGAACTACCCAACTTAGATGCTGCTAAATTCCTGATCAACATATATTGTGTGAAATAATAAATGTGGGTTTTTCAAGCCACTAAATTTGGGGGTCATTTGTTATATGGCAATAGATTACTAACACAATAACACAATATAAAAGAATTATCTGCGATTCCACCATAGGCAAACACTTCCCTTGTACCGGAGGTCCAGTCCCCTCTCACCAACTCAAAAACATTGTTCAAGCAATTGTCCCCTTTCACTCCTGCATCACCAATATTTTCCTCTTTAGTGGATCAGTACCATCAGCATGCCAACATGCTATAATATCTCCTATCAAAAAAGCAAGCAACACATACCTCTTGGCCTCACAACTGCCTTCTAGCTACAGCAGTATTTCTCTATTCCCCTTCACAGCAAAATCCCTCAAATGAAAGTCTGTATTTTCTGTCTCTGCTTTGTCTTCTTTGATTCTCTACTGGACTCTCAAAAGATCTCAACACTAAAATCCAGTGTTCTCGTTTTGTTTAACCTCTCAGCCGCATTTGACAAAATTGATCACTCCCTCCTCCATGAAATGCTTGCTTCACTTTCTTTCTGGGACATTCCTCTTTTTTGCTCTCCTTCTAGTTTTCTGAGCATTCCTTTCCAGGTTTTCTGCTGGTTTCCTCCTATCTTCCTGACCCTAATTGTCAGAGTGTTCCCGGGCTCAGTCCTTGAGTCAATTTTCTTTCTCAAGATACCTGCCATTATTATGACCACCTTCTGTGATGACTGCTTGAATCCACATTGGTCATCACCCCTGCTCAAGCTCAGGATTCTGAGCACTCAATGCCTGCATTAATCAACTGGCAGCGCACTTAGTCTGTGCCTTCACCAATCCACATCAAAGTAATTCACTACTTAAAAAAATCAATGGAACCAATTATTTTGATACATTAAGACCAAAGTCACAACAGATGTATGATTGTTTTTATTATTTTTCAACTGGTTGAGTTGATGTTAGGTAGACTACTGTCTTAATTCTGGCAACTATAACAGAAATACCATAGATTGGGTGGTTTAAGCAACAGAAATCTATTCCTCACAGTTCCGAAGACTGGGAAGTCCAAGATCAAGGGACCAGCGGTGTCTTGTGAGGGTTCACTTCCTGGTTTGCAGATGGTTTGCAGATGGTCATCTTCTCATTGTATTCTCAATGAGCTTGCCAGTGGTGTGATTGTGCCAACTTGGAGGCAGATCCTTAGCTCTCAGACAAACCTTCTGATGGTTGCAGAGAGAGACAAAGCAAGCTCTCTTGTGTCTTTTTACAAGGGTATTAATCCCATTCATGAGAGCTCCACCCTCATGTCCTAATTACCTCCCAAAGGCCCCTCCTCCTAATACCATCACATTGAGAATTGGAATTTCAACATATGAATTTTAGAGGGCCAGAAACATTCAGTCCATAGCAACTGCCTTCAGCCAGAATTTCTGTGGCTATCCTGTGAATCATGGGATGTTCAGCAGCATCCCTGGCTTCTCCCCGTGAGATGCCAGCAGTTACCAACACCCCAGTTGTGATCATCAAAATGTCTCTAGACATTGCCAAAAATCACTCCCAGTTGAGACCCACTGCCTTAGACGTGTGTGTGTGTGTGTGTGTGTGTGTAGGCAAGCAGATAGGTTGAGAGATTTATTCAATATTGATATAGAGAGGAAAAGGCTAACATTAAACAAACCCTTCTTAGGCTAGTGAATTACAGCTTTTAGTTTCTGTGCTTATGTTAAGGGTGGATGTCCCTGCTACAAAAACCAATCCACTGGCAGGGATTCAAGAAGGCATCTGGAAATAAGGGGCTAATAAAAGGCAAAGCTAACAAGGCTCCACCCAGATCAGCAAGTACCATATACATACCTACCTGTATTATCATACCACGACACTGTTGTGAAATGATTTCTTCCCATTTCCCTAAAATGCTATGAGCAAATCAAGGGCAAGGACCACCCTCTGGCACAGTTCCTAGAGCCTCATTGGTGTTCAGCAGTTTTTAATTGACACCAAATGTGGGCACTGCCCTACCCCATGTCCAAGGCATGGGGATAGGGTCACCCACTCTTTCTTCACACACAGCTCCCTGACTGCATGTGGTTCCACTTTTTAAACCTGCCTCTGGCTTTTGTTTTAGCCAGATTCTTTATGAAGGCCTTTTATGTTCTGTGCTCTTCTATTTGAGAATTAACTCTTCACTTGGTGAGGATCTAAATGTGCCCCAAGTACACCCTGAGGTTAGCTGGACAAGGGAGTGTTAATAGTCCCCTGAGGAACCTAGATAGTAAGACGATGGTATTCTACAGGAGGAGATACAAGCAAACCCCATGCATCCACCACCGTCATCCATAACTCCTGAGTAGCTGACAGAAAAATTGTGTACCACACAGTTTCCAAAAGATAGCTGGGGCTGGGAGCTGTTTCTGGGAGGGAAAGAGGCACATTGCTCTCATAAAGCTTGACCAAAAATAAAAAATATGTATATCATGGGACATTAGGGCTAGAAAGAACTCTGGAGGCTATGTTCTCTAGCCCTTCTTTCTACAGATGAGAACAGCCTCCAATGCCCAGGGAGGTGTGTCTCCTCTGAGGTCAAACAGAATTTTAGTAGCACAGCTCTGACAAGAACATTAGCCTCTTGGCTCTGGATTCAGCTCCATTTCTACCTCACTGTGCCATCCCAGTTGGCAGATACAGCAACTTTAAGAGACATCCCTCTGAAAGAAGGACAAGCTCAACCCTGTGGCAGAGCTCTGTCCCACCTCAGCCTCCCCAGCCCACCCCCCACCAACCTCGACTCAGAGCGCAATGGCTCTTTGCATCCTTGGACAGTTTCTACTTGCATCTGCATCGATTAAACCTTGATCTCATTTATTATCTCAGGAAATGGTTTCAAGGTCACAGGGCTGGAAATTTAATTATGGTAGCAGTATATTAAGTGGCACATTTAAAGATGCTGAATTGTGGTAATTAATTTTTTGGATGGTGGTGTCAGAGGAACGGGTTTTCTCTACACTGGGTATTTGGCATCCATCATGGCCATTGAACTTGGCAGCTGTCTTTTAGCTTTAAACTGCCTCGTTATTCATCTTTTATGACTAGCCTTTAAAAACACTAGGCGCCGATACCCCCTTTTATTGTAATATATGTGTGCAACGGGAACGGAGCCATACTTCACCTTTGCTATAAAACATGAACCAAGGGTGCCAGCAGCTACCTAAGCTGGCCTCTAAATTGAGACAACAATTACCCTTCGCTGACATCTAGTGTCAAGGCATGAGATACAGCCGAAGCACTGAATCCATTGGCCTGGAAAACGTATGCTTCCCCAGTGATAAAGGCTGTCTCACCCACAAGGCTCCAGGCCCAGCGGGGAGGAAGGGAGCAGAGGGATTAACTTGGCCCTGACTATTGACTTTGCTGGGGCTCTAGGTTATCCAAGGGGGCACCCGTCTGCCAAGGTCTTAAAGAGCTTGTAATGTTTAACGAAAGGACAGTCATTAAATATGTTTGGTTCAAATATTAGGTTCAATGAGCCTGGGTGGCACTTAATAGAGAGGCGGGAAAATATGGATTAAATTAGAGAGATTCGTTAAAGAAATTGGCCTGGAGCCCAAGAATGACTGGTTGTCAGACAGAGCTGCCAGGAGTTAGGAGTTCATCCAGTGAGGGAAACTCAAACCAGGTTTAGGTTTTAAATTCCAGAATGCCACTATAAAATAGATTTAAATATTGATCAGCCTTTGTGAAGAAAGGGATAGCCATAAAAACTGGCTTGTGGGTAGAAATTCTTTTTCTCAGAAAATCCATGTCCTGGCCGGGCATGGTGGCTCACACCTGTAATCCCAGCACTTTGGGAGACCAAGGCAGGTGAATCACTTCAGGTCAGGAGTTTGAGACCAGCCATGGCCAACATGGCAAAACTCCATCTCTATTAAAAATACAAAAATTAGCTGGGCATGGTGGTGGATGCCTGTAATACCAGCTACTAGGGAGGCTGAGGCAGGAGAATCACTTGAACCCAGAAGGTGGAGGTTGCAGTGAGCTGAGATAGCACCACTGCACTCCAACCTGGGCAACAGAGTGAGACTTGGCCAAGAAAGAAAGAAAGAAAGAAAGAGAGAGGAAGGAAGGAAGGAAGGAGAGAGAGAGAGAGAAGAAAGAAAGAAAGAGAAAGAAAGAAAGAAAGAAAGAAAGAAAGAAAGAAAGAAAGAAGAAAGAAAGAAAGAAAGAAAGAAAGAAAGAAAGAAAGAAAGAAAGAAAGAAAAAGAAAGAAAGAAAGAAAGAAAATAGTGTCCTTTGCCTCCAAAAGCATAAGAGCACAGTGTTTATACACTTTGAAAGCACAGATCGCGATTTCTCCCTTCTTCAAGTGGGGTCTGCCCTACCCTCGAGTCCAAGGTTTCTTACCCTGGGCACTACTGATATTTTGGCCTTGCTGATTCTTGTCTATGGAGGGTTGGGGACTGTACAGTGCATTGTAGGATGTCTAGCAGCATCCCTGGCCTCTCATCAGTAAATGCCAGTAGCCTCCTCCCCCAGTTGTGATAACTAAAAATGTCTTCAGATATTGTCAGCTATCCTCTGGAAAGTAAAATTGCTCCTGGTTGAGAACCACTGGTCTGTTCTTACCTCAGGAGGCAGGCTCAGACCTCTAAGCTGACCTGCCAGCAGGGCCGTGCCTTGGCTGGAGAGGGCAGCGTTGGCCTGGCAGGTCTGAGCTGCCCTCACAGCTGGCCTGGTGACCACTCGTGCCTAACTGTGACCTCCACTTGGTTTGCTGGCCAGTATGTTGGACTTTGGCCTGCTTCACTCTCACTCTTGTCTTTGACCACAGTCCTAAGTCCTGACCATGAGCGTCCTATGATCTCGTGATCTCATTTTGGTAACACTTGTCCCATAACTGAGTCCTCACACCAGCTCACGTGTCTCCGCCGCAGTCAGTCAGAAAATCAGCACGTGTCTCCTGCTGGGGATCCCACAGGAAATAAGGCCATCAGAAACTCTGCCGTCACAGAATCTACATGCTAGTGGTGAGAGATAGCCAATAAATACGTCAGTAAATACGCCGTTTTCAGATGATGATAAGTGCAATGAAGAAAACAACTCAGATAATTGGATAGAGTGCAGAGGGGAGGGTGGGCTACTCTAGCCACGGTCAGTAAAGGCCTCACTGAAGAAGTGACGAGAACTAAAATGTGAACAATAAGAAGGTGGCCCTGAACATGGTGTTCCTGCCATTACAACAGGCTGTATTTTAAGAATAAGAAACTTAATAAGATCATAATATACGCGGAGTAAAGTGTCTAAATCTTAATCTTACATCTATATAAATATGCACATACAGAGATAACTACCACCCAGCTCATGATATGCAATGTTTCCATCATGGAAGGCCCATTTCTATGCCTTCTTCCCTGTCAGTACCCACCCCCAGAGATAAACTATTCTGACTTCGGTTGCCATTGATTCATTTTGTCAACAGGCTGCATTATATTTTATTGTGTTTTGTTTTTTCTAGGAAACCCAGGTAGGTCTTCTATACCCACAACTTTTCATAAATTCTTTTAAGCCTCTAGTTCCTTATAAAGCTAAAAGGGGCACGACAGCTCCCCTGGGGCACTAAAGGAACCGGTCGTGATGGAACCCACATCACCAAACCTCATTAGGTTAATCCAACCCTGGCTGATTCAGTGATGCCCGGAGGGGAAGAGATACAAGGGAAGACAGTCTCTGTACTTTCATCCCTACCTGCTTCCTTCTTGTTTGCTGAACAAACACTCCTGCCAGAGAAAGCAGCAGAAAAACACTGGGCTCTGCCAAACCCCCGTTAATCAATGAGGCTGTAACAAATCACAGGATGAAGCCTATGACACATCAATTACACTAAAAACCAAGGGCATCTACGGGAATTGGCAATCAGGCGCAAGACCTGCAGGGTCACCCACACCTAGCTGGGTGAGGCCTGAGGCCTGGACGCTCTGCTGTTTATTGGCCCAGCTGTGAGGTGATGGCTCAGAGGTAAGCGGCTGGCTGTAGAGTAAGAAATGCTTCATGCCCGCAGTGGTCTGAGTGAAGATGCTAACTAAGGTCTGTGTGGGCCACGCCTGGTGTATTCTTCTTTAAGCCAATGCTGGTTTTTTGCAGAACTTAGTTAAAATGCAGAGAAATGATCCAGAAATTGGAAAATTGCTTCTACCTCTGCCATTGATTAACTAGAAACTTGGCCAACCGAGTTGACCACTTGGTGTCACAGTTTCTTTATCTGCTACACAGAGATTATAATACATGCGTTACTACTTCATTGAAGCATCATCATACATAGATATATACACGTATACATATACACACACATATAGGTCAAGAGAGATATAAATTTAGGGGTAATTATATTTATATATGAGTTGGTATTTATTTGTCATCCATTTGACAGCCATTAAATGTTTCCACTATGTGGAAGGGCTTCATTTCCCTAAAGGAGCTCACAATGCAGAAAAGAAGACAGGCTGGAATTGGAAATGAGAAGTCCACATGCAAGCATCCAACAAAACCTGCATACATTATACTCCACCAAGCCACGAGTTCCCCAAAGAATAGGCTCCCGTTGCATTAGTCTCTGAATTCCATGAAGGAGTCGGCACCTGAGAACTGAAATGATTGGATTTCTTAGACTGATCTGGGGCAACGTTGTGTGAAGTGTGGTAGAACTCTTCAGCCCTTTGCCCATCTTGTTCCTTTTCCCCTTTACCCATTGTCCTACTATTCCATGGACAAAAGAATGGAGCAGAGAAAAAGAAGAGGCAAGGAACAAAGTGAGCAGAAGTGAAAAGTTTACTAAATCCAGGAAAGTGTATTGTGACTGGTTCTGCCAGCAGCACACTGAGGGTCAAGCACCTGCTCAGGGTCTCACAGCCAGTTAATGAACCCATACTAGCGCTCAGGTCTTCTAGTTGCAGGCTGTTTCTTATTCCCAGGAGACAGCTCACTAAATCAGAGTTCTTAGCTGCAAGCAACAGGTACTAATTTGGGCTGATATAGGAGGAAAAGAGTTTGTTAAAAAGATATTGCCAGGCAAAAATCACCAGTAGACACAAAAATTATATGGTGAAAAGTATTAATTAATTTATTTAATTTTTATTTATTTTTTTTTTTTGAGATGGAGTTTCAACCTTGTCGCCCAGGCTGGAGTGCAATGGCACGATCTTGGCTCACTGCAACCTCTGCCTCCCAGATTCAAGCGATTCTCCAGCCTCAGCCTCCCAAGTAGCTGGGATTATAGGCATGCGCCATCACGCCCGGCTAATTTTGTATTTTTAGTAGAGATGAGGTTTCTCCATGTTGGTCAGGATGGTTTCAAACTCCCGACCTCAGGTGATCCCCCCCCACCTCAGCCTCCCAAAGTGTTAGGATTACAGGCGTGAGCCACTGCGCCTGGCCGAAAAGTATTTAAAGAAAAAGATATTCACAGATGGCAAAGCACAGATTACGTACTACAAGGTTACCTGTAATGAAATATATACATTTACAGTGGAGAAATCTGGCAGCGATCATCCTAACCAAGTGGCCAAACATAATACCACCAACAGTGAAACCCCTGTCAGTAATGTGATGTGTATTCATACAAGCCCACTTATGAAATATGCTTTCCAAAAAAATGTTAACTTGAATTTAATCAGGCGTCTAGCCCTCATTTAAGATTTACAGGAAATACAAGGAGAGTGATGAATAAATTAAACAGCATCACAAGGAAACTATTAGGCTAATCAGGAATGTAGTACAGCCTATGAGACAACTGTTTCATCCTTCAAAAAGTCAAAGTCATGAATGAATTGTTAAAAGAAAGACTGCAGACTAAAAGAAAATAAACTGCAATAGTGAACCTGGATCAGATCCTGCTTTGAAAAGAATAGTTATAAGAGTTATTCTCCAATTGGAGGAAGTTATATATGGGTTGTACTCCAGAGAGTATTATGATATTGATAATTTTCTTAGGTTTGATAACAGTATTGTGATTTTGTGAGAGATTACACTTACTTTTAGGAGATGTATTCTGAAGTATTTAGGAGCTAGCTAAGTGTCAGGAGGTCAACAACTTTCAAGTGCTATAGCAAAAATAAGAATAAAATTAGAAATATACACACACAAGCAGCCAGGGATAAAATAAATATAGTAAAAGGTTCCAATTGTTGAAGCTAGGTGGAGATAATACACGTGTTCGTCAGAGGTATGGGGAAAAATACTGAGTAACTTAGATAGCTGGGCAAAGGATTGCAGGACCAGTTCTGAGGCTCAGCCTTCAGGAGCAAGGCCTAAATCACATTGCACAAATGGCCAGGTGAAAGAGCGGCATTGCTACCCTGACCACCAGAGAGTGCTGCCTCTCCTCTGTCCCCAGTGCCACTTCTGCCATGAAACCACAGGGGTAAATACCTCCGTCGCCTCTGCTGCACCAAACGCTAGACAGCTGTATCATCCCTTCCACCAGGAATTATGGAAACCCTGCACAAAGCCTTTTTCTCCAGCGGCTAAGATGAAGGAAATCCTCCTACTGGTACATCTGATTAGTGGTGCCTAGTTCTCAGGCCGGCATCTTTGCTGCACGGTAGGTTGGAAATTGGCATATTGATGCTTCTGTTGGTGAGGCTAGGAAAAGATGATCAGTAGCCTTCAACATGATAGGTGTCAGCTGTGGAGGAAAATAATGTATGTGAAATAGTCCAGGGTCCAGACTCTATTCAAGCACCTATCTCATATGACTGCAGCATACTTTAATACAAGAAATTTTACTTTCCGCTGGGCGCAGTGGTTCACACCTGTAATCCCAGCAATTTGGGAGGCTGAGGCGGGCGGATCGCCTGAGGTCGGGAGCTCGAAACCAGCCTGACCAAGATGGAGAAACCCCCGTCTCTACTAAAAAATACAAAATTAGCCACGCATGGTGGCGCATGCCTGTAATCCCAGCTACTCGGGAGGCTGAGGCAGGAGAATTGCTTGAACCCAGAAGGCAGAGATTGCAGTGAGCCAAGATAGCGCCATTGCACTCCAGCCTGGGCAACAAGGTTGAAACTCCATCTCAAAAAAAAAGAAAAAGGAAAAGGAAAAAAAGAAAAATAAAAGGAAAATTTAAAAAAAGAATTTTTACTTTCATGCCTGTAATCCCAGCACTTTGGGAGGCCAAGACAGGCAGATCGCTTGAGCCCAGGAGTTGGAGACCAGCCTGGCAACGTGGCCAAACCCCATCTCTACAGAAAATACAAAAAAAATTAGCCAGGCATGGTGATGCGTGCCTGTAGTCCCAGCTACTCAGGAGGCTGAGATAGGAGGATGGCTTGAACCCAGGAGGCGGAGGTTGTAGTGGACTGAGATCATGCCACTGCACTCCAGCCTGGGCAACAGAGCCAGACCCTGTCTCAAAAAAAAATATATATATATATATATTTTCAGTTTCATATGTTGCATATCTTTAATGTTGAGTACCAGGTATGGAAGTTTATTTATGAGCCAACTATGGGATTTATTTATTTGGGCATATTGCCTTGTTTGATTATGTTACTCTCTTGGTTGTTTTCTTTTAAAATGCTGGGAGGCCTTCAGGCATAGATGTCCATAAATTGAAATACATTATAAGGTCAGGCATAGTAGCTCATACCTGTAATCCCAGCACTTTGGGAGGCCAAAGCTGGAGGATCACTTGAGGTCAGGAGTTCAAGACCACCCTGGCCAAGACGGTGAAACCTTGTCTCTACTAAAAATACAAAAATTAGCCAGGCGTGGCGGTGCACGCCTATAGTCCCAGCTACTAGGGAAGCTGAGGCAGGGGAATCGCTTGAACCTGGGAGGTGGAGGTTGCAGTGAGCTGAGATCGTGCCACTGCGCTCCAGCCTGGGCAACAGAGTGAGACTCCATCTCAAAAAAAAAAGACAGAAAGAAAAACAAACACGTCATGATTATTATTGTTCACAATGTTTCAAAAATAAACTCTTTCATCAGAATGCATAATCAAGACATCGCATAGGGGCAATTTTAAAAAACACTTTATGTTTTATCCACTGAATGTCTGAGGTTGATAGTGAAGCTCTCCTGGCAGCTGGAGAGAGATTCAAACACAACTGAATTCATATTTGCCATGACTGAATATTAATATCCATTAGCACATTTTCTATTGATAAATTCAGAAAGGGAATTCATGGTGCTATCTCAGAGAGTGTTGGAGGTAGCTTTGCCCCCTTTATTTGTCATCATTATAGGGAAGAGCTACAGCCCACAACTTATCATTTGTTTATGGCAGTAAATACAGCAAAGAAAACATGTGGGGTGACATAGTAAGGCTGCTGGCCCTCCTTCATGTTTCCCGTCTTAGGAGTTTGCAACTCCATAGATCCAGATATTCAAGCCACAAGCCCAGGAGGCATCTCTGATATTTTTCTCTCCCTCACTACCACCCCCAACACCGAATCCATCTCTAGTTCTTAACTCTTAAACATCTCTTAAATCCACTCACTTCTCTTGATTTCCTTCATTGCCAATCCTCACGCAAGCTACCATCATATTTCCCCTGCACTGCAGCAGCCTTCAACTGGCCTCCTTATGACAATGGTGCCCCAATTCCATCTGTTCTTCATCTGCAGCTTGAGAGATCTCTTTAAAGTGCAACTCAGACTAGGTATTTCGTTGCTCTACTCTCCCTACCACTAGCCCCCAACCTAAAAATTATACTTACAATACAATCCAAAATCTTTAGCATGGCCTATATGGCTTTTGTAGACTATAACTACCCCACCTCATCTGCTTTCCAGCCTTGTCCAGTGCCTCTTGTTCAGGGATCCAGCCATATCAACTTTGTCTAAGCATTTGCTATGCTCCAAGCTTCTTCTCCCCTCTAAGTCTTTATACCTTTAGTTGGTATTTGTCTCTTTCCCACCCATATTCACTCTTGAGTAATGCTCCCCACAAACTAGATAACTTAACTTATTTTATGCAGCCATAACAAAATACCTGAGACTGGGTAATTAATGAAGAACCGATATTTATTTCTTACAGTTCTAGGGGCTGGGAAGTCCAAGGTTGAGGGGCTTTCATTTGGTGAGGGCCTTCCTGCTGCATCATTCCATGGTGGAAGGCAGAAAGGCAAGAGAGTGCAAGCGAGCAAGACAGGGTCAAACTCATTTTTATAACAAACCCACTCTCACAATAACAAGCCCTAACCCTCTTAAAAGTCATGAGACCTAAGCAGTTCTTAAAGTTCTCACCTCTCAACACTGATGCATTAGGGATTAAGTTGCCAACACGTAAACTGTGGGAGACGTTTAAATCATAGCACCAGATGTGTTCTTTGCTCTCATAGCACCCTCTGTCTTTCTTTTTTGCATCTATCACAGTTTAGAATTGCATATAAAATAGTGCAATTGTTCTTCTATTATCCCCACTAGACTGGCAACACCTTGAAGGCAGAAACTGTGTTTTGGCTCCCTTTGTGTCGTCAGTTCATAGCACAAAGCCTAGACATATAAGGTGCTAAGTAAATACTTGCTGAATTAAAAAAATGTGAACAAATGAATGAACGTAAGTGACTATGTTCTAGTCAGAAAGGGGTGAGAAAGCCCAGAAAACATTCAGATGGCACCATGTGTTGCACATTGTTTTTGAACCAGGGCCACGAATGCTGGCTGATCTCATCTCCTCTCCCCAGATGAGAGGCTGGGCTGATCAGTTCACATACAGATAAGTTCAAAGATTTGAAAGGCATGTCTGAGGAGCAATGAAAACTGACTTGCAGACCTTGCTGAGATCTCAATCCAAACTTAGATTTCCATGATTGAAATTCTCATAGCCACCTCCCCTGAATTGCACTCAACTTTTCAAAATGAGATTTTATGGGAACTGATTGTGATTAGATAAATGGGTGACTTCACTAATGTATAATACAATTTTCAATTACAGCATATGTATAATAATTTACATTTCTTGTTTGATGGTGTGGTATTTATGTGACATATTCTGAATGAGACCCGGCTGCTGTTTACATAATGATCTTGCTTTTCTCTTAGAGAAGATCTCGTTTTCAATTTTCTTTTTGTGCAGCAAGGTATTGTCATTCCAAGATAAACATTGTATATTATAGAATGTGCAGGTGAGAAATATCAATAAAGTAATAATCTAGATGGGTTTTAATAATTTTTATATATGCCACTGAATTAGGTAATAGAGTGGTTCACCTTTCATAAAATGTTGGAATAAAAATGTCCCTAAAATTATAGTAAATTTTTTGTGATCTACTGGCTCTATGATCACCCTTGTGGCAAAGTGCCATTGAATAGCAAAAATCAATGTTTTATTGAATATATTTCACCATTAACATAATAGTCATTGCCAGAGTGCTGCTCTGAAGCTGGAACAATATCACTGGAATATGTCTTTTTTCTGACCTTTAAGACTAGGTCTACCTGAAACAAAGGCTTTTATGCATTTAACCCCAAATGTCATTCTTCAATTTCTGGCTAGAGATGGTTGATGCATAAGAGATAAAATAACTCCCAGTGAAGAGCTTTCCAGGCTGGGCACAGTGGCTCATGCTTGTAATCCCAACACTTTGGGAGGCTGAGACAGGCAGATCTCTTGGGGTCAGCAGTTCAAGACCAGCCTGGCCAACATGGCAAAACCCTGTCTCTACAAAAAATACAAAAATTAGCCAGGTGTGGTAGTGGGCGCCTGTAATCCCAGCTACTCGGGGGGCTGAGACAGGAGAATCGCTGGAACCCAGGAGGCGGTGGTTGCAATGAGCCGAGATTGTGCCACTGCACTCCAGCCTGTGTAACAGAGCGAGACTCTGTCTCCAAAAAAAAAAAAAAAAAGAGCTTTCCAGATAGAAAACTATTCTTAAAATAGCAAGCTGGGGGATAGGAAAGAAGAGCACAAAGAAGCCAGGTAGTAGGATATAGTACCCATGGTTTTGAACCTAAGAAACCACATTTGCACAGAGATAGGGGCCAAGAAGGTACCTGCAGCCCTTCACCCTGCTTCAGCCAGAGCAGCTTTCCTTTAGGCATTTTTATATTAGTGTTCCCAGTAAGAATTCATTTAAAAAGGAGAAAAGGCTATTTTAAAAACTTTGCAAAACCACTTAATGGTGAAAAGAGCACTGTTCTAGAACTCAGCCCTCTGAGCTCCATTTCCCCATTTGTAAAATGAAGAGTTTGTATCTGACAGTCTCTAGCATTCACCTGTTCCACAATTCATACTGCCTTATTCCAGGCCAAATGCTAGTGTAGATATGGCTGTTATTTGGCATAACAACCTAATTATGCCATGTTATCAAACTGCATGCTTGCCTCCCTTTTAATGTAACAAAAGATGTAAAATATCCACGCATGGAACCAGCAATATATCAATGGCACTGGCTTCAGATATAAAATGCTCACTTTAACATGGATCGCTGGAAAATATTCAAATAGTCCTCATAATTTCTAGAGTACAGGGTGAAATACCATTCATTTCTCAAGATACATCTGCATTCAAATTAGCCCAACACTATATTAAGTTACAAATAAACCTACGATTTTACCATAATTAAGAAGCATTTCAGAATAATTTCAGATTGTGTTCTACTTATAACTTATTCTAGCAGTAAGCAGTTTGTCGAGTTCCTCCTTTCTGCAAATAAATAAAAACTCACCAGCTAAATAAATTATGGGAAAATTTAAAAATCAAATAAAGAGTCATTAAAATGATATAAATATATAGTTGTTCACATGGGAAAATGTACAAAATATACTAAGTGAAAAATCCATTAACAAAGCAGCACATACAATATTATTTCATTTTGGGGAAAAAAATTCCATGTACATATAAGCACATAGAAAAAAGCTTTGGGCCAGACAGGGTGGCTTACACCTATAATCCCAGCACTTGGAGAGGCTGAGGCAGGAAGATCACTTGAGGCCAGGAGTTTGAAACCAGCCTGGGCAACATAGCAAGACCCCATCTCTACAAAAAATAAAATGATAAAAAATTAGCTAGGCATGGTGGTACAAGCCCACAGTCCTAGCTACTTGCCAGACCAACATGGGAGGATCTTCTGAACCCAAAAGTTTGAGGCTGAAGTGAGCCCATGATCATGCCACTGCATTCCAGCCTGGGCAACAGAGCCAGAGCAAGACACAGTCTCAAAATAAAAGAAAAAGAGAAAAGAAAACAATTTGAAAGAAAGCCATGGCTATCTCTGGATAGCAGGATACTCAGTGATTAAGATTTCCTTCTTTGTTACCTTCTAGTGTTCTGAAATTTTTAGCCAGAGTTTATTGAAATTGGGATGGGAAAGGCAATTTTGGAAAGAGAAAACCTCACTAGTTTCTTGTTCTCATATATTGTTTTTAAAATATACAAATGACGGCTTCTTAGAAATGGTGTTCTGTCAAGAATCAGCCAGCTTTCCCTATAAAGGGCTAGATGGTAAATATTTTAGACTTCTGGGCTTTACATCCTTCTGCAAATGATATGGTTAGGCTTTATGCCCCCACCCAAATCTCATCTTGAATTATAACCCTCATAATCTCCACCTGTCAAGGGAGAGACCAGGTGGAGGTAATTGAATCATGGTGGCAGATTCCCCCAATCTGTTCTCGTGATAGTCAGTGAGCTTTCATGAGGTCTGATGATTTTATAAGTGTTTGGTAGTTCCTCCGTGTTCATTCTCCCTCCAGCCACCTTGTGAAGAAGGCACCTTGCTTCCCCTTCACGTTACACCGTAACTGTTTCCTGAAGCCTCCACAGCCATGCATAAATGTGAGTCAATGAAACCTCTTTTCTTTATAAATTACCCAGTCTCAGGTAGTTCTTTATAGCAGTGTGAAAACAGACTAATAAAGTAACCATTCAGTTTTGCCATTATAGCATAAAGGCAGCCATAGACAATAGGTAAATGAATGTGCGTGACTGTGTCCTGGTAAAACTCTACAAAAACAGGAGGCAGTCCACGAATCATAGTTTTCCAGCCCCTAGAATAGTAGAAGGAGACTTGGCCACAGACAGACAAGGGTCTTAATCCTTGCTCCACAGCATGTAGCTGCACAATGACTGGGAAACATGGTTTCCTTGTATGTGTGATGGGAAGAACACCTCCCACCTTGAAGGCTTGTGTGAGACAGTCCATCTCACAAAACAGTGCATATAAGTATTGTGTCCTGCCTTCTTTTTATAGCACAACTCAGGGAAAAAGTTAGGTGTGTTAAGTAAAATAAGATTTAAACGCAAACTAAATTCTAATGCCAAAATTTGTCTTCAACAAAACCATTTTATAGCTAAAAGTAGAGTTGGTAGGGTGGGGTATGAAGTAGGGTGAAGACAGGCACAGAAACCTTCCGGGAGGCCATTCATTTCCATTTCACTGCTCCAGGGAGGACAACGGCTAGAGAATGCTTTGAATGCCCACACTCTCCCTTTACCTTAAAACACTGTATGTGTTTAATAAAGATCATGTCAGATGTACCCAATGACAAAAAGTCATTCAGAACTAAAGTCTTAAACACTGGCTTCCAGCACTTTTGCATAGGATAGCACATTGGCCCATTTGCTGGAAGTGGGCACGAGGGTCAATTCACACATCCTCCCTCCTAAAATTATGTAAGAGGCACCATTGTGTTTTCATGCTATCACTTACACACCTTAGATGGCTCTTTTCTGTCCTTCTGTCCATAATAATGTCCCACACCCTATTCCTAACAGTAGGGAGTAGGAGAGGCATTTTACAAATAACTGAGATATATCAGCCCCTCATTTGTTCACCCTCCAAAGTAGTTCTTACTTAAGAGTTCAGAACACATTGACCGCCCAGGGTACTTCATTAGTTTCCATATTCATGACTAACAAACACATCTTCTAATAATTTTTTTTTATTTTGCTACTCAGGGTCTCTGCTGATCGGAAATGTTGAAGTATTATAGATTCAAAATGTTACGGAGATTCAAAAGAAAAAAACAAAACTACCCATCCTGAGTGACACTTTACATTTTCATGATGCCACCTATGCCAGAAGCATGTTTATTGAAAGCCACAGTAGTAAAAATACAGAATTTAAAAATTTCCCTTAAAAACCTGTATTCTAGTCGTAGTGAGGTCATCATGACTGGCGATTTCCCTTTAGAAAAACCTTTAAAGCATGAAAAAATGTTGATGTTGGTACCCAAACACATATCGCCATACAGTGTAACAACGGCTGCAATTCCAGTGCTTGCTTCATCGTCAGCCTCAACAGAGAGCTGCAGGGAAGAAAGACCTTCTACAGCACTTGCCCAAGATCTTTCCCCTGCCCTAAGACAAAGAGAAGGAATTATAGGCGGTGATAATAGAGATGGCAGGCACAGCTCTCATGTTCTGTATTTAAACATTTCTTTTTTATTTTTTATTTTTTGTATTTTTTCTTTTTTTTGCAGAGATGGAGTTTTGCTCTTACTGCCCAGGCTGGAGTGCAATGGCATGATATTGGCTTATCACAACCTCCACCTCCCAGGTTCAAGCTATTCTCCTGCCTCAGCCTCCCAAGTAGCTGGGATTACAGGCATGTGCCACCACGCCTGGCTAATTTTTGTATTTTTAGCAGAGACGGGGTTTCTCCATGTTGGTCAGGCTGCTCTCGAACTCCCGACCTCAGGTGATCCACCCGCCTTGGCCTCCCAAAGTGCTGGGATTACAGGCGTGAGCCACCATGCCTGGCCTTAAATACATTTCTTAAATATAATATTCAAATCCAAAATACAGTGATTTCTGCTCACTCCTTTTTGTTTCCAGGGAAATAAAGTCTGTAATAGGCAGATAGCCCTCTTCAAATAAAAAAAGTCCAGTGGGTCCAGGAGGGTTGAAGCTGGAATCCAGTCTCAGCTCCAGTACCACCCGCTCCTAATTATCAGGAAGGAGTGGCTTGGGCTGCTCTGGCCATGGTGTCTGGGCAAATTAATGTGATCCCAGATAAAGACTTAATTAGAAAACCTAGGTCTCTTCAGGAGATCAGAACCTGGGGTGGGAATAGTTAAAGGCAGAAGATGAGGCTGCACTGAAAGTGATCCTGTGTACTAAAACATTATAAACAACTTGCATGCCACAAATAGTTATTTACCAGATGTTTGGGGAAACAGATGACCTCTAGACATTTGTAATCTAGAGCTATATGTAGTATAATGACATTTAAGTTTCTATGAGAGTACAGAAGTGACAATGATTTATTCCTCAGTATGGGGTGATGCTATGGGAGGAGGGACAGGCAGACAGGCAGAGGAGTGGTTCAGGAGGCCTTTTAGAGGATGCAGCATTTGAACTAGGCCTAGATGGGTTTCACTAGCTAGACAAGGAGGAAAGGATATTTCAGGAAGAAGGACCGGCATAAGCAAAGTTTGGAGGCATGGAACCTGCCGGATTTGGGGAAGAGTAAATCGTTTTGTGTGTCTGGAATGTGGGGGCTGTGGAGTTAGGGTTCAAGAACTGGGAAGGCAGAAGGAAGAAGTTGTAAAAGTTCTCTGTACTTGGCCAAAGAGTTTCAACATGATCCTGCATGCAGGAGGTTGACAAGCATTCACTTGCAGTTTTCAAAGGTAACTTTACAGATGTAGAGTCAGGATGTAGACTTCACTGTAGCCATTAAGGGAACTGAAGAACACTATGGTAAAACCTATTTTTTTTTCAATGAGTAAATTGTGCCAAATACTGTTCTAAGTGCTTTCCACACATTGATGCATTGAATCCTCACAACAGCCCTCTGAGGTAGGTTCTCCCCATTTTACAGGCAAGGGAACTGAGACACAGAGAGGTTAAGTAATGTGTCTGAGATCATACAGTGGTAGGGGCAGGATAGAACCCCAAGCAGTTTGGCTTCAGTGTTTGTGTTCAGAATCATTCTGCCAAGTTTCTTCTCCTGGGCACTGGTCCCCATATGTGCTCACGGTAATTCCTCTGTAAATGCTGCTGCTCTCTCATCTCTCAATAATGGGGCTGCCTTTTTAGCGCCATCCCATCATCTGTCTTCCTTGACCTGCTGGAGGTCAAATAAGAGAACAAGGAGCACTCACTTTTCCTTTATTCTCCTTAATGGGCATTCACCTTCCATTTACAGTGCATGAAATGGTGCCAACAAAACAGAGCCTAGGGCTTTAGGGAAGACATTTTAATATACATGCTTTGATATTTATAGATAGTTTTTGGTCAGTGAATGTTACTTTATTCTGTGAGCTACCCTTTCAAAGAAACCCAAGTAGCTGGGATTACAGGAATGAGCCGCCACGCCTGGCTAATTTTTGCATTTTTAGTAGAGACAGGGTTTCTCCATGTTGGCCAGGCTGCTCTCGAACTCCCGACCTCAGGTGATCCACCCTCCTCGGCCTCCCAAAGTGCTGGGATTACAGGCATGAGCCACCGTGCCCGGCCTTAAATACATTTTTTAAATATAATATTCAAATCCAAAATACAGTGATTTGTGCATATTCTTTTTTGTTTCCAGGGAAATAAAGTCTGGAATAGGCAGATAGCCCTCTTCAAATAAAAAAAGTTCAGGGGGTCCAGGAGGGATGAAGCTGGAATCCAGCCTCAGCTCCAACTATTAGAGAACACTTTTGATATGAGTCTGTAAAGTTAATTCAGATGGTTTGCCAAAGCCACCAGTCTTAATTAATGACTTACTGTAACCTCCAGTTTTATTAGGTGTATATTTCTAGTATATTGGCATGTATATTAACACTGGCCTGTGAATAAACTGACAGTTCTTAAATGATATGAGATAAACTTATTTTCTTATGAGGAATTCACTTTTGCCTTGAACTTATAGTAAAATGATTATTAGTTCAGTAAATTATGACTTCAATATGTTTTGATCCCTTTGCAATAGAAAGACTGTCCAGATTTCATTTCTTGATGAAACGATGCTTTGGGTAAGTCTTTTTAGTTATTCTCATGCTCTAGCAAGTAGTACTCTTAGCTTTATAGCCATAAACTTTCCAAGTGGAAAAACATTCACTAAGGGTCTGCTAGTTTTATTTTTTTAGTAATATCCCACCCTGGTTTAATAACATTCCACAATATTCCTAATATTTTAAAGGATGTATTAAATGTACGTATACACACACATACATCACGTGAAAATTGATTACAATCTTCTTTAACTGGTAATAAAATGCATATAGTACATTTACATTGAGATAAGATATTAATAAAATAAACAATGTGGGTCTTACAGCAACAAAAAGTACCTGGAGAGTCCACTGTCCAATTTGAAACAATTTGCATCATTCCCCAAAAAGGGGGCACCAGGTGTGGTACGATTTTTATCTGTGTATTTCACAGGCAAGGTCTGGTTGAGATGTGGTGGTAGAAGTAAAAAGTATTCAGTTACTGCTCAATTACCAAATGTCCTAGCCATTTTGTCTCCCAAATCCTTGCCTTTTTGAAAGTAAACTTTGAAATTAATATGTCACTCAAAGTCACCGTGAGGATAACATAAGAAGCTAACATCTTTCATCTGAAGTGAACCCAGACAGTCTGATCCAGGCTACAGTAAGTAAGAAGCCAACTTCTTAGGGCTTACATTGTATTTAAAGGTTATTCTCAAGCGTAGTTAAAGACTGTGGTTTTCCCATAGAGCTGATAAAGGGTAGTTGGTATTTATTTCCTCGTTGAAGTGGCGCCACCATGTGGCATTAGCGTCACACAGTTTACAATTCACTCAACCAGGTGACTTCAAAATTAGGAGATTTTTTACTTTTTTTCATTTGGAAACATTTGTATCATTTTAAATTTTGTGCATAAAGAGTGATTCAAGGCTGGGCATGGTGGCTCATGCCTGTAATCCCAGCACTTTGGGAAGCCGAAGCAAGTGGATCACCTGAGGTCAGGAGTTTGAGACCAGCCTGGCGAACATGGTGAAACCCCATCTCTACTAAAAATATAATATTTAGCTGGGCATGGTGCCACGTGCCTGTAATCCCAGCTACGTGGGAGGCTGAAACAGGAGAATTGCTTGAACCCGGGAGGCGGACGTCGCAGTGAGCCAAGATTGCGCCACTGCACTCCAGCCTGGGTGACACAGCTAGACTCTGTCTCAAAAAAAGAGTGATTCAATTTATACATGTTTATTATGTGATTTCAAATTACCATATTCAAGTTCACATAAAATATGAATGGGTTGTGTTTTTGTATAGCAGTATACATAGTGCTTAAGAGAATGCACTTTGGAGCCAGTTAGCATAAATTCAAATTCCAGCTCTGCTACTTACTCTGTGTATAATATTGAGCAAATACTCTGTGTATAATATTGAGCAAAGTACCCAACCCTTCCAAGTCTCAGTTTTCTTATCCGAGGCGGGGGGATCACCTGAGGTCAGGAGTTTGAGACCAGCATGGCCAACATGGCAAAACCCTGTCTCTACTAAAAATACAAAAATTAGCTGGGTGTGGTAACAGATACCTGTAATTCCAGCTACTTCGGAGGCTGAGGCAGGAGAATCACTTGAACGCGGGAGGTGGAGGTTGCGGTGAGCAGAGATGGCACCACTGCACTCCAGCCTGGGTGACAAGAGTGAAACTCCGTCTCAAAATATAAATAAAGAGAGAGAGAGAGAAGTATCTGGCACCTCCCCTCTCCCTTGCTTCTGCTCTGGCCATGTGAAGTGCCTTCTCCCGCTTTGCCTTCTGCCATGAGTTAAATCTCCCTGAGGCCTCCCCAGAAGCTAAGCAGACGCTGGTGCCATGCTTTCTGTACAGCATGCAGAACTTTGAGTCAATTAAACCTCTTCTCTTTATAAATTAGCTAGGCTCAGACATTTAGCAATGCAAGAACAGCCTAACACAAAGGCAGAAACCTCATGACCTCAGCACCTCCCAGAAGGCACCTCCCAACACTGTTGCATCAGGGATTAAGTTTCCAACACATGAATTTGAGGGGACACATTCAGACTATGGCACTGTGTATATGAAACCACAACATTTTGTATTAATTAAATCACATCTTAGAGAAAAAATTACAAGTACATTTGCATAGAAGAAAATAGGAAGGTATACTATAACACATTGGGAACAGTTAGCTCTCATGGATGACTTTTATTTCCTTTTTGCTTAACTCTATTTTCTCCAAATTCCGTAACCAATATATATCACTTTTGGAATGGGGGGAGAAAAACCAAAGACAAATTTTATTCTAAAAAAAGAGAATTATCTCCTGAATGTGAATAAAGTACTTAAAAGCTCACTATTTAGCAACTGAAAACCATATTCGGTAAGACTGCAATTCATGACAGACCTTCCTACCCTTATTGCTATTGGCTGAAATTCCTGAAAATATAATTTTGCTCATTTTTAAAAAACAAATACCCCTGTAATCCCAGCACTTTGGGAGGCCGAAGCAGGTGTATCACCTGAGGTCAGGAGTTTGAAAACAGCCTGACCAACATGGTGAAACCCTGTCTACTAAAAATACAAAAAATTAGCTGGGCATGGTGGCGCATGCCTGTAATCTCAGCTACTCTGGAGGCTGAGGTGGCAAGAGAATTGCTTGAACCTGGGAGGAGAAGGTTGCAGTGAGCCGAGATCGCGCCAATACACTCTAGCCTGGGCAACAAGAGTGAAACTCCATCTCAAATAAAGAAAAAAAACAATATCCAAAATAGCACTTTAGTGTATTGAGAATTTCTCCTGCTAATAATTAATACTGTGGGCTTTTGGGGTTCTAAATTACTCTGAGGAAAATCTGAAATACAGAAAAACCCATTTTTTAAAATGTCAAGGTTCTTACGATGTCTGACTTTATTTCCATTTCAAGTGCACTTGGGCCTCCAAAACTGAATTTCTTAACTTTTCTGACTCTGGAAACATTTCCAAGGAGTACTTGCAAGAAGCCCGCTTCAAACTGGAATCCTTCCGCTTGGATATAATCATGCAAACAGCCGAGAGAATTTATTTAACCTTCAGCCAACTGCTCACCCAACTTGAAATTATTGATAGCCCATCAGCAATGATCAAGATGGAGAGGCTAAATGAAGAGGTGCTTTTTTTTACAAGAGAACCGTTGAGCTGGTAACAGGACTTGAAATGCCGTGTCAGCTCAGCTCGCATGGTCAGGGAGCTCAGCTGCTGGAAGGAAATAAAACTGTTCAGTTAAGGCCGCCCTCCAATCAGTCACAGGGGTAATGGTGTTTGGCTTCAGTCAGGTTGTATGTCAGCAAATATACATCTCTTAGACAGCCCCTAAGAGTGCCTTAAGATCATGCTTATTGTTTTATATAGATAGGGGTCGGGAGCTGATAAATGGTGGTCATAGGCCACCGAAATAAATTTTACCATGTTCAGCAGGTAAACTTAATCTCAATACTGGAGAATGAGAGAGCCATTTTGATAGAATATTCATTCCATTGACAGTGATGGGACATTTTTCCTCTGTTAATGTCCTGTGCAGATCATATGAAAGTAGATATCCTCTTCTCCCCATGCCCCAGCCCCCACTGTATGAGGCCCACGTGCAGGAAAGAGACACCAGATACAGTCTTAGCGATTCACTGGGATTGAACTTTAAAGACCGAGGGTGATTGACAGCGCTCTTCAGGGAAATGAACACACCACAGCACTACCCTGATGCAGTCAGAGTGACACAGGAATCAGACACAGAAATGAAAAACTAGTGGCGGTTATGTGGAATCATTTCTGCGCTATCCTGAGTCCGAAAAAGGATTGGAAGCAGCATTAAGAGGTCAATAAGTCAGAGAAGGGAAATGCGTGGCACAGGGCTGCCACCCTCTCCCAAGCTACTGTCAAACACCAGCACTCAGCCACAGTTCCCTTTCCCAGGGAATTCAGGTGAAGCTCAGAATCTCAACCAGTGTTTCAGGCACTCAGATTAAAAAGAATTTGCCCCCATCTCACTAAGTCCTTAAAATCTAGAAATCTGCCTTCTAAGGAATTTATTGAGTCCTCTAAAAGTTTCTAGAAAGGCAATTAGAAGGCACCTTAAGTATTAGAGCCTGTGAAAAACAGAGAATATGATATGGTCCCTCAAAGACAATCTGTCTGGCTGCAAGAGATTTTTCTTAGGAATGATAAATGAGGCCCAGCAGAAACAGGACACTGTGCTATTCATTGGAGAAATGAGAAGACTTTTTCAAAGGATTGGATGCTCTTATCCCCAGGCCAAGAGTCAGCACGCCTCATGAATCTGAATCAGGGTGCCTGCAAGAGCCCTTCAGAGCCAATCTTTATTAGAAAGCCTTAGAAAGGTTGAAGGGGAATAAGGAAAAAGAAGTCGTATTAGAAAAATGTGACTTCATGCCTACTTTATGGCAGATATACCCAAAGAAATCAACCCATTTGCCAATGACTATAGTCCTCTTAAGACCTGCTGTAGGGATAGGCACAATGGCTCACGCCTGTAATCCTAGCACTTTGGGAGGTCAAGGCAGGAAGATTGCTTGAGTCTAGGAGTTTGAGACCAGCCTGGACAACATAGCAAGACCCCGTCCCTATAAAAAACAATTTTTAAATAGTCAAGTGTGGTGGCTAGGACACTCTTGGTCCTAGCTCTACTTGGGAGGCTGAGATGGGAGGATCAGTTGAGCCCAAGAGGTCAAGGTTGCAGTGAGCTGTGTTTGCGCCACTGCACTCCAGCCTGAGTGACAACAGAGTGAGACCCTGTCTCCAAAAAAAAAAAAAAAAGACTTGCTGTAGCATATGGAACTTATGTCATCTCCCTGGCCTGTTGTTTCTTTTATCAGACTCAAGAGCACCGAAACACGGAATTAGATTTCTAAGGAATTACAACTTACAGCTTGCTTGAGGATGAAACAAATAAACTGAATTATCATTTTCTTAATTTAGCAAAAGGAGATCTTTGTTTTATTACCTTGCTCACCTTCCTGCTTTCCACTTCTTTGAAGGCAGAGCCACGCTCTCATATCTTGTTATCTTCATAGCCTGGAATGGTGTCTCAGGGGTAGTGGATACCCAGTGCAGTAAAATCAGTGAATACATCATTCAGCACCCCGCTTCACTAAGAAGCCCTAAAGCAGTCTGCTGTCTGCATTTTTAAGCATAATGTACCTTAAGGAGGCCAATTACTGCATCCAGGCCAAAGTACGTATTTATACTAAGCCTACAGTCTCTTAAAAATAAAAAGTTACTAGACTGTCCTAGAATTTGGAAAAATCATATTATAATATCTTGATTTACAATTGTTGTATAAACACAAATCTTTTCTAATAATAAAAATGTACTATAATGTGTTTTGACAAGAAAAATGTACTACAGGATGTAATGGAGAGGATGTTCTGAATTAGTGAAAGTCTCAACTATAGACTTTTTTAAAATGCTTTTTACATTTTTAAAGGATTGGGAGATTGGCTACATAGAAGCAGATTGAGCATTTGGGGACGGGACTTTGGATGATGTGGTTAGGTACTTTTTAGTAGTAACAAAGTTTCTGTAAATTTAAATTATTGCAAAGTAAAACATCAGGATCTAAAACAATATTGTTTTATATAAACTATAATCCCACTTTGTAGAATTAGTGCATCACAATATACATAATATGTAGAGAAAAGTCAGAGAATATGCATCAAAATATGGTTAGCTCCAAGTGAGACTGAGTCTATGTTCATTTACATCTATGTTTTTATCTATATTTTTATTTATCTGTACTTCCTAGTTGTTAAAAATTGGGTATGTATTCTCTTTGCAATGCCAAATTTTTTTCTTTTTTTTTTTTTTCACTGCAACCTCCGCCTCTCAGGTTCTAGGCAATTCTCCTGCCTCAGCCTCCAGAGTAGCAGGGATTACAGGTGCACGCCATCACGCCCAACTAATTTTGTATTTTCAGTAGAGACGGGGTTTTACCATGTTGGCCAGGCTGGTCTTGAACTCCTGACCTCAGGTGATCCATCCACTTCGGTCCCCCAAAGTGCTGAGATTACAGGTGTAGGCCACTGTACCCAGCCAAAATTTTTGCCTTTTGATGTATGTTCATGCACTAATTTCCAGGCTCAAAATAAGATTATAAAACATAATTGTTTCATCTATAATTCAATTAACATCTACAATATATAATGTACTTCTAAGTCACTATAAGAATGCCTTCCATTTCTAAAATGTGGGAAATGATCATGTGTGGGAAATTCTGTTTATCTTTTCTGCTTATTAGATTACCTGCTGCTCATTGATCATATTCCTTTTTTTAAAAAATCTACTATAATTGAATCGCTTCCTTTCTAATTTTTTTTTTTTTTTTTTTTTTTTTGAGACTGAGTCTCACTGTCTTGCCCAGGGTGGAGTGCAGTGGCACAGTCTCGGCTCACTGCAACCTCTGCCTCCCTGGTTCAAGTGATTCTCTTGCCTCAGCCTCCCAAGTAGCTGGGACTACAGGAATGTGCCACCACGCCTGGCTAATTTTTTGTACTTTTTTAGTTGAGACGGGATTTCACCGTGTTAGCCAGGATGGTCTCGATCTCCTGACCTCATGATCTGCCCGCCTCGGCTTCCCAAAGTGCTGGGATTATAGGCGTGAGCCACCGCGCCTGGCTTTCCTTTCTAATTTTATAATAGAACCTTTAAAATAGTTTAGCTCTTCTAATTACTATTTATCTAAATATACAAATTATAAAATAATTGCCTTTTGCTACTGTGGGTTTCAGCATCTTTTTATTGCTTTTCTTAATTCATTTCGGATCATGTTATAATTATAAACTTCGTTTCAAAGAATAATTACAAGTACTAACAAGACTGAAATAGCAATGGTCTCAGTGTACACAATATCTCTTGTCTAGAAATCTCTTGCTAAAAGAATTTGAGATTCAAGTTAAATTATATTCTTGAAATGAAATGTTTTCAACATTCTTATCATCTGCAAAGACAAAGCATTTATGTATGGCCTGGGGTCTCCCAATAAGGACCTTGAAAATGATGTTTGCAAGTTGTACCTAAAAAATGAGATTCTCCATCAGATTTGGACAAGTAAATTTGTAGTTATGGTCATTGTACACCTAATGTATAGAAAACAGTGTTGAAAATATACAGTAAGTGCAACTTTTTGCATGCAAACTTTAAAAAACATTTCCTGGGTCAGTTTAGCTAAAAAAAAAAAAAAATGAAAAAAAATGAATAGTGGGCCTTTGCAATTATTCAAGCTTAGATACATACACATCTCCAATTAACTGAAACAGATATTCCCAGCATTATTTGAGTGAAGAGGATATTCTTTAATCATGTCACTGTATTTTGGTAGGTATTTTTGGGTTCTTTTAATATGTTTTTGTTTTGTTTTGTTTTGTTTTGTTTTGTTTTGTTTTGTTTTGTTTTTGAGACGGAGTCTCGCTCTGTCACCCAGGCTGGAGTGCAGTGGCATGATCTCGGCTCACTGCAACCTCCGCCTCCCAAGTTCAAGCAATTCTGGTGCCTCAGCCTGCCAAGTAGCTGGGACTACAGGCACCCGCCACCATGCCTGGCTAATTTTTGTATTCTTAGTAGAGACGGGGTTTCACCATGTTGGCCAGGCTGGTCTCAAACTCCTGACCTCAAGTGATCCACCTACCTCAGCCCCACAAAGCGCTGGGATTACAGACATGAGCCACCTCATAGGTAGGCCGTGGTAGGGATTTTTGAGTATATAAGTCAGAATGTTACATCATGGGATCAGAATTGAGTCAGAGATATAGAATTCTAATACTCACTTCCACAGCACACTCTACCTTACTTATCAGATATATAAAAGAGAATCAATATTCCATCTTGTATGGTATATTGATTGAGCTTGGCTTATAAAAATTAAGTTTCATGGCTGGGCGCAGGGGCTCACGCCTGAATCCCAGCACTTTGGAAGGATGAGGCAGGAGGATCACCTGAGGTCAGGAGTTCCAGACAATCCTGGCCAAGATAGTGAAACTCCGTCTCCACTGAAAATATAAAAAATTAGCCAGGCATGGTGGGACCCACCTGTAATCCCAGCAACTTGGGAGGCTGAGGTAGAAGAATTGCTTGAAACCGGGAGATAGAGGTTGCAGTGAACCAAGTTCACCCCACTGTACTCCAGCCTGGGCAACAGACTCTGTCTCAAAAAAAATAACAACACGTTTTACAATATATATAGGTTCATAACTCAGTAACACCTCAGCGACGCTATAGCTACTCCTCAAGCCAAAGTCTCAATCAGAAAAAAGATGCTAGGTGAATAACACTGGTCTTACAAATACCCAGGGCCATAACAAATCAAGACAGTTGAATTGCAAAATTGTTTAAACGTAGAGTTATTTTAGCTTCAAATATAGAAGCCTAACTGAAAATGACTTAAACAAAAGAATATTTACTATCTCACATAAAAAGAGGTTTAGAGTTGGGCCGAGGGGGTTGGGGGGGGTGGGCAGCTCACGCCTGTAATCCTAGCACTTCGGGAGGCCGAGGCGGGCAGATCACGAGGTTAGGAGATCAAGACCATCCATCCTGGCTAACACGGTGAAAACCCGTCTCTACTAAAAATACAAAAAATTAGCCGGGAATGGTGGTGCATGCCTGTAGTCCCAGCTACTTGAGAGGATGAGGCAGGAGAATCGCTTGAACACAGAAGGTGGAGGTTGCAGTGAGCTGAGATCGCATCACTGCACTCCAGCCTGGGTGACAGAGTGAAACTCCATCTGAAAAAAAAAAAAAAAAGGTTTAGAGGTAGCAGCTACAGGGAGAGTACAGGGAAGGTTAATTCAGCAGCTCAACAATGACCTTAATTACCAAGACTCTTTCTGTCTTAGTGTTCAGTGATCTTCTGTGTGTCGCCTATCATCCTCAGACATGTCCCCTCATTGTAGCAAGGTGGCTGCCACAGCTCCAGACATCAAGTTATCACACAATCACGCCCAAAGGCAGAAAGGACAATGTTTCCTTATATGTTTCTCTTTTCACTAAGGAGGAAAGCTTTTCAGAGTACCTCAGCAGCAGACTTACCCCTAAGGTCCATTGGCAAAGACTTACTGGGTCACAGGCCAATGCCTTAGCTGCCAGGACAAGTGCTGGCAGGTGTCTTTCTGACATTTCAGCCTCTCACATGAAAATCAGCTCTTCCAGCAAGAAAGAAATAGGAGACAATAGATTGGCTGTGGGGTAGGCAGCCAACAGTGTCTACTCTAGTTTGTGCTTTCTAATCAGAGTCTTGCTTTTTCTTTGTCTTGTTTTTTTTTTTCTTTCTTTCTTTTTCTGAGAAAGAGTCTTGCTCTGTAGCCCAGGCTGGAGTGCAGTGGCACTATCTTGGTTCACTGCAGCGTCTGCCTCCTGGGTCCCGGTTCAAGCAATTCTCCTGCCTCAGCCTCCCGGGTAGCTGGTATTACAGGCATGGACCACCAAAAAAAAAAAATGCCCAGCTAATTTTTGTATTTTCAGTAGATACTGGGTTTCACCATGTTGGCCAGGATGGTCTTGAACTCCTGAACTCATGATCCGCCCACCTTGGCCTCCCAAAGTGCTGGCATTACAGGCATGAGCCACTGCGCCCAGCCTTAGTTTTCCTTTTATACAGAGAGTTAGAGAGAGAGAGAAATAGGCTTTTTGCATAGCTTTAAGTAAACATTAAGTAGGGCTGTTTGTTGCAATTCATGTGCTTCTGAATATGGTGCATTTATGAGGCCTTGTTTCCATTTAACTTTGAAACTATAAGGAGGATGTTAGTGGTCTCCTATGTTTTCAATGCGCTGAACACACAGCTGGATCCCAGCACCTCTGGGCTGATATCCCACATTTATGCCTAGGACCCTATCGTTTCATGATGGTAATTAGCATTTGTATAACCCTTTATAATTGGAAAAGCTACCTATTCATATATTTTATCTTTTGAACCTTACTAGCCATATAAAAGTTGTATCCATTTACTTAAAATGAGCCAGGACAGATGGGCAGGCATGAGACCTGGCATTCAGTGGGCCAGGTGAAAGCCAGAAGCCAGAGGGGTAAGCATTCAGCCTCTGGGAGCATCGTCCACAAACAGCTAGGCTGCAGAAGCTAGCCTAAAGCTCAGGAAAGAGCTCTGGTCTCTGCAGAGAGGAAAACCAAGAGTAAAATGAGACTTTACTCTAAAAGAAAACTTCCCTAATAAGAAGATTGGCAGATGAGGATTTGAGAATCAGGACCAAGGTCGAAATCTACAAATAAAACCCAGGACTCAAGGGTATACAAAAAAAAAAAAAATTCCAGCAAGTTCTCCATTAATTTTGATGAATGAATGAATGAATGATACCAGAATTATTGTGCCAGTGATTTGATACTAAGCCACTGCATGTTGGTCTAAAAGAACTCAGTATCATTTCTAGGAACTGGGAGCTGGCTGGGTCTATAGTTAGAGATCAAATATGCCATCTTGGAGTTGAAAGGAGGACTGCAGCTGACTGGGGCTTTATTTGTTTTTATACTTATTTTTATTTTTATTTTGAGATGGAGTCTTGCTCTCTTGCCCAGGCTGGAGTGCAGTGGTGCAGTTGCGGCTCACTGCAACCTCCACCTCCTGAGTTCAAACGATTCTCCTGCCTCAGCCTCCTGAGTAGCTGGAATTACAAGCGTGCACCACCACACCCGGTTAATTTTTGTATTTTTAGTAGAGACAGGGTTTCACCATGTTGGCCAGGCTGGTCTCAAACTCCTGACCTCAAGTGATCCACCCACCTCAGCCCCACCAAGTGCTGGGATTACAGGCATGAGCCACCACGCCCGGCCGGGGCTTTCTTTAATTGAAAGTTTACTGAGAATAAGTTATTTGGGGAGATTCCTAATTATGCAAATTCTCAGCAATCTTCCCTAGAAACTCTGATTCAGGAGGTCTTGGGTAGAGTACAGAAATTTTTGACAAGCACCCAGGTGGTCCTGATGCTGTGGTAACCAGAATCATCTTACATTCCTAATTAAACAGTAAGCCACTTAAGGACCAACAGCATACCCTATATGTGTCCCCCATAGATTCTAACTGTGACGTGAATGCTCAGTGTGCATGTTGATTGAAAAAGCCCCTATTTTAAATCAGTGAGGTTACTGGAATTGACCATTTAGGATAATCATAGTCACCTGCTGAAGAATGAAGACTATTCGCAACCTTGATGCTAATTGACTATTAAGGTGTTATACATTGTAGTGGAAACAGGTGGGCAGAATAGAGCCTGCATTGAGGTAATTACAATCTAGTGGGGTAATAAATTTGTAGGGAAATAATTTAATACAAAGCAGAATTTGATGAGTGCTATGAGATGAATAAAAATGCTCAGAGAGCCAGGCGTGGTGGCTTACGCCTGTAATCCTAACACTTTGGGAGGCCAAGGCAGGCAAATCACCTGAAGTCAGGAGTTCAAGACCAGCCTGACCAACATGGAGAAACCCCGTCTCTATTAAAAATACAAAATTAGCCGGGTGTGGTGGTGTGTGCCTGTATCCCAGCTACTTGGGAGGCTGAGGTGCAAGAATCGCTTGAACCCGAGAGGCGGGAGGTTGCGGTGAGCCGAGATCGCGCCATTGTACTCCAGCCTGGGCAACAGGAGCGAAACTCTGTCTCAAAAAAAAAACTCAGAGTGAAATGACTAAGGGAGGTTTAGCTGTGACTTGAAAAACAAGTAAGATTTCGATCAATGATGGAAAGGGAGCAGTCACTCCACACAAACGTATCCATTCATTACTGAGCACCTACTATGTGCCAAGCACTGTTCTAGGCATTAGGGATACAGCAGGGCACAAAACTAAGTCCCTTCTTGTATTCTAAGGCAAGGGGAGATCGTCAATAAACAAATACTTTGCTGTACTTTAAAAATACTGACATTCTATTCCTTATCTATGGCAGCCATGGAAGCTGAATTGGAAGGGAGAAGAGATGGAAGAGGAAAGGCAGTTAGGAGACTAGGCTTGGGACACAGGAAGACATGACAAGAATCCAACCTATGGCACAGACAGTAAGAATGGAAGGAAATCGATTCAAGAGCTATTTTACAGAGAAACTGTATGTTGAAGGGTTAACCCTTTAACAAAGCAAACACCCTATAGTTACAATATGAAAGATTTAGGTGAGCCAGGTGCGGTGACTCACGCCTGTAATCCCAACGCTTTGGGAGGCTGAGGCGGGCAGATCGCCTGAGGCTGGGAGTTCGAGACCAGCCTGACCAACATGGAGAAACCCCGTCTCTACTAAAAATACAAAAAATTAACTGGGCATAGTGACGTATGCCCGTAATCCCAGCTACTCAGGAGGCTGAGGCAGGAGAATCACTTGAACCCGGGAGGCAGAGGTTGTGGTAAGCCAAGACTGCGCCATTGCACTCCAGCCTGAACAACAAGAGCCAAACTCCATCAAAAAAAGAAAAAGAAAAAGGAAGGAGGGAAGGGAGGAAAGAAGGAAGGAAGAAAGGGGAAGGGAAGGGAGGAAGGAAGGAAGGAAGGGAAGGAAGGAAGGAAGGGAAGGAAGGAAAGAAAGAAGGAAGGAAGGAAAAGAAGGAAAGAAAGAAAAGAAGGAAAGAAAGGGAAAGGAAGGGGAAGAAAGAAAGATCTAGGTGAAATATAAAGGCAGATTTCCTGGCCCAGGCTGGAATTGTTTATGTGTTGTAATGTGTTTGCTTTAAGTAAAAACAAAAGCAAACACAAGGCAGGAGGATAGCTTGAGCTCAGGAGTTTGAGAACACCCTGGGCAACATAGCAAGACCCCATCTCTGAAAAAAAATAAAAAAATTATCCTGGTATGGCAGTGCCTATAGTCCCAGCTACTCAGGAGGCTGAGACAGGAGGATGGCTTAAGCCCAGGTGATCCAGGCTGCAGAGAGCCATGATCACACCACTGTCCAGCCTTGGCAACTCTGTCTCAAATATATGTGTGTGTGTGTATAGAAAGCAAGATTTAACTGATATTTTTATTTAAAAATCAATAAAGAACTGGCCAGGTTCAGTGGTTCACGCCTGTAATCCCAGCACTTTGGGAGGCCGAGGCAGGCGGATCATTTAAGGTCAGGCATTTGAGACCAGCCTGACCAACATGGTGAAACCCTGTCTGTACTGAAAATACAACAATCAGCCAGGCGTGGTGGTGTGTGCCGGTAGTCCCAGCTACTTGGGAGGCTGAGGCAGGAGAATCACTTGAACTCAGAAGGTGGAGGCTGCCGTAAGCTGAGATCACACGACTGCACTCCAGCCTGGGTGACAGAGGGAGATTCTGCCTCAAAAAAAAAAAGAAAAGAAAAGAAGTAATGTTGTAAAATACCTAGCATATGGATGGCACTATTTATCAGCCTCTGATAAATAGTCTGCCACTACTGTGAGTAGTGATATAAGTCTACTTGTTGCTTTTTCTCCAAACACTAGCATCTCTGTCTTTGGTAGAGATATTTAGGTGTTACACCAAGTGGAGAAATAAAAATTAAAACACTGAACTCGTGAGTAAATGAGAAGTGGATTCCACACCTATCTTTATCCTCTATAACCACTCCAGGCTGTGCCTTTTCAAGGTAACCCTCACCTTCAGGAGCCTGCACATGAGTGCCTTCCCCAAGGCACATAGAGTTAAGAATATATATCATCACAGTAGCCAGGGGATGTAACTCTGTTTAGAGAGACCTGTGAATGCATCTGATAAAACTTCAGAACAGTATGTTTTGAAATAGATAGTACAGACATAAATGCCCACGTATTGTCCAATGATCAGACAACTCAACAGCTGCTATTCACAGACAGCATGATTTTTTAATGAAGATGAATAATTCTAGTTGCTTCCACAGTTCAAGATGTCCAAGGCAGCTGAACTATTCAGTATTAGTTGATATTTGTATTGCTGAAGGAGTGACATTCCATCTACGTCAGAATTTTTTTCTACTGTGGGCTCCCATGAAACCTCACAAACACTTAAATCCCATTAGCACTACTCCCACTGGAGAGGGTACTGATTTAATTGGGAGTCAACACACATTTACACCTCTTTGGGAAAGAAAAAAATCTCAGGACCTGGGTATGATTAACAGAAAAGGCTCTGTCTGGCCTATGAGGAATAATTAAGCTATACATTTCGTCTTTGTTTGCCAAAAGAGAAATGCCTTTCTTAAAAAAGTACAATCCACTCTTTCCCCCCCAACTTTATCTGTCTAGATAAATATAATTAGGTAATAGATGATGATTTGTTAGCATTTTATTTCCTGTGTTTGCAAGGGCATTAAGAGTGATCAAACAGCTGACAACAAATATGGTCAGTTTCTGATTCTCAGAGGAAAGAACGTGACTTTTGAGAATCAGATGGGCTGGGAGCAGGCATTTTTGCAAATTAACTCTTCCTGTATTCTGAACAGGATCATAGAGGCTTTTGTCTTAGCTGATTTGCATGCACTAATTGCTAGTTCTGAGTAAATTTGGGTTGATCACCTACACAATTACATTCATAAATTAATATTTTTACTTCACAATTATTTACACACAGGAAGAAACAGTATAAATAATTTTAAAGCTGTGTCTACACTTTCATAATGAAGTGGTTAATTAAAGTAATGAGCTAGTTAATGACAGGCCCAAAAATTTGTCATGAAACATCCATATAAGGGAGAAAGAAATGTCTTTGCCTGAATAATTTTCATAATTGCCTCAACATTTGATTTCACTTTCTATGAAGAGAGATGTCCTAAATGACACTTTGGTTGTGAATCTGAATTATCCTTTGATTTCTCATAGACAGTATGGATGCCAAGGCTAACTGCCAAGGTAACAGAGGTATCACACACTAGGGAGATAGCCCCATCTCAGAAGGACTGGACACAGGCTGACTCAGGCAAGTAGATGACAATGAATATACAGAAACAGAGGCTTAAGCTGGGTCTAAGTAAGTCATGGACTGTCAATACCAAAGGGCTTCCTTATCACACCCCCAGCCCGGGAAGACCCATTCCAATTTTATTTATTTTTTTTTAATTTAGGATTTTATTCTTTTGTTTTTGTTTGTTCACTTGTTTTTTGGAGGAAAGGGTTGGGTGGTGTTGTTTGGTTGGTTGGTTTTAAGATAGGGGTGTCGCTATGTTGCCCAGGCTGGTCTTAGACTCCTGGGCTCAAACAATCCTCCTGCCTCAGCCTCCTGAGTAGCTAGAACTACAAGTGCCACCACTGCACTGGCCTCCATTCCAGTTTTAGAGGAACCTATCCTTTTAGGGAGCTCTGATCCTTTGGTCCAACTGACCTTTAACCTTAACATTAGAGACCAGATTCAGGGTGCCTGCAATAACCCATAATCACCTGGGTTTGGGCAACCACTTCACTCATTTGGGAAAATATTCAGCTTATTTTCCTATTTCAGTGAATGGCACTATCATCCACCCAGCTGCTCACAGTGGGACTCTAGAAAGCATCCTTAGTTCTTTGTTTTCCCTCGTGTTGATCTGGGCCACCATCGTCTCTGACTGGGATCATTACAACAGCCTCCTCACTAGTCTCTTCTTTGCCTCCACCCTTGCCTGTACCCCACCCAACTCCACTGCTGATCCCCCAAAGATTATTTCCAGTGCAGTAACCAGAATAATTATTTTTAAATGTGCATCATATCAAGCCAATCTGCTCAGAACCTTGCAATGGATGGGGCTGCAGCTGTGGAATACACCCTAGATCTGGAAGCATATAGAGAAGGTCAGGAGTTCAGCTTCTCTGAGATACCAGGGACTAAAGTGCCCAAGAAGAGGCAGGGGACTAGAGTCCTTCTAGCTGTTTGAAACCATGACTAGGGATGGAACTCCTCTGTTCAAGCTCAAGGATGCTTTGGTCCAGGGGTATGATTTACAAGTAAATGAATATCAAGGGAGATAAGAGGATGTGTATATCTCCTCTTGACCTGGACTTGATCCAATATCACCTTGAATATCATGAATATCCTCTAAGACTGGATCTAGGAACAACTGACACCAGACTGGGTTCTAGCCTGAGGCCTCTGGAGGAGATCATGTACAGGCAATTTTAAAATCACTAGACAGTAAGAGGAAAGTGCAAAGGAAAATAAAAACCTCCCACTCTAAATGAGTCTGAAAACCTAAATTCTAAACTACAAGAAGAAAATGAATTCTGGCGGGGCATAGTGGCCCATGCCTATAATCCCAGTACTTTGGGAGGCCAAGGCGGGAAGATCACTTGAGGTCAGAAGTTCGAGAGCAGCCTGGCCAACATAGTGAGACACTGTTGCTAAAAATACAAAAATTAGCTGGGCATGGTGGCATGTGCCTGTAGTCCCAGCTACTCGGGAGGCTGAGGCATAAGAATCGCTTGAATCTGAGAGATGGATAGGGTAGTGAGCTAAGATTGTGCCACTGCACTCCAGCCTGGGTAACAGAGTGAGACTCTGTCTCAAAAAAAAAAAAGAAAAAGAAAAAAGAAAACAAATTATAAGAAAGAGAGCCAAACAAAACTATGATGGAAAGAGAAATTTGGCTGGACACAGTGGCTCTTTCCTGTAATCCCAGCACTTTGGGAGGCTAAGGCAGGAGGATTACTGGAGGTCAGGAGTTCGAGATCAGCCTGACCAACATGGTGAAACCCCGTCTCTACTAAATACAAAAAATCAGCCAGGTGTGGTGGCACACACCTGTAATACCAGCTACTTGGGAGGCTGAGGCAGGAGAATCGCTTGAACCAGAGAGGCAGAGATTGCAGTGAGCAGAGATTGCACAATTGCACTCCAGCCTGGGCAACAAGAGCAAAACTCCATCTCAAAAAAAGAAAGAAAAAAAACTTATTTGGTTCAGGTGAGGGCAACTAAGAGGGGTGGGGCAGATAAGCAGGTGTTGGCTATCCAAGCAGGGGCCTAGAATATCCTTTTTCTTCTGTAGTTTGCTGACCTAAGCCAATCTAAGGCACTTTGTCTTGGAAATGGACTACTGTATACATTATTTCCTTCATCCTTGAGTGTGGATGAAATCTGTGAATATGATGGTATATCACAACCATGATTAGGTTATGGTTTATGGAATAGTTGACTCTAAGAAAGAGAGATTATCCTGGGTGGACATGACCTAGTCCAGTGAGCCCTTAAATGGGATTTGGCTCTCCTCAATAGATTAAGAGAGAGATTTGAAGCATTAGAAAAATTTTTTGTGAGAGATTTCCCATTGCTGCCTTTGAAGATGAAAGAGACCATGTGTCAAGGAATGAAGGTGACCTCAAGAAACTAAGAGCGTGTCTTTGTTGATGGCCAGTAAGAAACAGGAACCTTGGTCCTATAACCCCAATGAATTAAATTCTGCCACAACCACATAAACTTGGAAAAGAGTCCCAAGCCCCATATGGGACCCCAGCCCAGTGAACATCTTGATTTTAGCTTTGTGAGACCCTTAGCCGAGAATGCAGCCACACTATGCCCAGACTTCTGACCTATAGAACTGGGAACAAATAAATGAGTGTTGTTTTAGGCCACTAAGCTTGTGCTAATTTGTTATGTGGCAACAGAAAACTGTTTTAAGTAGATTTGTTTAACAGCTATAATTAGGACTACTTGCAGTAGAAAGAATTTAAAAGACACAAAATCAGTTAAAAATTGCTATAGTAATTTAAGATGAGAAGAAAAAGTCCTGAACTGAGGTACTGACAGCAGAATATAAGAAGAAAAAACTAGTAATAAATTATAAAGAAAGAGTCCATTAGACTTGATGTTCACAAGAAAAAATGCAGGGACAATGATTAACTATGACTAGTTTAATCATTGCCAGAACAATGATTAACATAATTCCATGAAAATCAGTGTACTTTCTTCTGCTATCTTTCTTGCTACCATCTTGGACTACTATCGAAATATTCCATTTGACTTTTGTGTGTATTTGTATTCGCTTCTCAACTAGAAAACAAGCTCCTAGTGGACAGAATTACTTACATTTCACTAAATTCCCCATGGAATCAAGTGTCATAGATGTGAAATAATTAAAATACAACCTACTTTATTGCATATCTGTTAGACTGCTTCAAGTAAAACAAGCTGACAATATTAAGTGCTGACAAGGAAACAGAGCAACTGGAAATGTCGCTCGTTCCAGAGGGAATAAAAAATGGGATAGCCACTTTGGAAAAGACTTTGACAGTCTCTTATGGAGTTAAATATACATCTACCATACAATCCAGAAATTTCACTCCTAGGTATTTACCCAAGAAAAACAAAGACATAGATACACACAAAACCTTGTACTTAAATGTTTATAGCAGCTTTATTCATAATCATCAAAAACTTAACCCAAATATACCTCAATTAATGGATAAATTATGATACATCCATACAATGGAATACTAGCAATAAAACAGAATCAACTACTGATACATGCAACAACATGGATAAATCTCAAAAAGCATTATGCTAAGTGAAAAAGGCCAAACTAAAAAGACTACATGCTGTGTGGTTCCATTTATATGATATTGTCAAAATGGCAAAACTGTAAGAACAAAGAGTAGATCAATGGTTGCCAGGGGCTGAGGGTAGGTGGCGGGTAAAAGGATTCTCAGGATAATGGAAATAGTCTCTATCTTCATTGTAATGGTGATTACAAGACTGTACACATTTGTCATTCATGGAACTGTATATCCAAACAGGGTGAATTTAATAGACAGAAATTATACCTGACTTAAGACAAAAAAAAAAAAAGAGAGAGAACTGGCTGGGCACGGTGGCTCACACCTGTAATCCCAGCACTTTGGGAGGCTGAGGCAGGTGGATCACCTGAGGTCAGGAGTTTAAGACTAGCCTGGCCAACAA
This sequence comes from Homo sapiens, assembly GCF_000001405.40. Taxonomy (NCBI): domain Eukaryota; kingdom Metazoa; phylum Chordata; class Mammalia; order Primates; family Hominidae; genus Homo; species Homo sapiens. The sequence goes on along the minus strand of NC_000015.10, from coordinate 59,707,059 downwards.
GGTGAAACACCGTCTCTACTAAAAAAACAAATATTAGCCAGGTGTGGTGGCGGGTGCTGTAGTCCCAGCTACTCGGGAGGTTGAGGCAGGAGAGAATCCCTTGAACCCGGGAGGCGGAGGTTGCAGTGAGCCGAGGTCGTGCCATTGCACTCCAGCCTGGGCAACAAGAGCGAAACTCCGTCTCAAAAAAAAAAAAAAGATAAAAAAAATTAAGCACTGTATAGTAGTTTTAGTATCTGTCTAGTGAAACAGGCCTCTGTCTAGATCTTTAGGGCTTTTCAAGGCTGGAGTCACAACATACTATGTAATATCCTCCCTTCTTCTACCTCCCAAACACCAACCTCTGCAAGAAATATATATGTATTGAATTAAATAAAATAATTTATTTTTACACAGAGAAATCTAACAAAACAACAACAATTGTTGTTTTAAACAGGAAAAGAAGAGGAGGAAATATTTCTTTTTTTTTTTTTTTTTGCGCCACAGTCTCACTCTGTTACCCACGTTGGAGTGCAGTGGCATGATCTCGGCTCACTGCAACCTCCACCTCCCAGGTTCAAGTAATTCTCCTGCCTCAGCCTCCAGGGTTGCTGGGACTATAGGCGCCCACCACCATACCTGGCTAATTTTTGTATTTTTTGTAGAGACAGGGTTTCACCAGGTTGGCCAGGTTGGTCTCAAACTCCTGACCTCAGGTGATCCACCTGCCTCAGCCTCCCAAAGTGCTGGGATTACAGGTGTGAGCCACAGCACCTGGCCAGAAATATTTCAAAAGGCGATGTTCAGGGTGATGAAGAGGTCTGCGGTAAGAAGGGCTTCCAAGCCCAGACAGCATATTTATGCAAATATGCACCAGGATTTCCAGTTTGGTTTTGGCACCAACTGACAGCATCCTTTTCTCCTCCACTCTCTTTGATGCCATGTAGCAACCGCTGCTTAAATCCTGAAAAGTTTAGAACTCCAAGCACAGAACTCTGGGCAATTTTATCCCTATTTTTCACATCCTAGGGAGGTTCTTGCCTACAGGTTAACATGGGTATCTGTGACAGGTCAAGCCTTAAGAAGGTCTGTGGCAGCATTCCCACGGTCATCCTTCTTCTGATACAAAATGCAGATACAACTGGTGATTTCCTATTTATGTTTGACCTGACTTGAATGTTATCTCTGCATAAACAGAGGGAGTAAACTGTTGTAAGACCTATCACTCACCTTAAGGGAAACAGGAGGATTTACCCCCATTGTTTTCTTGCAATTTCATACAGAAGCACACAAACTTCCCCAGACACCCAAATGGCACAGTTTAGGAAAGAATGTCAAATGAGAAGTAGGTGACATGGGGGAACAGGAAGGAACAGTAAGAATAGTAGAAGTGTTTGTGAAAGCATTCATACTGAGAGCACATTAGAAATTAAAGGCAAAAGAGCTCTATTTTAGAATGATGGCAACTTGTACCCTCTGATTTACTATATTGCTTGCCTTTCTTGAGTTTTACTTTTAAATTCAAGGTAGGGGTACACATTTTTTTAATGGGTAAGCACTGCTCCTCTGAGAATAAAGAAATTTGAGTTTTAAATTAACAATATTTTCAATATGTTGAAAGTTAACTACCTCCCATATTCAATATTTTCTTTAAAAATGATTGTATATAACAGGCCATTCTGAAGTATAATAAATGATGTCTTCTAAATTCTAATAATGGTTGGAATTACTTATGACCCTTTCTGTAGCAATAGCCAATAAAAAGGATCATATTTTTAGTATATACATATCATTTTGAAGACCCTAACGTTCAGAAGTGAGTCAATTTATTTAATTTATAGGTATATGAAAACCATTCTAGGAATAATATTTTATGATTCTACTCTCATCAATATCTGATACTCTAAATTTTCTTTTTAAGCATCTCCATTTTCCATTGTCATGTCTGAATTACCTTCATTATTGTATTTTACCTATTTCAGTGTCTCCTTTTTTCTTCTATAAATGAATTCACTAGCTGAAGTCAAAATGAGCCAAAAAACCCTTAAGATTTAAGACACACTTTAGTTACCATATATCATGCTATTAAGAAAAATCAGATATAGCTCCCTCTCTGATACGAATTATGTTTACATTTATTTTATCATTAAATTGGACTTCTTAAAAATTATCTTTTAATAGCAATAAAATGGAAGTACATACTAAAATTGACTTTATTCTTATTATTTTTAAATTTTTAAACAATGTGAATGTTATTGTAACTGTATTTCCATCATTCTCACTGCTTGTTTTACTTAAGAAAAAGTTACCCACTGAAAGATATACAAGTAGCCAGGGGCAGTGGCTCATGCCTGTAAAAGAAAAAATTATCCATTGAAAGATATACAAGTAGCCAGGGGCAGTGGCTCATGCCTGTAATCCCAGCACTTTGGGAAGCCAAGGCGGGTGAGGTCAGGAGTTCAAGAACAGCCTGGCCAACATGGTGAAACCCCATCTCTACTAAAAATACAAATAAACTAGCCGGGCGTGGTGGCATGCACGTCTAATCCCAGCTACCCAGGAGGTTGAGGCAAGAGAATTGCTTGAACTTGGGAGGTGGAGATTGCAGTGAGCTGAGATCACACCACTGCACTCCAGCCTGGGCAACAGAATGAGACTCTGTCTCAAAAAAAAAAAAAGATGCAAGTAACAGAACCTATACATAAATAAACACATAAAATGAATACAGACTATACTATAAAATGACTCTGTAAAACCGATACTATAAAAGATGCTTCAAATACCAGAGGTAAGAAAATTATCAAAGTTTTTTTAGTTTAGAGAACAACATAATTAATTTCAGATGAGCCCTTGTCTGGTCAATTAAGTCCATGAAAACTTTCTTCTGGGTTTTCATTCATCATTTATGTTTCTCCACTGGGCATTCTATGACAAATCAGAAAAATAAACCCAATTTGTTATGTTCCAGGCATTGTGAGTGTTTACAACGTCTTATTTAACCTTCACACTGTGAAAGATCCAGACATTTGCCTTCACTTTGAATAGACATTGAGAAAAATGAGAAAGAAATATGGCTTTATTTCATAAAAACTAAAAATCATCTAAAAAGTTAGTTTATTGTCCATGGTTAAATATTTGACACATAAAGAAATTGCATATATTTTTAATCACTTCATATTACTAATTGTGTTAAACCTTTTTTCACTCCTATGATTATTTTCAATTCTCACACATCCCTTCAATTAATTTTTCCTTTGACTAGTTTATTTTCATTATCATGTTCATTTTTCTCAAACTAAATTTTATATTTTCCATTATAGAATGAATGAAATTATCCTTGCTCTAATAACCTAAATATGTTACTAGTATACATATTTTTCAGTGTGTTACAGCACTTTTAGGATAATTAAATAACAAAGGCAGAAACTGATTCCAGGTTTTAAACATTTTACTGGAAGGTTTGTGACACTGTGCTCTGGTCTCAACCTATAATTTTAAAACTTGGAGCAAAATAACCCAATATACATATCAACAAATAAACAGCTACACCTGATATAAATGCCTTATTTCTTACAAACATATCTCATCTCCTGTTAGATAATCAGCCTCTTCAGGACAGAGCCTGAGTAACAGCCACAGCACCTAGCATATGCCTCATAAATATTAGGAAATAAATGTTAGTTGGCTTTGTAAAACCATTGAATCTTTGCAGTATATATTTATTTATCCCAAAATGAAATGTTCTATCATTTCAGATGTACAGCTGTAAAGTTATTTGCACATGTTATGAGCTCTGCAGAAGTCTAACAAACCAATTAACTTCACTGTCTATTGTGAGTTCCTGAGTTTACATTTCTTCGATACACCCGTCATGGGGGACTGGGGGTTGCTGCTCTTTTCTTAGATTGCATGTCAGACTTCACAACATTGCACAAAGCAGAACATGTTTTCAGAAAGTAATTTTTGTTCCTGACTTACTCTTTTTGCTTTTGACATTGTTTAGACATTTCATGCTGGTAGAAAAAAAGAAAATTATCTTAAATGTGTAAATGAAATAAAGGCCAACAAAAAAAACTGTTCCCTACATTGGATAATAGGGTTTTAATGTATTTCTGCTGTCGGACTGGTGTATTTGTGTGATAATTTCATGTGACAGTATAATTAAATTGTAAAACAATTCCCATTTCCTATGTATTTTATCTATTTATCATCATTTATTTCTTTACCTTCTTTTTCTGCAATAAATATTATTGTAAGGAGAGTTAAATAAGTTAAACCAATGCAATTACTTTTACAGATTGAAATTAACTTCATATATCAATTTGTACACATTTATACAAAGTACCTACAACTTGCCTGGTATAAATAAATGTGTTTATTGCAGTATATTTATGATGTCACTGTGGTTTCCATGTTTGCCTTCCTTCTGAGTAATGATCTATATGTTTAAACTTGACATTTTAACAGTATTTTCAAACAATTTCATTCATTATCAAATAACCATTTACTACACTATGGCAATTTCATACCATTTACTGTACCCTTTAGACACTCCTAAACAATGATTTATCAACCAATATATAGATTTTAATGCTTATCACAGCAAATGTAGAAAGTAACATTAAATAGTGACTTGACAAGAGATAACTAAATTATCTTTTAAAAAAACTTGATGAGTCATGTTAGTAATAGCCAGTATGCCTTTATAGCTGCACTGAAATTAAAAGTATATTAGATTGTTATATTCCTTATGTATTAAGGTGGTTCATTTTAAAATCTATATGAACACCAGCTATATAACCTCAAGTGTTGATTTTAATGGAAAAAAAGCAGAAAGGTTATTTTAAGTGTTTTAGATGTTAACCTGCCTGATAGATTTTTGTATCTTGGCTTCTCCATAGGAGGGAAAATATTCTGGCTCAGAGAAGTCATCTCTGGGTTGATCAAATCTGGGATGATTCAGATGGATCGTGTTGGGCGAGACAAAAGGCTGCTTACAATAATCCTATCTGCTTGCTGCACACGAGACATACCCAGATCCTTTTAATCCTCATGAGGTCTGATCATATCCTTGCTGGAGCAACCCACAGAAGTTACATGGTTGTGAACTTTTATGAGAGGGGAAAAACTGAAGAATTTCTCTGTGCAAAGGAGTCAAATCAGCGGCAAAATGTGTTACCTTTGTAGGATCAACACAGTTGATCCAGTGAATGGTACTATAGTCCTGAGAAAATGCGGAGAGAAAGTTTAGGTTTAAAAACAATTAACAAGGACAGAAAGGGAGGAGGGAGAAACAAGACAACTTCCTTTCAAGTAGAATCATTTACATAAAACATTACACCTGATAAAGGTGTCTGTCAGTGTGTGGGAGGGTCTGTATTTCTTCAGTTATTCACATCCAGAATGAATTAACTTGACACTAATTGCAGAAGGATTAAATTTATTCAATCTTTATAGACTACTCCTTGACTATTAAAATTAAATGAAGATAAAAATGAATTATTCTTTCCTAGATCAAAAATGAAATACCAAACCATTTTATAAGGGTGTAGGAGAAGATGGGCAGTGAAGACCACAACCTGTGACTTAAAAAAAATAAATAAACAGAAATAAGAAGCTTAATTTTGAATAGATTTGTTAATTTAACAAAAAGATTCCTTATTTAAGAGGTCCCTAGGACACCTTCGGAAATATATTGTACCCTAGCTAGAAGAACCTAAAAATACACACGTTTTTATTAATACTTTACAAATATATATAGCTGAGCCAAGAAATTCATTTGCTAGGGAGTGGTTTTTTTAATAGTCAAAACACAAAAAACAATTATTAAAATGAAAAAAAGAGCAAGTTTCAAGTGATTACATTTCAGCATGTGTTCTCTATACCACCAGGTTGGATAAGGAACTGAAGCAAAAACTATTACAAGAAGAGGCAGTCTTGGCCAGGCGTGGTGGCTCACATCTGTAATCCCAGGACTTTGGGAGGCCGAGGCGGGCAGATCGCTTGAGGCCAGGAGTCCAAGACCATCCTGGCCAACATGGTGAAACTCTGTCTCTACTAAAAATACAAAAATTAACCGGGCATGGTGGCACAGGCCTGTAATCCCAGCTACTCGGGAGGCTGGGGTAGGAGAATTGCTTGAACCTGGGAGGCAGAGGTTGCAGTGAGCAGAGACCACGCCATTGCACTCCAGCTGGGGCAACACAGCGAGACTCCGTCTCAAAAAAAAAAAAAAAAAAGAACAAAAAAGAAGAGGCAGTCTTATAGACAAAACTTTGAAGGAATTCTGCATTTTCAGAATGGGACTTAAACAAAAAACAATCAGTTCAAGGGAATGCCTGAAACTGTCATCTGTTTCTTCATATGTTGTTGCCTGGTTTCTAGTCTTAGGTAACGCAGATAGGAATGAAGTGGGAGGGAGTAGGGGGAGGAGGATCTACAAATTCAATGGTCGGATTGAAATTTTAAAGAAAATTTGCTGATTCTGAGTTCAGGGCTCTTTCACCTATACTGTGCAAACCTGAAAACTGTAAATGCCAAAATACTTTGTAAATATTCAGATTTTTAAAATCTTTCCTATTACCTGGTGTGGAATTATGTACATATTTGGATGGTCTTCTTGTGTTATGCCATTTTTTGAAAAGACAGAATATAGACATGTAAAATATAATTTTCAGATGCTTGTACTTAAACATTCACATAACATTTTAGTGAATTTCTAAAAATCAAGGAAATAATCATCTCAGCTTCAGGCACAATGCTAACTTAGATGAGTCATAGGTACGTCAGAAATTAATGATAAGGAAACAATGTCAGGGGAAGTTAGGTAACTTGCCTAAGGTCACAGAGACTATAGAAAAATAATAATTAAAATGCTTCTCCTAACTCCAACCAAGTTCGCACGCCTTCCATTTTAGCATAAGGTTTATGTGTTGAGCCCTTCTATGAAAAAGAATTGCATTTTAACATGGATCAGTGTCATAAGCTAATTAAGGAAAGATGAATAATGTAATTTCAGGCATCAGTCATCTTACTGATTCAAATCCTGCCCCCATACCTCAAACTACACACAAGGCATATAGATGGAATGGCATCTCATTCATGTATGTGTGTGTTTATGTCTTACATTAAAATCATTCATATTAAATGAGTAATCTGCTAAGGAATTAGTATTCCACTAAAAAAAAAGAATCTAGATGTTAGATATTAAGGATCTTTTAAAGAAGATAATTCATACTAAACTTCGCATTTCATTTCTCCCTATTATGTATATACCTGAAATTGGAAAGCTTTCTTCTTTTTCCTAGTAAGTACAATTTGGTGTTTTAGCAATTGTATTAGGAGAAGGTGTTTCTCCTTCTTTATCATAAAGGAACCACATAAATGAGAAATAATGTTACAATTTTAATATTTTCTTCTCAGTTATACTGAAATTCATTTTTAAAACTCAGTACATTTTTATCAATTTACAGAGTTCCCATGTTTCAAAATACAAACAATAACCTAGATTCTCTCAGCTGAGTAAGTTACTTTTAGGATGTAAACTATTTTTGGAAATATACTTGTAGAACATTTACCCATTGCAACAGTGAATTAGATGCCACCTTTTAATTTTTATATTTGTATTAAATAAAAATGCATGTGCCTTACATAGAGCCATATCAGTGCTTTGTTTTGTTAAATGTAATAAAATTTCCAATTGACCCAACAATTACTTGTGTATTTTGAAATGCATTTGTTTTCTCTAAACAAATAAGATTGCACTTTGACTCTAAAGATGCAGAATGAATGATTAATGCTTTGATGAAGGACAGTGTTATATCTAATTTTGTGTTAATCTGGATAAGGAGACTGAAACTGACCGCAAAACAGTTAGCTTTAGTTGATCAATTCTTACTTCCACTTACCCACCCCAAAAATAATTTAAAAAACATTATCACTACTAAAATTATCAATCAATCAAACAAACTGCTTTTTTCTAATTGGAGGCTATTGCTTATTCATGTTTTTCTAAATATAGTTGATCACAGTGTTACTAACATTTCATATCCTGAAGAACAGAAGAAAGAGCGAAATCTACTTCCCTCATCAAGATTAATCTTTACTTTAATTATAAACCAAGCATGCAGATACTATGTATTAATACTTTTGCAAGAGCATTAATTATTTCAGTGAAGAATCATTTTTGTAATGACCCCTGTTGAGTGTAGAAGATCTTGTATACTATTCAGTGTAGAGGATTCAGTGTACATGCATCACTGTCCATCAGCTACTTTCCAAATGGCGACCATGATAGTAACCAAGTGGTTGCTATGATTTTGCCAAAGTTTATGATTTTATAATATAAAATGTATATCCTCAGATAATTTTAAACTCATATTTGTAAGTTTTTATGACTGCAGAAATATCCTCACAAAGGACTTGAATATGAACTCTTAAGATTTCTTCACACTGGCCAGGCGCGGTGGCTCACACCTGTAATCCCAGCACTTTGGGAGGCCGAGGTGGGCTGATTACCTGAGAACAGGAGTTCCAGGCCAGCCTGGCCAACTTGGTGAAACCCCATCTCCACTAAAAATACAAAAATTAGCCTGACGCAGTGGCGTGCCTGTAGTCCCAGCTACTCGGGAGGCTGATGCAGGAGAATTGCTTGAACCTGGGAGGCGGAGGTTGCAGTGAGCTGAGATTGTGCCATTGCACTCCAGCCTGGGTGACAGAGTGAGACCCTGTCTCAAAAAAAAAAAAAAAAAAAAACAATTTCTTCACACTATTGGTTTTGATGAGTCATTTAAGCTAGTGTCAGCCTTTCTCAACTTCTGTTGGATGAAATGCACACCCCCTCCTCCTCAGCAAACACGACTATGTCCATATCTGAACGCTCAGTCTCACTTCACTGCAAATTATAACCTAGCTATTTCTTTGAATGAGTTGAATCTCTAAAGTTCTGTGCAATAAAATCCTCTGACAACTAAGCCTAGTTTTTCCCTTGAATGGCTATAATCTAATTGTATATGGAAGTATTTCTTTTTTATTTTTTTGAAATGGAGTTCCACTCTTGTTGCCCAGGCTGAAGTGCAATGGCACAATCTTAGCTCACCGCAACCTCTGTCTCCCAGGTTCAAGCGATTCTCCTGCCTCAGCATCCCGAGTAGCTGGGAATACAGGCATGCACCAGCATGCCCGGCTAATTTTTTTGTATTTTTAGTAGAGACAGGGTTTTTCCATGTTGGTCAGACTGGTCTCAAACTCTCAACCTCAGGCCTCCCAAAGTGCCGGGATTACAAGCGTGAGCCACTGCGCCCAGCCGGATGGAAGTATTTCCTAGAAATGTATATTGCTACTTCTCTCTTGCACACTCTGGGATGTGGAAGCATCACACAACGGTGATGTGTAATTGTGTACAGTCCAATTTGATTTTCTGAAATTGGGAAGCACAAATTCTCTCTGGAACAATTTCTTTGACTGGTTCACTGTAGAAAGGAAACTTGTCACCATGCCAAAGACAAAACTGCTGCTGGGTTTAGTTTTGAATTTTATAAAGTGAACAAGTGAAAAATATATACACATTCATTTCAACTCAAGTTATGAATTATTAAATGAATATATAATTTTATCCAGTTTTACCCTCAAGCTTAACCAGCAAAGACATCTTCAGCCCATGTAAAAAGGTTACTTCATGTTTTTTTTGAAAATTATGAGCAAGCTGCCAAACATCACTGAATTTATATGCTTGTAAGTGAGAATAACAATCTGTCTATAAAATCCTACAGTGAAAAGTAAAGCAGCATGCGAGTTTTGTGCAATGTATCTTTTATCTTCTAAAATTTGAAATTACACAAGCATTTCCTAAGCATCGTCTCAAATATCTTCTTCATCCTCTCTCATCTTCTAGTCCAAGGTTGGCTTGGGTGCTGGGAAGCAGTTCTAGTGAACATCATTAAGTAGCATATGTAAATGTATCTAGAAACAGAATCTTCATGTAGAGATCCAATCCTCCAAAGATGCTTTATCGACAGAACAATAAAGGAGTCTTTTTTTTTTTTTTTTTTTTTTTTGAGACAGGGTCTCGGTCTGACGTCCAGGCTGGAGTGCATTGAGCGATCTCGGCTCACTGCAACCTCCGTCTCCTGGATTCAAGCGATTCTCCTGCCTCAGCCTCACCAGTAGCTGGGATTACAGGCATGAGCCACCAAACAGGGCTAATTTTGTGTGTGTGTTTTTAGTGGAGATGGAGTTTCGCCGTCTGGAACAGGTTCATCTGGGACTCCTAATCTCAAGTGATCCGCCAGCCTCGGCCTCCCAAAGTGCTGGGATTACAAACGTAAACCCCGGCCCAAGGAAGTCTTATTATAGGGAAAATAATTACATGCGATTCCAAGACCTTGGTGGGGAACCAGGGCCAGTCTGTCCAGCTGAGCAGGTTGTGGCCTACACACAGGACTCAGCTGAGGGAACATTCTATTTATCAAGCCACATGCTCTGGAGCAAGGCTCCACCTGCCCAGGCGGGAGGCCTAGCTTTTGAAAATTTGAACAAAGACGTCTATTGAGCTTTATCAGCTCAAGACACCAAGGAGCTTTATCAGCTCCTTGGGGCAAGGTTGTTGAGCTGAACCGGAAGGGCTCAGCCCATTCTAAAGGCTTCTCCATTAGCCAGAAGAGATTCCTTGGCTAATCTACAGAAAAGTGTCACATGGGATGGCAACAGCTGTGTGAGGAACTTTCCCATTCTAATAGATACCTTCATTGTGCCATCTGTAAGGTAGGAATTATGAGAAACATTCAGAGGAAGACTGTGTGAGGAAATGCTTTTAATTATTTACAAAAATTATTTGAAGGAATACAACATGCCCTGTTAGTACAGGGTAATAGCATACCCAAATTCTCCATCTGTTGGGAGATGCTATGAGGCTGGTTTGATGAAAGGAGGAATGATGAGCAGTGGGAATAGCAAAGCACAAAGAAGCAGAAAAAAAGCTACCCAAGAATCTGTGTGCTGAACAGAACTTAGCACAAGACTCTCACACTTCATGGCAGAGTGGGCCAGATGGAGTAGGGAAACAGGATACAAAATGTATCCCAATACAGAATAATTACAAACAAAAAAAGGAAATCTGGGGAGTGGGGGACCGGAGGAGTAATTACTAATTCCCAGGCTACACATGATCCTTCTCTGTGGAAACCATGTGCCTAATAATAGAGAGAGCTTCCCAGAGAAAAGCCGCTCCACCACTCACCCTGAACACTGTTATCATTCTTTTTTTTTTTTCTTTTTCTTTTTTGACACAGAGTCTCACTCTGTCACCCAGGCTGGAGTACAGTGGCATGATCTCAGCTCACTGCAACCTCCGCCTCCCAGGTTCAAGCAATTCTCCTGCCTCAGCCTCCCAAGTAGTTGGGATTACAGGCACGCACCACCACGCCCAGCTAATTTTTGTATTTTTAGAGACAGGGTCTCACCATTTTGGCCAGGATGATCTCAATTTCTTGACCTCATGATCCGCCCACCTCGGCCTCCCAAAGTGCTGAGATTACAGGTGCGAGCCACCACACCTGGCCTATTATCATTCTTTCAAGAAGTTGTCAGAGGGCCTGTTCTCATCAGTCTGATACATCACTCCCTGTTAGCATAGGTCAGATGGTGTCTTCTGCCTCCCCGTCTAGCCATCATGTCCATGCCTTCAGCCTTTCATCACTATCCACCACTCTCGGCACAGGCTCAACACCTCTTCCAAGTCTATGTTGGCTGAGCACTTTTATTTTAATGTACAAAGTGTGACAAAGTATCATAAATGCTTTTAACACATACTGAAGCATATATTCAAATGAGTGCTGCCTTTCTCAAAGTTCGTTGTCTTAGGAGGACTCATCCTAACGCTGCTGCCACTGTGCAGGATACCTTTCAATCTCTTCTTTTGGAATTCGATTATAAATTAATAGATGATTCCTTTTCCACATTGCTCATTATATTGGCTACAAATAAATCCTTACCATTAAAAAAAATCCCTTTTTAATCTGGCCTTTGACTACTTCCTTTTTGTTAAGGGCTATTTACAGCCACCCCTTCTCCCATTGCTTGTGCTCTGGTCATGCTGAACACTGCAGTTCCTAGAAGCCTCTGTGAATCTGCATATTCCAATTCCCTCTGCCAGAAAGATCATCCTCTTGTTACTAAGCTCAAGATCTCCTCATTCAGAAAACCTCTACTGCCTTTATCTCCCACTCTCTAATCTGTTTAGCTCCCTTCAATTTAGCTGCACCTTAAAAGTACCAAGGTCACCTCAATCCACCAAATTGTTTATTGTCTTCATTGCTCCTCTCCCTAACCAGTTGATAAGCTCTTTGAATGCAGATACTATGTCTTTTTTTTTCCTGCATCCTCGGGGCCCAACAGCATTGATTTATGATATTGTTCAATAAAGATTTACTGGCCAGGTGTGGTGGCTCCCACCTGTAATCCCAGCAATTTGAGAGGCTGAAGCAGGCAGATCACTTAAGGTCAGGAGTTGGAGACCAGCCTGGTCAACATGGCGAAACCCTGTCTCTACTAAAAAATGAAAGTAAAAAGATTAGCCGGGTGTGGTGGCACACGCCTATAGTCCTGCTACTCTGATGGCTGAGGCACAAACCCAGAAGGCGAAGGTTGCAGTGAGCCAAGATCGTGCCACTGCACTCCAGCCTAGATGGCAGAGTGAAACCCTGTCTCAGAACATATATATATATATATCTCAAGCGGGCATGGCAGAGCACTTCGAGAGGCTGAGGCAGGAGGATTGCTTGAGGCCAGGAGTTCGAGACCAGCCTAGGTAAAATAGCAAGACCCCATTTCTAAATAAATATTTAAATAAGTAAATAAAGATGTATCAAATGAATGGATACTTGAAAGAAGTGGGTAATCTAAAATGACAACTTTGAAAGTAAACATTCATTTGACTGAGTCCTAGGTGAGTTCAAGAATTACTGGATTATTCAATAAATGCTTTTACACAAACTCTTTAGTCAGTTTAGTAAAGTCAGACTCCCTATTCATATCATAAGCACATACACAAAATGCCAATTGGATTTAATATTCATATGTAAAAAAAAAAAGAAAAGAAAAAAGAAAAAGAAACTATAAGACCACCAGAAGAAAACAACAGTGATGGGCCGGGCGCAGTGGCTCACTGTAATCCCAGCACTTTGGGAGGCTGAGGCGGGCGGATCACGAGGTCAGGAGTTCAAGATCAACCTGGCCAAAATGGTGAAACCCTGTCTCCACTAAAAATATAAAAATTAGCTGGGCGTGGTGGCAGGCACCTATAATCCCAGCTACTTGGGAGGCTGAGGCAGATAATTGCTTGAACCCAGGAGATGGAGGTTGCAGTGAGCCGAGATCACGCCACTGCACTCCAGCCTGGGCGACAGAGCGAGACTCCGTCTCAAAAAAAAAAGAAAAAGAAAACAACAGTGACTATACAATTTTAGTGTGAGGAATGCCTATTTAAACATAACACCAAAAACTACACAAGAAAAGGCTGACCATGGCTCTGAGCTAATGTATCACTCTCCAAGTGTTACCTGCTATGTAGGGCATAAGGGCTGGAAGCCATGCTTTTTTTTCCACGGAATTTTTCCCCAATTTTTAAGAGCTTAAATATCTGCCTATTCAAGGAAACAATAAGTAATTGTAAAAATACCCTAAATCTTGTCCAAAAAGTCTGGAAACACAGGGAATACAGTGGGTTTTTTTGTTTGTTTGTTTTTTGAGACAGAGTCTCGCTCTGTCATCCAGGCTGGAGTTCAGTTGCGCGACCTCGGCTCACTGAAACGTCCACCTCCCAGGTTCAACCGATTTCCCTGCTTCAGCCTTCCAAGTAGCTGGGATTACAGATGTGTGCCACCACACCCAGCTAAATTTTGTATTTTTAGTAGAGGTGGGGTTTCACCATGTTGGCCAGCCTGGTCTCCAACTCCAGACCTCAGGTGATCCGTCCACCTCAGCCTCCCAAAGTGCTGGGATTACAGGCGTGAGCACCACGCCTGGCCTACAGTGTATATTTAACATCGTATTTTGGATTAACAATTCCATTTATTTCTTTAGAGACACTTACCTAAGACAGTATGTGGAAGTCAAAGGAAAATATATTGAGCAATATTATTTCGAAATGTTACTAATACATTGTTTGAAAATAAATTAGTCCTATGTTTCTGACTTTTTGAACACCTATGAAGTGTTGTCCAGCGCTTTGGGAGGCCAAGGCGGGAGGATTGCCTGAGGTCAGGAGTTCAAGACTAGCTTGACCAACATGGTGAAACCCTGTCGCTACTACACAAAAATTAGCCAGGCGTGGTGGTGCATGCCTGTAATCCCAGCTACTTGAGAGGCTGAGGCAGGAGAATCACTTCAACCCGGGAGGCAGAGATTGCAGTGAGCCGAGATCGCACCACTGCACTCCAGCCAGGGCGACAGAGTGAGACTCCATCTCAAAAAAAAAAAAAAAAAAAAAAATTGAACAAGGCCGGGCGTGGTGGCTCACACCTGTATTCCCAGCATTTTGGGAGGCCAAGGTGGGCAGGAGTTCACTTGAGGCCAGGAGTTCAGGACAACCCCGGGCAACATGGCAAAAACCTGTCTCTCCAAAAGTACACAACTTAGACATGGTGGCACATGCCTATAATCCCAGCTACTCCAGAGGCTGAGGCACGAGAATCACTTAAATCAAAAAGTGGAGGCTGCAGTGAGCTGAGACCATGCCACTGCACTCCAGCCTGGCAACAAAGTGAGACCCTGTCTCAAAAGAAAAAAAAAAAAGGAACAATCTAAAAGTTCAATAAAGGATTGTTTAATATATACATTATCCATAATGAAAATAATAGCATTGGAATGTATTTATTGACTTGAAAAAGAGTTCATAATATATTTTAATTATTTATTTTTATAATATAGATTCCCATATCTTTCCATAGACTGTAGAGGGTGAAGCCTCAGAATCTGTATTTTTATTTATTTATTTATTTTTGAGACACAGTCTCACTCTGTTGCCCAAGCTAGAGTGCATGGTGTGATTTTGGCTCACTGCAACCTCCACCTCCTGAGTTCACGTGATTCTCCTACCTCAGCACCCCCAAGCAGCTGGGATTACAGGTGCCCACCACCATACCCAGCTGATATTTGTAATTTTAGTAGAGACGTGGTTTCTCCACGTTGGCCAGGCTGGTCTCGAACTCCTGACCTCGGGTGATCCACCCACCTCAGCCTCCCAAAGTGCTGGGATTACAGGTGTGAGCCACTGCACCCAGCTCATATTTTAAATGAAAAGAAGAAAATGGAGATTATAAACCACTAAGTACATTATCTGATTTTTATAAAGACTTATATGTGCAATTTATACATAAAATATATATGTGTGTGAATATATATATATATATAATCTGAAAGGCTATACATAAATATGTTAATAATAATTATCTTTTTGGCTTACTTGTAGTTTGTAATGTTTCAACAATAAGTATGGATAATTAACAAGATAGGGATAAAAAGATAAGTAATAGGATGGCTTACTCGAAACCAAAGCAAACACTGATCAAGCTTATTAAATAATAAAGTTACTAAAATGAAGAAGGAACTGAAGATCTTAAAAAAAAGAAATCACATAACTATATATGATTTCCAGTGATTTTCTGCCACCCTGTGGGGAATTCTGCACATTGCAGAACTGAAGAAGCAAAGTATGAAACTACAAAAACTTCTGTAAATCAAGATGAAATTTCTTGGCCCAAGTAGTTGTTTAGCTAAAGCTCTGTTGATCAGTTTTGTTTTCTCTACTAGCTATTTAGTGAAATTGCTAGACTAGGATAAAAAGAATACCTAATACTTAAATGTGATTACAATATGACAACCAAGGTCCTAATACATATATATGAATTCATCTCACAAAAACCCTATAAGGTAGGTACTATTTTCTTCCCATTTTATCAAAGAGACGGACTTTAATCTACCAATGGTGGGTAAATGTTGCCAAAGCAATGTGAAATCCAGGCAGAATGCTGCATTTTTAGTCAATGATTTAAAATTTTGAGCTTTTCTGTTCCCCTCAGGCCTGATCGTACCCCAATGGAATCACCCAAATACTTGATGCTGAGCCTTTCTATGGATTTATCAGATGAAACTTTGGAAAGGGACTTTTTTTTTTTTTTAAGACAGGGTTTCGCTGTCACCCAGGCTGGAGTGGAGTGGCGCGATCTTGGCTCACTACAACCGCCGCCTGCCAGGCTCCAGAGAGTCTCCCACCTCAGCCTCCCAAGTGGCTGGGACCACAGGTGCATGCCACCAAGCCCACCTAATTTTCTTCTTTTCTTTCTTTCTTCCTTTCTTTCTCTTTGCTTCTTTTTCTTTCTTTCTTTCTCTGTCTCTTTTTTTTTTTTTTTTTTTAAGAGATGGGGTCTCGCCATGTTGCCCTGAGGTCTGGCGATCTACCGACTCGGCCTCTCAAAGTGCTGGGATTACAGTCATGAGCCAGCACGCCCAACTGAGAGAGACTATGATGTTCTCCAAACAAATCTCATTTGGTTGAAACTCTACAGCTGAGTATGGTCTAATTTGAGTAGTTTACCTTGAGTACTCTAACCATGGTCTATAGACCTGGGCTCTTCTGAGAACTGTTTGCAAATGGTTCACAGAGAGAGAGTAGAAAACTCTATGTCAATTTTGCAGGTAATTTTATGGCTGTTAACTCTAACGATAAAAAGTTTTGACTTGGACTTTGTATGTCTTTTCATTTTTCTGTTTTATTAACTTGTCAAAAACTAATTGAAAATTGAAAAAAATAAACCGACCGTTCCCCCAGTGAAGAGAAGCACTGCTGTAAAGCTTTTCACACTCAAATATTACCAAACTCTAAGGTCGCTTCTGAGGCCTAACTCCCCAAAATGATGCCTCGGATATTTTTCCTCGCCTTATTTCTTTTTTTTCTTTTTCTTTTTTTTTTTTTTTCCTTTTTCCTTTTATTTGAGACGGAGTTTTTGCTCTGTTGCCCAAGCTGGAGTGCAATGGCACGATCTCGGCTCACTGCAAACTCCAACTCCGCCTCCGCCTCCGCCCTCGCCTCCTGAGTAGTTGGGATTACAGACGCGCGCCACCACGCCCAGCTAATTTTTGTTTGTTTAGTAGAGACGAGGTGTCACCATGTTGGCCAGGCTGGTCTCGAGCTCTTGACCTCCGGTAATCCACCCGCCTCGCCCTCCCAAAGTGCTGGGATTACAAGCGTAAACCACCGCGCCCGACCTCCTCCCCTTATTTCATCCATTTTATAATTCACATTATTGATCGCTGATAATTGCACCTATTGTAATGATACTGATAATTGCACCTGTTGTAATAATATTGATATTGATAATTGCACCTATTGTATTACAATATTATTATTGATATCGATAATTTCACCTACTGTAATGATCAATAAAGGCAGGCAGAAAGAAAACAAAAGTAACTGAAACTACCAGGCAGCGTCCCTGCGAACAGCAAAGAGGGAAGAAACGCCTTGAGGCGTAGTAACGCCACCAATAAGGAGTCGACGCGACGGGTCCGCCCACAGGCAAGGAAGGCCGACCCCGCGAGTGCAGGCGCGAGCGCTAGCCCGTGACGTCTGAGGGGGTTGGGGGGATGCTGTGTGGGTTTCAAGAAGACGCCACGCCTCCGCCGCCGCCACGCCCCCGCCGCCTCCACCGCCGGCTGCCGCGCCCGGAGGAGGTCGGGATGTTATCACTTCCGCCGGGGCTTCTCACTGTGTCCGGGTCAGCTGCTGCCGCCGACGCCGTACCGCTGCGGCCGGGGGATTGGGCCGGGGTCTCCACCGCCGACCGAGGGGAGCGGGCTCCGCTCGGCCCTGCTTTTTGCGACCTGGCCGTCAGCCCCACGTCGCCGGCCTGGAGGGGCGAAGAGGACGAGGGGGCCAAGGCTTCCTCCGGGGTGAGTGCGGCCTGGGAGAACTCGGCACGGTGGCTCCGGAGCTGGACTGGGAACCGGCCTAGGGGCGAAAGTCTGTCGGGCGCGTGCCCACGACGTCCGGGGAGAGGAAACCCAGAGAGTTACCCTTGGTAGGGGGAGCCATAGAACCTGCTCGGGAGGTGCTTCCTGGATCCCCGCCCTGCTTAGGTCCCCGCCCTTGGCTTGGGTCCTGTTTGTATTTGGCAGTTTGGCCCCCCACCCCGTCGCTTTTCCGTTTCTGGTAGTTGTGCTCGGGATGGAACCTTGCCCCTCCTCCGCTCCCCCACCCTTTTACCCTGGTGTGGGTGAAGTGGCTGGGCTACGATGGTTCAGTATTTATGACCAGCGTCCGTCCTGGTACAGAACAAAGAAACTTGGACTTCTGGTATGCCTCGTAACCGCGGGGAATAGACACGGAAGCAGCATAAGTAATCAGGGCTTTAATAGATCTTCCCTAGTACGCTAAACCAAATACAGAGTGTGTACGTCAAAAGCCGAGTCCCCGCGTGAATCTAGACACAACCCTTTCTGTTTAAATACCTGGCAAAATGGTTTGGATTTCTGGATGCATTTCATGCCGCTGGAGAGTTACTTGTCTGTGTCTTGTGAGCTCTTTGACGAAACAGCTTTTCCGGTGTTGCATCAAGATAGTTACGGTGCCTCCTATTTATTTAATTGAATAAACTATGTGATTGCATTTTAGTGTTGCTTTTTTCATTCTCACCTTCTCTTGATTAGGATCTCTATTTCACCTAATACCTGATTTCGTATTTTCAATTAAATGTAGTTTTTCTAACATTTTATAGGAATCTCTGCAATTGTAGAAACAAATTCTGTAATTTGTAAATGGATGTTTCCTCAAAGTTACAACTGACCTTACCCAATTAAGTTACCCCTGCAGACTAGTTTCTTGATCATTTTGCACATATTCTTAGTTCTTTTTGGTTTACATTTTCTCTAAACTCTATTCCTAGTCTTCATATTCTCTAGTGCAGCCTAATACTGCTGGGCTTAGACCGGAAGTATGACAGATCCACTTCTGCAAACGGAACTTGAACTAGATTATCATAAGTCAGTGCTATTATGGTCTTCAGGCATTACAAGCCCTTTGAAGCTAAGTGCGGCCAAATCAGGCATTACAGGCTTCTTCTGTATAAAATTGCCAGTGCACTGGAGACGGTGTGCTGTATTAGAAACAGTTCCGGACTAGATATGGGGACCAGGATGTAGTGTCATTGCCTCATATATAAGATAAAATGATGATAACACAAGTGTCATGCATCCCAAAGTTGCTGGTTGGAACATGAGATGATGGATGTAAAAGTGGTTAGTAAATGTGAAAAGCACTCTGGAAAAGTTCTGTTCATTCTATCTGGAGTAATGCTGGTAGAAGGAACAATAGGGAGGAAGGTGTCAGAGAAAGTATATGTAACCAGATCTAGTAAGTTACCGGGCTGATAGATTGAAAGATGTCTTGTTACTTTGGGTGGCCAAGGTGGGCGGATCACCTGAGGTCAGGAGCAAAAAATGATAAAGCAATGAGATGAGACAAACCTGGCCAACGTTATGAAACCCCATCTCTACTAAAAATACAAAAATTAGCCAGGCATGGTCGCTCGTGCCTGCAATCCCAGCTACTCGGGAGACTGAGGCACAAGAATCACTTGAACCTGGGAGGTGGAGGTTGTAGCGAGCCGAGATTGCAGCACTGCACTCCAGCCTGGGCGACAGAGTGAGACTCCGTCTCAAAAAAAAAAAAAAAAAGGATGAAAAGATGTCATGTTACATCCTATGAAGTAAGTTTACATCCTATAAAGCAGAATACTAGTATAATGTGGTGATAGTAATATTCCACGATTATAGTTTTATATTGCAACTAATATTTCTAACTACAACAAACTGAGACATCAGTTAGTAGATTATCTTTTTAAAGATCTCAGCATTTTCAAGTGTGTTCCGCATAGTGACAATAAATGTAACTTTTGTAGGTGGCACAGTCATCTTTTGATTTATTTTCACAATTTCGAGAGAACTCAGCACCATTCTAGTTTTTCCTCTAAATTTTGTGTTAACATTTATTTTATTTTATTTAGCTTTTTTGAGATGCAGTCTCGCTCTGTCACCCAGGCTGGAATGCAATGGCGCAATCTCGGCTCACTGCAACCTCTGCCTCCCAGGTTCAAGCGATTCTCCTGCCTCAGCCTCCCTGATCGCTTGGATTACAGGCCAGTGCCACCACTCCTGGCTAATTTTTGTATTTTTGGTAGAGATGGGGTTTCACCATGTTGGCCAGGCTGGTCTTGAACTCCTGACGTCAGGTGATCCGTCCGCCTCAGCCTCCCAAAGTGTTGGGATTACAGGTGTGAGCCACCATGCCCGGCTTGTGTTAACATTTCTGATAGAGCAGTTCATTTCATTGTTTGAAAACTACCCTCATGGGAGCAATGACAAGCACATGTCTAGGATTTTTTCAAGCATGTTTGGTGATCTCCTAAACATACAGGCTGTTGGTTAAAAAGTGAACATAAATGTTTAGAATGAAACCTTTTTGTTTAAATGGGGAAGTGAAAGGCTTGCCCGGGCGTTTCCATCTGCCTACTGTAATTGATTTCCGCATAAACGGTCATTACTGGCACCTATTGCAGCACCAGTATTAAACTGCATATAGTAAAATCACTGTGTAAAATTGTGTTATAATCTAAACAGTTCTAATGCGATCTTAAAAAAAATTGTAGAGACAGATCTCACTGTGTTGCCCAAGCTAGGCTTGAACTTCTGGGCTTAAACCATCTTCCCACCTTGTCCTCCAAAGGTGTTAGGATTACAGGAGTGAGCCACTGAGCCTGGCCTAAATGTGATCTTAACATTTAATTTTTGCTTATGTTGCTAAACTGCCTGGGGAAAGCTGCTTCATCCTGGTTGGATTTACCAGTACTCCTCCCCCTTGAAGCTATGTCAGAAGGAATCAATTATCTCTTTGATTTTTAACCTAAGGTCAACAACTGTTTTGAATTTATCTTTATGACTGCAACAAGTAAGTGGCATAAGGATGTGCCACCACTACCAAGAGTCAATCTATTGAGAAATCAAGTTATTCCTGTGCCAACAGGTTATTTTAACAAATATCATCTTAAAGTGTTATTTCCCATTCTAATTTCCAAAAAAAAATACATGAACAAGAAATGGGAAGCAACAACAGTTAACTTGTGAGTCAGCAGTATCCTGATTTTCTTCGAAGAGGTTGTGGTTATATTAACTCCTTTCTTGTTTGTTTCCTGTTCTTAACAGCTGTTTGATGATAAAGTGCTTCCAAGAAACAGTACTCCCTCAATTGTTTAAATTGTTTTGATCTACCTAGTGTACTTTTCCCCTAAAATTCATGATGAAATGGTAGAGTAAATCTATCTATATCTCTCTCCCCAAGTTCTGTTTAACTAGATAATTGATTATCCTCAAACTAAATATCCATGTCTATGTGCTGAGGTATTAACACATGATTCAATATGATATTAAGGTAAAAATGGAATAAATAGGCTGAGATAGCTGAAAGACTTGGGCTGCCTGTGTTTCGAGGAGCTATTTAGTTTTTGTTGTTGTTTGTTTTGTTTTGTTTTTTGAGACAGAGTCTCCCTTTGTCACCCAGGCTGTAGTGCAGTGGTGCAATCTCAGCTCACTGCAACCTTCACCTCTGGGGTTCCAGCGATTCTCCTGCCTTAGCCTCCATAGTAGCTGGGATTACAGGCAGGCGCCACCACGCCTGGCTGATTTTTTGTATTTTTTGTGGAAACGGGGTATCACCATCTTGGTCAGGCTGGTCTCAAACTCCTGACCTCAGGTGATCCGCCCACCTCAGCCTCCCAAAGTGCTGGGATTACAGGTGTGAGCCACCACGTCCGGCCTCAAGGAGCTGTTTTCACAGAGACAAACTTGTTCCATTGGTTAAGCAGCTGAAAGGAATGGATTGTCTTCTAGAATTTCCCAAGATAAACCTTTCCTCTTACCAGTGAGGAACAATTTTACAAATAGAAATTAATATTGCTGGTGTGTAGTTTCCCACAGAATATTTTTGTTACATTTTTATGGGGTAACACATGACAAATCCTATTCATGTAGTTTAATAAGCAAAATAAGCCTAAGAGATTGAGCAAAGGTTTGCTGACCAGTGTCCATACCCTACAGGTAAGTATTATTTACTTAATTTTTATAGGCCTGTTATGTGCTAGGCACCATGGTAGGTGTTGGGAATATATTGGGTACAACTTTCAGTTTCTGCTTTTATTTTTGAAATGCTAAATATTTTTCTGAGTATTTGAGATATTTGAAAAAGACACCCAGACAACATCCTGGTGTGTTTTTCAACACACAATAAAAAGGTACGACAAGATAATAGAAAGCTTTTCTGATTATTGAATTTAGGAAAATACATCATTCGCTTTAGAGTGAGTACCAAAGACTTAAGAAAAGTTAAACATTGGGAAATACAGTAAATTAAACATCTAGAAAAGACTTACCAGTTTTCAGCCTTTAGTCATAGCATGCTTTGGTCTCACTTGAGCATTGTAATTCTAGAGTAGTAAGTATTTTCACCATTTGGGCTTGTTGATTGTAATTGTGGGCTCCTTTCTACTATTTCTGTTCTAAACAGAGGGGATTGTTTGGTAAGGTAGGTGTCCCTCTTTTTGTTTATTTTTCCCTCCCAACAGAGAAAGTGCTAAATAAGTAAAGATTATTTTAAATGTTTTTCATTAACTTATAAAAACTGCCTAGATCATTGTTTTCCCAGAGAATTAAAAACCTTACTCCTATATGTAAATGACTTTTTCAAGCAAATAAGTTGGTGTGGAAAAGTCAGCATCTACCATTTTTTTTCTGTGGTAACAAGTGTATCATCAAACATTGAAACCTTTTGGGAATGTTTAAAACCTTCTCTTGAGGGTAAGTAAAAATTCAAACTGGGAAGAGAGTCTTCCAGCCTTGGCAGAGATACAAATTTAGTTTACCTTGTGAAATCTAACACTTCAGGATATTTCCATTGTAATTTTGTCATTACGGAACATAAGGCTTTTTTCTTTGTAACTTTGTGCATCTTTTGAATGTTGACGTAGCAGATAAGATAGCTATAGGACATGACCACATTTTTCTTTTAGAAGACTGGTTGATGTGAATGGCTGACATAATTGATTTTATTTAATAAATATCTTTTAAAGTCACAGATAGTATTGTTTTAAAAATCAAATGGTATAGACGGACTTACTATGAAAAGCATTAGTCATTTTCTGCATTTCACCCTCTTTCCTCTGCTACTGGTTTTGCTCTGTCACCCAGACTGGAGTGCAATGGTGTGACCTCGGCTCGCTGCAACCTCCACCTCCCAGGTTCAAGCGATTCTCCTGCCTCAGCCTCCCAAGTAGCTGGGATTACAGGCGCCTGCCACCACATCCGGCTAATGTTTTTGTATTTTTAGTAGAGACTGGGTTTCACCGTGTTGGCCAGGCTGGTTTTGAACTCCTGACCTCAAGTGATCCGCCCACCTCGGCCTCCCAAAGTGCTAGGATTACAGGCGTGAGCCACCGCGCCCGGCCTAGTGTCAACGACTTTTAACTTTATTTTTAGTACTGCTAGTGATGCTCCGTATCTCTTAAATATGTTACTGCAAAAAGAAAAGAAAAGAACAGAAATATGTTACTGCTGTTTGTTGAATAACTTTAGACATCTATTGACTTGAATGTAAATGAACTAAATACTCGTGTATACCTCTTTCCTTCTATAGTTTTCACTGTTTTGTTGCATTGTTAACCAGTTGATCTTTACCTTACCTCAACTTCTATTTCTTACTCCATCACCAGAGGGAGTATCTCTAGATTTCTTACTTTTAAAATGAGGATATTGGACTCACGTGATTCCTTGGAAAAACTAAAACTAAAGTTCATGGCATATGTTAAAATACGTAGTTGCATAAAAGGGCATTCACCAAGTTCAGTGTTTGAAAACATATGCCGAGCTATATGAGAAGGGCATAGTATAGATATGAAACAAATCAAAAGATTGCATAATTCATTTACGGGACAAGTTATTGAATAGACTTCTTTAAGTGGCTCAGGAATTGTGGCATCAAACTATTGAGAAGGAAATATGAAAGACAGCACACCACCTGACTCTGCTGAATCATGAGTTTAAATATTATTGATTTACTATTATTTACGGTCTAGAATCAACCTCTATCCAAGGGACAGAAAATTTAATTATGAGTCTGTAATAAAGAACATTTTTATTTCTTACCCCACTTCAAATTTTTTAATATAATCCATAGTATGAAATATATTTTCAATCATAACCTGAGATACTATACATGCAACTGAAAACAAGTATTTTCACTGAACAGTATCCTTACTATAAACAGTATTTAACTTTCCCAGAATATATGTAGTCTGAGTATTCTCTTTTCTTTAAAAAAAAAAAAAAATTGCAACCCTGTAAATGAATTTCATGACCAGACCATTGTACTAAACATCAAGTATGAACTAATATATAAGATTATTACGCCTTTTCAGTGGATAAAAAGTAAAGTGGAAATTAAGTTATACATTTTTCTCTCTTCATAGGACATTGGCTCCCTGGATTATCAAGAGTTTGTAGTTGACATTGAATCCAGGCTGAGGATGGAAGGTGTGGAACTTAAAGAAGAATGGCAAGATGAAGATTTTCCGATGTGAGCAATGCTTTTAAAAGAAAACAATTTTAGAGCAAAAGTTCAAAATTTCTTTATCGAGATGTTACTTTTTTTTTTTTTGAGACGGAGTCTTGCTCTGTTGCCCAGGCTGGAGTGCAGTGGCGCGATCTCAGCTCACTGCAACCTCCGCCTCCTGGATTCAAGCAATTCTTCTGCCTCCACCTCCCAGGTAGCTGGGACTATAGGTGTGCGCCACCACGCCTGGCTAATTTTTGTATTTTTAATAGAGACGGTGTTTCACCATATTGGCCAGGCTGGTCTCAAACTCCTGACCTCGTGATCTGCCTGCCTTGGCCTCCCAAAGTGCTGGGATTACAGGTGTGAGCCACTGCACAGCTGAGATGTCACTGAGAAACTCAGTAATACAAGGCGATCATTTGATACTAGGAAGTAAAGTTTCTTCGGAACAGTTAGATTGATTCTCTTGTATCTTACTTTCCAACCAAGTATATATATAATCTTCTATAATCTTTCATTTTTGTTTTGGTCACTTAAGTTTGCAAATTTTTGCTTTTATAATAAAGTGTTTTAGTGTGGTTTGTTTGTTTTGTTTTGTTTTTGTTTTCATTTAAACAAGATCTGAGGGATTCCTCAGAGAAGGAGGTCTTTAGTTGTCTTTAAAATGTTTCTTTAATTTTGTGGCCAGGTGCGGTGGCTCACGCCTGTAACCCCAGCACTTTGGGAGGCCGAGATAGGCAGATCACTTGAGGCCAGGAGTTTGAGACCAACGTGGCCAACATGGTGAAACCCCGTCTCTACTAAAAATACAAAAAATTAGCCAGGCTTGGCGCTCGCCTGTAGTCCCAGCTGCTTAGGAGGCAGAGGCACAAGAATCACCTGAACCCAGGAGGCAGGGGTTGCCGTGAGCCAAGGTCGCGCTGCTGCACTCCAGCTTGGGCGACCGAGCAAGGCTCTATCTCAAAAAAAAAAAAAAAAATTTGTGGGTTCCCCCCCACCAAAAAAAAAAAAACCTTACTAAGTAAATTAATAAGGATTTTCTAGCTTATCTGGCCAGCCACCTTGACATGTTTGCATTTGTATTTACAATTATATTGGCACCAGGTAGGCTAATGAAAAAGAGAGCAAAGGCAGACCTTAAGTTTAAATAGTGCTTCCGTGCCGTACTTGTCAGAAGACATCCTAGTGCATAATCAGGTGCCTTAGCAGTTGGATAGCTTAGCAGTTGGACAGCTGATCGGAGACCTGAGTCACTGTTGCATATGGTGGTGATAGTAAATATAGGAATGCTGATCTCAGAAGAATTGAACCATTGTTACTGTAGTCTCGTGAGTAAAAATTGAGCTTCATACATTGCATCATACATCACATTATATTTGTGCATTTCAGTCATATTTGTTTAAAATTGTTACATGTTTTATAATTGTATAAGAGCTGTTGCATAAGGAATTTATATCTACTTTTATGTGTTACTTATATATAATAAGTGTATAAGTCAGCTCTGACAGTCAGAATTTTTACTTTGAAAGTGTAGCCAGGCATAGCACGTCACGCCTATAATCCTAGTGCTTTGGGAGGCCGAGGCAGAAGGATTGCTTGAGACCAGCCTGGGCAACATAGCAATATCCGGTCTCTACCAAAAAAACTTTTAAAATTAGCTGGGCATGTTGGTGTGCCACTGTAGTCCTAGCTACTCAGAAGGCTGAGACTTTATCTTAAACACTGCTAGGCTGGGCACAGTGGCTCATGCCTGTAATCCCAACACTTAGGGAGGTCAATGCACGAGAATCGTTTGAGCCCAAAAGTTCAAGGCCAGCCTGGGTAACATAGCAAGACCCTGTCTCTACTAAAAATTAGCCAAGCGTCGTGGCACGCACCTGTAGTCTTAGATACTCGGGAGGATCTCTTGAGCCCAGGAGTTAAGGCTGCAGTGAGCCATGATTGTGCCATTGTATTCCAGCCTAGGTGACAGACAGCAAGACCCTGTCTCAAAAACAACAACACTGCTTTATTCCATTTTCCAAATAATTATTTCTATAAGCTGTATGTTTAATAGATTGAACTTCAAAAAAAAATTCTTTCTTAATTTCTGGATTAAAAAGTATGCCTGTGTCTTCTAGACCTTTACCAGAAGATGATAGTATTGAAGCAGATATACTAGCTATAACTGGACCAGAGGACCAGCCTGGTAAGAGCTTGACACTTACTTTCATTGAAATTATGGACTTTGTGTTATTTTTTAAAACACGTTTCTTTGTCCAAAAAAAAAAAAAACTTGAGTTTTTATTCCATCATAGAAGTCAAAGTATAAGTTGAACATTGAGGAAAGCATTTTTAGAATGCTTTAAAAAAAATTCCAAAAACATACACTTGGTTTTTGGAAAGTTTTACAGTAAAGGGGTGGAGGAGATCATTTTTAGTGGTAAGAGGTATCTATAAGGTCTGCCTCTATTTAAAAGACATTGATACTTTATTGATCTCTTGCCAACGATGTAGAAGCAATAATGATCAGAATAAAAATTTTGTGAATAGGTGCTTTGAAATTATGTTCAATTAATATTATTTTTTCCCAAGAATGGGGTAGTTAAAATTTTTCTTATTCAACTTTAGCATCTAAGCATTCCTTGTTACGTATCTTTTTCTTTATTTTCCAATTCCAGGCTCACTAGAAGTTAATGGAAATAAAGTGAGAAAGAAACTAATGGCTCCAGACATTAGCCTGACACTGGATCCTAGTGATGGCTCTGTATTGTCAGATGATTTGGATGAAAGTGGGGAGATTGACTTAGATGGCTTAGACACACCGTCAGAGAATAGTAATGAGTTTGAGTGGGAAGGTAAATGTTTCACTGTTTTTAATCTGATCTTTATTAATGTACTAAGGGATTTTGTTTGAAATACATCATTCTTTCTAAAGTTCATATATTTGTTACTAAGATAGGAAATTGTGCTAACCCTTGAATATTCTCAAGGACTTAAAAAGTGTGTATAGAGTACACCAGTGGCTTTTTTCCCCTCTTATTTGCCCACTGCTCTCATGTTTTTTTCATAGCTGTTTCAAAAATATTTCTTGATAATTATGGCATGCTCTTTTTTAGTCAATCAAGTAAGAAACTTTTGAAGAGACATATAGTTAACAGTTTGTGGGAAGGGAGTTCTGAAAGGAGGCATTTGGGGTGACTTTTTAAGTAGGTTTGCCTGACATTGCTCTACTTTGTGAAATGACCAACTTAAATTAATGTATACTTTTAGCCCCCGAACCTAGTATTCCTTATTACTTGTAATTCAAAGGAATTGTGCTGTTTTACTTTGCATGCTTTCTTTAATTACAAAATTGTCTACAGTATCTTATATATAGTTGTTATAATTTTTACATATTTTTTTCCATCTTGAAAATGATTTTGTTTTCATAGTAGTGTTTAGCATTCAGTATTTTACTGTAATAAAGTGTGATATGCTATATTTTTGGTTTCTTTTTTCTTCCCTGTTTTACTGGTTCAATAAACAGTCCAGTAGTAAGCAATACTTTGTAAAGATACTGAAATAGTTTTGTGCCTATGTGTTTTGTCTCTTCTTTCTTTAATGCTGCTGTAGTCATTTCCTGGAAGGATATTTTCCGTTAACAGCTTTGTCTTGGAAACAACTAACATGCAGTAGGTTTCCCCCTCCCCCCATCTTTTGGTAAGGACTATAATACTGAAATTTTGAAAATTATTACTACATTGAAAATCAGCTAAACTGCAATCTCAAAACATAAATTACACTTAATCATTGGTGCTTATGCTTTGGCTAATGCTAATTTAAATAGACTTCTGCATGTATACTTCAAAGTATTATAAATACATTTCTGCTTTATAAAACTGATCAAATGAGAAGTGATCATTGAGTAGTTAACCACTTCCTATCTGGTATTACAGTTAATTTATGTGCTCAACAACAACAAAATTGGCTCCCAGATAGCTACTTGAAGTAACCTATAGTCATAACTGCCAGGGAGAATATTGTCACAAGTTGAATCTGGAAAGGCATTGTAAGGCCAGTGTACTAAGATTTTGATGACTCTACAAATTATATTTTCTGAACTTGTGGATACACGTTTCACTATGATTAGGTGGTTTTTGCTAAATTGGGCAATAAAAGTTAAAGAACCATGATTTCCAAAGACATAAAACAGCCTCATGTTAAGAATAAGCCTTTTCCTCCTTTATGGAAGAGAGATTGAAAATTGTGCAGATGGTATAATGAAAATTCTCTGTAAAATCTAGGTAGTAAAGTGGTTAACGTATAATTTGATTTTTGTTGTGTAACAATTTGTGATTCAAAAACTTTGTATTTTGACAGATGATCTTCCAAAACCCAAGACTACTGAAGTAATTAGGAAAGGCTCAATTACTGAATACACAGCAGCAGAGGAAAAAGAAGATGGACGACGCTGGCGTATGTTCAGGATTGGAGAACAGGACCACAGGGTTGATATGAAGGCAATTGAACCCTATAAAAAAGTTATCAGCCATGGGGGTAAGAGTTACTGAGGATTTTTCAGATTGTTTAATGCAATATCAGAATTCTTTTTTTTTTGGAAGGATATCTGTTTATTAAGAGTAAATAAGCCCTGTACAGAACACAGGCGCTAGGTTGAGAGACTCGTCTTTTGTAGGACATTTCTTCCTGCTAACCAGTTCCTGGAGGGCTTGTTTTTTTTGTAACTTTACACAAGGGGCACTAATGGAAAATATAGCTTTCTCAAGACATCTGATGTCAGTTTCCCATTGTTTTGCTTCACAAACATCAACAAAGTAAACCTGAACATGCTTAGCAATTTCCCAATGTTCTTTGCTGACATTACTTTTGACATACTGTGTCAAAATTCTTAAGGTCTCCCCTCCTTTGGTAAAGTAGGCAAAACCTTACAAGGAAAACACTATAATACGTGGAAATATACTGAGTTAGATTTCCAGTCACCTGCTCTATGGCTCTGAGATGCACTATATCCATAATGGTTCCTAGGACTGTGTCCACCTGATGGTTTGGAGTACGGAAAACCAACCCTTATGGCTTAAGAGTCATCTCCCATGGAAGACGATGCTGGCCTTCTGAACGCTGGGGCTCATGGGCTTGTTGATGTGGCTTTCTGGTGTGCCAGGATCCCCTGGCAGCTCCTGTATACTTCAGTCAAGCAGTCCAGCCGGGGCTTGGCACTCTGGAAGACGGGTACTACTTGGGATATCCCATGTGGTTCCACTGGATCCTTCAATAAGATGCAGAGGTAGTAAATCACCTTCTGCATGTAAATAGCCTCATTGATGACAATATCCTTGACCTTGCCCATTTCTATGAAGGTAGTGCTTTCTTAGCCTGAAGCATAAGATGAAGTCATCTGAATGCCAAGGGAATCAATGATTAACAGTCTCCTGATCAATCTTCACAAAATGGAGATAACCAAGCAGACCTAAGAGGGTGATGAAGATGGCAGCAGAGAGGATCATGCTGTTCTCGCAGAGGGTGAAGAGTCCGTAGGCTGCCAGCCACACCGTGCAGGTGACAGCGGTGAGCGAACGCAGCGAGAGCCCAGGGCAGCTGAGGCAGAATTCCCGGCAGGAAGGGAAGTAGTAGCGGCGCTGCAGGGCCAGGCGGCCACCGCAGATATCCGAAAAGCTCCGCTCATCCTCCATGACACCCCAACTCTGCCGCCCGCACCGCACCGCGCGGCACTCCACTGCGCTCGCCTGCCCTAGCCGTTTCATGCAATATCAGAATTCTAAATACTTTTAGAAACTCTGCCTAGAGATATTATGTAATTTTGAAAGAATAATAAGCATTTCTCATTCATTTTAGAAACATGACAGGTTTAAAGTAAAAGAATAAAAGTACCATTTAAAAATGATTATATGCATACAGTAAGTTGAAAAAGTACAAAAGAATTTGTAGTGAAAACTGTCAGGTTGGGCACGGTGGCTCAGGTTTGTAATCCCAGCAATTTGGGAGGCTGAGGCAGGAGGATTACTTGAGCCCAGGAGTTCAGGACCAGCTTGGGCAACATAGACCTCGTCTCCACAAAAAAATAAAAAAAATAAAAAAATAAATAAAATTAGCCAGGAGTGGTGGCATATGCCTGTAGTCCCAGCTACTTAGGAGGCTGGGGTGGGAGGAGAGAGAGCTTGAGCTTGGGAAGATGAGGCTTCAGTGGCCGTGATCATCCCACTGCACTCTAGTTTTTTGTTTTGTTTTGGTTTTTGACCCTGTCTCAAAATTAAAAAATTTTTTAAACTGTCTCTAGGCTACCCAAAACTGGGACTGAACAGTCTCCCTAATTTATAAACAGTGAAATGCTCTGATCTTAAGTGTGCAGTTCAATGAGTTTTGACAAATGCCTATATAACCATATATACCCATATATATAAAACCCATACCCCTAAAAATGTAGAACATTTTCATTGTCCCAGAAGAATTATTTAGTACCCCTGTGCAATGAATACTCAGCTTCGGTAGCCACTGTCATATCTACCCCCTGATTAGTTTTGCCTCTTCTAGAATTTCATATATAGTAACTAAAATCATCCTATGCACTCTTTTGTTTACTTTTCAGCATGAAGTTTTTGAGATTCATCCATGTTGTTGCACGTATCCACAGTACATTCCTTCTTATTGCTGAGTAGTTTTCCATTGCTTGGATAAACCATAATTTGCTTATCCGTTTTTTTTTATGTGCATGTGAGTTGTTTCCAGCTTGGGCTGTTATAAACAAAACTGCTTTGAACATTCTTGTAGAAGTCATTTATGGATATAAGTAAAACTTGGACTCTTTTTGTTTTGTTTTGTTTTGAGACAGAGTCTTGCTCTGTCACCCAGGCTGGAGTGCAGTGGCGTGACAGCTCACTGCAACCTCTGCCTCCTCGGTTCAAGGGATTCTCCTGCCTCAGTCTCCCGAGTAGCTGGGATTACAGGTGCACGCCACCATGCCCAGCTAATTTTTTGTATTTTTAGTAGAGAAAGGGTTTCACCATGTTAGCCAGGATGGTCTCGATCACCTGACCTCGTGATTTGCTCACCCCAGCCTCCTGAAGTGCTGGGATTACAGGCATGAGCCACCGTGCCCGGCCCTAAAACTTGGACTTTTTAACCTTAACTCTTAATTTGCCTTAAAACCGTGAACAAATTTTTTTTTCTTTTTTTTTTTTTTGAGATGGAGTCTCATTCTGTCACCCAGGCTGGAGTGCAGTGGCGCAATCTCGGCTCACTGCAACCTCTGCCTCCCAGGCTCAAGCGATACGCCAGCCTCAGCCTCCCAAGTAGGTGGGACTACAGGTGCACGCCACCACGCCTGGCTAATTTTTGTATTTTTAGTAGAGACGGGGTTTCACCATATTGGCCAGGCTGGTCTCGAACTCCTGACCTTGTGATCTGCCCGCCTCAGCCTCCCAAAGTGCTGGGATTACAGGCATGAGCCACAGTGCCCAGGCCAAATTATTTTTTAATAGAGAACTAGTTCACTCCACACTTCTATACAGCACCCACTTTCCATACTTATGGGATATACAAAAATACAAGGCTTAAGTCCCTGCCCTTAAGAAATAGGAAAAGCCATAAAAGTTTAAGTTATAAATCCTTTCAATCTAACAGTACCATATATAGAAGTTAACCTAGGCACATTGTAAATAGTGCTAGAATGTTAGTGGTAAGTCAGAACACAACTCACTGTAGAGCATGTCATACTACCTTAAATCCTCCTAACACAGGACGGAGGGCATATGGGTCAAGCAGATTGATTTTTTTTCAGGGTCATTTCCACTTGATTTACTCTCTGCCAGATGCATTCCCCTGCTTATTTCTACAGTCTTCATTCATCTGAAAGCAAATCACATGAATATTTGTAGTTGCATTCTTCTGCCTAATTTAATCGTACTCAGATGAAGAAAATGGCGTAATCTGCATCAGGAAGTCCACAGACATACATTATTCAGCTAGTTCACAGGAATCAAATTATAAGACCTGATTTATGGCTTAAATCTCTTATCTTTCAGAAATAGCACTTTTTTTATAGGGGAAAATAAGACCACCTTATTTTATTGCATTACCACACTTAATATATTTTGTGACTGAGTGATTAAGAAAGGTAGTGAAGATTCTGATGTTCTTGAAATGTTCAAATCTTTTCATGTGCAAATTTGTAAGCAATAGAAATGAAGGTTAAAGCAGAAGTATTTGCTACTAAATATTGGCTTAATATCTAAAGACTGCTGTTGAAACATACATATTTTAGCGCTGTTTTCCATTACTGAAAATTATGTCAGAGATGTAATTTAGTTTGTTTTTTTGTTTTTGTTTTTGTTTTTTTTTTGAGACCCAAGTCTTGCTCTGTTGCCCAGGCTGGAGTGCAGTGGTGCAGTCTCGACTCACTGCAACCTCCGCCTCCCAGGTTTGAATGATTGTCCTGCCTCAGCCTCCTGAGTAGCTGGGACTACAGGTGCACACCACCACACCCAGCTAATTGTTTATATCTTTAGTAGAGATGGGGTTTCGCCATGTTGGCCAGGCTGGTCTCAAAATTCCTGGCCTTAAGTGATCTGCCCACCTCAGCCTCCCGAAGTGCTGGAATTACAAGCATGAGCCACCTCGCCCGGCCTAATTTAGTTTTAATGTCCTAATTTCTACAAAATGCTAGCATTTTTAAATATAAACTTACCTTTTAAAAATCACCCACTTATGGCTCTGGCGATGTGGCTCATGCCCAGTGCTTTGGGAGGCCAAAGGAGGAGGATTGCTTAAGGCCAGGAGTTCACGACCAGTCTGAGCAACACAGTGAAACCCTATCTCTACAAAAAAAATTTTATAAAGGTTAACCAGGCATGTTTGTGTGCGCTGTATCCCCAGCTCCTCTGGAGGCTATGAGGTGGGAAGATCCCTTGAGCCCAGAAGTTCAAGGCTGCATGAGCTGTGATTGCGCCACTGCACTCCATCCTGGGCAATGGAGCAAGATGCTATCCTCTAAAAAAAAATTTAAAAAAGCACCCACTTTGCCGGGCACGGTGGCTCACGCCTGTAATCCCAGCACTGTGGGAGGCTGAGGCAGGCAGATCACGAGGTCAGGAGTTCGAGACCAGTCTGGCCAACTTAGTGAAACCCCATCTCTACTAAAAATACACAAAAAATTAGCCGGGCACGGTGGTGTGCGCTTATAATCCCAGCTACTCGGGAGGCAGGAGAATCGCGTGAAGCCAGGAGGCGGAGGTTGCAGTGAGCCGAGATTGTGCCACTGCCCTCCAGCCTGGACGACAGAACGAGACTCCATCTAAAAAAAAAAAAAAAGCACCCACTTTAACCATAAGCATCATAGAAATAAATAAAAATACATTGCAGTTATTGTATTGTGTCTGTATTGTATTGGGTTATATCACTATATTTGTCTACCTGCTAAAATAGGGCTGGCTTTTTAAATATGCGAATTTAAGTGGTCTTGGGTTTTTTTGTTTTTTCTGTCCACCGTCCTCTTTAAATTTTACTGTTCTCTTTTTGGGAAGAAGACATTAAAATTCTATATAAGACCATATAAGATTTACAAAACATACATTTAATACAGAAATCTGTGAAAAGTAAACTCTTATTTATAATTTACTAATCATACAGATGTCTTCTAAAAATGCCTAAGAGTAAAATCGTGCTGGTGATACTGTCTTTGGTTTCTTTTTTAGGATATTATGGGGATGGATTAAATGCCATTGTTGTGTTTGCTGTCTGTTTCATGCCTGAAAGTAGTCAGCCTAACTATAGATACCTGATGGACAATCTTTTTAAGTAAGTATATATTAAACAAAAACATTTGGACAGAATTGTGAGCTAATTAGATCTACACCTTAAGAAACTTAACCTTTTCAAAAATTATAAATATTCCAGTTCTTTGGGAGACTGAAGTGGGCAGATCACTTGAGTCCAGGAGTTGGAGACCAGCCTAGGCGATATGACAAAGCTCTTTCTCTACAAAATCAAAAAATTAGCCAGGCATGGTAGTATGGGCCTGTAGCCCCACCTACTCAGGAGGCTGAGGTGGAAGTATCACCTGAGCCCATGAGGTCAAAGCTGCAGTGAACTGTGATTTTGCCACTGCACTCTACCCTGGGTGACAGAGTAAGACCCTGTCTCAGAAAAATAAATATCCCAGATCTTTTCACGTGCAAGTTTGTGAACAACAGAATGAAGGTTAAAGTAAAAGTATTTGTTACTAGATACAGGACTAGATGAGTCCTTATTCTTTGATATTATGGAACGATAGTTTTCCAATTCAAGAGAAAAATTGTCATTTTAAAACTGGGAAATATATCTCAGATTATTTGTTCCAACTTTGTTTCGTTTTGTTTTGAGATGGAGTTTCACTCTGTCACCCAGGCTGGAGTGCAGTGGTACAACTACGGCTCCCTGCAGCCTTGACCTCACGGGCTCAAGCCATCCTCCTACCTCAGCCTCCCTAGTGGCTGGGACTGCAGGCACATGTCACCACATCCTGCTGACTTCTTAATTTTTGGTAGAGACAGAGTCTCACTATGTTGCCAGGGTTGGTCTCAAACTCCTGGGCTCAAGTAAGCCACCATGCCTTACCTGTCCCAACTGTTTTATGTTAACATTTGCAGGCACATTAAGTGTAAAGAAGTGATTTTTGTCTCAAAATCATGTGGCTAAATTACATTTACCCCTAGAAGGCCAATATAATTGAGCCAAATCAGTTCTTTTTCCACAAGGTCATTCTATTTCTCAGGTTAGTGCAGTTTTTAAAAACCGTATTGTGGAAAGTTTCAGACATACACAGGGGTAAAGAGAAGTATATCAAATCTTCATGTATCAGTCACTTCAACAATTACCAATTTATACTTTGTTCCCACTTCTAACCCCCAGTTTACAAGTTTGAAGCAAATCCCAGGAGCAAATCATTTCACCTAGAAACATTTCAAAATATATCTCTAAAAAATAAGATAATCGTAATACTAGCTAATGCGGTTTGAGCATTTTCATTGTTGCTCTCATTGTAGGAGAGAGGAAGGAATTGTATAATGGTACAATTTAGAGAACCTAGTTCAGTTATGCACAGTGATTTTTAAGGCTTAAACTTAATTTGTTTTTTACAGATATGTTATTGGCACTTTGGAGCTATTAGTAGCAGAAAACTACATGATAGTTTATTTAAATGGTGCAACAACTCGAAGAAAAATGCCCAGTCTGGGATGGCTCAGGAAATGTTATCAGCAAATTGATAGAAGGTAATACAAATACAAGTTGAAAGCTAGTCTGAAAAAATTTT
The DNA here is from genome assembly GCF_000001405.40 of Homo sapiens. Lineage (NCBI taxonomy): Eukaryota > Metazoa > Chordata > Mammalia > Primates > Hominidae > Homo > Homo sapiens. The sequence goes on along the minus strand of NC_000015.10, from coordinate 59,671,141 downwards.
ATAATGGCTTTAGGAAATCAAACTTTGTTTTTCGTTGCTATTTTTTTTTTTTAACTTTTTTTTTTTTTGAGACGGAGTTTCACTCTTGTTGCCCAGGCTGGAGTGCAATGGCACAATCTCGGTTCACCGCAACCTCCACCTCCCAGGTTCAAGCGATTCTCCTGCCTCAGCCTCCCAAGTAGCTGGGATTACAGGCATGCGCCACCACGCCCAGCTAATGTTGTATTTTTTGTAGAGACGGGGTTTCTCCATGTTGGTCAGGCTGGTCTCGAACTCCTGACCTTAGGTGATCCACCCGCCTCGGCCTCCTGAAGTGCTGGGATTACAGGCGTGAGCCACCGCGCCCAGCCTTCTGTTGCTATTTTAAAACACCATTTATTTTTTAAATTTTATTTATTTATTTCATGGCAGGTTTCTGTTTTCTAAAGATAGCATTTTAGAATATTGTGAGGGAAATCAATTTTGATTTTTCTATAAAGAATAACCTTAATTCTTCAAACTTACAAAGTAGCTTTATATTTCTCCTTATTTAATTGAAGACTTTCTCCTTATTTATAAGATGCAATTTTCTCCACATTGAACACTTTTTTTCCTATTATTTACGTCTTGGCAAAGGATGGAGAATGTAGTATGTTTCCTATTTCATTACATTGAGTTTTGCCTAATTTATAGTGCTTAGCATGTTTTATGTTTTTGTTTTTGTTTTGTTTTGAGACAGGGTCTCACTCTGTCATCTAGGCTGGAGTGCAGTGGTGCAATCTCTGCTCACTGTAGCGGCAACCTCCCAAGCTCAGGTTATTCTGCCACCTCAGCCTCCCAGGTAGCTGGGACTACAGGCATGTGCCACCACACCCAGCTAATTTTTGTATTTTTTGTAGAGACAGCGTTTTGACATGTTGCCCAGGCTGGTTCTTGAACTCCTGGACTAAAGCGATCCACCTGCCTCAGCCTCCCAAAGTGCTAGGATTACAGGCATGAGCCACAGCGCTCAGTATTTATGTTTTTTAATGGTGCTTATTTAGTTGTAATCTTTCTTTGGAACAAGCTTTAGAAGTGTTTTGTCTTGGGAGTTAGTCATCAGTACTTAATGGAAGGAATGTGATCTTCCGATTGGTTTGATCTTGCTGTGGCTAATTTAAATCAAGTCAGACCCATTAATAGGTTTCTCTTCACATCTAAATTTGACATTGGCTAGCTCTTATGATTATATATGTATCTCACTTTATGTGTGAAATATGCATAATACAAAGAGTATTTAGTCATTTAAAAAGGAGAAGTCTAGGATAAAACCTTTAATTTTTAATCAAAACTTTAAATTCCTTAAGAATAGGAGTTAGATCTGATTTGTTTTTGTTCCTGTGGTCATCTTCTCCACTCACACTTCTCTGCCTGCACAGTGCTTTTCATGGTTTTGAAGAACTTAGCACCAATTTCTCCCTAGTCTTGGAAAATGAGAATAGTTTACTTTTACATTCAGTATTGGCCTCTTTCCCTGTTTACAGAGTCCTGAAGACAAGTGAATGTGTATGCTAGGAGACATTTAGTAACAGGCTATACTGTGGACGTAAATCTGGCCAAATGAAGTAAAGTTCATTTCATAGCAGTAGGAGGGACCATAAGAATTTAAGAGTGCATTTTCTTGTCTACAGGGGTATCACACCTAATTGAGAACTTTTGGGTGAGATTTTTCAACTATTATTTTGTATAAACTTGCAGCATTAGAATTTATAGAAATTTTTAATTTTCTTTGTGTGTGTGTGTTTTTTTTTTAAACTCCAGGTTACGGAAAAATCTAAAATCCCTAATCATTGTACATCCTTCTTGGTTTATCAGAACACTTCTGGCTGTTACAAGACCATTTATTAGGTAATTTTTGAGAGCCATTGACTTTAATTTTATTTTTTTTATTTATTTATTTTTAGTTAACACATAATAACTATACATACTTATGGGATACAGAGCTATATTTTGATATGTGTATACATTGTATAATGATCAAACCTGGGTGATTAGTACATCCATCACCTCAGACATTTATCATCTTTTTGTGTTTTGAACATTCAAAATGACATGATTTTTGTATCTTGTAAACATTGTATCCATTGTATTTGTCAGAAATATGGAAGTAATTATTTTTATTTTCTTCCATAGCTCGAAATTCAGCCAAAAAATTAGATACGTGTTTAATTTGGCAGAACTAGCAGAACTTGTCCCCATGGAATACGTTGGCATACCAGAATGCATAAAACAGTATGTTTTGTTTTATTTCCTTAATTGTATTGGATCTTAACATTTTGATGTGCAATGGATAATACTTTTCAATACTCATTCTTTATGTATTATATTTTATAACTGTGCGCGCGCGCGCGTGTGTGTGTGTGTGTAACAAAGAAAAAGAGGAAGAAGCCATTTTCCCACACCATCCCCCTAAGTTAGCATTTTCTTCAGGCTGTCAGTTGAAGAACTAGGATAAATTATTTCCGGTTGTGATTCATGTTATACTTTTATAGACTACTTATAATCTAAGAGATGATTTCTCTAATTGATCAGTACTAAAGAGCATTCTCCAAACTTGAACATAGTGCTCAACAAATTTGAGTAAACTGATCATCAATATTATTATTGAATAATCATATTGCTAAATAAATAAAAATATTTAAATCATCATAACCTTAATGTTTTCCAGTGACTGAAATTCTGTTCTGATTATCAGATTCACATTCTTCCATGTAACTTCTTGGACTTGGTAGAAGGCTGTTAACATAAATAACTGAGTATTACAATGCATGTGGAAAAGTTTCTTTGTTCTGCTCACCTGAGGTTTTAGTCTATTTAATGTATGAAAGTCAGATTTATTAAGTAAATTTTTACTTTCTACATCATGTAGTAAATATTTTTGGTTTTGCTGGAAAATTTAAATGAGTTTATTTTTAGTAGCTTTTTTCAAGTTTTTATTCATTTTCATAACATGTATATTTACTGAAATAACTCTTCCCTACAAAGGTATGAAGAAGAAAAGTTTAAAAAGAAACAAAAAAGGTATATGCACACCTTGACTGGGTTGCATCTAGACTAGTCCATTTGCATTGCAGACTAACTCTTCCTTATTGGTTGGTTAGCTTGTAGACAAAGATAATAGCATTTGCAAATATAAATGTACCCCAACTTCCAAATACAGGGTGAACCCAGAGTTCCTAAGGCTGAATATGACTTGGATTCACCATGTTTTATTGCCATATATGATGCCAATTAGCAATTAAAAACCACAGACCCTTCTCTCTCCTTCTTAGTCTAAGTACTAATGGTGAAACCAGAGAAATTACTAAAAATGGTATTTGGAACACCAAATAATTTTAAGACTTTATCTGTTTCACCATTTTCTTTAAATCGCTAACTTGTGCTTTTGAAATATTTTTGCAGACTTTTTAAAAGTTCTCAATTTATTTCCCTGGGGTTGATTATTATATTTGCAATGCATATATACTTTGGCTAACCAACATTGGTTTCCTTTTATGCTTAAATTAAATGGCTTGCTAACCAGTCAAATTCTACATGTGATAAAATACCTAAAATCTCAGTGTCCCATTTAACAGTTAAACACTTCACTTTCTATTTTAAATTTAATTTTGAACACTTCTGCTTTGAGCATAACAAACTATTATCTATTGATACCTTGACATAGATGATGAAAGGCAAGGGTATAAAATACTTAGAATTTTGTATAATAATTTAGAAAAACGTAGAATTTAGATCTAGTTTGTTAGATCTTTAAAATATTGGCAATTAAATTAGCAAAACATAGTTTAATACAATCTTAAGAGTTACGGTGAGAGATTTATATGTAATTATCTTGACCATTCTAAGGAGCCAACTGTAACTAACTGGAACATTCTTAACTTTGAACACATTTTGTTTCTGTTGATGAGTGAGAATTTAGTAGACTTTGTGATAGAATCAGTTTTACACTTCTATATGACACTTCACAGTTTAACCAACACTTTAACATAGAAATGTAGACAGTGATTTTAGATCATGCTGATTTCACATTCCTTTCTAGGCATTGCTGTGCATTCGACAGACAAGTGGCTGAAATTAAAAATATGATTTGTAATTGTAGAATATTTTGAAGCCAGCTGCTTCATAGATTTCACAGTGAATTGCCTTTGTTGATAAAATATGCTGTATTAAGCCTTTTTAAAAAAAGTTTTTAATACTGTTAAGTAATTTAGACATCAGAAAAAATATGGAATTTGTACTTTTTATTTAAATATATTGTTTGAAACCTGTCACTATTTTATCTTGATTTTTTTTTTACTTGTGTTTAACCATAAATAGAATGATTACATGTATCTTTCAAAAACGTTCTGTTTTTTGTAGTTTCTTTAGTCTTAAAAAATAATAAATTTTTGTCAATCTGAAAATGATAAAATTTAATTTTTAAATTAAATTTAGGTAGAGAGGCATGTTTTGTTTTGAGACAGAGTTTCACTCTTGTCACCCAGGCAGGAGTGCAATGGCCCAGTCTCAGCTAACTGCAATCTCTGCCTCCCGGGTTCAAGCGATTCTGCTGCCTCAGCCCCCCAAGTAGCTGGGATTACAGGCACCCACCACCATGCCTGGCTAATTTTTGCATTTTTAGTAGAGACTGGGTTTCACCATGTTGGCCAGGATGGTCTCGAACTCCTGATCTCAAGTGATCCACCCACCTCGGCCTCCCAAAGTGCTGGGATTACAGGCGTCAGCTACCACGCCCAGCCTAAACCAAACTTTACAGAAGCTAGGTGCAAGGGAGCTTATTTAAGGTGACAACTGCATGATATGATAAGTAGTGGTGCTAAGAAGAGTATGAAGCTATGAGTCCCTATGGCAGGTTTTTGGGGAGCAGGGGAAGAAGGGGCAAAACCATTTTCTTGAGGGGCTTGTGGGGAAGAGGGTTGAAGAAATGTTGACAACAGGGAGATCCAGTGTCCCCAGTGACAGAAAAAGGATAGCAGTTTAAATGTTTAAAATGTTTCTTTCAAACAACTGGATGCAAGTGTGGCCATGCAGATACAGATTGTTAAAATGTTTCAGGGGAGTTTAAAAATAATTATGAAATTAGTTGGTAAGGATATTTCAGATGTTAAGAGGATTTGATATATTTTGCATGCCTTATCAGAAATACATTCCAAATTTTTTATAACAATATTTTAAATATTTTAAAATGTTACTTTGGCTTTACCACAGACCAGGGCTTTTAGGTCTGTTTCACTAATATTCAGGTGGGCATAGTAATGGGTGATGAGAATAAAAACATATGAAAAATATTTTTCTTTATCTAATACCGGATTGTTTTAAAGGTCCCTTCATCAGTTATTCAGACCACTACAAATGTAATAGTAATAGACTGTTAGCTTTGAAGGGTTGTCTGTAATTATTATGTGGTAATTATGTAATCCTTCTAATGCCCACATGCGTAAATTTTGATATGACTGATGTCCAACCCACCACTAAATAAATAAGCTTTTTGATGGGTTTTTGTTTTGTTTTTTTGAGACAGGGTCTTGCTCTGTCACCCAGGCTGGAGTGCAGTGGTGCAGTCTCGGTTCACTGTCGCCTCCGTCTCCAGGGCTCAAGCAATCCTTCCACCTCAGCCTTCTGAGTAGCTGGGACTACAAGTGCACACTACCACACCTGGCTAATTTTTGTATTTTTTGTAGAGACGGAGTTTTGCCATGTTGCCCAGGCTGGTCTCAAACTCCTGGTCAAGCAGTCCGCCCGCCTCGGCCTTCCAAAGTGCTGGGATCATAGGTGTAAGCCACTGTGTCTAGCCAATAATTAATTTATATTAGATATTTTTGAATGTTAAATTCTTTTTTTTTATTTTATTTATTTTTTTAAGACGGAGTCTCACTCTGTCACCCAGTCTGGAGTGCAATGGCATGGTCTCAGCTCACTGCAAGCTCTGCCTCCTGGGTTCAAGCGGTTCTCCTACCTCAGCCTCCCAAGTAGCTGGGACTACAGACGCGTACCACCACACCTGGCTAATTTTTGTATTTTTAGTAGAGATGGGGTTTCACTGTGTTGGCCAGGCTGGTCTCGAACTCCTGACCTCGTGATCCACCCGCCTAGGCCTCCCAAAGTGCTGGGATTACAGGCGTGAGCCACGGCATCCGGCCTTGAATGTTAAATTCTTAAGGCTTCTTACTGTCAAAACAAATTTAAGGCATTCACAAACTGTGTACCAATAAGTTTTGGAGAATAATTATGGGTTCTATAAGGATGCATTTTTTATCACTGAATTTTAAAATATTGATTGATAATTGGTGGCCTTCATGGCATTTTCATATTTTAGTTAACAGAATCATTTTTGAGGGAGTTGTTTTTCCTGCCATTTTCGTACCACCTGGATCCCTACCACAGCCAAGTTACAGGTCAAGATTTTAATATGCCATGTAATTTGAACTTTTAAGAAAGTTTATGGCTGGGCACGGTGGCTCACGCCTGTAATCCCAGCACTTTGGGAGGCTGAGGCAGGCAGATCACGAGGTCAGGAGATCGAGACCATCCTGGCTAACATGGTGAAACCCCACCTCTACTAAAAATACGAAAAATTAGCCGGGCATGGTGGCGGGCGCCTGTAGTCCCAGCAACTCGGGAGGCTGAGGCAGGACAATGGTGTGAACCCAGGAGGCGGAGATTGCAGCGAGCTGAGATTGTGCCACTGCACTCCAGCCTGGGTGACAGAGCAAGACTCCGTCTCAAAAATAAGAAAAAAAAAAAGTTTATATGCATTTGTATGTAAAGTATTTTATAATCTTTAAAGAAACAACGGTCACATTTCTTGCCAGTGTCCTCCTGCCTTTAAAAATTCTCTTTTCTGGTTGGGGAAATGATGTTTGGTAACTGTTTTTACTATGTCTGCTTCTTTGCAAAGCTTTGTCTTTAACAGAGTAATATTCTATGCTAAAATAGTCATTATTTTTAGAAAGAAAATTGTTCAGTTGCTGGTTTCTTATTTTATATATTCTTCATTAAACAGAGTTGATCAAGAACTTAATGGAAAACAAGATGAACCGAAAAATGAACAGTAAGTTTGGCATCTAGTCCAAACAAGACTGAAGAATGTGCTGATGGAGCAGTGCTGTTTCTGCATTCATAATGCATTTATTGGCCCATATTTTTATGTAACCTGTTACAAAATAGACTTGACTTTTTCATAATGGACTTTTGTATTATACAAGGGACTGTTCACTGCTGTACTGGTTTGCAAATTTCTTGAATTTAGCTCTTTAATAGCTAACTGTATTATTATCGTTTTATATTTTATATTGCTAAATAGAGAACCACACTTTATATAAAGTAGTTTTTGCATTTGTTTATTGAATGATGCATCTTCTTCGGTGAAATATTTATATGCATAAATGGCAAAGGAAAGAAATAATATATATTTTTATGTCATTGAGCAATATTTTTTAATGTGTACCTGTCTTATGGAAGAAATATGCAGGTATATAAGACCACGATTTTCTAAAGTGCATATTAGAATTTTTGTTTTTGTAAATGGTTAAATACATTTCCTGGGTAACTTAGGAAATTAAGTTTTTCATAAGGCAACAGATGGTTAAACTGATTGTCATGAATACCCAAAGATCATGTATATAATCGAAGTGTATTAGTACCATCCCAAGGTTTTTTTCTCATTTAACATATTTGTTTCATAATTCAGCAAGTACAGATGCAAGCGCATTGCACACTTTTTCCTTTCTAAACTTAAAGACAAGTCAAAAAGCCATTCTTAGAACTAGAGGATTTAAGAGGGTAGGAATTAGGGTTTGTATATATGTATATATGGGACATTTTATCTTCTGGCCCAAAGTCAGAACTTTATAAAAATCTTGAGTTTGTTCACTAATGTGAAATAAGCTATGTGTCCAGGGTATTGCTCCCCTGAGTGTATATGAGTGCTGAGTAGTATTGCAGAGAATGTGATGAGTTATTCACTGTCACAACTTTTTCTATAGAAAACAGGGGCTGCTTTTTAAACTCTCACTATGGGCACTTTACCAAAATACTTCCATATCAATTATTTGAACTCGGTAGTTGTTTGACCTAGTTAGATGTGGTGTTTATTCAAGTTTGTATGAAATCATGTTTGACAATACTGTAAATTAGGTTAATTTTGTAAGTCTTAGCATCATCATATTGTGCTGTTTTGGATAACACGTTTGTTACAAGCATTTAAACTGTTTCATTTGGTAGTACCTTTACATTGAAATAAATTGTGTTTGTGCCTCCAAACAAAAAGTTTAATTACCGACAAAATTATTTCTAAAACAACAGATTGATCTGATATTGTGTCATATACTTGAAAGGCTCATACACAGCTGGTAAGCATAATACCTTCCAAATTTGAAGGTCATGGCTACTCTTCAACCCTTCCTGTAAGGTATTTTACAAAACAGTGGCCTAGAGTAGCAAAATTGAAGTGGATGTGAGCTAACCTTTCAAGATTTAGTCTATCCTAGATTGAACACACATGTGGCTGTGACCATTCTCATGTACTTACAAACCTTCTGTTACAAAAGGGAACTTTCCTATATTTTTTGTCCTCCTCAGTCCTAAACTTGGCATGCTAACTTAAAACCAGTTATAGGAGAGAGATGCTGGAGGATTCCCAGGATGAAACATTCCTCAGCAGCCTCCTGACTTAACTCAGATCCAGCAGCTCTTGGCAGATCCTGAACTAATGTCATTACAGTGAATTGAGCCAAAACGATTATTGCTTGCTCACATTTTAGGAACACTTGTTGTTGAAGAAGCAAACTAACAATAACAAGTTAGGCATTCCTTCTGAATTTACCATATAAGGATTATGTATAAACAATTATATTGAATTTGTCATTAGATTCTATATTTGTAGACGATTTAACGTAGTCTTTCATCTGTACATCTTTATCTTGCTCAAAATGGGCTGAGGTTTTTAATAGGTGGTTTTCTACCACATTAAGTACTTGGTTCTTCAGTTTAAAAAATATGAAGAATAACTTCAACTCTTTTTTGCATTATTTTGATTTTTGATTTTGCAGTCATTGCTCCTAACTGTAGATACATGTTGCAAAAGTGATGTTTTTCTGAATTTTTTTTAAAAGTAGAAGACTATTCTGTTAAACATTAAAATTCAGAGACAACAGTGATAACACCTGGGATATAATGAAAATGAGGTGCTGTGAATCAGTAAACTAAAGGGATACCTGCTTTAACCTGCACCTTAATGGAATCTGGTATAGAGATGTACCCACAATAAATGTTTTATAAGATTTAAGATCATAATAGTAGGTTAGAGGAAGAGCATTTATTAAGTCTGTTGTTTCTAATCTATAGCTAAGTTAACATTTCCCATATTATTCCATTTTAATTTCCCATTACTGACCAAGGTGAAAGTATATGTGATTGTACTTTTATCTTTCTGTTGGGATCATGGATCTAATTTAACTGGCTTAATTTGATGCTTCTGTCACTAGGCTCTAAGTGCCCCTTTTTTAGTCAGAAGTTTTTCATGTGAAATAATTTGATTCTGTGTTCTGCTTGATCATACTCCTAAGCAAGCACCAAGGGAAGACGTTCTATTCACCCCACAATTTAAGCTTAACAATCTTTAACTCAGAGGGAGATATGAAGAAATATGATTCTAAGTAGGGTCTAGCAGAGGCATTGGAAAGTGATAAAAGTAGGAAGTAAGAGAAAGCAAACCTTTATAAAGAGATAAAGACATAGTTGTTACCTAAGATGCCACTGTATGTGTGCCCTCTCTTTTTTTTTTTTTTTTTTTGGAGACAGAGACTCACTCTGTCACCCATTCTGGAGTGCAGTGGCGCAATCCTGGCTCACTGCAACCTCTGCCTCCCGGGTTCAAGCATTTCTCCTGCCTCAGCCTCCTGAGTAGCTGGGATTACAGGCACACGCCACAATGCCCGGCTAATTTTTGTATTTTTAGTAGAGACGGGGTTTCGCCATGCTAGGCTGGTCTCGAACTCCTGACCTCATGATCTGCCTGTCTCAGCCTCCCAAATGCTTGGATTACAGGCTTGAGCCACCACGCCCGGCCATGTGTGTCCTTTTAAGGGAAGTACCATATGTGACTGCTGATGGTAACATTTCTTGTATGCAGCAGGAAAACCTGCAGGCTATACGCAAGGTATGTGAATAAAGACTGTGGATTGAAGGGGGAAAAGTTGATAATACATACCCATGATAAGAATTCATATTTTCTCTTTCTTTGTCTCTTCATACAGAAGCAAGTTCGAGCAGAGAAGGTTAGCAGTTACAGCACTTAAAAGTTTAGGATTGAGGGTTTTTGGTTGGTTTTTTTGTTTTTTCATATTTCACTGTTGCTGAACATTGATTTAGTCTTCCAAAATGGACATCACTAGTAAGTGCACTGAATACTGAAATATGCTGATTGGCAAGCATATATCTGTAGCTAGAATTTTTTTAACCGTAATTCCAGAATTTAAAAAGGTAAGAGATCTGCTTTTTGATAGAGGCCTTTTAAAAAGACTATATAACATTTCTATTTGGCTGTTTATGTGAATGCTCAGGGAATTTGGACATGTGTTTTATACAGAAGTGGCTTTTTATATTTCTTCAAGTGATAAATTAGCATTAGGACATATCAGATAGAACAGGCCAGTTTCCTGATGAGATTGGTAGAGATGTTACGGTAGGTTCATCCTTCCTTTTTCCATGTTATATGTGGAGAAGTGTTAAACTTGCTCAAGCAAATGGGAGTAGGAGATAGGCTGAAAATAGAGATTGCTACACCATTCTATTTTGTTTTCATGCCTGTTTTTTCTCCAATCCTATATGGACATTTGAGAAATGGACCACAAATCTGAGAGGGATAGAGTAAAAAGAGGCATTAATGTATGTACTCACAAGTTAGACCTATTTTGCTGTTAAAATAGGTCTGGTCTTGTTATAGGTCATAGGAATTGTGTAGTTTGAGTTGCTGCGAGAAAGAGTCAAGAACTTAGACTTGAATGGGAAGGCCAACTGGTGAGGGAAGTGGGGTATTATCTACTCAAATGTTCTAAGCTAATACAAAAGAATTACCTGGCAAGCATCCCCCTCTGCCCTTCTTGAAATTCTGAATGAACTTAGAATCAGATCAATGGTGAGACCCAGTTATGTAACTTTCCTTTGAAGTTCTAAAGGATAATTGAAAATAAAGTAGTCTGGCATGTTTAACAGTAAGGAGTGACACTAAAATTTGAATATAACAGTATGTTGCAACTATTTATAATAGACCTATTTATGTTTTGAGAACTAAGTAAAATGCTATGAAAAATTCACATAAAGCACGTAAGCACCAAATGAAAATCATTTCGTGCTTTCAAATTAATGATACTAGGCTTGTAGGATGTCTTAGAATCATGTTTAACAAGAAGTTAAAATATTTGCATTTTGAAATTTTTATGCAGTTTGGCTAAGGAGGAACTTGGAAAATAACATTCATCAGCTTCTACACTGCACTTTTTGTATGTGGACTTTGTAAAGTTTAATGTCCGTTTAACAGTTGCTTGTTTATTTGTGTAAACCTAGCTAGTAAATATTGATGATGTTCAGGGCCACTGACTTGCACAGCCCTTGGAGCACTATTCACACAGAACACAATTCAGAGTTTGTTAAGACATTAACACACTTTGATATCTATTCCAAAAATACTTTTGTTACCACAGGTTCATTGCTGTCATTTAGACAAAATTAATGTACTGTGATATTTTCCTACTCTTAAGATGATGTTGCCCAGCCGAGTACTGTCAGAAATTCAGTTCTGATGTCTGTGTGTGCAAGATATTAATGTGGTCCCTGTAAGAAATACCAGAGTTGGTCATGATTTACTAAGGAGATGTAATATTTTCTTTGACCTGTTAGGAATATAACTTGTGTCTTGATTTGTTGCACATCATATTTTTTGCAACATTAATGAATTTAAATAAATTAATTGGAACGTTCGTCTTTGTCTTTTTATCACATTTTTCTTTCATTATGCTACTAAATTTTTGCTTTGAATTATCCTATAAACCTCTTAAATAATTTCAGACCTTTACACTTGTTTCCCTTTCTATAGTCTAAGTGCTTCTATTCTTTGGGGATTAGAGAGTTCAGCCTGCTTTATTTTAACATCAAAACAATAATGAAACTTTGTGTTTCATAGTTGAGATTTTTTTTTAATTAATGGGGAATCCAAGGATGAAACCATGAGTGGCTTAAAATGAAAACATGGCTTTTTTTTTTTTTTTTTTTTTTTGAGACAGTTTCGCTCTTGTTGCCCAGGCTGGAGTGCAATGGCGCCATCTTGGCTCACCGCAACCTCCGCCTCCCAGGTTCAAGCAATTCTCCTGCCTCCGCCTCCCGAGTAGCTGGGATTACAGGCATGCACCAACACGCCCAGCGAAATTTTTTTTGTATTTTAGTAGAGACGGGGTTTCTCCACGTTGAGGCTGGTCTCGAATTCCTGACCTCAGGTGATTCGCTCACCTCGGCCTCCCAAAGTGCTGGGATTACAGGCATGAGCCACCGCCCCTGGCCGAAAACATGGCTTAAATAAGAAGAACTTGTTTAGTTCATAGACCTGCTCAGAGGTTCCAGCTGATACCACTTGGTGTTTTTTGTGGTTTTGTTGTTGTTGTTTTGCACATACTCTTTAATCACTATTCAGCTATTTTGTAGGATAAACTGCTCTACACATGACTGCTGGGTTTAAGCCAGTTAGTGTACCATGCACCCTGACACCTAAAACAATTTGTGATTTTGCAAACTTGAAATTTATAGTGAAGTATTTATCTTGCATATTAGATGCAAATTTTAAATATAACTTCTCCCAAATTAAAGTTCTTCATGAACTGGTCACAAACTAAAAACTTTGCCTGCAGCCCTGTTTCGAGGGGTAAAGAAGATACCCTGCTTACCCTGCTATAATTTTTTTTTTTTTTTTTTTTTTTGAGACGGAGTTTCGCTCTTGTTTCCCAGGCTGGAGTGCAATGGCGCGATCTCAGCTGACTGCAACCTCCGCCTCCCAGGTACAAGCCATTCTCCTGTCTCAGCCTCCCAAGTAGCTCGAATTACAGGCATGCGCCACCACGCCTGCCTAATTTTTTGTATTTAGTAGAGACAGGATTTCACCATATTATGCTGGTCGCGAACTCCTGACCTCCGGTGATCGACCCGCCTCAGCCTCCCAAAGTGCTGGGATTAAGGCGTGCGCCACCGCGCCCGGCCCCTGCTATAATCTTTTCAGAATTCGTCTGCAAGGTCTTCAACACTGTTACCCTGAACACACTTCCGGCATGAAATATGAATGCCCTACATTTCTTAAATTGTGCATCTAACAATGGAGAAGATTAGTCTCTAAAAATTATAATTCCCTTAGGAACGATTTAGTAAACCTGGTGAATTACTCGAGCAGAGCGCCTGTCCACCACTTTAAGGCTTCAAGCTCCAGCCCGACGCCCCTCCTTCCCTCTCCACGCCCTTCCCTGACAAGGCTTGAGTGGCGGGCGAGAGCAGGGCTGGGCGGGGCCTCCCGTCCCTCGGGCGGGGTGTCACTTCCAGGTTCCGCGAGCACTTCCGGGTCGTCAGCTCAGTTCTGCGGTTTCTGCGGCGGCTGGAGAGGTGGTCGGAGAAGTAGGAACCTCCTGCCGGGCTCGTGGCGGCTTCTGTCCGCTCCGCGGAGGGAAGCGCCTTCCCCACAGGTAGTGGGTTAGGGAGGGCAGGGTTAGGGAGGGAAGCAGGGCCGCGCTCCCTGCCGCCCCCCCGGAGTCGGAGTGCGTTGGTGGGGTAGTCTCTGAGGGCCCTTCGCTCCTGGGATCTGCCCGTTACCGACCGTTGCCGGCAAGGCCCCGCGGCCGGCACCGGAGAAGGGCGGCGAGGCGGCGGTGATGGTCGCGTCCCGTGGCGGGAGGCTCGTCGTTCACGGGGCGCCCACAGAACCCACCTAGGGGAGGTCTTCAGCCCACCACCGTATTTTCAGCCAGGTGAATGTCTTAAAGCATCCACTAGCGCCCTGTGAGTTTTGCCGAATTTCGGAGAGCATTTTTTAAATGTCTCATTCCTGTGCTTTGTAGCTTGTTGTTTGAAGTCTGCCTTCCAACTTTCTTCGTGCGAACTCCGACAAAAGGAACGAATTTTAAACTTGGTGGTTTAATCAAAAAATGCTAGGACGAGTTACTTCCGAATTTGACTTCTAATTTTCTGAACTGCAAAACAAGAAGGGAACAATAAATTTCTGTGGCTGATACCACATCTAAAAGATTAGAACACTTAACAAGGAATTTTTAAAGAATGTAAGAACATTGAAATCAGCACTTTTAACAAACGTTTAACGCAGGGCTATTTTCTAGATAAACTCAAAAATTTGTCAAATGGGACACGATGCACGATTCTGTATTCCTACTCTGTGGAGTTTTTATCTACCTATTGGGACTTCTTGCCCTTTTTAACCCCCTCTCCCCTCCCACACGCATATTATACTTACTGATATTTGCCTTCGTTTACTGAACAGATTTTTTTTTGGCTCCTATTGTGTGCCAGGTACTGTTCTAGACGCCTATTTTACTTAAGTGAACAAAATAAAAAGCTTTGCCCTCATGGAGCTTACATTCTATTAGAGGATGCAGAAAATAAAATATATAATGGTGTTAGAAAGTGATGGTGCCATCAAAAAAAAAAAGAGAAATATAAAGGAGTACGGGAAAGTTCCAGAGTGGAGGTGGGAACTGGTATTTTAAAGATGACGGTGGTCAGTTTGAGCCTCATTTAGTAGGTGTTATTTGAGCAAAGACTTGAAGGAATTAAGAAAATTTGCTAAGTAAATATCAGGAAGAGCATTCAGGCAGATAGGAAAGCCAATACAAATGCTTTTAGGCCTGTCATGTTTGAGGAATAGCAAGGAAGCCAGTGTATCTGGAGAGGGATGAGCAAGAGTTTTGGGGGTGGAGGGACAAGAAGATAAAGTCAAAGAGATCATGGTAGCCGGATCATTGTAAAGGCTGATAGAAGCCATGGGAGATTTTGAATAGAGGAGAGGTATGTTGTAACTGAAGTTTTAGAAGATCACCCTGGCTGTGAGTTGTGATTAGAGTGTAGGGGTGAGTGTAGAAGCAGGGAAATCATTTAGGAGATTTTTGCAGTAATCCAGATGACGAGAGTGGCCCAGGTCAGGGTGATAACCGTAGGGATGGTGAGAAGTGGTTGGATTCTGAATGCATTTTGAAGGTAGGCCTTACAGTATTTGCTAGGAATTGGATATGGAGAGTGAGATAGAGGGAGTGGAGGATGAAATCAAAGGTTTTGCCCAAGCTCGTAGAAGTATGGAGTTCTTTAAGCCACGATGCAAAAGATAACAAATAGAGATGTTGAGTAGGCAGCTAGATTCAGGAGTGAGAAGTTCTATGCTATATGAATTTGGGGATCATCAGCAGTGGTACTTAAACCATGAGAATAAATGTTATCCGTAAGGAATGGGTGTAGACGGAAAGCAGCAGAGGCCTAAGGACTGTGTCCTGTGATATTAAGAGTTTAGCGAAAACGGGATCAACCAGCAAACAGTATTAAGAAGGATGAACTTGTGAGTTAGGACAATCCGAAAAGGGCAGTGTCCCAGAAGCCAAGGTAAGATCCTGTACGAAAGAGGAGGGAGTAATCAGCTGTGTCCAATATTCTGAGTGAGGCTAGAGAATTAGCTTTAGCATTGCCATTGATGACCTTCACCAACCTGTTTCCTTAGAGTGCTAGAGGCAAAAATTAGCTTAAGAGAAAATAGGAAAAAAGGAATTGGGAGACAGTGAATACAGACAAAACTAAGGGATTTTGCTGCAAAGGGGAACTGAGAAATAGGATGTAGCTGGCAGGGGATTTGGGTTGAGGGGTTTTTGTTTTGTTTTACTTTTTAAGGTGGGAGAAGTAGCCACCTATGTGTTTGCTAATGGAAATGATCCGCAGAGAGGGAAAATTTGATGGTGAGGGAGAGAAGTAACAACTGAATTGTCAGAACAATATCCTTGAGTGAATTAGAAGACAATGCCTGATACAAAGGTAGAAGGATTGGATTTAGATAAAAATAGGTATAGAGTTCAACTATAGTGACAGGGAGGGAGAGTATATGGGTACAGGTTGGGCATCCCAAATTCAAAATGCTCCAAAATCCAAAACTTTGAGCACCAACATGACACTGAAAGGAAATGCTCTTTGGAGCATTTCAGAGCTTGAATTTGGGGTACTCAATCACTAAGTATATACGATGCAGATATTCTAAAATCCAAAAGACTTCAGGTCCCAAGCATTTCAGATAAGGAATGTTCAACCTGTATAGCTATTGGTAGGTAGCTGGATGTGGCTGTGAGTCTGGAAGTTATTGCTGCAGTTTCCTCAGTGAAGTGTAATACTTTGTGTCATACTCAGATACATTTCTAATATATTAGCACTTTAACATACTACCAAGTATTTCACTCAACAGATACTTAATAGATACTACATACGTTGTTCTAGTTGGTAAATATGTAAATGAACAGAAGTCCCTGTCTTCAGTGTGTCATCTATTTTAGTAGATGGAGACAGAATAAGCATATATATGTTAGCTTCAGTTATTGGTATGAATGAAAATAAAGCAGTGTGAGGAAGAAGGAAGGTAATTCTTTCTTATAGGTTGATTATAGAAGGCCTTTCTGATGGAGTAATGCTTGACCCAGAGATCTGAATCAAATGAGAGAGTGAACTATGCAGGTATTTGGAAAGAATACTGTCAGCAAAAAGAAGAGCCACCACAAAGGCCCTCAAGCAGGATCATGCTTCCCCTGTCAAAGAACAGCAGGGGACCAGTATGACCAGAGCAGAGTGAGAGGGTGAGTGGGCGAAGATAGGGAAGTAGGCACTGGGGGGCCCAAATCACATAGGCCTTCCAAGCCATGGACTCTGTGGTTTTCACTGAGATGGGATGCTGCCATTGGTGGTTTTGAATAGACCAGTGATGTGATTTGCCTTATGTTTTAAAGTCTTAGTGTGGCTACTATGAGGGTGGGGTTGGGATAGGCAAGACTGGAAATAAGGAGACCATGAGTTATCACATTAACTTTAGTGACAGATGATGGTGACTTAGGGTAATAGCATTGAAGATGGTAGAAGCTGTCAGATTCTGGCTATAGTTAGAAGGACGAGCTGAAAGGTTGGCTGATGGATTGGATGCCAGGTAAGAAAAAGAGAAGTTACTCTTGACTCAGGTTTTTGAGCTGTTACAGGAAGACTATGTTTACTGTTACCGAGGTGGGTAAGACTGAGGACAGAGCATATTTGCAAGAGTAGCATCAGAAACATGGTTTTTGACAAATTGAATTTGAGCTACCTACTTGATATTTTTATCCAGTGTCAAGCAGGCAGTTTTATATATGGGTACAAAGGGAGAATTGAGGGCTGGAGATACAAATTTGAGAGTCATCACCAGATAGTAGATGGTATTTAAAGCCGTAAGTCTGGATGAGGTAACTAAGAGAGTAAAGTATGTGGAAAATAGAGGACCCAAGAAAACTTAGGGCAGTTCAACAGTTACAAGTCAGGGAGCTGAGGAGGAACCAGCAAAAGAAAATAAAAAATACAATGGTATCCAGTGACATGAGAACTGAGAATGCTGTCTCAAAGCCAAAGAAATGTTTCAAGAAGGCAGAAATGATCTGTTGAATCCAGTGCTAGCAAGGTGTGAAATGTAAGGACTGATGGCTGGCCATTATTTTTGCTGAGTTTTATCTGATGATTGCTCCTCAAATGTATTTTCCCCCATCCATCTCCAGACTGAAAGGGCCATGAGGTCAAGATCTTACACCTGACGTGTAGTGGAAGCTCAGTAAATATTTATTGACTGTGTACTGCTGCCACCCTTTTCGAGCCCCCATCCCTCATCTGTTTCTAAATCACGCACTGAAGCCCAGCTGTCTGACCTTTCCTGCCTAAAATTCTTCAGTGACTCCCCACTGCTTGCACCTATCCTGCCAAACAACTCCATCTATGCTGTCTCTTTCAGCTTCATCTCCTGCCACTCCCTATTCGTACTTATGCCCTGATAATGTAGAACAGTTTATGTTTTTCCCCACAAACATTTCATCCTTCCATGGCTTTACTTATTCTATTCTGTCAGCCTCTGGAATGACTTCCCTCCTCTGCTTGGCTAAAGTCTAGCTTAAAGAACCTGGAAGCTTTTCTGAGCCAGCTCACTTCTACAGGCAGCCTCCATGGTATGCTTTGTATCTTTATCCCAGTTCTTATCTTTTTGTATGTTTGTTACATTCTCTAGAGTATAAATTTTTAGGATTGGGAGCATGCCTTTAATCATCATCTTCTCTCTGGAACCTGTCACAGTGCCATTCTCTTGGTAGGCACTCTGTAAATACTGAATTTAGAGAGAACAGGAAAATAAAGGGGCAGACATGCAAACATGAGCTGAAGATTTTACCAGTGACTTGACAGCAGGTAGAAAGGACAGTACATGGAAAATTCTAGACTAAGTCAGAAGGCAGACATTTGAAGGAAATGGTAAAGACATTTTAATAAATATAACAGCTATACTGCATAAAGGAGTATAAATGCCCATGTCAAAATCATGGGGAAAAAAACTGGAAAATCATTTGTAGCAATTCCTTGTAATTCTAAAATGATTATCTAGTAATGTGCAACCACTAAGCGTTCTCCTAGTTCTATATTAGAATATTTGAGGTAGATGATATTATATACATAATTTATGATGTTACAGTATGATCTTTTTTAACAATTTTATATTAAATTTTTAGGACATCAATGCAAGCTTGAATAAGAAAAACAAATTCTTCCTCCTAAGCCATGGCATATCAGTTATACAGAAATACTACTTTGGGAAACAGTCTTCAGGAGAGCCTAGATGAGCTCATACAGGTGGGAGACTGAATTAAAAATCAAACATTTTTATCTTGATGGGTTTACAGTAATTCTTGTCATATCACTTAGGCAAAGAGATATGAGGTAAAATATCTTGGACTATTTGACCCAGCAAGTCAGTAACACTGATTAAATTACCTCAAATTCTTGTTTATTACACTGTCCTGACAACAGGACACAAAACATGATTGAATGATATCATTAAATATAGCTAAATCTGGGTACATGCAGTGTTTCATGCCTCTAATCCCAGCACTTTAGGAGGACAAGGTGGAAGGATCGCTTGAGGCCAGAAGTTTGAGACCAGCTTAAGCAACATAGCACCACCCATCTCCACAAAAAATAAAAAAATTAGTTCGGTGTGGGCGCATGCCTATAGTCCCAGTTACTCGGGAGGCTGAGGTGAGAGGATGGCTTGAACCCAGGAGTTTGAGGCTTAAGTGCACTATGATGGTACCACTGTACTCCAGCCTTGGTGACAGAGCAACATCCTGCCTCTAAATAAATAAAGTTAAATCTTCAAAAATTTTTGTTCAACATAAAAATTGAGATTGTTGGTTTCCCCCTTCTCAAATTTAGGGAAGAAAGTCATATACTTTTTAGCTTTAAGATAGTTTTGTCCAATTTAAGTCTTCTGAGATTTACAAGTCTGAATTTATATTTCAATTTTAAGAGAATTAACCCTTCTGTATAATTCTCCCAAATAAAAACATATTAAGTATTTCCAGCTGGGCACCATGGCTCATGACTGTAATCCCAGCACTTTGGGAGGCCGAGGCAGGCGGATCACCCAAGGTCAAGAGTTAGAGACCAGCCTGACCAACATGGAGAAACCCTGTCTCTACTAAAAATATAAAATTAGCTGGGTGTGGTGGCACACATCTGTAATCCCAGCTACTTGGGAGGCTGAGGCAGGAGAATCGCTTGAATGCGGGAGGCAGAGGTTGTGGTGAGCTAAGATTGCGCCATTGCACTCCAGCCTGGGGAACAAGAGCGAAACTCCGTCTCACAAAAAAGGAAAAAAAAAAAAAACATATTAAGTATTTCCATTTGTTGGTATATTTTATGAGATTCAATAAAATTTAATAGGTTTTTTGTTTGTTAATATAGGCCCTGTGTATTTAAAAGAAACACCTCTTTGTCTATCTTCTCCTTTCCAGCCACTGTAAGGGAAAATTGACAAAGTTTTGTTCTGGCTTTGTAACATCACTGCATGTTTTCTCTTCAAGATTGTTTGTGTCAAGATAGTACAAAAGATGTCTTCAAGCTTGGTGCTTCATCATCAGTTATGGCAAAGGAGATAAAGGAATTCTAGTTTAGAGGCTTTGGTTAACCTCAGTTAAATTTTAGATGATAATTTGTATATTTTTATTTACTTTGTCTTTAATGTTCTTCCTTAACGGGATTTATGACCTTTACCTTTTCTCAGTCTCAACAGATCACCCCCCAACTTGCCCTTCAAGTTCTACTTCAGTTTGATAAGGCTATAAATGCAGCACTGGCTCAGAGGGTCAGGAACAGAGTCAATTTCAGGGTAAGGATATTTTCCTGAATCTAGAAGCCTGTACCAATGGTTGTTAAAACACTGATTTTTTTTTAGGACCCCTACATATTTATTAATCATAAGAGGAAGAGGTGGCTTAGTCAATTTTTGGAACTTGTTTTATAGTAACTAAATTATACTTTTCAATCAACTATAAACTAAGTTGATCCACTTAATGTGAGATACAGAGATGTTTTTAGATTTTTATTTCATTGTTTCACAAATCAGCCTTTGTATGTTTGGCTACCTTCCCTGAAGAGTTACTGAGATTCCAAACACCTGAAATATTATCTGCAGGATTAAAGGTAAGTGGCGGAGTAATCCCCAAGGTTCTGTTATGGTTTTCAAAGTCTGGCCTTTCCCCGTTCCAGGGAAGTAGAGTTATTTCTAGAAACTTCATGTTGCCTCCCTCCGACTCTTAGGTAACTTGGCTGATAAAAACCTGATCTCTAATGGTAGATAACAGTCTATTCTGGTAGCTTGGTCTCACTTCAGTCACTTATACTTTGAACAGTAGTCATCCAAAGCTGAATAAAATTATCTCTCTCAATTTCCTGATAACTTCAGATTAAGTGCCCATTGAAAGAGTCATGGTGCAACAGAAATAATTTTACCACATTATGGTATTGATGGAGTCATATAATATATGATGATGTTTGCTTATTATTTATCTAACTTTATGTTTATATTGTATTATAAGGCATAACCTGTAGAAATATAGTCAAAAGAAGGTTAAAATATGGTTACAACCAAAATTTGATCATTAGTTAACATCTGCCTACTTCATTTGGTACTTAAACATTCAGTAAACAATTTGAGTGTCTGTTAACATACCAGGCATGCTCTAGATACACAGAGATGAAAAGATAACATACCAGGCATGTTCTAGATACTCAGAGATGAACAAGATAGACAAAGCCCCATTTGACTTAAATTTTAGTGAAGGATAAAATCTCCATGTATTTTATATTAATATAAATAAGTCTCATATATCAGTTTCATGTGCCAAAAAATTATCTGGAGTAAAATATGCCTTCAAGACTGTATAATTTGACCAGTGGATCCATGAATTTTTAACAGTAATGATTCTGCCAAAATTAGTTTGTGTTTTTTTATATACCCATATGCAGAAGTCTGCCCAGATGATCCATGTTAATACATAAATTTTGCTCTAATAAGAAATTTGGTGGACTACTTATCAGAGGCAAGATAGTTCACAAGGCCTAACTAGTCATCCTCTAGGTGCATTATTGTAGGTTTCTAGTTTGGATTTCTTTAGCTAGAGTTAAAGTAATTTGACATTTACATTTATCTTGCATAGTGTTTTGTGAGTTTGTCTATTTTCGAAAAGCTATAAATAATTGCTCTCAGCCTTGATCAGAACTTTTCCATTCTTGCTTTTTATTTTCCTGCTGCTACTATTCTAACTCACGCTTTTTATCACCCTACTCCTGGGTTACAGCCAACTTGATCAATTTTAAATCCAGAATGTTTGCAAATAACATTCTGTTTAGCTTAGTGTAGCATATGGCCAAGACAAAAGATAATGTGTTAGAAATACCTAATTTTCAGAGCCATTTTGCTAGATCAAATTTAGGTATATATTTTTTATGTATAATTTGCTGACCTAGCAATGAGTAAGCATCCTTTACAAGAATAGAATAATCCTATATAGCATGTTAAATTGTTTTATAGTTTTTTTTGTTTGTTTTTGTTTTTGTTTTTTGAGACAGAGTCTTGCTCTGTCGCCCAGGCTGGAGTGCAGTGGCGAGATCTTGGCTCACTGCAAGCTCCGCCTCCCGGGTTCACGCCATTCTCCTGCCTCAGCCCCCCGAGTAGCTGGGACTACAGGTGCCCGCCACCACGCCTGGCTAATTTTTTGTATTTTTAGTAGAGAGGGGGTTTCACCGTATTTGCCAGGATGGTCTCTATCTCCTGACCTCGTGATCTGCCCACCTCGACCTCCCAAAGTGCTGGGATTACAGGCTTGAGCCACTGCGCCCGGCCTGTTTTTTGTTTTAAATCCTTTTATGGGTTCAATATAAGTGAAATTATTTAGTAGAGTGTTATAGGAGAAAATCCTCTTAAGTATGAGAGCTAAGGTTTTAATCATTTATATGTTTTAATTTATTAGTAAAAAACTCATATGTACCATGGAGCTTGAACTTAATTTTTAGGGAGAAAATTCAGATTGAAGTAGTATTTGTAACTAGGCTAGGCTTTTATTTATTTATTTATTCTTTTTTTTTTTTTTTTTTGAGACGAAGTCTGTTACCCAGGCTGGAATGCAGTGGCGCAATCTCGGCTCACTGCAACCTCTGCCTCCTGGGTTCAAGCGATTCTTCTGTCTCAGCCTCCTGAATAGCTGGGATTACAGGCACACGCCACAACGCCCAGCTAATTTTTGTATTTTTAGTAAGAGATGGGATTTCACTATGTTGGCCAGGCTGGTCTCGAACTCCTGACCTCATGATCCGCCCGCCTCGGCCTCCCAAAGTGCTGGAATTACAGGCGTGAGGTACCGCACCCGGCCATAACTAGGCTTTTAAAGAGCCATTGTATGGTTTTGGGAGAACATATGCCCATAGATAAAAGTAATGGTTACTTTATAGTGTTGAGCCTCGAACAGTAATTAACAAGCGTTAAAAGATTTAATGCCACACCCCCCAAAAATAAGATTTAGTGATCAAGAAAAATAGCCCTTCTAACAAAACTGAAAGTTTCCTTTTCCCTGTTTTTTGATGTTTCTGTAACAAACATTTATTATATAACTTTTAAGATGTTCTTTTAGGCTGGGTACAGTGGCTCATGCCTGTAACCCCAGCACTTTGGGAGGTCAAGGTGGGCAGATCACTTGAGGTCAGGAATTTGAGACCAGACTGGCCAACACAGTGAAACCTCATCTTTACTAAAATGAGCTGGGCATGGTGGTGCATGCCTGTAGTCCCAGCTACTTGGAAGGCTGAGGCGGGAGAATCGCTTGAATCCAGGAGGCGGAGGTTGCAGTGAGCCAAGATCGCGCCACTGCACTCTAGCTTGGGCCACAGAGTGAGACTGTATCTTAAAAAAAATACAAAAACATGTTGCCCCATTGTGGATACATGTAAAACCAAAAATGTATTTATTAAAAGTGCATTGAAGATACAATTTGGCCAAATGATTAAGTGTTAAAAGTAATATTTGACCAAAGCTAAATATCTTATAGAAGAAACTTTTTGAATTTAAAGAATAAATCTAAAATTACACTTTGAAAAGTATAATTATCTGGCACTGCAGCTCAAGCCTGTAATCCCAGCACCTTGGGAGGCCAAGGTGGGAGGATCACTTGAGGGCAGGAGTTCAAGAGCAGTCTGCGAAATATAGTGAAACCCTGTCCCTACAAACAAACAAAACAAACAAAGTAGCTGGGTGTGATGGTGTGTGCCCATAGTCCCAGCTGCTGGGGAGGCTGAGGTGAGAGGGCAGCTTGAGCCCAGGAGGTTGTGGCTGCAGTGAGCCATGATCATGCCATTGCATTTCAGCCTGGGTGACACAGCTAGACCCTGCTTCAAAAAAACTATATGTATGTAAATATGTATAAACGCATATAAATTATATAATATGAAAGACATGTATATATTATGTTTGTAATTATATAATTATAGAGTATATGTATATATAGTATATACATATATATAAACATCGTTTTTATACTATACTTAAGATACTAAATGGATTCTGACTTTCAAATCAGTGAAAAAGCAAGATATTTAAATAAGTAAAAATTATATACAGAAAAGCTTATTTCATGTTAGAGATTCTAATTCAAATTATTCTAAAAAGATTATATTATTTCTTACGTTTACCTTTTTAAAAACATTTGTTGGCTCAGAAGTTACGTAGCTAATGTGCACTTTGATGATGTTAATTGTCAATTTTCATTTACAGTTGGAAGGCATTTAATATACTTTAATATCTTTCAGTCAAGTTTTGTAGCATTTTATTTTTGTGGTAAAATAAATGAAGCATATACATTTATACTGCAACTAATGGAATTTCAGCATATGATATGTAAGATTTTTCACTCCAATCTACATCTAAAATGCTTTATATTTGAAAGTGAATACTCACATACTGGCTCATAAATCCCAAGGACTTGCTTTGTTTAAATTATTTACATAACATTATCCAATGAAAGTAATTTACTGCAAGCTAAGCTATGAGGACACAAAGGCATAAGAATGATATGACTTTGGGAACTTTGGGGAAAGGGTGGGAGGGTGGCGAGGGATAAAAGACTACACATTTTTTAAAAGAGAAAGTAAGGCAAGGTACAGTGGTTCATGCCTGTAATCCCAGCACTTTGGGAGGCCAAGGCAGGCAGACCACTTGAGGTCAGGAGTTCAAGACCAGCCTGACCAATATGGTAAAACCCGTGTCTACTAAAAATACAAAAATTAGCTGGGTGTGGTGGCGCATTCCTGTAGTCCCAGCTATTTGGGAAGCCAAGGCAGGAGAATCACTTGAACCCAGGTGGTGGAGGTTGCAGTGAGCCAAGATCACACCACTGTGCTCCATCCTGGGCAACACAGCAAGACTCTGTCTCAAAACAAAAAAAGTAATATACACACTTTTTTTTTTTTTTTTAAGGCGGAGCCTTACTCTGTCACTCAAGCTGGAGTGCAATGGTGTGATCTCGCCTCACTGTGACCCCCGCCTCCTGGGTTCAAGCGATTCTCCAGCCTCAGCCTCCCGAGTAGCTGGGATTACAGGCACCCACCATCATGCCCGTCTAATTTTTATATTTACGTAGAGACGGGGTTTCACTATGTTGGCCAGGCTGGTCTTGAACTCCTCACCTCAGTGACCCTCCCACCTCAGCATCCCGAAGTGCTGGGATTACAGGTGTGAGCCACCACACCCGGCCAGTAATATACACACTCTTAAGATCGTGGATTACACACAACTTCAGGATGCTGGAAATGAACGTTGAGTTTGGCATCTAGCTGTTTAGCTTTCCAGAGGTTCAGACTGTAGCAAACGAGGAGATCTAATTTTTAAATATATTTTATAGGCTTACAATTTTGTGTCTTTTTCCCTTAACGTCATGGGTGACTTTCAGTATATTTATCACTCCACTGAAATTGCTGTTGCCGAGTTACTTTTGCTAAATCTAATGCATCATTTGTAGTGCTATTGATGATTGTTTTTTTGAACCCCTATTTCCCTTGAAACCATACTGTGTGAGCTTTTCTCGTATTCCCTGGCCTGTTGCTCTCAGACTCCTCTGTAGTTCTGTCTCTGCTTATCATTTAATTGTTGGTATTTCTTAGGGTTACAGCGTGCGTCCGCTGTCCTTGGTCTCATCCAACCCTCTGGCTTTGGTTAAACTGAATATCATAATCACATGCTTTCTCCTATACTCCAATTACTTATTGGACATCATGACTTAGATATACCTGAAATTCAACAAGTTCCAAATTTAACTTTACTCCCCAACCAGCTTTTTCTGTGAATGCATTGACATTCAAGTCAGAAACTTGGGAGTTACCGTGGATTTCTCTGTCCCCCAACCCCACCATATTTATAGTTGTCCATTCCTACCGGTCCTACTTTAAAAGTCTCTCCATTTCTATTGATCCCTTTACTATACTATTACTGTAGTAAAGCCACTTTCACCTCTCTGATTCACCCAGCTAACAGACATCAGCTTCATAGTTGGTCTTACTTCCTTTAGTCATACTCCTGTCTAACCCATTATGTCATCACCAAAAATGCAAATCTGATCAGACTCTTATGCTTAAGATCCTTCACTGACTTCCCAGTACCGTTAGGATGGGGCAAAGGTTTTCCAAGGTTCTCCTTTATCTTAGGACCTCCTGACACGTTCTGTTTTCTGGAATCAACCACCCCATTCCAAGTGTTTGTCTTCCTTTCCATTATCCCTCCTCTCCATTGACTCTTACTTATTCTTTAGGACTCAACTTAAACTTCACTTTTTGAGAGAAGCTCTCTGCCTTGTGTCCTCCATACTCTTGAGTGCCTTTGCTGTACTCTCATTGTACCCAGTAACTTACTCTTTCATAGCACTGTTATACTACGTATTTACCTGTTTTAATGATCTCCCTGCTAAACTCAGCTCACCAGTGGCAGGGAGCTGTGCTTACCATTGTATCCTCAGAGGCCAGCATAGTCTAGCACACAGTAATTACTCATTTATTATATTCATTCATTCATAGCTATCACTTTCCTTAGTCATTCTCACTTGATAGACTATTTAGAATGAATCCCATTTTTGCTATTACAATAATATTGCAAGCAGCATTTTCATGCTTGGTGGTTTCTGAGTTGAAGATTTTAGGCATTTAAGTGTTGCCTACTAAATTTCCTATGTGACTATATGTGTGCATGTGTATATCTCAGGTTTTAATTGTATTCTGTTGGTGTCTATGCACGACTTTCATCACATTCTTTTTAAAAATTTCCGGCCGGGCACGGTGGCTCACACATGTAATCCCAGCACTTTGGGAGGCCGAGGTGGGCAGATCACCTGAGGTCAGAAGTTTAAGACGAGCCTGGCCAACATGGCAAAACCCCGCCTCTACTAAAAATACAAAAATAAGTCTGACATGGTGGCAGACGCCTGTAATCCCAGCTACTTGGGAGGCTGAGGCAGGAGAATCACTTGAACCTGGGAGACAGAGGTTGCAGTTGGTCAAGATCACAGCACTGCACTCCAGCCTGGGCAACAGAGTGAGACTCTATCTCAAAAAAATAAAAATAGGCTGGGTGCTATGGCTCACGCCTGTAATTCCAAAACTTTGGGAGGCCAAGGTGGGCAGATCACCTGAGGTCAGGAGTTTGAGACCAGCCTGGACAACATGGTGAAACCCATCTCTACTAAAAATATAAAAATTAGACAGGCATGGTGGCCTACGCCCTGTAGTCCCAGCTACTCTGGAGGCTGAGACAGGAGAATAGCTAGAACCCAGGAAGTGGAGGTTGCAGTGAGCTGAGATTACACCCCTGCCCTCCAGCCTGGGCCACAGAGTGAGACTCCATCTCCAAAAAAAAAAAAAAAAAAAGTAAAAATTTCCTTTTGATGCTCAAGTATATATATATTCCTACTTTAAACAATTTTTTTTTCTTAATTATAAGAATGTGTCCTGGGCATGGTGGCTCACGCCTGTAATCTCAGCACTTTGGGAGGCTGAGGCGGGAGGATTGCTTGAGGCCAAAAGTTTGACTAGCCCGGCCAACATAACAAGACCCTGTCTCTATTTCTTTTTAAATATTAAAATAGGCTGGTGCAGTGATTCATGCCTGTAATCCCAGCACTTTGGGAGGCCACGGCGGGCAGATCATCTGAGGTCAGGAGTTTGAGACCAGCCTGGCTAACGTGGTGAAACCCTGTCTCTACTAAAAATACAAAAGTTAGCTAGGCGTGGTGGCATACACCTGCAATCCCAGCTACTCAGGAGGCTGAGGCAGGAGAATAGCTTGAACTTGGGTGGCGGAGGTTGCAGTGATCCAAGATCTCACCACTGCACTGCAGCCTGGGCAACAGAGTGAGACTCTGTCTCAAAAAAAAAAAAAAAAAAAAAAAAATTATATAGGCCAGGCGCGGTGGTTCACACTGGTAATCCCAGCACTTTGGGAGGCTGAGGTGGGTGGATCACCTGAGGTCAGAGTTCGAGACCATCCTGGCCAACATGGTGAAACACCATCTCTGCTAAAAATAAAAAAACTAGCTGGGCGTGGTGGCAGGCACCTGTAGTCCCAGCTACTTGGGAGGCTGAGGTAGGAGAATCTCTTGAACCTGGGAGGTGGAGGTTGCAGTGAGCCAAGATCGCACCACTGCACTCCAGCGTGGCAACAGAGCAAGACTCCATCTCAAAAAAATAAAATGAAAACGTATAAAAAATTATAAGTTGCACAAGACAATGAATGTTGTAGTCTTAGTGACCGATGCAGTAATGCATCTGAGCCAAGTCACAGGATTAAAATTTAGTGTTTCTAAGAAATCCCTGCTTTTGTACATTTGGAGAATTAACATACACAATAAAATATGTAACTTTTAACAAATATTTCCATAATTTGAATGAACTTTCATAACTTAGCCACATGAGGGCAATAGAAATACAAACGCAAGTTTTTATTTTTTCTTCATATTTCAGGTAAGTAATTTGCAATGCAGACTAAAAATACAGTCTGCCAACTAAAATATTTTTGAAATCTTCCCTTAGCAAATTTGTCTGGTGGTTGTTTTTTTAATAGCTAGGATTAAAGTTAAGGAAAATCTTAAGCTAAGCATTAAACTTATTATGTTCTTGGTAGCTAAGATCTCTTAAATTGCTTTGGAGAAAAATGTGAGGGGAAAAAACGTTTCACGGTATTTCTAAATGTTTTGTTTTAAAGGGCTCTCTAAATACGTACAGATTCTGCGATAATGTGTGGACTTTTGTACTGAATGATGTTGAATTCAGAGAGGTGACAGAACTTATTAAAGTGGATAAAGTGAAAATTGTAGCCTGTGATGGTAAAAGTAAGTGCTTGCCTTATTTCTGTGAAAGCTACTTGAAACCTTGTTTTTATGAGCCTTTAGAAGATCTGCATCCATATGAAAAGCCTAACGGGTAAAATGGCCCTATGATCAATTCCCAGATAAGCCCAGGCTTTTATCTCCACTAAATTCTGATTACATATCTCAAACAGTGCTCTTACTTTGTGACTTAATAACATATAGACTGCTTACACAGGTTGGATTTGTGTGGGTAAAATAAGCAAATTAATAAGCATTTGTTCCCTATTTCCATTACAAATTTTAAGTGTTTATCAGGCTTTTCAGACACCTTTTACTTTAAGGAATAATTTTTACAATCCTATGGTTTCTATGTTGCTGGAGACCCATATATTTAAAGAGTTATTTTAAACAGGATTTTAATTAGCCATAAGAACTTTGGAGTCATGATGGTAAATATTCATCTAATCTGTTAAATATGACATGTGCAAGTGAACTTTTCACACCAGACCTAGGAACTTCTTCAGGTCCTTAAATGTTTCAAAAACTATACACCTAATTTCTGTTTCATGATTAGTTTATTTCCTTTTTGCTAATTATATTATTTTAAATATACTTCATAATCTGAACCATTTGTGTTAAGAGCAGCTATTCCAGAAAGTAAATAGAAAAGACTGCTGCTCTTTGACACAGGGAGTTTTGAAAAGCAAGAGAAAGATATGTAGAAAGTAACCCCCTCCATTTCCCTGTTTGAGTCGGATTTGTTTTATATATTTTGCATTTCCAAAGAAATAGCTAATCAATCAATCACTGAAAAAATGTAGAGAATACAAAAAAGCACATGGAAGAAAAACGTTCTCTGTAACACTACCTGATGGTGTTATAACTTTTTTTTGCAAAAATGTATGTATATGTAGACATTAGTAAATGTATTTTTGAGTTTACTACTCTTAAGCCTTAAAAAAAAAAAAAAAAAAAGAGTCTTGCTGTATTGCCCAGGCTGGTCTTAAACTCCTGGGCTCAGGTGACCTTCCCACCTCCTTCTCCCAGAGTGCTGGGATTACAGGCGTGAGCCCCTGCACTTAAGCCTGATTTTTAGTAGCTATATAAAATTACACCTTAAGCCCTTTTTAAAGAAATAGTCTCTTCCAGATATCAGAAAGTCTCTGAACCTAGCAGCGTTATTGTTGGGGACTTGTTATAGTTCAGAAGGTTACCTAGGAATAATCATTCTAAGAACTTTGGGCATAGTTAACTTTTTATTATAGTCATTAGATACATCTTTGTCATTACAGCAAGGAACAATATTTGGGTCTTTTTTAAATTCCTGTGAAGGTGGTGCTGTTTCCTGAATCACAAGATAACATTTCTATATTTGAAATTGTGTACAATTTTTTTCATATTTAAGGTAACAGCATCCTCGTAACCCTTGTTATATTTATTTTTATTAGTCTGTAGAATTCAGGGATTAATTTATAATACCTAGATCTCTATCAAAATGAATTAATGACATACACCAGTACTGCTTAGAACTTTTTTTTAGCACGGACATGTTCTGTTGCATTTTCCAATAGCCACTCATGGCTGTTGTACTTGAAATGTGGGTATGGGCAGCTGAGGAACTTAACTCAATGTTTTAATTTTATTAATTTGAATTTAGCCACATATGGCTAGCCAGTGGTTACCATATTGGACAGAACAGATGTAGACTAGTAGAGTGTCAGTTTCAGTCATTTGAACCATACATTTGAACCATAGCTGAGAACCAGAAAATCAGTAAATAAAGCCTCTGAACAGAATAAATACTGGTGTATAATATCAAAGAATCCATGTAAAGATACGTATTTTACTGATAGGAGCTCCTGTCTGGTAGTCCTTAGAGTGTGTTTCTCTTTACTATACAAGATTGTTTTCCAAACTTCAGTGGATGAGAAGTAGCAGATTGGCCTTGTTTATTGCAGTAGTTTTTGAGGATTTTCCCTCACACTTCAGCACGGTGTAGTAATTGATCTTTAGTGAGAAGATTGTTGACTCAAGGAAAGCTTAAATTGTATTCCATTTACTTTATATCTGCAGAAAAGAATGCAGTGTTAGAAGTTTGGGACAGTAGGCCAGGTGCAGTGGCTCACGCCTGTAATCCCAGCACTTTGGGAGGCCAAGTTGGGTAGATCACTTGAGGCCAGGAGTTTGAGAGCAGCCTGGCCAACATGGTGAAACTCCATCTCTACTAAAAATACAAAAATTAGCCAGGCATGGTGGTACCCGCCTGTAATCCCAGCTGCTGCGGAGGCTGAGGCAGGACAATTGCTTAAACCCGAGAGGTGGAGATTGCAGTGAGCTGAGATTGCGCTACTGCACTCCAGCCTGGGCAACACAGTGTGACTCTGTCTTTAAAAAAAAATTGCCAGGCACGGTGGCTCACACCTCTAATGCCAGCACTTTGGGATGCCGAGGCGGGCAGATCACGAGGTCAGGAGATCGAGACCATCCTGGCTAACATGGTGAAACCCCGTCTCTAAAGTACAAAAAATTAGCTGGGCGAGGTGGCGGGCACCTGTAGTCCCAGCTACTCGGGAGGCTGAGGCAGGAGAATGGCGTGAACCCCCGGGGGGCAGAGCCTGCAGTGAGCCAAGATCACGCCACTGCACTCCAGCCTGGGCAACAGCTAGACTCCATCTCAAAAAAAAAAAAAAAATTTGGGACAGTAAAGGACCTGGGGGAAGAAAGGTTATGTAACAATTATGTGAACCAAATGTAGTTCAACTTAGTTTTACTCTAGTATGAATATGAGGAGCTAAGCATCTTTGTATCTCTGCTTAAAAGGAAACTTACTGAAGTTCAACATATTTACAGTGTCACCTTTCCTCCTGTTCTTCCCCACCCTGCAAGCCACCACCACTATTAGTCCTGTGTTCTCATTTTTGATAGTCTTAAAATAGTTAATTGTAAAATTAAATTGCTCCTTGAATTTACTTTACTTTACTTTCTCTTTTGTTTCCTAGATACTGGCTCCAATACTACAGAATGAATAGAAAAAATATGACTTTTTTACACCATCTTCTGTTATTCATTGCTTTTGAAGAGAAGCATAGAAGAGACTTTTTATTTATTCTAGAATTGCAGAAATGACTACACTGTGCTATACCAGAGAATTCCAGTAGAAAGAAACTTGTAACTCTGTAGCCTCTTACATCACCTTTATTATACAGCATGAAAAACCATAACTTTTTTTTAAGGACAAAAGTTGTTGCCTTCCTAAGAACCTTCTTTAATAAACTCATTTTAAAACTCTGAGTAATAACTGGTGAAGCTATTAAGGTAGCAATATGAAGATATTAGATAATGCATTTTCCCATTTCCTTTGCAAGGAACATGATGCCCTTTCAGAATGCTTATTTCAATAAAGTCATGTTTTGTCAGTTGTAACTTTACCTGATGAAAGCATCAGCAGGGGCAAAACCAAACTCTGGATGGAATTTTTTAAGAAAATCCCTTGCTTTTTAAAATACAAAACCAAAGTTAATCATTGGTATAAAAAAACCCAAGTACAACTTGATTAGGAAAAGTTAGACAATCATAGCAAAAACAAAACCAAAAAACTTTCCTTCTTAGACCAGGTAACATGAGGAAGGGGGAAAAAAACCCAAACAAAATAGTCCCCCCACATGACAGGTGTCTTCAGCTTGCCATATTGATCCAAAGTTCATACATTTTATCATGTACAAGATACATTAGACTTACAATAAAGTCTAATTATTAGACTTTTATGTCAGTGGATTGTGCTTGCAGAAATACAGAAGTAACATACTGACCCTAGGTGAGGAGTTTCTTACATGGTTAACTGGATTGACCCAATTGGAGTAAAAGATTTTTGCTGTTACCTCGATGCTCCTGCAGTTGTTACCTCAGCATGCCACTGTAGTCCTTGACTCTCACATTAAAACTAACTTTGGCTAGGTACTGGTGGCTCACACCTGTAAGTAATCCCAGTACTTTAGGAGGCTGAGACTGGAGGATTACTTGAGTCCAGGAGTTGGAGACCAGCCTGGCCAATATAGACTGTCCCTACAAAGAAAATAAAATTGTTTCATCTTCCAATTCATTCTATGCATGTATTTCCATGTTCCCTTCCTAACCTCCACTACTACCTATTACATAGTCAAATGCATACCAGGCAAATGCAGAGGTATGTATGGTGTATTTATGGTGGCTAAGCTAAATATGAAAACTGGTTTTAATGGATGAAATGTAAAAACTCTAGGTGTATTCCATACTGGTTACCTAAATGAGTACTCTAGCATCTATTATAACTGACTCAACTTCAGTCAGCCTGAAATACCTGTCCCATCACAGAAATGGTCTCCCACTAAATAATGCTGAGCAAAGCTCTAGGTACATGAAAAAACAATCAAGGACAGAATATAAACCTTTTTGAGAACAGAGGCAGTAATACATGTTTCCTCCCAAAAGAGGGCAGGATAATCATTCAGGTATGTTTATTTTGTATTACAGCTAACATTTGAATAGTATTTTCACAAATGCTTACTAAACTCAAGTATGCCAGGCGCACAGACTAGAAAACTGCTATTGGAGTAGAATATGCACTTCAACCCGGACTTTTCCCTTTTTGAGATGGAGTCTTGTTCTGTCACCCAGGCTGGAGTGCAGTGGCACGATCTTGGCTCACTGCAACCTCCGCCTCCCAGGTTCAAGAGATTCTCCTGTCTCAGCCTCCCGAGTAGCTGGGATTACAGGCACATGCCACCATGACTGACTGGTTTATTGTATTTTAGTAGAGACGGGTTTTCACCGTGTTGCCCAGGCTGGTCTAGAACTCCTGAGCTCAGGTAATCCACCCGCCTCGGCCTCCCAAAGTGCTGGGATTACAGGCATGAGCCACCGCGCCCAGCCCAAACTTCAAACATAGCTCTGTACTGTGAAGTGCTCTGTACCTAGAGCTTTGCTCAGCATTATTTAGTGGGAGACCATTTCTGTGATGGGACAGGTATTTCAGGCTGACTGAAGTTGAGTCAGTTATAATAGATGCTAGAGTACTCATTTAGGTAACCAGTATGGAATACACCTAGAGTTTTTACATTTCATCCATTAAAACCAGTTTTCATATTTAGCTTAGCCACCGTAAATACACCATACATACCTCTGCATTTGCCTGGGCGGAGGTGCAGAAGTCAAAGCCTGGCATTTCCTCCTGTCACTTCTAATGATCGCATACACATCACATGACTGACACTTGCACTGTGGCGTGTCTTCCAATATTACCATAGTGTTACTCAAACCACTGGAATTAAAAGGGTCACAGCAAGTGCATGTATCACTTTGTGCCCTCCCAGCTGGCCACAGGTTTCAGTGATAAGAGTCTTAGTTCCCTGCTGATTCCTCAAAGATCTAGAACCAGAAATACCATTTGACCCAGCAATCCCATTACTGCGTATATACCCAAAGGAATATAAATCATTTTATTACACAGACACATGCACGTATGTTCACTGCAGCATAATTCACAATAGCAAAGACATGGAATCAACCCAAATGCCCATCAATGATAGACTGGATAAAGAAAATGTGGCACATACCCACCATGGAATATCATGCAACCATAAAAAGGAACAAGATTATATCCTTTGAAGGGACATGGATGGACCTGGAAGCCATTATCCTCAGCAAACAGGTACAGAAAACCAAACATCACATGTTCTCATAAGTGGGAACTTAACAATGAACACATGGACAAAGAAAGGGGAACAACACACTGGGGCATGTCACGGGGTGGGGTAGCAGGAGGGAGCACATTAGGAAAAACAGCTAATGCATGCTGGGCTGAATTCCTAGGTGATAGGTTGATAGGTGCAGCAAACCACCATGACTTATGTTTACCTATGTAACAAATCTGTACATCCTGCACACGTACCCTGGAACTTAAAGAATCTTAGTTGCCTATTAACGTGGAAGAAGAAGAAATCCATTAATTCACCTACTGTCAAGATTGAGTGAAAAGAAAGCTGGGCTTTTTGTGATAGTGTAGAGTCAGTCCTCTAGATTCACAGCTATTTGCTATTTTAACACCCAAGGAGTGGACAAAGAATAGCCTCTTCCTTGGGCTTAATGCCAGACTGGTGACTGATTGGCTTATTATGATTTACATTCAGCCAACTGGGGAGAAAAAAAGTGTTTCAGTAGGTTATCAGTCACTCGCAACACACTGATTTGTTGCCTTCAGTTTTGAATGGGTCACAAATTTACACTAATTGTAAAATTCTGAAAATTTTTAAGTTACTTATATTTAAAATGATATATATGGATCAACTGGGGTAGCAATTTGTAGCATTAGTTATGAAATTTGGATTCAAGTGGAAAATACAGTTGATTTTGTAGCATGAGAGCAGATTACAGGAGGCCTTGAAAGCTGGGCAGGGAAATTCTCAAAAGGCCTTTAGTGGTCTTTGAGGATGGGAGATACATGAAACAAAGCTGCAATATGCAGGAAAATAAGAGTATCCAGGCAGAAGTTAAAATCAGACTGGTTTAGGGATGTAATTATGGGAATGACAAATCCCAGATCAGGGAAATTCAAATTCCAATGAAAACTCAGAGCCTGGAGTTCAGGTTAACATACATATGAATATTTGTCAGAACTTACTGGCCAAGATGCCAACCCATGGTCACATGATGAGGTTCACAGATCAGAACCTTTCAAAGCTGAATGGAACCTCAACGATGATCTAATGACTTCAACCTCCTCTTTCAGTGCACAGGAAAATTAACACCCAGACACGGATTCACCTTTCCAGGACCAAAAATCCAATCAGGAGGAAAGCTGAGTGTAAAACCCCCCAAATTATAAAACTAGACTACATGAAAATAAAAGCTGCCATTTATAGCATTGTTAGTTATTTAAGCACCTTTAAATAAGTCCCTGCTAGCCCAGCACAGTGGCTCACTCCTGTAATCCCAGCACTTTGGGAGGCTGAGGTGGGTGGATCACGAGGTCAGGAGATCGAGACCAGCCTGACCAACATGGTGAAACCCCGTCTCTACTAAAAATACAAAAATTAACTAGGCGTGGTGGCATGCACCTGTAATCCCAGCTATTCAGGAGGCTGAGGCAAGCAAATCGCTTGAACCCAAGAGGCGGAGTTTGCAGTGAGCTGAGATCGCGCCACTGTACTCCAGTCTGGGTGACAGAGCAAGACTCCGTCTCAAAAAATAATAAAATAAATAAGTCGCTACTACTACTCACCTACATGCACACTATATGCAGTTAAATGAGAACTCAATGGATTAAAAATCAATGCTTACTACTAAAATTTTTAATGAAATGGCATTTAGCACTTCAAAAATAATTGGGCAGGGCGATGGATTTCAGTAACACAGAATGGACCATGCATTGATAGTTGTTGAAGCTCAGTTAATAGGTAAATGAAATTCATTATACCCATCTTGTTATTTGAATATATGTTTAAAATTTTCAGCCGGGCACGGTGGCTCACGTCTGTAATCTCAGCACTTTGGGAGGCCAACGCGGGTGGATCACTTGAGGTCAGGAGTTCAAGACCAGCCTGGCCAACATGGTGAAACCCTGTCTCTACTAAAAATACGAAAAATTAGCTGGGTGGGCACCTGTAATCCCAGCTACTTGGGAGGCTGAGGCACAAAAATCGCTTCAACCCAAGAGGTTCCAGTGAGCCAAGATGGCACCACTGCACTTCAGCCTGGGTGACAGAGCGAGAATCCCATCTCAAAAAAATAAAATTATAAGATTTTTTTTTTTTTTTTTCAGACAGGGGTTTCTCTCTGTCACCCAGGCTGGAATGCAATGGTGTGATCTCAACTCACTGCAACCTCTGCCTCCCGAGTTCAAGCAATTCGCCTGCCTCAGCCTCCCAAGTAGCTGGGATTACAGGCATGTGCCACCACGCCTGGCTAATTTTGTTGTTTTTAGTAGAGACAAGGTTTCACCATGTTGGTCAGGCTGGTCTTGAACTCCTGACCTTAGATGATCCGCCCGCCTCGGCCTCCCAAAGTGCTGGAATTACAGGCATGAGCCACCATCCCCGGCCAATTCTAAGATTTTTTTAAATCAATGCCTGCAATGTGCAGCACTTAGCCTAAAATATTATATTTGAGGCTTGTTTTCTTTGTCCATGTTGTCTTACTATCATGGCATGTTGGTCCTGTACAAGCCATGATAGTAACACAACATGGATAGTAAGGTCTCATAACAGTTTCAGCTGCTCTGGATGATTATTTGCCATCTCCTTAGGGAGCCTCCAGAATTAATTTGTAGCTTTTGTCAGTCCATCCTAAAATCTTCTCTAATTTGATGAATATTCATCTATTTTTTGCATGCTGTAGTAAGAATGTAATCTTATTTTTCTAGTACATAGGGAGGCACAATCTGCAAGGAGTTTAGGGCAAAGCATTTTACCTAATAAGAGGTACAGGAACTTGGCAACACACAGCAAAGTATTTAGTGGGAATTAGCTCAAAAGAGCATTGTGTAGAAATATGCTCAACGGAACTTTCTCTTGAATATCCCAACTCTTATTATCTGATTCTGTGAACTTCCTGAAATTCTATTCAAGAGAAATAGGCTTCAAAACTGGTTCTTTTGCCTGTAGGCAGAGATGTGAAGGTATACTTTCCACTTCTGGAGACACATGGGCAGCACTGATTCTTTGGCCAAGTTAAGGGATGGACACAGAAGCTTTGTGCATTTCTCTTTCCTGCTTCTACTCCCTCTATTCCCTGATAGGAATACTCTATCTGCAGACTTCCACATTTAGTCATGCCAGAGTAAGAAGGATGGGACTTAACTTCCTTCTATAAACAACTAGAAAAGTAAATTAAGTATATGAAACAAACGTTTTCCACATATTGGACCACAGGCAGCTGTGACAGGACTGTAATCCCTAAGAAAGGAAAAAAATAGGATGAACCCTGTAATCATCCCAGCTCTCTTCATGGAGGCAATATCCAAGCTGCAGGCACAGGGAAAGGAAATAGAAACAGAACCTGGCAGTCTTGCGGAGTTGAGGAAAGGTGAGATAGTTGAAGCTGCAAGCAGATTTCCAGAAAGGAGAACACTATGGAGGGAAAAAAAAACCTCCAGGAATCTATACCGTGGTCCCCTCGAGTCCTTACTGAGTGCCTGGCTGCATAGAAGCAGTGACACTCCGCTAGGCCAAGCTAAGAGTGGGGAGTTGGAAACAGCAATTCCCAAAGCTCACACTGGGGGATGCCAGAGGGAAGAGTCCTCTGTAATCACCCAAGACATTAGAAACCCCAAGGTCATGCCTTGGTAGCAGGCATCAAATATCCCTTGAATGAAGGCTGCTTGACTTAAACTCACCCTAGCAAAGCGGAAAAGCAGACTCAAGGGAGATCACACTGTTCCACAAATATTGCCAAAATGAAGCCCAACACAAGTAAACGAAGTCCAGATCCTCAATAACTTAAGAGTTACAATGTACTCCATCTAACAGAAAAATGACTAGACATGCTAAGCAGCAGGAAAATGTGACCATAATGAGGACAAAACATAATGAACAGGAACAGACACAGAAATGACAGGGGTGATACAGCTAGCAGACAAGGATGTTAAAACTGCCATTTTTGTATTAATACAAATACTTAATGAGAAAAATCAAAGATTTTTTTAAAAAGCAGAACTTCTAGAGATGAAAGATACAATATATGAAAACAATTAACTGAATAGCAGACTAGATACTAAAGAAGATCAGTGAAATTGAAAAACAAATTTTATCTAAAATACAGCACAAAGAGAATATAACTAGGGAAAAAAGGAATCAAACCTCAGAGATTTTTGGAATAATATCGAGTGGCTATATATGGAAGGGAGAACAGAAAGATGAAATTAAGGAGACAGTGGCCAAATTTTTCCAAATTTGACGAAAACTATAAACCAACAACGAAGAAGCTTAACTCCAAGCAGGATAAC
The DNA here is from genome assembly GCF_000001405.40 of Homo sapiens. NCBI lineage: Eukaryota > Metazoa > Chordata > Mammalia > Primates > Hominidae > Homo > Homo sapiens. The sequence goes on along the minus strand of NC_000015.10, from coordinate 59,632,180 downwards.
CACAGTACATCAAAATCTAATTGCTGAAAAATAGTGATAAAGAGAAAATTTAAAAGCAGAGGTAAGAGACACTTTATACCCACAAAAACAAAGATAATGATTTCCAAAGACTACTTGTTAACAGCTATGCAGCTAGAAGACAATGAAATAAAATCTTAAAAATACTGAAGACCACCTCACACCCATAAGGATGGCTACTAGCAGAGAAAAAAAAATTAATAAGTGTTGGTGAGAATATAGACATAGTGGAATTCTTTTACAGTATTGGTGAGAATATAAAACTGGCACAACTAAGGAAAACAGTATGATGGTTCCTCAAAAAATTAAAAATAGAATTACCAACCAGGCATGTCGGGTCACACTTGTAATCCCAGCACTTTGGGAGGCTGAGGCGGGAGGGATTGCTTGAGGCCACTAGTTAGAGACCAGCCTGGGCAACATAGAGACTCCCATCTCCACCAAAAAAAAAAAAAAAATTAGCCAGGTGTGGTGGCATGCACCTGTAGTCCCATCTACTTGGGTGGCCAAGGCAGGAGAATTGCTTGAGCTCAGGAGTTCGAGGCTATAGTGAGCTATACCTGCGCCACTGCACTCTAGCCTGGGCAATGGAGCAAGACTCCATCTCAAAAAATATATATATATGTATATATATGTGTGTGTATATATGTGTATATATATGTATATATGTGTGTGTGTGTGTGTGTGTGTGTGTGTGTGTGTGTGTGTATATATATAAATTTACCAAATAATCCAGCAATTCCAGTTATGGGTATATACCCAAAAGAATTGAAAGCATTGGCCAGGTGCAATGGCTCATACCTGTAATTCCAACACTTTGGAAGGCCGAGGCAGGAGGATCCCTTGAGCCCAAGAGTTCAAGACCAGCCTGGGCAACATGGCAAAACCCTATCTCTATTAAAAAATAATAGTACAAGAAATTAGGTGGGCATGGTGGCAGGCACCTGTAGTCCTAGCTACTTGGGAAGCTAAGGTGGGAAGATAATCCGAGCTCTGGAGGTCAAGGCTGCAGTAAGCCGTGACGGCGCCAGTGCACTCCAGCCTGGGTGACAGATTAAAACTAACGTCTTAAAAAAAAAAAAAAAAAAAAGCTAGAAATGATCAAGCTTACAAAGGAAGACATGTCAAAAGCTGAGCCTCTTGTGTCAAAGTCAGCCAAGTCATAAACACAATGGAAAAATTCCTGAAGAAAAGTAAAAGTGCTAGTTCTTACTCCATTTGCAGAACCCCTAAAAAAAAATTAAAAAAGTGCTACTTCAGTGAACGCATGAGTAAGAAAGTGAAACAGTCTTTTTGCCGATATGGAGAAAGTTTGAATGCTCTAGACAGAAGAGCAAACCAGCCACAACATTCCCTTAAACCAAAGCCTAATCCAACCAGCCACAACATTCCCTTAAATCAAAGCCTAATCCAGGCAAGGTCCTAATGTTCTTCAATTCTGTGAAGGCTGAGAGAGGTGAGGAAGCTGCAGAAGAAAAGTCTGGAGTTAGGAGAGGTTTATTTGTGAGGTTTAAGGAAAGATGCCGTCTTCAGAACATAAAAATGCAAGATGGAGCAGTAAGTGCTAATGTAGAAGCTCCAGCAAGTTATCCAGAAGATCTAGCTAAGATCATTGGTGGAGAAGCCTACACTCAACAGATTTTCCTTGTAGACCAAACATTCTTCCATTGGAAGATGCCTTCTAGGACTTTTGTAACTACAGAGGACAAGTCAATGCCTGGCTTCAAAGCACAGGCTGACTCTCTTGTTAGGGGCTAATGCAGCGAGTGACTTTAAGTTGAAGCCAGTGTTCATTTACCATGCTGAAAATCCTAGGACCCTTAAGAATTAAGCCTGGATGACAGCACATCTGCTCATAGCATGGATAACTAAACATTTTAAACCCACTGTTGAGAACAACTGCTCAGGAAAAAAAAAAAAATTAATGCTTGTTGAAAACATACCTAGTCACTCAAGCTCTGATAGAGACATACAAGGAAATTCATGTTGTTTTCACGGTTGCTAAGACAACATCCATTCTGCAGCCCATGTATCAAGTAGTAAGTTGAACTTTCAAGTCTTATTTAGGAAAAACATTTCGTAAGGCTATAACTATCACAGATAGTGATTCCTCTGATGAATCTGAGCAAAGTCCATTGAAAAATCTTCTGGGTCAGGCATGGTGGCTCACACATGTAACTCCAGCACTTTGGGAGGCCAAGGCAGGTGGATCTCCTGAGCTGAAGAGTTCAAGACCAGCCTGGCCAACATGGTGAAACCCTGTCTCTACTAAAAATACAAAAATTAGCTGTGCATGATAGCGCATGCCTGTAATCCCAGCTACTCAGGAGGCTGAGGCAGGAGAAATGCTTGAACCCAAGAGGCAGATGTTGCAGTGAGCCAAGATTGTGCCAGTGCACTCCAGCCTGGGTGACAGAGCGAGACTCTGTCTCAAAGGAAAAAGAAAAACCTTCTGGAGGCCAGCCATGGGGGCTCACGCCTGTAATCCCAGCACTTTGGGAGGCCGAGGCAGGTGGATCACCTGAGGTGTGGAGTTCCAGACCAGCCTGACCAATATGGTGAAACCCTGTCTCTACTGAAAACACAAAAATTAGCCAGGCATAGTAGCATGTGTCTGTAGTCTCAGCTACTTGGGAGGCTGAAACAGGAGAATTGCTTGAGCCCGGGAGGCAGAGGTTGCAGTGACCCGAGATCGTGCCACTGCACTCCAGCCTAGGTGACAGAGACTCTGTCTCAAAAAAAAAAAAAAAGAAAAAGAAAAGAAAAGAAAAGAAAAAAAAGAAAAACCTTCTGGAAAGGATTCACTATTTTAAATGCCTTTGAGAACATTCGTGATTCATGGTGTGGAGGCCAAAATATCAACATTAACAGGAGTTTGGAGAAAGTTGATTCCAACTCTCATAGATGACTTTTTGGGGTTCAAGACTCCAGTGGAGGCCAGGCACATGACTCACACCTATAATCCCAGCACTTTGGGAGGCCGAGGCAGGTGGATTGCCTGAGGTCAGGAGTTCAAGACCAGCCTGACCAATATGGTGAAACCCCATCTCTACTGAAAATACAAAAGTTAGCTGGGCATGCTGGCTTGCACCTGTAGTCCCATCTACTCGGGAGGCTGAGACAGAATTGCTTGAACCCTGGAGGTGGAGGTTACAGTGGGCCAAGATCATGCCACTGCACTCCAGCCTGGCTGTTAGAGTGAGACTCAATCTCAAAAAAACAAAACAAAAAAAAAAAAACTTCAATGGAGGAAGTAACTGCAGATGTTGTAGAAAGAGCAAGAGAACTAGAATCTTATCTCATGATAAATTGGAACAAATGAGGAGTTGCTTCTTATAGATGAACAAAGAAAGTGGTTTCTTGGCCAGGCATGGTGACTCACACCTGTAATCCCAGCACTTTGGGAGGCCAAGGCAGCTGGAGCACTTGAGGTTAGGAGTTGGAGACCAGACTGGCCAACATGGTGAAACCCCATCTCTACTAAAAATATAAAAATTAGCCACGTGTGGTGGCGCACGCGTGTAATTCCAGCTACTCAGGATGCTGAGTTGGAAGAATCAGTTGAACATGGGAGGCCGAGGTTGCAGTGAGCCAAGATCACGCCACTGCCCTCCAGCTTGGGTGACAGATCAAGACTTTGTCTCACAAGAAAAAAAAAAAAAGTAAAGTGGTTTCTTGAGATGAAATCCACTAACGGCGAAGATGCTATGAACATTGTTGAAATGACAACAAAGCATTTAGAATATTACATAAACTTAGTTGATAAAGCAGCACTAGGGTATGAGAGAATTGACTCTAATTTTGGAAGTTCTCCTGTGAGTAAAATGTTATCAAACAGCATGGCATGCTACAGAGAAATCTTTCATGAAAGGAACAGTCAAACAATGTGACAAACTTCAATGCTGTCTTATTTTTTTAAATTGCCACAGTGCCCCCACCTTCAGCAACCACCACCCTTGACCAGTCAGCAGCCATCAACATTGAGACAAGACCTACATCAGCAAAAAGATCATGACTCACTGAAGGCTCAGATTATTAATATTTTTTTAGCAATAAAGTATTTTTTTGCACTGGTTACCCAATAGTGTTTTTAAAATAATGCATATACATTGTGTTTTTAGACATAATGCCATTACACAGATACGGTGTAAACATAACTTTTATATACACTGGGAAATCTAAAACTTTGTCTGACTTGCTGTATTGCAAAATTTGCTTTACTCAGTGTCCTGGAACCAAATTCACAATAACTCTGAGATATGCCTGTATATATATGTTTACTACAAAACATGTTCAAGAACGTCCTTAGGAACACAATTTATAATGGACAAAACTTGGAAACAACCCAAATGTCCGTCAACAGAATGGATCGACTATGGTATATTCATACAATGGATTATTACACAGCAGTGAGAATCACTGAACTGCTACAAAAAACAGATGAATCTTGTAAACATATTGTTGAGTTTCCTGAATCACTGAACTGCTACATACAACATAGATGAATCTTGTAAACATAATGTAGAGTTTAAGGAGCCATAAACAAAGGAGAACATAGTACTTACATAAAATTCAAAAACAGGCAAAATAATCTGTGATGTTAGAAGTGAGAACAATGGTTATTTTTGGAAAGCCATCGGAAAGGAACACAAGAGATACTCTGGGTTGCTGGGAATGTTCTCTTTCTTGACCAGTGTTCTAGTTACACAGGTGTGCTCACTTTGTAAAAATTCTTGAGTTAGATATTTGGAATTTTTGTATTTTTGCATACGGATATTATACCTCAGATAAGATGTTAGTTGAAAAAGAGGCTGGATACAGCGGTTCACACCTGTAATACCAGCACTTTAGGAGGCTGAGGCAGGAGGATTGCTTGAGGCCAACAGTTCAAGACTAGCCTGGGCAACATGGCAAAACCCCGTCTCTACAATTTTTTAAATTAGCAAGGCGTCATAGTGCATGTCTGTAATCCCAGCTACTTGAGAGGCTGAGATGGGAGGATCGCTTCAGCCCAGGAGATTGAGGCTGCAGTGAGCCATGATCGTGCCACTGTACTCCAGTCTAGGCGACACAATGAGAGAACCCCACAGATCCCACAACATCCACCCATCTACTACAGCTGAGTCCATCCACGCTGCCTTCACTCCTGTTACTGTAGGTGAACTGTTCATACTTCCATGAAAGACAAGCCTTTCTTCTTGGGCCCTTAAATAATCATCTCTCTTTTCTTTCCAAAGATGTCATCATTCTGGCAAGCCTCCCAACTCATTCCTACATCTTTTCCTCTTGACTAGATCTTTCCCATCAATATACCAACAGGTTACCACTTTATACATTTTCAAGATAACCTTCTCTTAACCAGTTACTTTACTTTTTTTCTGCTTCTTTTGGCTTAAAGTAAAACTCCTCAAAAGATTTTCTATACTTGCTGAATCCACTTTTGTTCTCCCTGAACCACCTCCAATCAAGTGCTCACCTCCGCACTTCACAAAAACCGATCTTATCAAGCTTACTTACCTACATGTTGTTAAATCCAATAGTCACTTCTTCATCCTCATCATATGCAAGTCTCAGCAGCTTTTGATGCAATCATCAGCTCTCTCTTTCCTGAAACACTTTTTCCTGTTTGCTTCCAGAACATCACACTCACCCTGTTTTCCTTCTACCACTCTAGTTGCTTCTTTCCTACTCTCTTTTGCTGGTTTCTCCTTGTCTCTCTGCCCTCTGCAATTTGGAAACTGCAATTCATTTGGTAACCTCTATTCCCTTTTCTCTCTTTTAAGGTTCTTATCCGTTTCATGACTTTACACAATCTGTAAGCTGTTAAACACCAGGTAAGTATCTCCAATCCAGATCTCTCTCCCAAATTCAGACTTCTATATACATTCATCTCTTCAGCATCTCTACTTGGATATCTAATAGCCATCTGCAGTTTTATATGTTCACAAAGTCCTGACCTTCCCTGAAAAACCAGTCTTCCACAGGCTTCCCATCTTAGTTAGTGGCAACACCATCCTTCTAACAAGATAAAACCCTTGGAGTTATTTACTCCTCTATTTCTCTCCAACTCAATCTGTCAGCAAATCCTCACACTGAACCTTCAAAATACTTCCAGGCTGGATGCGATGGCTCACGTCTGTAATCCCGGCACTTTAGGAGGCTGAGATGGGGGGATCGCCTCCTATCTCAGGAGTTCAAGGCCAGCCTGGGCAACATGGTGAAACCCCATCTTTACAAAACATACCAAAGTTAGCTGGACATGGTGGCATGCACCTGTAGTCCGAGCCACTTGGGGGGCTGAGGCAGGAGGATCACTTGAGCCCAGGAGGTCGAGGCTGTGGTGAGCTGAGATCATGCCACTGCACTCTAGCCTGTACAAAAAAAAAAAAAAATTCCAGAATCTGGCCACTTTCACCACTTCTACTACTACGGCTTTGGTTCAAGCCACTATTGCATAGTGCCTGGATTATTGCTATAGTCTCCTAACTGGCCTCCCTGCTCTACCCTCGCCCCCAAGCCAGTCTGTTCTCAATGCAGCAGGCTAGAGTCATCCTATTAAAATGTGAGTTCTCTGCTCAGAAACCCCTACAATGGCCTATTTCACTCAAAGGAGAAGACAAACTCCATACAATAGCTTAAAAAAGCCTCTACTGGCCTCCTCTGTATGCCCCTCTTAACTCCTCTTCTTCTCCTCCTTTAATCCACTTACAATAGCTTCCTCGCTGTTCCTGAAACATGACAGGTGGGTTCCTGCTTCAGGGCCTTGCAAGTCTTTCCTCTAGAATGTGATCTTCCCCCTTAATCCTCATGGATCATTTCCTCGTCTCCTCAGATGTTTTTATTTTTCCTTGAGATGGGGTCTTGCTGTGTCACCCAGGCTGAAGTATACTGAGTGGTACAATCATTGCTCACTGCATCCTCGACTCCTGAGCCCAAGTAATCCTCCTGCCTCAGTCTACCAAGTAGCTGGAATTACAGGTGTGCACCACACCTGGCTAATATTTCTATTTTTTGTAGAGACAGCGTTTTGCCATGTTGCCTAGGCTGGTCTCGAACACCTGGGCTCAAGCAATCTTTCCTCCTTGGCTTCCTGAAGTGCTGGGATTACAGGCGTCAGCCACCATGCCTGACCTTCCTTCAGATCATTACTTGAACATCACCTTTTCATCGAGGGATTTCCTGTCCACCCATGGGTGGGTGTGTGGGTGTGTGTGTGTGTGTGTGTTTTGGTTTTGGTTTTGTGTGTTTTTGTTTTGTTTTTTTGTTTTGAGACAAGGTCTCACCCTGTCGCTGAAGCTGGAATGCAGTGGCACAATGATTATAGTTCACTACAGCCTCTAACTCCACAGGCTCAAGCTTTCCTCCTGCCTCAGCCTTCCAAAGTGCTGGGATTACAGATGTGAGCCTCCACACCCAGCCCAGGCCACCCTATTTAAAATTTTAAATATCTTCCCTTTCTACTCCATCCTCCCAAGTTCTCCATCACTTCCTTTGATCTCTATCATTTGTTTCCTTATAATAATTTACAGTCTGTTTCCCACTAGTATGCAAACAACACAAGTGTTGGAATTTTTGTCTGTGTTTTGACTGATGTATCCCCAGTGCCAAGAACAATTCCTGGTAAACAGTAAGAGCACAATAGTTGTGGGATGAAGACGTTATCTCATTGATTGCCAGTACATTCAAGCTTCATAGAGGCAGAAACCATATCTTATTCATCTTTGTAATAAAAAATTAAATGGGCCCAGTGTGGTGGCTCACACCTGTAATCCCAGCACTTTAGGAAGCCAAGGGGGTGGATGGCCTGAGGTCAGGAGTTCGAGACCAGCCTGGCCAAGATGGAGAAACCCTGTCTATACTAAAAATACAAAAATTAGCTGGGCATGGTGGCGGGCACCTGTAACCCCAGCTACTTGGGAGACTGAGACAGGAGAATCACTTGAACCCCAGAGGTGGAGGTTGCAGTGAGCCAAGACCATGCCACTGCACTCCAGCCTGGGCAAGAAGAGCAAAACTTGTCTCAAAAAAAAGACTAAATGGAAGCAGTAAGATCAGATTCTTGGGGACAGGTGCAGTGGCACCTGCCTGTAATCCCAGCTACTCAGGAGGCTGAGGAAAGAGGATTGCTTGAGCCCATGAGTTCAAAACCAGGCTAGGCAACGTAGTGAGATCTCATCTTTAAAAAGTAAGAAGAATCTTAAAAAAATAGAAAAACTGATCTTTGGCTCAAGTAAGGTACTTAAAGCAGACAAGCAGGCAGGGTATTTAATTATTCTTTTTTTTTTTTTTTTTTAAGAGTCAGAATCTTGCTCTCATGCCAGTTTGCAGTGCAGTAGCACGATCATGGCTCACTGCATCCTCAAATTTCTGAGCTCAAGTAATCCTCCCACCTCAGCCTCCTGAAGTGCTGGGATTACAGGTGTGAACCACCACACCTAGCCCCAATGTTTTTTCCAGTTTTAATCAAAGTATTTGACCTCCTCAACTGATGTATGTCATATGTTCCCAAGCAAGGTTATCAACGGCCTTCTCCTTCTTTCTTGAGAAATTTTCAAGCTGGGCATGGTAGCATATGCCTGTAGTCCCAGCTACTCAGGAGGCTGAGGCAGGAGGATCGCTAGAGCCCAGGAGGTTGACCTGGGTTCAGGCAATCCTCCCGCCTCGGCCTCCCAAAGTGCTGGCATTACAGGTATGAGCCACTGTGCCTGGCCTTCTTTCAGACCTTTACTTGAACATCACCTTTTTATTGAGGGATTCCCTGTCAACGCTTTTGTGGGTTTTTTGTTTTTGCTTTTTGAGACAGGGTCTCACTCTGTCACTGAAGCTGGAATGCAGTGGCACAATGATCATAGTTCACTGCAGCCTCAGACTCCCTGAGCACGCCTGCAGTTCCAGCTACTCAGGTGGCCGAGGTGGAAGGATTGCTTGAGCCCAGGAGGTCGAGGCTGTGGTGAGCCATCACTGCAGCACTGCACTCCAGCCCGGGCAACAGAGTGAGTCCCCCGTTTCCAAAAAAAAAAAAAAAAACATTTTTTCCACTCAACCAAGAGAAAGACAAAAACTACAATGAGCAGAGTGTACAACAAAAATGCAGTTATTAAAACAATGCTTACCAATAGCCCACAGATAAAAAATAAGGAGGAAATCCAAACCCTGAGAGGTAATACAAACACAGTTGTTCAATTAATTTGTGAGATTTTTCCTTACCAGAGAACGGTTAAAGACACAGATATGACTCAGAGGGAAGAGAAAAATCAGCAGATGTGTTGGTGTATGATTTCTATAATACACTAAACAAATGAGGGCTAAATTCGACCCCTCTGATATGAAGACCCTGTGTTATTAAATAAACAGCACTTCCTACGCACCTGAATATATTTCTAGAGAAAATTTCAATGGTTGAAAAATTTCAGTAACTTATCCCCAAAAAAATGACAAGTTCACATTTTAATCTTTTTATTTATATAAAAAATTATAAATTATTTCACATGAAAGCTTTTGGAGTAAGTTAACTATGAGGCCAAAGTTCTTTTCTCAGAGAATCTGCACCCAGGGAGGCTTTTCTGCCTACTTCCCACGGTGGCCGTGTGCCCCTTCTACCTCCTTCAGAGGAGGACCAAGGACCATCACATCAGCCAGCAGGGGGAGGCCGTGATCGATCACCACTGCTGGCAACAGACCTCTCAGGGCACACCCACTGTGTATACAACTAGTCATCAGTCATCTCCGTAGTGGGGTTGGGAGCAAAGTGAATAGGACTCTATTACAATGCAGGCAAGTTGGTAGTGACAATGACCATTATCTAAGAAGTACAACCTTACCAAAAAAAGGTAACTTTTTTTTTTTTTTTGAGACTCAGTCTGGCTCTATCGCCCAGGCTGGAGTGCAGTGGTACGATCTCAGCTCACTGCAACCTCTGCCTCCCATGTTCAAGCGATTCTCCTGCCTCAGCCTCCCAAGTAGCTGGGATTACAGGTACCCACCACCATGTCTGGCTAATTTTTATATTTTTAGTAGAGATGGGGATTCACCATGTTGGCCAGGCTGATCTTGAACTCCTGACCTCAAGTGATCTGCCTACCTTGGCCTCCCAAAGTGCTGGGATTACAGGCGTCAGCCACCACACCTGGCCAAAAGTAACTACCTTATAAATAAAAAATTCACTGTGTCAGACACAGTGATAACTGTCAGAGTTACAGGGTTTGCATAGAGAAAGTTGATCATGACAGAAAACTTGATGAATTGAATGACAACACTCAGAAAGGGCTGGGTGCGGTAGCTCACGCCTGTAATCCCAGCACTTTGGGAAGCCAAGGCAAGTGGATCACTTGAGGTCAGGAGTTCAGACCAGCCTGACCAACATGGTGAAACCCTGTTTCTACTAAAAAAATACAAAAAAATTAGCCAGGCAAGGTGGCACACACCTGTAATCCCAGTTACTCAGGAGGCTGAGGCAGGAGAATCGCTTGGACCCAGGAGGCGGAGGTTGTAATGAGCCAAGATTGCGCCATTCGTTGCACTCCAACCTGGGTGACAGAGTGAGACTCTGTCTCAAAAAAAAAAAAAAAAACAAAAATCAGAAAGGAAGAAACATATTAATGACATCATGACGTATTAATGGGAGCATCCTTCAGATTACACCAATTAACTTGCATATAAATCACCTTTCCAGGGCATATCGTATGCAGAAGATGAGCTGTACTATATTCAAAGGGCACTGCCTATGTTTTTATAGTATCCCTTGCCCATCACAGAAGAGTATAACTTAGCCAACAACCATCTCTGGAGCTTCGGAAAGGAAACTGTTTCACTAGGTAACACTTGGGAGGTAGCGTGCTGTATGTGTGTATACATACACACACATATATGTATTTACACATACCTTATTGTCTCCCCGCAAGGAAATGTGTAATCTGCAGAATCACTAATAGCGATCCTTCCATTCGCATTCTGAAATAAGAGTTTTGACTCAAGAGGGGACCAGGCATGGTGGCTCACACCTGTAATCCCAGCACTTTGGGAGGCTGGGGCAGGTGGATCACTTGAGGCCAGGAGTTTGAGACCAACCTGGCCAACATGGTGAAACCCCATCTTTACTAAAAATACACAAAAATCAGCTGGGCATGGTGGCTCACATCTGTAATCCCAGCTACTTGCAAGGTTTGGGGGGAGAATCACTTGAACCTGGGAGGCAGAGGCTTCAGTGAGCCAAGATCATGCCACTGCACTCCAGCCTGGGCAACAGAGTGAGAACCTGTCTCCAAAAAAAAAAAAAAAAAAAAAAAAAAAAAGAGTTTTGACTCAAGAGGCCTAAACATGGAATAATAAGACATCCTGGTTTAACTGAATAGTCCTAGTTTATTTTTATTTCTCAATACAATTATTAATAGTGCAGACTCTCCCCCTACAAAAACATGTTCCACTTTGAATAATGAATTACACATTACCTTACCTGATTGGCTATTATCTCCTTTATGGAACATTAGCTAAGCTTTGGCTGTAAAGTGGACAAAATTAGAATTAGTGCTGCGATTTTCCTGTAAGAGTACAGGAAAGGTGGTCAAACTGGTTAAATCACCCTGCCTTTTCCTTTACAGAAAAATCACAAACCTGGCAATATAAACAAAATGAGGATGGCTTTTAACAATGGAAGAACCATCCCTGTTCCCCTGTCTTCGTTAGAATTTGCTATTTGTAGGCCAGGCGCAGTAGTTCCCACCTGTAATCCCAGCATTTCGGAAGGCCGAGGCGGGCAGATCACAAGGTCAGGAGTTCAAGACCAGCCTGGCGAATATGGTGAAACCCGGCCTCTACTAAAAATACAAAAATTAGCCAGACATGGTGCTGCATGCCTGTAGTCCCAGCTACTCAGGAGGCTGAGGTGGGAGTATCGCTTGAACCTGGGAGGCGGAGGTTGCAGTGAACTGAGATTGCACTACTGCAGTCCAGCCTGGGTGACAGAGCAAGACTCTGTCTCAAAAAAAAAATTGCTATTCATGCAGCTTGTCAGGACCATTTCAGAATAATGAGAACTCTCTTGCCAGCCCCTAGGGATTTTAAATGTCATGAATAGTTATGAGAAAAAGTCTCACACACTTTATCTGTTTATATTTATATTATTTCTGGCATACTAGGCAAAAAGTAGAGGTAATACTTTGAATCAGGAGCTATTTATTTTTAAGTTAACAGTACAGAAGGGAAGGTTCTCTTTCCATCAAAGTTCTCCTCCACGCTACCAAACCTGGAATTATTAGGAACGGCAGCTCCACAGAATGGAAAAGCTACCAGCAGGCATTCAACTGAAATCAAGTGCTCTACCACATATCCCTCCTTCACTCTCCCTATCACAGCAGTTCTCATTCTCACTTAGTGAGAAAGTTAGTGGAGGAACTACTAGGGTTAGGGGTGAGAGAACAAGCAGCATTCACCCAGGCAGCAATTTGCAAGGCAAAAGATCTACTTACCCACACTCTAATAGCAGCCCTCTTATCCTAAAGGATGCCACGAATTGCAAAGCCCTGGTCTCCCACCCACACTGTCCCAGCAAGTTCTGAGCATGTTTGTACATGCTCTTGCCCCACAGGTAGCAACGCTCTCATAGTGTGTCTCAAAGTTCAGTCCCATAGATGGCCTTATAACGTAGGTATTCTTCTAAGCACTGAAGAGCATTATCATCTACCTTTGGGTCAAACTTGTTGGCCAACAGGTGATGGTTTTGAAGCATCCAATTCAAGTCCCCAGCCCCATAAACGCAGATAGCCCGCTGGTGGATTCCAGAGCAGGGAGCATAAGGAGCACCCTTATCGATGTCTCCCTCATGACCCTGCCACTTGACCAGCCTGGCAATAGAAGTCATGTCTGAGATGTCGTACTTGGGGTGGTTGGGAACAGAGCCAGGCATCCACCGTGCACGCTGAAGGGTGGCCCAGAGGTGTTCATCTGGGCTATAAGTGTCTTTTACCCATTCAATCAGTTGTTGGGATTTAGGGTTCTTCAAAACATGTTGGACGAAATCTCGGGAAGCCACAATGTACGCATTCCCTGTAAACATAGTTAAATTATAAGGGGGAGGATCCTTCTTCTTGTTGGTTAGGTGTAATGTGTCTCTCACTACCTCAAAGTGATATTTCCAGCGGGTTTCTTTGTGCTTAGGAGGTACCTCTGACTCCATGCTATTCCTCCCATTCAACATCTTGAGAGCCTGGACCATCTCTGCATTGCTCTTTATAGGAAAGTCCGTCCCACATGTATTCAGGAAGTATTTCCACGGCACTGAGCTCTGGAGCAAGTCTTCCATGCAGTTGAGGTCAGCTTGCACCCTGGACCAGGAGGCATAAACCACCCGAACCAGCTTACTGGCTATGAAGACATTTGGGAAGCAAGAAATAATTGCTTTGACCGCCTCTTTGAAAGTTTCTGGGGACTTCTCATCCACATGGACACAGTATATGTTCTGAGGGGCATACACAGCTCGCAGTAGCCTTTCAAAGTTTTCAATCTTCTCATGAATCACCATAGAGTATGCAATAGGGAACTCCACCTCTTCTTTGCTCAGTGGGAACTGTATGAACTTCCTTTCAGCCTTGAAGTGCTCACAGTCTCTGGTGAGGGAGAGGTAGTGGGTGTCTGTGAAAGGCTCTCGCTTCTTCTTGACCTCCAGGTTATTCAGAATAGCCTGAAGCACTGCCTCTTGGTCCCCTCGGGTGACCCCTGAACAGTTGATAGACCTCTTTGCTGGAAGTTTCAGGAAATTATACAAGATATTCCTACAGTACTGGCTTTGAGATTCCCTGGACTCCAGACCCAAGTGGTCAGAGTCACACTTCAACCTGAAAGAAAGTTTCAGAGCCACAGTGGCCAGCAGCATATAGCAGCCCAGAGCCCACAAGTAATGCAGCTGGCAGAGTCTCTTCCATTGAACCATCGTCACAGAATGGGAGACAGGTGGAGACCGAGCACAGGGAAGGTGGAGGAGGACACAATCCTTGGACAGAACAAAATGCCTCCAGTTACAAACCAATCATTCCCAGAAACATCAAGTTCAATTCCAAACTGATGGCAAAAAATATTTCTTACCTGGACAAAAATCCTTAGTAAAGACCTGCCTAGAAGCCCCTTACATCTGGTTTGTTGATGGAGATCTGTAATCTGACCCTACAAACTAGCCGACCACACTCAAGTCTGGATCTGGATCCACCTCCACCCCAGGAGAAAAGGAACAACTGAGCACCTGCTGCCATGGAGCGTCATTAGTAAGAGCACGTCCCCACCCACCCTTCATTCCTCATTCTTCTTCTCATGCCTTACCACCCTAGAATATAACTCTTATCTGGGGTCTGGAATTTCTGATAGATCTGGAGAGAAAAATCCATAAAATTCAGACTCTTGGCATCGGTTCTAGAAACCTAAAGGTCCTTTCAAAACATTTCTTGCTTCTATTTTGGCAATTTATATAGCATTAGAATGCTTTTCACCATATATAATTCATTGGTCAGATGTGACATCTAGCCACACTTTTTAAAAAATGTTCTTAAAGAAGTAAAAATAACTGGATATTATCCAAAAATGCATTGAAATCATTCAGAGTATCCATCCAAGTTTAAAATATACTTGCACACAAGCTGTGTATATACAATATTTAATGAGTACCTTTTGTGGGTGAGAAATATTTATTTACACTGTCCCATTTAATAACCTTCACAACCAATCTGAAATGTATTATTAAGCCTCTTTTATAGATAGGAAAACAGAAGCTAAATAACTTGCCAAATACACATGTTTTAAGAAGCAAATCCAGGACTCCTCTCCACTCTCTCTTCTCCCCCAGTGTTTTTGTCTACAAGCCTAATGCTTGTTCCAACAAACCACAGCTACCTTTGAAATACAATACAGGAAGTATTATAGCTCTTTTATATTTTGTTTGGACTCCCAAACAAATTTCACTGTCCGATGAAGACCAGGAAGCCCCTTTAAAAAAAAAAAAAGAAAGAAAGAAAACAAAAGAAAAATAAAGAAAAAACATTGTACATTGAAATCCTAAGATGAATATGGAAAAAAAAGAAAAAATAAATACAATAAAGGGTACTGAATATCAGTAAAGAAAACCAGATATTATAGAAAATAATCCCTATAAGGAGAGGGACAAAATGTGCCACATCCTTCAAGCAATGATTATTTTCCCTTGTTGTAGCTCTTCCTAAACACAAGAATGTATTCTCTTTAGTAATAGCTTTTATGGGAATCTAAGAGGAAGGAAAATGAAAAATGAAGAAAATTCTCACCTTTAGTAGCTTCTCTCCTGCTTAGGGATGATCTCTTCACAAGGCGTGATTCTGTTTCCAAGTGAAGACTGGCGGTGTTCCGTGGCAGCAAATGTGAACAACCATGTCCCCTGATCTTCTAACCCTCCAAAAGGTATTTTCTGACATTCATAAGATGTCCAAGGAACAGTTTCAGGCTCCTCTTTAATATCTGCAAAGTAGAGGGCAGCAGGTGGCTCCATCACTCTCCTTTTGACTTCCTGCTCTCAGGTAAGACAGCAAGCTCAGAGAAATCATGCAGAAACATTCTCAAGCCCAAGTCATTCAGGGAGGTCAGTGAGGCAGGAAGAATGCTGGCAATATCCGACAAGGCAAACAGATATTTCAGCCAGAACAGCCCAGTTTGTACCTGTGTCACCAACTATTCATAAAAGCCTGTCAGTGCTCACGCAAGAACTTGAAAGCCTTTTTCCCTCAACGAGGAACCATAGAAACAGAGAGATATGCCCCTCCCTTCTTTTGTTTGGGAGTCCAAATGTCACTCATGTTCCCTGAACATTACAAGAGGTGGGAATAAAAATACTCTTCAAGGATTTTTCTTTTGTTATTTTACTTTTCTTTAAAAAAAGCACATCAATGAAATCCATAGTTCATTCTTCAAATGCAACTGCTCCCTCCCGGTACCCCACCAGAAAACATCCATTTGCCTGTCTTTGCACGACTATTAATAATCTGTAAGTTGTAGAAATACCCACAGGGTTCCAGTTTGTAGAGCTCCCTCACTAATGTCTATGAGTCTAGAGCTGTTGGCAGTCTAAGGAATGGATTACACTATGGGCTGTTGGACTTCAGTGAGAGCCCCATGGGGTGGTTTTGGCCATGGTATAGATTACAAAATGCCTTCTTCAAAGCTGCTGACATTGTTAGCTTCTCCCCAACCCGGCCCCCAACTGCTCCTCCTAAAAAGCAACACTCCTAACCAAATATCTGAACAGAGCAAGTTTTTTGTTGTTTTTACAAAGTATCTGGCTCTGTCGCCCAGGCTGGAGTGCAGTGGTGTGATTACGGCTCAATGCAGCCTTGTCCTCCTGGGCTCAAGCCATCCTCCTGCCCCAGCATCCTGAGTAGCTGGGACCACAGGCACACACCACCATGCGGAGATAATTTTTTTTTTTTTTTTAAAGTAGAGATGAGGTCTTGCTATGTTGCCCACGCTCATCTCAAATTCCTGGGCTCAAGTGATCCTCCCACCTCGGCCTCCCAAAGTGCTGGGATTACAGGAGTGAGCCACCACGCCCAGCCTGAACAGGGCAAATTTAATATAAAGAACTCAACTAGGTATAAAGTTAAGATATAAAGTGTTGGGGAAGGAGTCACTATTAAGGCACTAGCAATTGTTGGACATAGCTACCACTCCTAGATTGAGGGAATTAAGGGAGGAACTGAAAATTATTAAATTGAAATTTTGGGTGGAGAGACACCGAAGAAGCTGAAACTCATGGCTCTGAAGAGTGGTGACCACTCAACAAATGCTGAGGTCTCTGAGCTCACAGGAGGGCCCTCTGGGCTGAGATCCAGACCTCTCAGGAGGCAAATGAAATCTTTGCCGATAGCTACTGTAAACTGAATTTAGTGCAGCTACACAAAGGAACAGCCACTGAGACATAAATAGGCGTTGACATGGTGATGCTCACAGAACCAGGAAGCAGATAGGAAGCAAACAGGAAGTCCCTCCTCCAGCCGGCTGTCTCCCTCCAGTGCCCTTTATTGGCAGAGTTTAAGCAGAAACGTGGTTTGCAAGAGGCATGAATAACCTCCAGCATTACAAAGTAGAGTTGAGAAGGGTGGATTTCTCCTGAAGATAATGAGGCAATAATGGAGATGAGTCAGAGTTGCCTTCTTGGTGCACAAATTGTTTACATGCACACACCTCCAAGATTTTCAGCGCAGAGAATTTAGGTATTTTATTTTTTGGTCCTCTGCCCACCGGCCTCTGACTTAGATGAAGCCACAGCAAAGACAAGAAAGTCATGTAGGGTTGTCAGAGGTGCTTGAACCAGAGCAACTCCATCTTGAATAAGGGCTGGGTAAAATGAGGCTGAGACCTACTGGGCTGCATTAGCAGATGGTTAAGGCATTCTAAATCACAGGATGAGATAGAGGAGATAGGCCCAAGATACAGGTCATAACAATCTTGCTGATAAAACAGATTGTAGTAAAGAAGCCAGCTAAAACCCACCAAAACCAAGATGGTGACGAGAGTGACCTCCTGTCCTCCTCACTGCTACACTGCCCCCAGTGCCATGACAATTTACAAATACCATGGCAACAACAGGAAGATACCCTATTTGATCTAAAAGGGGGAGGCATGAATAACCCACCCCTTGTTTAGCGTATCATCAAGAAATAACCATTAAAATGGGCAACCAGTAGTCCCCTCAGGGCTGCTATGTCTATGGAGTAGCTATTCTCTTATTCCTTTACTTTCTTAATGAACTTGCTTTCACTTTACGGACTCGCCCTGAATTCTTTCTTGCGCAAGATCCAAGAACCCTCTGTTGGGGTCTGGATCGGGACCCCTTTCTGGTAACAGGGTCATCTGCACCCCTACGTGGGCCCTGCTCCACAGGCTGTTTTCTGCGGTACTGGGATTCTCAGTGACTTTCCATTGTTGAGTATAAAATCTCTGGGACAAGAATGATTATGGGATAAGCACTTGCTTCAGTATTCTAATCTAGAAAAACTCCTCCACTTTATTAGTATCTTACTTTTCTTTGGTGCCCCCCTCAAGTCTCACCTTCATTCCCATAAAAACTGCATTATAGATTCCCTCAGTAAGAGACAACACCTTGAATAGTTGAGGGCTTTTGTTTGTGTATGTGTTTTTCAGAGACAGGGTCTCGCTGTCACCCAGGCTGGAGTGCAGTGGCAGATCATAGCTCACTGCAGCCTCGAACTCCTGGGTTCAAGCCATCCTTCCACCTTAGCTTCCCAAGTAGCTGGGACTACAGGCACAAGCCACCATGCCCAGCTAATTTTTATTATTTGTATTTTTTTTGTAGAGATGCGGTTTCACTGTGTTGCCCAGGCTGGTCTCAAGCTCCTGGGCTTCCAAAGTGCTGGGATTAAAAATGTGAGCCACTGTGCCGGGCCTGAATATTTTTGTTGTTGTCATTTGAGACAAGGTCTGGCTGTACAGCCCAGATTGGAGTGCAGTGGCGCCATCTCAGCTCACTGCAACCTCTGCCTCCTGGGCTCAAGCGATCCTCCTACCTCAGCCTCCTGAGTAGCTGAGATTACACTCAGCTGATTTATTTTTATTTTTATTTATTTATTTATTTATTTATTTATTTATTTATTTATTTATTGTAGAGATGGAGTTTGCTGTTCCCCTGGCTGGTCTTGAACTCAGGAGCTCAAGCAATCTCCCCGCCTCAGCCTCCCAAAATGCTAGGATTACAGGTATGAGCCACCATGCCCAGCCAAATATTTTATTTTTAAGGTAACCAAAGTAAGTTGGTTATGTGTTAAGTATTTGTTAATAACACATTAAGAAATCGTGGCTCTATTTTGTTGAGATGGTCTACATTATAGTAACGTCAAGTACCTAGTAATAAAGCCCAGCGTGGGACTCAGCCCAAAAAAGCTAGGTCTGAATCCTGGCTCTGCCACATTCAAGCTGAATGATCTGCAACAAATTCATTCATCAGTCTGTATTTTAGTGAATTCTTTTGCATAATAGAAGCTAATGCTAATATTTGTTTTCTACTACTATTGAGAAGATTAAACAAGATACATATGAAGGACCAGGCAAATATAGCCTGGTACTTACAGCCCCTCAGTGAAGGTTATCATGAAATAGATCCAGTGCTAGCCCACAAAGACCTATTTTACTGACAAAATAACTCAAGGTGGTTACAAGTAGCATTCCTGAACTCTGGACCAAGCAGAAGTGTTAATGTTTATGATGTAGTGAGGGAAAGGACTAAGAATTGCCCTCCATCTCTGTGTTCTGTGGAGAGACTCTATTGTAAGTTGTCACCCTCAGCACCTCAGGCAGAATAAGACCAGGGATGAGCTGCAACTGACCCCAGGGAGGTACAGGAGAGGGGACAGAATGGCTGCGGAAGGGCACAGGAAGATCGGGGGTGAGGCAACCTGCAGAGATCAGGCAAGCATTCAGAAAGATGGCCAGCAGCTTCCTCACCTTAATTCCATGCTAGCCCTGAAGAACATACAGGACACTTGGCAAGAGGGAGAAAGGGCGCAGTCCCAGACTGCCTGGGATCCCGGGCACATTTCAAGGCAAAAACTGAAACCTGGGGTATGATGCTTTTCACAGGGTTCCTTTTACCCCTGCTAAGGACAAAAGGTACAGCCAGATGATGCTGAAAGCAAATTTATCCAACAGCCCAGGAGTCATGAAGCTATTTAGACATCCCAAGAACTGAAAGGATGACCTTCACCTCCCTCAGTAACCAAAATATAAAGCAACATAATATAAGTAAGTCCAACCCAGTCCTGAGTTTTCCTACAATGACTACTACTATAATGCTGTCTTTCAAATAGCTAACTCTTCCCACTCAGACTCCTCAATCTTTTTCTCCTAATCACTAGTTCAGGCTTCCTATGGGCCAAAAGCTTCAACTTCATCGCTTGAGCTTTGAATTATAAATCCTTGTATGTTTGTGGAAAGGTCTAAGAGTTCCAGTCATGGGAAACAGAGAAACTAAGCTAGGGTCATCAAGGTGGTGCTGAGAGAAGCCAGTGGGATTTGATGTTAACCTTGACGGAGGCTCGAGGAATCCTACAGTCCCAACACCAGCGTCAGAGAAGGGCCCAAGAAGCAGGATTCATCTTAAGCTGAATTTACAAATTAGCTAATGCACACTTTTACTTAATTTGTTATGGTGGCATTTACCTTTGCCAGGCGTCAGCTTGGTCTTCTCATTGACAGGAAGCTCCTTGAGGTCATGTTCTTCATCTGTTTCCCTTCAGCACCTACAGTGATAGGTATTAGCAGAATCCCAGGGCTTCCCAGAACAAAAACTGCTGAGTAAAGGGCAGGTCACAAGTAGCAAGGGCAGTTCCCGTGACTTAGAGAGAAGAGGCTCTGACTCAGAGAAGTAATGCGAGAGGATAGATAAATAGGAAAACCCAGTTAATGTGTTACTTATTAGGCTGGAGCTAGGGTTTGAAAAAGACTGAAGGCACTAAAGAAGATGAGGAGAGGGGAGGTAGGGTGTTTTGAGCTCTAACATTAAATAAATGTTCTAGGTAGTGGGCTCTTAACAAAGATGAAGTTATGAACTCTAGCCACAGACAAACGGTTGAAAGACCCAGTGTGATCAAACTGGTTTCTAATCAGGGTTGCAAAGTGAAGCTCAGACTGGATGCAATTTGCTGAAAGACAGGGACAGCCTGTAGGTTCCTCCTTAGAGCTCCACATCCTCTCTGCACTCAAAGTTCCCCCTTGCTCTAGACAGCCCTCCTGGATGCACTTCACATGGCCTGGAGTGGAAGAGAAAAGAGATTAAAGAAGAAAAGAGAAAAGAGATTAAAGAGGAAAAGAAAGAGAGAGAGAGAGAAAGAGAAAGAGAGAGGAGAGAAAAGAAAGGAAGGAAAGAGGAAAGGGGAAGGGGAGGGAAAGAGGAAAGGGGAAGGGGAGGGAAAGAAGAAAGGGGGAGGGGAGGGAAAGAAGAAAGGGGGAGGGGAGGGGAGGGGGAGGGGAGGAGAAGGGGAGGGGGAGGAGAAGGGGAGGGGGAGGAGAAGGGGAGGGGGAGGAGAAGGGGAGGGGGAGGAGAAGGGGAGGGGGAGGGCGAGGGGAGGGGGAGGGCGAGGGGAGGGGGAGGGTGAGGGGAGGGGGAGGGGGAGGGGAGGGGGAGGGGAGGGGGAGGGGAGGGGGAGGGGAGGGGAGGGGGAGGGGAGGGGGAGGGGAGGGGAGGGGGAGGGGGAGGGGGAGGCAGAGGGGAGGGGGAGGCAGAGGGGAGGGGGAGGCAGAGGGGAGGGGGAGGGAGAGAAGGGGAGGGAAGGAGGAAGGGGGAGGGAAGGAGGGAGGGGGAGGGAAGGAGGGAGGGGGAGAGAGAAAGAGAAGAAGAGAAAAGGAAGAAAAGAAAGGAGGAAAGGAAGGAAGGAGGGAGGTAAGGAGGGAAGGAGGGAGAGAGGGAAGGAAAGAAGGAGGGAGAGAGGGAAGGAAGGAAGGAGGGAAAGAGGGAAGGAGGGAAGGAAAGAGGGAGGGAAGGAAGGAAGGAGGGAGGGATGGAGAGAGGGAAGGAGGGAGGGATGGAGGGAGGGAAGGAAGGAGGGAGGGAAGGAGGGAGGGAAGGAGGGAGGGAAGGAAGGAGGGAAGGAAGGAGGGAAGGAAGGAGGGAAGGAAGGAGGGACGGAAGGAGGGAGGGAGAGAAGGAAGGAGGGAGGGAAGGAAGGAGGGAGGGAAGGAAGGAGGGAGGGATGGATGGAGGGAATGAAGGAGGGAGGGAGGAGGGAGGGAGGAGGGAGGGAGGAGGGAGAGAGAAAGAGAAAAAGAAAGAGA
Source organism: Homo sapiens (assembly GCF_000001405.40). NCBI lineage: Eukaryota > Metazoa > Chordata > Mammalia > Primates > Hominidae > Homo > Homo sapiens. The sequence continues at coordinate 59,610,370 of NC_000015.10, read as the reverse complement.
AAGAAGGAAAGAAAGAAAGCCCACACTACTTACTCAAAGCAAGCAAGCAAGCCCCACACTGCTTATTCACAGGAAGGAAGGAAGGAGTGAAGGAAGGAGGGAGGGAGGGAGGGAAGGAAGGAAGGAAGGAAGGAAGGAAGGAAGGAAGGAAGGAAGGAAGGAAGGAAGGAAGGCAGGCAGGCAGGCAGGCAGGCAGGCAGGCAGGCAGGCAGGCAGGCAGGCAGGCCCACACTGCTTATTCACAAAATGCAGAGGAAACTTCTGAATCTTCTCAGGTGAGATAATCTTAATTTGCTACTCTCTCTCTACTCACATTCCCAAGGCCAGTCATTTGCCAAATTGTAAAGGCGGCCTTATTTCCTCACTCCAGTCTTTGGGTGGTGCTCTGCTTCCTGCCAAGACCAGCTGCCTGCTCACAGCTGCCCCTGCTGCTGCTCAGCACCACGGAAGCAAAGGGCAGCCACGGCCATGCTTGTTCTATCTCCTGTCTCCACAAACTCACCAAAATAGACTTGTCTTCACTGTGGTGTCACAAGCTCCTTGAGGGCAGGGATCATGTCTGACTCAGCTGTGTCTTTCCCACAGCGGCTAGCACAAGAACTTGCAGACGGTAGTGTCGAAGCAAAGAGTCAAACTCTGTAAAATATTTGAAGAGATTTATTCTGAGCCAAATATGAGCAACCATGGCCCGTGACACAGCCCTCAGGAGGTCCAGAGAACATGTACCCAAGGTGGTTGGGGCACAGCTTGATTTTATACATTTTAGAGAGGCATGAGACATCAATCAAATACATTTAAGAAATAATTGGTTTGGTCCAGAAAGACGGGACAACTCAAAGGGGGTGGGGGATGGTAGGGGGGTATTTCCAGGCTATAGGTGAATTAAAATATTTTCTGGTTGACAATTGGTTGAGTTTGTCTAAAGACCTGGGATCCACAGAAAGGGAATGTTCAGGTTAAGATAAAAGATTGTGAAGACCAAGGTTCTTTTGAAATCTTATAGTGGCTGCCATTAGAGACAATAGAAAAATATTTCCTATTCGTATCTTTAAAAGGTTCTAGACTCTTAATCACTTTAAGATTGGGAGGGTCTGGAAGAAAAAGATCCAGCTATGTTAACAGAGAGTCTTTACAGATGTAAATTTTCCCCCATGAAGGACAGCTTTGCAGGGCCATTTCAAAATAATGGCAAAGAAACATGTTTTTGGGGTAAAATACTTTGTTTTTCTTCCTTGTCTCATAATGTGATGCCAGAGTCAGGTTGGAAAGTAAATCATGATATATACAGTTAAATAAAGCCCATCTGATGAGAACTGGATTTGTAGGGCATGACTCCCCAGTCCCCTTAGATAGGAATTTGGGCAAGATAAAAAATCAGAGTTTAGTCCTCAGTAGACTTGCTGTGAATATTTCCCGAATGAACAGCTACCTCACTGTCCCTGGGAAGGTCGTCTAAGTCAGAAGTCCCCCTTATCCATGGGGGTACATTGCAAGATGCCCAGTTGGATACCTGGAACAGCAGGTAGTACCAAACCCTACGTATACTGATTTTTTCCTACACATACTGATATAGTTTGAACACATGTTTCTGCCAAATTCTTGTTGAATTGCAATCCCCAGCATTGAAGTTGGGGCCTGATGGGAGATGTTTGGGTCAGGGGGGTGAATCCTTGATGGCTTGGCGCTGTCCTCTCAATAAAGAGTGAGTTCTCATTGGATCTGGTTGTTAAAAAGTGCAGGGCACCTACCCCACCTCTCTACCTCTCTGTCTCACTCACTCCTGCTTTTGCCAAGTGATGTGCAAGCTCCTGTTCTCGCCATGTTAGAATGCCATAAGTAAAAGCTCCCTAAGACCTCCTCAGAAGCTGAGCAGATGCGGGCTCCATCCTTGTACAACCTGCAGAACCACGAGCCAATTAAACCTCTTTTCTTTACAAATGACCCAGTCTCTGGTATTTCTTTATAGCAATGCAAGAACAGCCTGACACACACACATACTTGTCATAAAGTTTTGCAAATTATGCACAGCAAGAGATTAACAACAACTAATAAAACCATTGTAACAGTATATTGTAGTTAAAGTTGTGTGTATGTGGTCTCTCTCTCTCTTCTCTCAAAACGCAAATATTGTTGGACCATTGTTGACTGCAGATAACTGAAACCATGGTAAGTGAAATAGAATAAGGGGGGACTACTGTGCTGGAATCGTGGAAATACAGCTTGTTGGTGGTGTTGGGGGTCAGTAGCTGATGTTCCAAAAATGACACCTTGACCTACTGAAGAAGCCTCAAGTTCTAACCCTCCCACCCACTGTCTCTGAAGCTTAATTTCTATTATCTGCCAAAAATCCAGACCCACCAAGAACAATTGTTTTTTCTTCCCCTCCCTGAAGACCAAGAGTGTAACCACACCTGGACAGACATGTTCACAAGATAATGCTCAAATTAATCTCTGTTCCCTGATCCATTCATTCCCCCTAGTAAACCCCTCAACAGAATTCCTCTTCTCCTCTCTCCTCCCATAACCTATGTTGCCAGGGTGGCATATAATCTTCAGAACCTCCTTGCAGGGCGGCTAACCCCATCTGTGATTCTCCCCAGGTGTGAATTAATACAACTTGCATGCCCCAATTAACCTGCCTTTTGTGAGTTGTGAGTTGACTTTTCAGTGAACCTTCAAAGGATAGGGAACTTTCCCTTGGCCTTCATAGTAGCTACTAGAATTAATGGATAGAAGCTCCCTAAAGTAAACTATATGCAAAAATGTGATGCTACAGGGCTGAAGCTAATAGAAACCCAAACAACATTTTTTTTTTTTTTTGAGATGGACTTTCACTCTTGTCGCCCAGGCTGGAGTGCAATGGCACGATCTCGGCTCACGGCAACCTCAGCCTCCCGGGTTCAAGTGACTGTCCTGCCTCAGCCTGCCTAGTAGCTGGGATTACAGGCATGCACCACCATGCCCAGCTAATTTTGTATTTTTAGTAGAGACGGGGTTTCTCCATGCTGGTCAGGCTGCTTTCAAACTCCCGACTTCAGGTGATCTGCCCGCCTCGGACTCCCTAAGTGCTGGGATTACAGGCGTGAGCTACGGCGCCCAGCCCCCAGACAACATTTTTAAAGGGATTAACTTTGTTTAGGAAACATTCTCAGTTTGAGATGGGATTTGGAGACAGGCTAATGAGATTAAGATGCCTCATAATGACTGGGTGTGGAGGCCCACCCCTGTAATCCCAGCACTTTGGGAGGCTGAGTTGGGAGGATTACTTGAGGCCAGGAGTTTCACACCAGCCAGGGCAACATAGCAAGACCCCTATCTTTTAAAATAAAACAACTTTTTTTAAAAAAAGATGCCTCCTATTGTGTCATTAGGAATCAACTTCTAAATGGAACCAGTAACGAAGGGTATGTAAGATATGGCCATGTTTTATTAATTTATAAATTCCATTTAACCATTGTTTATTAGCCAGGTGCGTAGGCTCATGCCTGTAATCCCAGCACTTTGGGAGGCCAAGGCTGGTGGATCACCTGAGGTCAGGAATTTGAGACCAGTCCGGCCAACGTGGTGAAACCCCATCTCTACTAAAAATACAAAAATTAGCTGGGCATGGTGACGGGATTCTGTAGTCCCAGCTACTTGAACCTGGGAGGCAGAGGTTGCAGTGAGCTGAAATTACACCACTGCACTCCAGCCTGGGCAACAGAGTAACACTCCATCTCAAAAACAAACAAAACACACAATTGTTTACTGAGGAAACTATAAATAGTAAGTACCAGAGATACAAAGTTAATAAAGGCAGTTCCTACTCTCAAGCAGTTCACAGCACTGTGTGGGAAAAATATTTGCGAAAAGATCATTATGATGCCACCTATATTTATTTATTTATTTATTTATTTATTTTTATTTTTTGAGACAGAGTCTCGCGCTCTGTTGCCCAGGCTGGAGTGCAATGGCAAGATCTCAGCTCACTGCAACCTCTGCCTCCCAGGTTCAAGCAATTCTCCTGCCTCAGCCTCCCCAGTAGCTGGGATTACAGGTAAGCACGACCACGCCCAGCTAGTTTTTGAATTTTTAGTGGAGACGGGGTTTTGCCATATTGCCCAGGCTGGTCTAGGACTCCTGACCTCAAGTGATCCACCCACCTCAGCCTCCCAAAGTTCTGGGATTACAAGTGTGAGCTACCACGCCCAGCTGCCACCCATATTTATGATGCCACTTAAAAGTGCAAAGAGAGATGCATTGAATATACTGGAAGCCCAGAGAGAATCATTAAAAAATAGTGCAAACAAATGAGTGTAGGTCTTTGTGAAGTCTAGAAAGAATAAGAATGTGTCTTGGCGCCTCCTGCATTTTCTAGGGAAAGTTCTGGCTAGTAGCTAGAAGAGGTTAAAGAAAATACCCGCTTGGGGCAATCATCAGGAAAAAGAAGGTTGTATCCTTACCCCACACTATAAACATAAGTAAGTTTCAGATTTAAATCTAAAAAGACAGTTCTAAAATTTCTAGAAAATGTATAGAATAGGCCGGGCATGGTCGCTCCCACCTGTAATCCCAGCACTTTGGGAGGCCGAGCTGGGTGGGTGGATCACCTGAGGTCAAGAGTTCGAGACCAGGCTGGCCAATATGGTGAAACCCTATGTCTACTAGAAATACAAAAAAAAAAAAAAAAAAGCCAGGCATGGTGGCGGGTGCCTGTAATCCCACCTACTCAGGAGGCTGAGAAAGGGAGAATTGCTTGAACCTGGAAGGTAGAGGTTGCAGTGAGCTGAGATCATGCCACTGCACTCCAGCCTGGGCAACAGAGTAAGACTCCATCTCAAAAAAATAAAGAATAGAAGCCATGAGCTAAAAGATAGTAATACCATGAAGCCACTTCACCAGTTCTGAACTGCCTCCTCCTGGGCTGTATTTGGGTAAGAGAGAAATAATTCTTATTGTTAAAATAAAAACCTTAGACAAATTTAACAGTTTAACCAAGCAAAGAACAATTCATGAATCAGGCAGCTTCCTGAACCAGAGCAGGCTCCAAGAGACTCCAGCCCTGTTCTATCATTGAAGATAACTTATGGACAGTGAAAAAAAAGTGACTTACAGAAAATGGAAGTGAGCTACAGAAATAGTCAGATTGGTTACAGCTTGGCATTTGTTTTATTGGAATACGGTTTAAACAGTTGTCCTCCTTTGATTGGTAAAAACTCAGTGATTGCTACAACAGTAGGTTGTAGTCGTTACAGTCTGTTTACACATTCAGTTAGGTTACAGTTCACTATGTACCAAGAAACTTTAGGGTAAACTTAACCATGTAAGAAGGCAGTTTTAGGCTAAACTTAACACTAACTGATGGAACCATTACATCTTCAGGTCTCTGACATGAGCACTCATTCATAAGTGCCTAAATCATAGAGATGCCATGTCCTAATGCAGGGACATTTAGAATCACATTAAAAAGGAAAAAAAAAAAGCACTTGTTTCTGAAACTACTTTTGCAGAAAAATCAAATATGGCTGACTCCATCTTGCACCTAGCCTCACAAGCTGTCTTCACTCATTCCTGGGTGTCGCCCAAGCTAATCATGGGAGTAATTTGGTTTATAGTTTAACCTTAAAGTAAGGATAATAGCCCTTACAAAAACTAAACCGCGTTTGTAAAACTAATGAAAGGCCACAAGGTTAGGATTATGAAAGGGGCCTGAATTCTGCTAAAAAGTAGGTATACTTAGCAAGCCAATGTTTGAAGGTCACAAGATCTGTGAATTCTCCAATTATGCCTATAGATAACTTGACTATCACAGAACCCAAGATTGGCCTTTTGAAATGTCTTTTTAGACTTTTGCATTTCTGATGACTGGCTGACTCCACCTTGACCCACAACTCATGACTCAGCGCATGAGGACCACTTTCCACACCCCTATAATGGTATCCTCAACCTATCAACATTCCCCACTCCCTAGCCCCCTGCCTACCAAACTATCCTTGAAAAACCCCAACCTCCAAGCCTTCAGGGAGGTTGATTTGAGTAATAACTGTGTCTCCTGCATGGTATGGCCAGCCTTGTGTCAATTAAATGCTTCCCTTACTGCAATGCCATGGTCTCACAGTGAATTGGTTTTGTCTGTACAGTAGGCAGGAAGAAGCCACTGGGTGATTCCATTGCAGAGGAGTAAAGAGTAGCTTGACTGAGGCCTATGAGGTGTAGAATATGGACTCTAGTTCTCATTCTCTCTACTACTACTTCCTGTACTCTACCCCACCATTACAGCCCAAAGGGTTACTTTTGCCTACTACTCTGAAAAAGCCAACACACCAAAAACAGCAAGTATTGAGAAAGAGAAAGAGTTTAATAATTGCAGGGCAGCCACACAAGAGGGACAGGAGATGTTTCTCAAGCCCATCTCCCCAAGAATTCAGAGGTAGGATGTATTAGTCTGTTTTCATGCTGCTGATAAAGACATACCCAAGACCAGGCAATTTATGAAACAAAGAGGTTTACTGGACTTACAGTTCCACGTGGCTGGGGAGGCCTCAAAATCATGGCAGAAGATGAAGGGCATGTCTCACATGGTGGCAGATAAAAGAAGAGAGCTTGTGCAGGGAAACTCCCCTTTTTAACCCATCAGATCTTGAGAGACTCATTCAATATCATGAGAACAGTGCAGGAAAAACCCATCCACATAATTCAATCACCTCCCACTGGGTCCCTCCAAAGCACGTGAGTATTCAAGATGAGATTTGGGTGGGGACACAGCCAAACCATATCATAGCATTTTTAAAGGTATTTTGGTGGGTAGGGGGATAGGGAACTGAAACAATTGATTGGCTAAGGATGAAATTATAGGGGTATCAAAGCTACAGCTGAGTCAATTCCCAGCTGTAGGTAACAGAACCAGCTGAGTTAGTTTCTTGGTCACAGGTCCAGGTGGTATCTCTTGGTCTGCCAAAATACTAAATCTGAAAAATATCTCAAAGACCAGCCCTTTAAGGTCTCAAAATAGTAATGTTATCTATAGGAGCAGTTTGGGAAGTCACAATCTTTTGATCTCTGGTTTATGACTCTGGGACAGCAGGCAGCTATAGAAAAGCAAGCTAAGCAAGCAATTAATGGCTATTGTTTAACCATGCCTATTTTTTAGCAAAGTTCAAGCCCTCCCATTGTCAGAGGCATGTGAACCAGAGCAACTCCATCTTGAATAGGAGCACAGTAAAATGAGTCTGAAACCTACTGGGCTGCATTCCCAGATGGTTAAGGCATTCTAAGTCACCAGATGAGACAGGAGGTCAGCACAAGATACAGGTCAACAAGACCTAGCTGATAAAATAGTTTGCAGTTAAGAAGCCAGCCAAAACCCACCAAAACCAAGATGGCAATGACAGTGATCTCTGGTCATCCTCACTGCTACAATCCCACCAGTGCTGACAGTTTACAAATGCCATGGCTACATCAGGAAGTTACTCTATATGGTCTAAAAGGGGGAGGCATCAATAATCCACCCCTTGTTTAGCATATCATCACAAAATGACCATCAAAATGGGGAACTAGAAGCCCTCAGGGCTGCTCTGTCTATGGAGTAGCCATGCTTTCATTTCTTTACTTTCTTAATAAATTTGCTTTTGCTCTGCACTGTGGACTCAGCCTGAATTCTTTCTTCCATGAGATCCAAGAACCCTCTCTTGGGGTCTGGATTGGGACCTCTTTCCTGTAACACCGTAATTCTCATCTTGTGGCCTTTTATTAGTCTTTACTAACATGGTTTCAATCTTTAAACCAGGAGGGGATAAGTTTAAGAAAAGGACTATTATGGCCTCCACAAAAAATGAGCAAAAGCAATTTAGCCTGGTAGAAGCAAGATGGAGTCAATTATGTTTGATTTCCCTTACTATTTATAATTTTTGCAAAGGCAGTTTCACTACAACCATCTTCTGTTTCTTAAGAGCACGTTTCAGGAAAATGTCCAGGAAGTAATGCGTCAAAACATTAATCACTGGATTCTGTGATTACTGCCGGTTTGTTTCATCAGTTTTGTAACTTATCTAGAATACACATGCTTTTTGTTCTCTAGCTCTACATCATAATTTAGCATTATGTTTAAATTATTTTAAAATCATTTTAGAAAATACAAAATAGTACTCTCTTTGATTACAGGAGTCAATGTTTTTTTCTTAAACCTCTTCACAGGCCTATGCAAACACATCTAGTCTTTATTAAGGAAAGAATTGTGTGTGAGTAGATGTGTGTGTGTGTTGGACCTCAGAAACCAATACCCCCAAAATATTTTTGAAACTGCCTTTGCAAAAATTGTAACAATGAGAAAATGACGACAGTGAAAAAGCTCTGATCTAACCAACCCCCATCTTTCCTTTACTCTGCAAACTGCCCTTGGTCATTCCTGGGCTTGGACCAAGCTAACTTTCAAAGAAATTTGGATTATAGTTTAAGTTATAACAGCCCTTCCCCAAAACTAAACCAGCTTTGTAAAACTAATGAAAGACACCACATTAGCAGGATGAGAGGAGCCTGAATTCTGCTAAGATGTAGGCGTAAATGATTGCCAGCCATTATTCAAGAGGTCACAAGATTTGCAACTGCCCCAGTTACTCCTGCAGATAACATCACTATTATAAAATCAAAGACTGGCTTTTGGTTTTACAAAACCCAATGAGATGGCTTTTGTAAGATAATGTCCTTTGAGGCTTTTGCATTTCTGATGACCCAAGACCCAAGAATTTTGATTTAACTGCTCCTCTGGCCCATACCCAGCAGTAGACTCAGCCACAAGTACCATTCTCCACACCCCTATGACTGCATCCTCAATCAATCAGCAGCACCCATTCCCCTAACCTCCCTGCCCTGCAAACCATCCTTGAAAAACCCCACCCTCTGAATTTTCAGAGAGGCTAATTTGAGTAATAAAACACCAGTCTCCTTTTTAGCTGGCTCTATGTGCCTCACACTGTTTACTTTTTCTCTATTGCAATTCCCCTGTCTTGATAAATTTGCTGTATCTGGGCAGCAGGTAAAAATAAATCCATTCGACAACTTATCTAGAATGTACATACTTTTTTTTTTTCTCTAAATGTGACCAAAAATGAGCATACCCTTTAAAAAGTATGATGAGACCAGGCATGGTGCCTCACGCCTGTAACCTAGCACTTTGGGAGGCTGAGGTGGGCAGATCAAGAGGTCAGGAGATTGAGACCATCCTGGCTAACATGGTGAAACCCATCTCCACTAAAAAATACAAAAAAATTAGCCGGGCCTGGTGGCAGGTGCCTGTAGTCCCAGCTACTCGGGAGGCTGAGCCAGGAGAACGGCATGAACCCGGTAGGTGGAGCTTGCAGTGAGCCAAGATCGCACCACTGCACTCCAGCCTGGGCAACAGAGTGAGACTCCATCTCAGAAAAATTAAAATAAAATAAAAATAAAATAAAATAAAAATAAATAAAATAAAATAAAATAAATAAAATAAAATAAAATAAATAAAATAATAAAATAAATAAAATTAAATAAAATAAAATAAATAAATAAAATAATAAAATAATAAAATAAATAAAATAAAATAAAATAAAATAAAATAAAATAAAATAAAATATAAAAAGTATAAAGACTGTATCCAAGGATCATTTAAATTCCAAGAAAAACTTTTTTGTTGTTTTTTGTTTTTTTTTCAGACAGAGTTTTGCTCTTGTTACCCAGGCTGGAGTGCAATGGTGTGATCTTGGCTCACTGCAATCGCCATCTGGGTTGAGGCAATTTTCCTGCCTCAGCCTCCCAAGTAGCTGGGATTACAGGTCCCTGTTACCACGCCTAGCTAATTTTTTGTATTTTTAGTACAGACAGGCTTTCACCATATTGGCCAGGCTGGTCTCGAACTTCTGACCGCAGGTGACCCACCTGCCTCAGCCTCCCAAAGTGCTGGGATTACAGGCGTGAGCCACCGCATGGCCTCCAAGGAAAACTATTTACAAGTTAATCTCTGTTCCAGATCCATTCATGCTTCCTAAGAACCATTTGTTGACCCTCCCTAGAATTCCTTTTCTCCCCATCCCATAATCTTTTTTACCAGGATTCAAGCCCCCATTCCTTCTGTAACCTCAAGATGGTATATAAGCTTCTGTGGTTTATTAAAAGGTTGGATCTTCATTCTGAAAGTTCCCATGTATACATGTTAAGTAAATTTGCATGCCTTTTCTCCTTCTAATCAATCTGCCTCATCAGTAATTTTTCAGTGAACCTTTAGGAGACCAAGAGCCGATGGCCCCCACAGTGTGTATGAGTGTATTTATGTCTAACTGGATACTAGCGAAATCGCTGTTGCAAAATCCTAACTCAGAAAATTATGACAGTGAAAGAGATGTGACCTAACTGACTCCATCTTGCTTCTAACTTCCAAGTTGTCCTTGTTCATTCCTGGGTGGAGGCCAAACTAACTGTAGGAGGAACTTAGTTTATAGTTTAACTTTGAAACAAAGATAATAACAGCCCTTTCCCAAAACAAACCCCCTTCCTGCCTGAAGACTAGATTGCCTTTGTGGAGCTACCAAATTAGCCACAAGATTAAAAACTATAGCTTAGGAGCCATGCACCTGGGAGGCTCTAAGACTCTGACTCTCCTCAAATTGCTCCTGGGGATAATGTCACTATTGTAAAACCTAAGATAATTACCTGAGATGTTTTGCAGCCCCAGCCCTTGAGAGGCACCATCCAGATTGATAAACTGGCTCATCTGGTCTCCTGGCCCCCCAGCTCAGAAACTGACTCAACACAAAAGGACAGCTTCAACTGCCTATGATTTCATCTCCAACCCAACCAATCAGCACTCCTGACTCACTGGCCCCTACCCACCAAATTATCCTTAAAAACCCAGATCCCAAAGTTTTCAGGGCAACTGACTTTGAACTGAAGTCTCCTGTATAGCCGGCTCTACATGAATTATTCTTTCTCTGTTGCAATTTCCCTATCTTGATAAATCAGCACTTTCTAGGCAAGAAGAATCCATTGGGCAGTTACTCTAGTAGTTGCAAAGGTGATTTTTATGTATGTAAAAAATCGAGTGTTTTTATAATAATAGCAACTTAATATAATTCAAACATTTGCATCACCTAGCACCCACAAATTGCCACTTCATTCACTCATCTTATAAAAAGGATACTGGGCCGGGTGCAGTGGCTCACGCCTGTAATCCCAGCATTTTGGGAGGCCGAGGTGAGTGGATCACTTGAGGTCAGGAGTTCGAGACTAGCCTGACCAATATGGCAAAAGCCTGTCTCTACTAAAAATACAAAAATTAGCTGGGTGTGGTGGTGCACACCTGTAATTCCAGCTACTCCAGAGCCTGAGGCAGGAATATTACTTGAACCCGGGAGGCAGACGTTGCAGTGAGCTAAGATGGTGCCACTGCACCTCCAGCTTGGGTGACAGAGTGAGACTCCATCTCAAAAAAAGGATATTGTCTCTTTTAAGGGAACATGATCACCAGGCCAACTATTATATAAAAATATTAAAATGCATTAAATGAAATAACATGTGACACCATTTTAGTTTTATTTTATTGATATTAAAACCAGTAACAAACACTGGCTCTTCATGCCATCTGTTTTGGCAGTGTTGGGGTGCAGAAAATGATTTCCCAAACTACTGCCCTTTGACATACCGAGTGCTTTGAGAATTGATATGTAAGTCTCAGAACAAAGGTCTCTCTCTCACCTTCCCTGCCTCCCTGTCTTTCTGATTCTCTTTCCTGAAGCACTGAGAGGAACTCTGTCTCTCTCCGCAATTTCCTTATCTAAAAACATCTTTCCAGACTGGCTGTGGTGGCTCAAACCTGTAATCCCAGTACTTTGAGAGACCTAGGCAGGAGGATCACTTGAAGCCAGGAGTTTAAGACCAGCCTGAGCAACAAAGCAAGACCTTATTTCAACCAAAAATTTTAAAAATTAGCTGAGCACTCAATGGTGCACACCTATAGTCCCAGCTACTCTGGAGGCTGAGGAGGAAGTATCTCTTTAGAGCTCAGGAATTGGAGGCTGCAGTGACCTATGATCATGCCACCATACTCTAGCCTGGTGACAGATGGAGACTCTATCTTAAGAAAAGAAAAATGTTCTGCCCAAAAGAAATCCAATTGTCTTAAGATCCATCTCATCAAATAACCAAGAAAAAAAAAAAATCAACCAGGGGAGAAGAGACTGGGAGTTGTTGCCACATCCACAGAGACTTTTCATCTAATTAAACAAAAAAAAGCTTCTGCACAGCTAAAGAAATAATCAGCATAGTTAACAGACAACCCAGAGTGGGAGAAAATCTTTGCAATCTATACATCCAACAAAGGACTAATATCCACAATATACAAGGAACTCAAATAAATCAGCAAGAAAAAAAAAAATCCCATCAGAGAGTGGGCTAAGGATATGACTAGACAATTCCAAAAGAAGATATACAAATGGCCAACAAATAGATGAAAAAAATGCTCAACATCACTAATTATCAGGGAAATGCAAATCGAAACCACAATGTGATACTCCTGCAAGAACGGCCACAATAAAAAAATAAAAAAATAGATGTTGGCATGGATGTGGTAAAAAGGGAACACTTTTACCCGGTTGGTGGGAATGTAAAATATTACAACCACTAGGGAAAACAGTATGGAGATTCCTTAAAGAACTGAAAGTAGATCTATCATCTGATCCAGCAATCTCACTCCTGGATGTGTGTATGTGTGTGTGTGTGTGTATATATATATATGTATATATACACTCTTGCCTGTAATCCCAACACTTTGGGAGGCCAAGGCAGGTGGATCGCCTGAGTTCAGGAGTTTAAGACCAGCCTGACCAATATGCTGAAACCCCACGTCCACTAAAAATGCAAAAATTAGCCAGGTGTGATGGCATGTGCCTGTAGTCCCCGCTACTTGGGAGGCTGAGACAGGAGAATTGCTTGAACCCAGGAGGCAGGGGTTGCAGTGAGCTGAGATTGTGCCACTGCATTCCAGCCTGGGTGACAGAGGGAGACTCTATCTCAAAGAAAAAAAAAAAGAGCAATAAAATAATAACATTTGCAGCAACTTGGATGGAACTGGAGACCATTATTCTAAGTGAAGTAACTAAAAAATGGAAAATGAAACATCATATGTTCTCACTTATAAGTAGGAGCTAAGCTATGAGGACACAAAGGCAGAAGAATGATAGAATGGAATTTGGGCACTCGGGGGACAGGGTGGAAGGGGGGTGAAAGACAAAACACAACACATTGGGTACAGTGTACACTACTCAGATGATGGGTGCACTGAAATCTCAGAAATCACCACTAAAGAACTTATTCATGTAACCAAACACCACCTGTTCCCCCAAAACCTATTGAAATTAAAAAATACTACAATACAATACAATACAAGTCCCCCAGTGGAAGATTTCTCTTCTCTACCTGCCAGGGAGGCAAGTGTAAAACAGGCTGATTTGGTTCTCAGTACCTTCCAGCTGTCAACTGGGGGACTTCATCTGCATAGTAAGACAACCTTTGTTCCTCTGCAGTTCCACCCCTCACCTTCTCCTAACTTGTCTCATTCAGCTCCCAAAGAGAATCATTCATAAAATATCTTGTCCTGGGTCCATATGTCTTTCCCCTACAAAGACACTACTTAAGTCTCAACTATCTGGCCCCTTTTTGAGTCTTATACATTGTGTATGGCTTCTATGTCCACATACACATTAAATGTTTTGTGTGCCTTTTTCTCCTATTAATCTACCCTTTGTCAGCTCATCATCCGCAAACCTTTAGTAGGTGGAAGGAACCGTTTCCCAAGGCCCCTACAGTATCAAACGAGAAAAGTATTTCTGTGCCCCCCAACCTGTAATGTCCTATCAACTGCACACTCTGGATCCCTGGAAAGGTGCATGTGTGTAGTTGTGGTCACTGCCATCCTTCAGGCATGGATCACTGACACCTTGTGCTGGGCCTGGGCAGACAGTCTACCTTTCTAGGTGGGGAGCAGAGGAGAAGGTGAGGAGGAAGAGGGCATACCTGTAGGAGCCAGTCATGGGCCTCTTCTCTTCTCTCCCTGCCAGGGAGGCACAGGGTAAAACTGCACAGGTGGGAGGTTGAACAGACTGATTTAGTTCTCAGTACCTTCCGGCTGTCATATAATATAATTCCAGCTCATCAGAGATGAGCTTTGTCTTTGAGCAGTGTTTCCTGCGATAGCCCTGCCCAGGGGGCTCTGGAACAGCAGCTGGAGTCTGGCCTGGTTGTGGACTAGAGCCCATGTTAGAATGGTTATGGAAAATCCTGTCCCTGAAACTCCTAGATTCTCCCTCTGCCTCTGTTATCCCACTTATGACCTGAGCATACTAATGGTTATGTGTTAGTAAATAAATGCTATGAAATACACTTGTATAGGCATTCATAGAGGGGAAGAGCAACAATCTAGCATTAACAATAAAGTGCAAAAAGCACTAAAAGTACCAATGGTTCCTGCAGCAAGAAGACATAAACTGTGGGAAGCTTGGGTTCCGGGAAGACATCCTGGAGGAAGTGGCATTTAGGCTAATACTTGATGGGTGAGCAGAGATCAGCCAGACAAACAACAGGAGAAGCAGGAACCACTGAGCTGAAGGTCCAACACAGTGGCCTGAGCCTCGAGTCACAATGCCTGGCCTTGTCTCAATGTGTGCTCAGGTATTTCTCTTGCCTTCCTTTTGGCTTCTGAAAATAACCAGGCTCTTTATCATCTCTGGACTTTGATTCAGGCTGCTCTCTCTGCCTCCTCAGCTTGCCTGCGACTTCCTCTAGGCAGCCTCCCATGACCCTTCCCTGGGTTGAACGCACCTCTTCCTAGTTTTTTTTTTTTTTTTTTAAAGAGCGCGTCACACTGCCACCCAGCTGGAATGCAATGGCGTGATCTCAGCTCACCTCACAGTGACCTCCACCTCTTGGGCTCAAGCATCCTCCTGCCTCAGCCCCCCAAATAGCTGGAAGTACAGATGTGTGCCACCATACCCAGTTAATTTTTTTATTTGTAGAGATGGGCTTTCACCATGTTGCCCAGGCTGCTCTCGAACTCCTGAGCTCAAGTGATCCACTCGCCTCCACCTCCCAAAGTGCTAGGATTGCAGGCCTGAGCCACCATGCCCAGCCCCTCTTCCTAGCTGTCATACCATCCTGAAATGCTTCCTCATCATACTATTTCCCACACTCTATACTTGGCTATGTTGTCAGTTCCTCCAGTACAAGGATTATGCTTCCTTGTTCACTTTTTAATCCCTAATATCTTACAAATAACAACAACTAAGATATACTGAGTCTAAGTATGTGCCAAATGCTGTTCCAAGCACCTAACATTTAGTTCTCACAACAAATCCTATAAGGCAGAGAGACACTGAGTAACTTATTCAAAGTTATAACAACTGGTAGGTGGCAGAGCCAGAATTTATACCCTGGCAGAGAAGCGCCAGGCCTACCTACTTCTCCACTCCAGTCCAGCTGCCCACACTGCAAGTAAAATAATTCCTAGTCAGGCTGGCCAACTCCTAGTACAATTCTAGATCAGGCTGGGCTACTTCCTGGCTGGGGAACTCCCTTGGATATAACCTTTCTCTTCCCTGTGCCTGTTTCTTCAACCATAAAGATAGATAAAGTGGATCCTAACTGGAAAAAGTAACTTGCCCAGAGTAACACTGATGAATTCATGCTCAGGGAATCCAGCTTCAAGGTCAGTTTGCTTAGCCTCACACTCATTGCCTGGGGAACACGTAACTGTTTGTGGAGTGTGTGATAAAGTGGTTGGATGGATGAGACTGCCCAGCTCCGAAGGAGGAAGGATCACTGAATTCTAAGACACATTTCATTCAGTACCCTAGTGACTCATGCTCTCCTTGTGAAGAAACTTACAGAAAAAAGCATGTCAACAGCAGTCAACATATTATTATTTTACAAAAACTCAATATTTTACCTGCTTTTTTGAAACTTTTTCTCTTGACAATATACTGAAAGTCATTCCATGGTAGTACATTGAAAGCTACATTTTTCTTTTTTTTCTTTTTTCATTTTTTTCAACACCCTGGACAACACACTAAAACTACCTTGTTTTTAAAGGCCACAGATTACCTCTTCAGTTATGCTTGAGTTACAGTATATTTAAATAATCGTGTTTTTAACAAAAAGTAGTTATTTACAATGCATTTCTAATTACAAAAATAGCTGTATTAAAATACACACATATATTGAAAGCTGTGTCAACATTTAAATTTTATAAAATACATGTGTATATATATTTGTGCAGCTATTTTTATAGAATTATTAGAAGTATAATTTCTGGGTCACAGCTTTAAAAGTGTTTGATACTTCTCAAAAGGTTTTATCCACTTAATACAAAAGTACCTGTTGGGTGGGCATGGTGGCTCACACCTGTAATCCTAGCACTTTGGGAGGCAGAGGTGGGAGTGGTGGTATGCAACTGTAATCCCAGCTACTTGGGGGGCTGAGGCGGGAAGATCACTTGAGCCCAGGAGGTCAAGGCTGCAGTAAGCTGAGATTGTATCCCTGCACTCCAACCTGGGTGACAGGCTCTCTCAAAAAAAAAAAAAAAAAAGATAATGTTTAAGAAATAAATAAAATAAAGTACCTGTTTACCCCTTGTCATCATCTGGTATCATCTGGTACTTTTGTCTTTCCACAATCAATAAATTAAATAATGACATCTTACTGTAGTTTTAATCTGTTTCTTTGATTAGTAGTAAGCTTGAGCATTTTTTCATAGTTTGGGGGACCATTTGCATTTCTTATTTTTTTCTTTTTTAGAGACAGGGTCTCACCTTGCCACTCAGGCTGGAGTGCAATGGCAAGATCACGGCTCACTGCAGCCTTGCCCTCCTGGGCTCAAGCCATCCTTCCTCCTCAGCCTCCTGAGTACCTGGGACTACAGGTGGATGCCACCCCACCCAGCTAATTAAAAAAAAAAAAAAAAAAAAAAAAACGTGTAAAGGTGAGGTCTTGCTATGTTACCCAGGATGGTCTAGAACTCTTGGCTTCAAGCAATCCTCCCACCTTGGCCTCTTAAATTTCTTTACTATTAACTTTTTTCTCCATATTTTCCTATTGGAGTGTTAGCTGATTTTTATTAATCTGTGAGAGTTCTTTCAGCTTAATGTCTATTCCCTCTTTGTTCTGGTTTTGTAGACATTGTATCCTAGTGTACTGTTCAACTTTGACTACGTTTTATGGGGTTCTTTCCTAGGGGCAACAGTTAATATACAGAAGATTGCATTGATTTTGTGTAGCCAAATTTATCCACACTTTCCTTTTGGCTTCTGAGCTTCAATATAATGCTTAGAAAACCCATTTCCATTCCAGAGTCATATACATATTCACTCACATTTTCTTTTAACAATTTTTATGATTTTTTAATACTTAAATTCTGGATCCACCCAGAATATATTTTGATGTATGAAATGAAGTAGGAAAGGCAATGATCATGCTAGAACTAAACAGCTGTGCTTTGAAATAAAGCTTTGTGGTAGGGCGCAGTAGCTCATGCTAGTAATCTCAGCACTTTGGGAGGCTGAGGTGGGTGGATCCCTTGAGGCCAGAAGTTTGAGACCAGCCTGGGCAACACGGTAAAACCCTGTCTCTACAAAAAAAAAAAAAAAAAAAAAAAAAAAACTAAAAAATTAGCCAGGTGGGGTGGCATATGCCTATTGTCCTGACTATTTGGGAGGCTGAGATAGGAGGATCGCTTGAGCCTGAGAGGTCAAGGCTGCAGTGAGCTGTGATTATGCCACTGCACTCCAGTCTGGGCAACAGAGTGAGACCTTGTCTCATTTAGGAAAAAATAAAAAAAGGCTAGGCTCGGTGGCTCGCGCCTGTAATCCCAGCACTTTGGAAGGCCAAGGCGGGTGGATCATGAGGTCAGGCATTCGAGACCAGCCCTGGCCAACACAGTGAAACCCCGTATCTACTAAAAATACAAAAGATTAGCCAGGCGTGCTGGCACGCTCTTGTAATCCCAGCTACTCAAGAGGCTGAGAAAGGAGAATCACTTGAACCTGGGAGGCGGAGGTTGCAGTGAGTCGAGATTATGCCACTGCACTCCTTCCTGGTCAACAGTGTGAGACTCCATCTCAAAAAAAAAAAAAAAAAAGAAAGAAAGAGAAAAAAGAAAAAGAAAGAAAGCTTTTGGCCTTTTAGCTTGGCACTTCCAAAAAATGCCAAATACCAATAGCGGAGAGAGTGATGCAGACCTAAGGAAACAGAGCTGCCCTGACATGCCACTGAGTTCCGAAAATACATTTGTTTTTGGATAATGTAAAACACCAGTCACTGATTTTGAATAACCGCACACTGCCAGTGATTTTGTAGAGGAAAGTTATGTAATTCATTTGAAAAAGGAAGCAAACAACCCAATCTTAATTGATATAAACATGGAATTTTATTACCTCTAACGGGAAACATCTAATCTTGGCCACATTCTGAGTGGCAGAGCCCACATACCTTGGGTGCTATTTATATAAGACACTCTTGTGGGCTCCAGTCAGCTTCCTGTTCCCCAACAATCCAATGGGATACTTATTACAGTCTGTGCAAGTGTGCAAAAATAACGTGCATCGAACACCACGCTGATCCAATTATACATGGGGATTTTAAAAAAATGTTAATGAAGGGACTTAACTCAACTTGTTAGTTCTTTGTGGGAAAATCCAAAAAAGCAGAGGCTAGAAGGTGTTGTTAGTACAGAAAGACGGAAGTAGACTGGGAGGCCAGAGAGCTGGAAGAAAGCAGGAACATACAATGAAAAGCAAACAGAATTAATTATGGGAGTATCAGGAAAAACCAACTGCACAATCAAATGAGTGGCAGAATAAGGAACCCAGAGCTTGTTGAGGTTAAAGCAGGCAGGATCCTAAGGCCACAGGAAGACAGATTAAGCAGTGTGTGGTTTTTCATAATGAAAGACTTATCTAGAAGGTGTTGATTGAAACCAGGGAAGTCTCAATTACTTGGCACCCCTTTCTCCACACTCGTTTAGTGGGAACAGTTTCTGCCTTGTACTTTCCAACCAAAATGAATGGGGAGCAGAATAATATCCGGGATTTATGCACAATGTCAATTTCTAGGAACTGTCTAGGGCACTTTCAACCTGACTATACAATATTCTCTTCCCTGTGTGACTTTAATCAGCTACTTGTCTTCTCTGGGTCTCAGTTTCCTCAGGGTGTAGAAACTGGAACCCCTAAACCTAAATCTAAAAGACAAGCTCTTTCAGATCAGAAATTCTGTGATGCTGCTCCCTGGCATCTTTGTCTGGGAGGAACATGTCAGAACCATGTTTTGAGAATCCTTAGTTGGTAGCAGAGCTCAGCAAGGATGAAAGGATGGCACAAAAGGCAGGAAGTAGCTGGGCACAGTGGCTCACACCTGTAATCCCAGCAGTCTGGGAGGCCAAGGCAGGTAGATCCCTGAGGTCAGGAGTTCGAGACCAGCCTGACCAACATGGTGAAACCCCATCTTTTTTTTTTTTTTTTTGAGACGGAGTCTCGCCCTGTTGCCCAGGCTGGAGTGCAATGGCGCAATCTTGATTCACTGCAACCTCCGCCTCCCATGTTCCAGTGATTCTCCTGCCTCAGCCTCCCCAGTAGCTGGGATTTACAGGTGCATGCCACCACACCTGGCTAATTTTTTGTATCTTTTGTAGAGATGGGGTTTCACCATGTTGGCCAGGCTGGTCTCAAACTCCTGACCTCGTGATCCACCCACTTTGGCCTCCCAAAGTGCTAGGATTACAGGCGTGAGTCACCACGCCCAGCTGAAACCCCATCTCTACTAAAAATATAAAAATTAGCTGGGCATGGTGGCATGCGCCTGTAGTCCCAGCTACTTGGGAGGCTGAGACAGGAGAATTGCTTAAACCCAGGATGCAGAGGTTGCACTGAGCCAAGATAGCGCCACTGCACTCCAGCCTGGGTGACTCAGCGAGACTCCGTCTCAAAAAACAAAAAAAGAAACAAAGAAAAAGAAAAAAGAAAGGCAGGAAGTGAAGAGGCTAGCTGGGGAGATACTGCAATAGTTCGGGTAGAAATGGTGAGGACCCTACCAGATCAGTGATGCTAGGGATACGCTGACCGGGTTGTGAGAGACAAGAAGGATCTAAAAGCACCACACAGATATGAGAAAAATTGAAAGCCAAATCTGAAAGGTAGGAGCCTCATGACGCAAGTTTCACAATGACTTTTTCTTCTTTTTTGGCTCTGTCACCCAGGCTGGAGTGCAATACTATGATCTCAGTTCACTGCAACCTCTGTCTCCAGGGTTCAAGTCATTCTCCTGCCTTAGCCTCTCGAGTAGCTAGGATTACAGGCACACGCCACCACGCCCAACTAATTTTTGCGGAATTTCGCCATGTTGGCCAGGCTGGTCTCGAACTCCTGACCTCAAGTGATCTGCCCACCTTGGCCTCCCAAAGTTCTGGGATTACAGGCATGAGCTGCTGTGCCTGGCCAACAATGACATTTTGAGCTAGATAATTCTTTGTTGTAAAGAGCTATCCTGTTCATCGTAGGATATGCAGCATCATCTATAGCCTCCACCCATAATATGCCAGCAGATACCACCTCCTACCCCGAGCTGTGGCCAAAAATGTCTCCAGACAATGTCAAATGTACCCTAGGGAGACAAAATCACCCCTGGTTGACAACCATAATCAGGGAGAATGTACCTTTGACTTGAAGATCTTGTTTGGTAGAGATACAAGTAATTTATGCCCAGTAGAAGAGAAATGCCCAAATATTATGATTGGCAGCCCCAGCTCATGTCAGCCCAGAGAGAAAAGTCGATCATGCTAGATTATAATTTTCACAGAAGTTTAAAACTTGACTCTTTACTAATATGCATTGAAGATGTCAAAAACTTACTCAACTTACTAATTAATGAGGGAAGAAGTAAGATAGTAAAGCTGATTCAAAGGGCACCTTGAGAAACGAAATATTTGTAGACATTTATAAAAGAATGTTGGAATAAAGTTCCTAGCTTAGACATAGAACTGGCTAATGCCTTATAGGGCCATATAAAATCGTAACATTTGAGCCCTTCTCTTCTACCGGATATACATTATTTGTATCTCTACCAAACAAGATCTGCAAGTTAACATATACTTTTACTGAGCTTGAGTTAGCTAAAGCTAGACACAGTGCTTTCCGGCCATTTAACATGTTTATTATTAGCAAATAGCAAAGTCAAAGGTGCATTCTCCCTGATCAGTGGTTCTCAACCAGGGGTGATTTCGCCTCCCTAGGGCACATTTGACATTGTCTGGAGACATTTTTGGTCACAGGAGGTGGTGTCTGCTGGCATCTTGTGCGTGGAGGCCATAGATGATGCTGCACATCCTACAATGAACAGGATAGCTCTTTACAACTAAGAATTATCCAGCTCAAAATGTCACTGGTGTGAAGACTGAGAAGCTTTGCCCTAGATAATTAAAACATCCTTAGGGCCGGGCACAGTGGCTCACGCCTGTAATCCCAATACTTTGGGAGGCCGAGGTGGGTGGATCACTTGAGGTCAGGAGTTCAAGACCAGCCTGCCAACATGGTGAAACCCCATCTCTAATAGAAATACAAAAATTAGCCTGATGTGGTGGCAGGTGCCTGTAATCTCAGCTACTCCGGAGGCTGAGGCAGGAGAATAGCTTGAACCTGGGAGGCAAATGTTGCAGTGAGCCGAGACTGTACCGCTGCACTCCAGCCTCGGTGACAGAGCAAGACACCACCTCAAAAAAAAAAAAAAAAAAAAAAAATGGCCAGGTGCCTGTAATCCCAGCACTTTGGGAGGCTGAGGTGGGTGGATCACGAGGTCAGGAGTTGGAGACCAGCCTGACCCACATGGTGAAACCCCATCTCTACCAAAAATAAGATTAGCCAGGTGTGGTGGTGCACGCCTGTAAACCCAGCCAACTTAGGAGGCTGAAGCAGGAAAATCACTTGAACCGGGTGGTGGAGCTTGCAGTGAGCTGAGATCACACCATTGCACTCCAGCCTGAGTGACATAGAGAGACTGTGTCTCAAAAAAATAAATAAATAAAAATCCTTGGATGCCCTTATCTGATACTGCAAGACTATGCTATGCTGCCCAACTTTCTCATTTCCAGCTTTTAAATAATTTTTCTTAATGGTAATGTTCAACCATCTATTTTCCAAGGAAAGTAAACTTCTCCCTTTCACAAATATTTCACTTGAGTTTTTATTTGTTTTTGTTTGTTTGAGGGTTTTTTGTTGGTTTGTTTTTTGAGACAGGATCTCACTCTGTTGCCCAGGCTGGATGGAGAGCAGTGGCGGGATCTCAGCTCACTGCAATCTCCACCTCCCAGGCTCAAGAGAGTCTCCCCAGAGCAAGACTCCGTCTCAAAAAAAAAAAAAAAAAAAAAAAAAAAACAGAGTCTCCCACCTTCCCACCTCAGCCTCCCGAGTAGCTGAGACTACAGGCATGTGCCACCATGCCCAGCTAATTTTTTTGCCTGGCTGTTTTTTGTATTTTTTGGTAGAGATGAGGTTTCACCATGTTCACCAGGCTGGTCTCAAATTCCTGACTTCAAGTGATCTGCCTGCTTTGGCCTCTCAAAGTGCCAAGATTACAGGCATGAGCCACCACCCCCTCAGCACTCACCTGAGTATTTTTTAAAAGGTTTTCTACCTAATCCGAAGGACATTAGAAAAAAATCAATTAAGCAAGACAACCACCCCCACTTCCTGGGAAATTTATCTTATTGCAATCTTACTGCAGTAGTCATTCAAAGGCTGCGATTTTTCCAGGAAGCATGATAGTGCCCACAGATTTCTTAAAAACAAGAATAGTCAAAGAAAACAAACAAAAATTTTAAAAGTAGTTCAGATATAATTGGGGAAAGCTGGCAGTAGGGGCAGAGGTACAGGTTACAGGGAGAACAGCAGGGAGAAGACAGGTGCCAATGACAGCCCTAGCTGATGCAATCTGAACCCATCATCTTCCCTCAAGTGCTGAGCATAAATCCCAGAAATGAACCAGGAAGCAATAAATATTTATTGCTATGAAATTAAAAGCTCTCTTGTGTAGTAGAAAGATACCAAGGGCTGGGTATTTAACCTTGTTAATCACATTTCAGAGGAAGTCATAAAAATGTTCCAAAGCGAGTTTGAATATTGACTTGTACCTGTGCAAAACAAACAAACAAGTCTCAACCACAAGTGTCCTGATCATTCTGGTGAGTCATCATTTTCCTCCTACCTATACCAGGCAGGATGATGACAAAGATTTGGAGATGGATGGTGGGAATGGTAACTGCTGGGGCACAGAAATTTGACATTTTGACACGTTGAACTAAAGAAGCAGCCTCAAGGTTTCTCTGAACCCATCTCTCAATCCTCTGTCTCTCCCAAAGTATGTGCACTCTCTCTCTATATATACATACATATATATACACACACATATATATACACACAGACGTATATATATACTATATATTATATAATTTAGTATATATACCATATATTTATATAATTTGTGTGTACACTAAATATATACTATATATAAATATACACTATATATTATATATATACTATATACTACATATATATAAAAAACCAATAAGCATATTTGATAGATAGATAGATAGATAGATAGCTTGAATACCCTGTGCTTTTTTTAAAAGGCCTCTGTATTTCTCTCTTGGATGTGCTTCTCCCACAGGGAACCTCCCAGTAGACTGAATCCCTTTTTCTTGAGCCCCTGCTAACTATATATTCTACTTCCCCTATCTACTATCTAAAAATAAAGTTTTAAAATAAAAAAAGATGTTTGTGCAGTATGGATAAGTAAAAGAATTTTGTTCACCTTCTCAGTACACAGAGAAAGAGTAAATTTATCAAGATTGCTTCCTGTGCTTCATATTTTTTTTCTTTCTTTCTGAGATGGGGTCTTCCTCTGTCTCCCGAGCTGGAGTGCAGTGGCGGGATCACAGCTTACTGCAGCCTTCAACTCCTGGGTTCAAGCAGTCCTCCCACCTTGGCCTCCCAAGTATCTAGAACTAAGGTTGTGTACCACCACACCTGGCTTTTTTTTTCTTATTTTTTTTGTAGAGACAGAGTCTTGCTATGTTGTCCAGTCTGGTCTGAAACTCCTGGGCTCAAATGATGCCCCTGGCTCGGCCTCCCAAAGTGCTGCGGTTACAGGCATGAGTTACTGCACCCGGCCTGTTTTCTTTATTGGGTCTTTGATTACTTAGGGCAGCTAAATATTAGAAGAGTTAAGGTTTTTCTACAACTGCCTAGCTTCCTATATTTGCTATTAAATTCTTTTAATCACTGTAGTTAAATGAATATTATTTCATAATGATCTGTGATCCTATTTTTGATCCAGTGTTTTAAACCTTTATTTCTGACAAACTTCCCAGAATCGAAATTGTCTTGACTTCAAGCTAACTTTTTAAACATTCCAGAAGAACCCCTAAAAGCACAAAAGGACATTAAACCAATAGGCATATTTGATATGTTAAAATTATATAGGAAACACTGTCAAATAAAAGACGGTGTTTAACTTTTTTTGAGTTATATTTGTATGGAAATGTTATTAACATATGTCTTCTAAAACTGAGATGCCTAGAAATCTTTTATTTCTTGGTATATGTTATAGGTCATACTTCTGATTATGTTAAATTGTTATAGGCCACAAAAATAACCAAATATCCTTGTCAATTATGTTATAACGAGCTCTCATCAGATCTTTAAACATGGTCATTTTAAATCGGCATGTCCACAATTACTTTATTCTGATGCTTTTATTCCTGAAAGCCCTTTACAAATCCTAAAGTGTTATGTCTTCAGAAGATATGTAAAAAGAACAAAAAGAACTCTGACAAATAACAGCTTTCTAGTAATTTTGAGTTCATACCATTGGCCTGAACTTCCAGAACTCTAGTAAAATCTGGACTCAAAAATGCTAACATAACATTAAGCAAGATAAGAATTAATTACATGGGACTGAACTAAGGAAAGATTATGATTTTTTGACTTTTTATTTAAAATATTGCTGATTGTTTTTATGTGTTTTTTCTTTTAAGCTATCTATAGCTTACAGCAATGTGAAGTATATTTTTGATATTTGCTTTTCTCCCTACCTCATCTCTCCAAAATTTGGAAACTATTCATGATTATTCTTTTTTTATGGCATTATAGTTATCTGCATACATTCCATGAGAATCTGTTCCTGTAAAAGGAATTGAGAACACTAGTTATATCACCGAGACTTTCCCTGAAATGTTGTATCTTTGAATATAACCAGTCAATTTTTTGAGACAGGGTCTTACTCTGTCATCCAGGCTGGAGTGCAGTAGTACAATCATAGCTCACTGAAGCCTCAACCACCTGGGCCCAAGCCATCCTCCCACCTCAGCCTCCCAAGAGGCTGGAACTACAGGCATGTGTCACCATGCCCAGCTAATTTTTTTAAATTTTTGTAAAGATGGAGTCTCACTATGTTACCCAGGTTGGTCTCAAACTCCTGGCCTCAAGCGACTCTACCACCTTGGCCTCCCAAAGTGCTGAGATTACAGGCACGAACCACCATGCCCGGCCCATGACCAGACAATTGTAAGGAACAGAGGTTGATTTTATAAAGCCAATAGAAGGCCTTGGAAAAACTGGCCTTATGTCTTGTCCACATGTCTACCTTACAGTGTTCCTAGCCTTGTGGTAAGTAAATAATATCACTTTCTCATACACCCATGAAACTCAAGATATTTGGGGGACCTTGGAAGGAGAGAAAATCATTCAACCCATACAGGCATTACAGGCACAATCTGATTGCGAGTTCTTGGCTTGGTTCCTAAGCCTCAGGAGGCTTTTTTTTTTTTTTTTTTTTTGAGATGTTGTCTCACTCTGTTGCCCAGGCTGGAGTGCAGTGGCTCTATCTCAGCTCACCGCAACTTCCGCGCCTCCTGGATTCATGTGATTTTCCAGCCTCAGTCTCCTGAATAGCTGGGATTATAGGTGCGGGCCACTATGCCCGGCTAATTTTTGTATTTTTAGTAGAGACAGGGTTTCGCCATGTTGGCTAGGCTGCTCTCAAACTCCTGACCTCAAGTGATCCACCCGCCTCAGCCTCCCAAAGTGCTGGGATTACAGGCATGAGCCACCAAGCCTGGGCTTCAAGAGGCTTCTTAAAAGTCTAACCTGAGGTTCCTTATGAAAAAGTTCCAAGACATACATGGGACCAACAGACAAATGAAAAAAGATCAATGTCACTGATCATTAGAGAAATGCAAATCAAAATCATGATAAGATATAATCTCACACTAGTCAGAATGGCTATTAAAAAGCCAAAAAATAACAGATGCTGGTGAGGTAGTAGAGAAAAAAACACTTATACACTGTGGGTGGGAGTGTAAATTAGTTCAACTATTGTGGAAAACAGTATAGCCATTCCTCAAAAAGCTAAAAACAGAACTACCATTCAACCCAGAAATCCCATTACTGGGTATATACCCAGAGGACTATAAAGTCATTCTACCATAAAGACACATGCAGGCAAATGTTCACTGCAGCACTGTTCACTATAGCAAAGACATGGAGTCAACCCAAATGCCCATCAGTGATAGACTGGATAAAGAAAATGTGGTACATATACACCATGAATACTAATGCAGTCATAAAAAGGAAAGAGAGAGTGTCCTCTGCAGGAACATGGATGGTATATTCAGGAATATTATCAATAACTAAACAGCCATTTTGATAAGTCAATTAAGTAACATATAGCCAAACTTTAAACTCTTTAATAGCCATAAGTTAAACTGTAAAACACTACACAGCAATATAATAAATGCAGACATTATTCTGCAAAGGAATCACATTTTTAACTTTTTACTGAATATGGCTATTTGATTGAGGATGAGGATGGCAGTGACATGGGCATGGAGTAAGACTCGGCCCTGACTCTGGCCCCTTCTCTTACCTGGGAAATATCTCTAAGACCTGTCTGCAGTGCTTGCAGGTACCAGCCACAACCTCAGTGGGTGCTGGCCAACCCACAGGTGGAATGGGCCACGCCAGGAGATGTACTTTGTGCTCTTGGGTGTCAGCAGTTCTGTGCTCTGGTGCTATTTTCTGCAATGACTATGATAAAAATGCCCACTGGGCACCTGGGAGTGCTTCCCTCAGAACAAGCAGAGACTCAGGGACATTGCCCGTGCTGCTTCCAGTGCTCAACCTTGGCCCTTCCCAATGCCTAAGTCAGGGAATGAACACCAACTTCAAGCCATGGTTCTGGGGTACCTAGACAGAGGATGGCATGGGCCCCATTAGAGCTCATGGGTTTGATATGCACAGTTGGTGCCCTCAGTTTTCCCCTGCCTGGCCTCTATCAATGGATCTACATACACAATCTCTAACTCAGGAATGGAGAACGCAATCTACCACATGTGAGCAGATCTGCCCCTATATTTGGGAAGAGCTGGACTAGGTCAACCCCTAGACCAAGCTGAATTTGGGCTCAAGAAACTGGCAGAAGGAAGAGACAACCCCAAATTGTCTGAACTCCTGCCCCAGATTGGATCACCAGGCTAGTTACAGAATGGATCCCCTGCAGCAGCACAAGATCAAGATTTGTGCTGCACTGCTGTGTGTCTGGCTGGAAGGGAACCCCAAAATGCCTCACATAACAGAGTGGGTGTCCAAGTCACGTCCAGTTAGTCACAGAGAAATACCATGGCACCACTGAGAAGTTCTATAAGAACAAAAAAAAAAAAAAAAAAAACAAACAGAGTATGGAGGTCAAAATCCCTAAAATAGCTCTCCCCACAAGGTATACCTGTCCTATTATCACCCCTTCAGGTGCAACATGGGATGGGGGTAAGAAGGTGGCACTTTCCTGGACAGACAAGGAACCTGTGTTCCTCACAGAAACTTCGTAAGCATGCTAAGTTTTATTTGGAAGAATGGAGGTAGGAGGGGGTAAGGAGGTGGGAATCTGGGAAGTCTTCCCAGGAAAATGACATAAACTGAGAACTGAAGCATTCCAGGGAAAAGGGGCACTGACTGGGTAAAGGAGGAAAGAATGCTGGGTGTAGTGTTTCACACCTGTAATCCCAGCACTTTGGGAGGCCCAGGTGGGAAGACGGCTTGAAGCCAGGTGTTCAAGACCAGCCTGAGCAATATAGTGAGACCTCATCTCTACTAAAAATAAAAATGAATTAACTAGGTGTGGTGGCATATGCCTGTAGTCCCAGCTACTCAGGATGCTGAGGCAGGACGATCACTTGAGCCCAGGGAGGTCGAAGCTGCAGTGTGCCAAGATTGCCCCACTGCACTCCAGCTTGGGTGACAGAGCAAGACCCTGTCTCAAAGGGGAAAAAAAAACAAAAATTTTCTAGACAAAGGGAGAGGATGTAGAAAGCTTTGAAGGTGAAAGGAGAGATGGAAGCTTAAAATAGGACAGACTGTAGGTTATAGTAGAGTGCAGTGGTGCAATCGGGCACCTATAATCCCAGCTACTCAGGAGGCTGAGGCAGGAGACTCACTTGAACCTACGGGGCAGAGGTTGCAATGAGCCAAGATTGTGCCACTACACTCCAGTACATCATACAGTACAGACTTCAAGTTGGGACAACAGCAAGGGATAAGGCTGAAAAGGTGAATGGGTGGCCAGTGTACGAAAAACCTTTATAAGCTAGGGAGTTGGACATTTTTTCCCAGAGCGCAGTTAGCAGGAGAGGACAGAATACAAGCTTTAGAACTATCCACCCATTTGCTGGGTTGGGTATAGACTGGGGTAAGACTAGAAGCAAGGAGACCAAGCGGTCATGTCATGAACTAGCTCACACTGAAATAAAACCACCTGCGAGAGTAACACTGTCAGCATTTGCCTAACACTTCGCTTGCATGGGAAGGCACAGATCTAAGCACTCTACATGTATTGATCCTTCACCCTCACAGAAGCCTATGAGGAGCTGGGCCTGATAGTCCATGCCTGTAATCTAGCACTTTGGGAGGCCGAAGCGGGTGGATCACCTGAGGTCAGGAGATCGAGACCAGCCTGGCCAACATGGTGAAACCCCATCTCTACTAAAACTACAAAAATTAGCCGGGCATGGTGGCAGTCACCTATAATCCCAGCTACATGGGAGGCTGAGGCAGGAGACTCGCTTGAACCTAGGGGGCAGAGGTTGCAGTGGGCCGAGATCATTCCACTGCACTCCAGCCTGGTCAACAGAGCAAAACTCCGTCTCCAAAAAAAAAAAAAAAGAAGCCCATGAGAAAGGCACTATGACATTCTATGTGTGAGGCAGAGAAAAGTTAAACAATTTGCCTGAGGCCACACAGCAGTGAGGACCGAGTCACATTCACCCACTGCGCTCTTAACCAGTATATGCCCTCTCCTGAAGGTGGCAAAAATGGACAACAGATTCTGAAGACAGTTAGGAGGCAGAACCTATAGGACTTTGTGCTTGATTGGGTATGACAGCAAGAACAACAAAGAATGACTCCTAAATATCTAGCTTGGGGAACTGGATGGATGACAATGCCTTTCACTGAGCAAAGGTACACAGAAGATGGTTAGTATCTGTGTGGGCAAAATGACGAGCAGAGTTTTGGACTTGCTGAGTTTGAGAGGACTGTAGAAAATCCAAGTAGAGAAGTTCAGTAAGGGGTTGAACATACAGTTTTGGAGCCCAGGAGACAGACCTTGACAGGAGTTGTCGAAATAAGAGCCACTGGGTAAGAAAGCCCATGGAGAGCATGGGTAAGAGAGAGAGAATAGCATTAGCTAGAACCCTGAGCAAAACTGATATTTGAAGAAGAGCAGACAAAGAGGACTCTAGGGAGACCTTTGAAAGATGCTTTTGAGAAGATTTTCTTAGAAGTCAAGAAAATGTAAGCCAGGCATGGTGGCACATGCCTGTCATTCTAGCACTTTGGGAGGCCAAGGCGGGTGGGTAACTTTGATCTCAAGAGTTCAAGACCTGCCTGGGTAACATGGCAAAACCCCATCTCTACAACAACAACAACAACAACAACAAAAATACAAAAAATTAGCCGATCATGGTGGCTCATGTCTGTAGTCCCAGCTACTCTGGAGGCTGTGGTTGGAGGATCTCTTGAGCCTGGGAAGTAGAGATTGCAGTGAGCTGAGATTGTGCCACTGCACTCCAGCCTGGGAGGGAGAGCAAGACCTTGTCTCAAAAAAATAAATAAAAATAAAAAGTCAAGGTAATGTGATGTCATGGAAGCCTAGAGAAGGCACTTCAAGAAAAAGGAGTGGCTAATGCTGCTAGAAGTTCACAAAAGAAAGAGCTTGAAAGGTTTGTGGATGATCTTATTGTAAAAACTTGGAATTAAGGACAAAGGAATAGAAAATTTTCACCCTTTTTTTTTTATAACTCAAAATCGTACTCGGTCTCCTTCCAGTCTTGTTTTTAAAATCATAGAGATGGGGATCTATGTTGCCCAGGCTGGTCTCAAACTCCTGCGCTCAAGCAATTCTCCCACTGGATCCTGCTTGTAGTCCCACCACTGGCCTCCCGAAGTGCTGGGACTACAGACAGGCTTCAATCTTTAATGCATAAGAAGTCATACCCAAAGGATTATAAATCATTCTACTATAAAGACACATGCACACTATGTTTATTGCGGCACTATTCACAATAGGAAAGACTTGGAACCAACCCAAATGTCCATCAGTGATAGACTGGATAAAGAAAATGTGGTACATATATACCATGGAATACTATGCAGCCATAAAAAAGGATGAGTTCATGTCCTTTGCAGGGACATGGATGAAGCTAGAAACCATCATTCTCAACAAACTATCACAAAAACAGAAAACCAAACACTGCATGTTCTCACTCATAAGTGGGAGTTGAACAATGAGAACACATGGATACAGGGAGGGGAACATCACACACTGGGGCCTGTGGGAGGGGTGGGGGGCTAGGGGAGGGATAACATTAGGAAAAATACCTAATGTAGGTGATGGGTTGATGGGTACAGCAAACCACCATGGCACGTGTATACCTATGTAACAAAACTGCACGTTCTGTACGTGTACCCTAGAACTTAAAGTATAATAAAAAAAGAAGTCATATTATATACATTATTATGTAGCCTGTTGTTTTCACTTTGTAATACATACTAGGCAATTACTCGTGCCATGAAGAGTTCCTTGTAAACATCATTTGAATGGAAACATGAGGATTCCAGCCCAAACATATCCTATGGCCCAGAGGACTCATTCACAGACCCACTCTTGGGCAGTATTTCCTTACTACATGCTTGTTTGCATAGTCAGGCAGGGACCAGGAGTTGGAGCTAAGAGGAATGAGGACCTCATCCTCTGGACAATACAATTGCTTTATTCCTTTGGATAGCTGGTCTTAAATTTTACTGCACTAATGCAGAAAAATCAACCAGCAGAAAAAGACAAGTTTGATTACTCAAGGATTATAATTTATCTATTTATTCTATTTCCAGGTTTCTCAGTAGAGCCAATAATTGTCTATATTCCCTTATAAACCGTGGGTTTGGCCCTGGCTAAGAGTTTTGGACAAACTAAGATGTCGTACTTCACAAACTCAAGCAAATATGTTGATAGGGCTTAATGTTCTGTGGTTGATGGCTAATCAGGGCATCTCCCAGTCAGATGAGAAATTATAAATACAAAGCAGGAATTCTTCCTCATCGACCTGCCCCCTGCCTCCCCACCCCCGACAAAAAATGTTGCTTATTCCATTCTAAGTCAGTCTGGCAGATGATCCCAGCACCAGGCCTGGGATGAACTCGGCTGACCCTCCTTCCCTTACTGGCTTCCCACACTGTGTACTTCCTTCAAGTCCAGTTTAAGCCTTTCCAATGGAGTTTCCCCAGTCCAAAATGACATCTGATTTTTTTTTTTTTTTTTTTTTTTTTTTTTTTTTGAGATGGAGTCTCTCTCTGCCGCCCAGGCTGGAGTGCAGTGGTGCGATCTCTGCCTCCCAGGTTCAAGTGATTCTCCTGCCTCAGCTTCCGGACTAGCTGGGATTATAGGCACATGCCACCACGCCCAGCTCATTTTTACATTTGTAGTAGAGACTGAGTTCCACCATGTTGGTCAGGCTGGTCTCGAACTCCTGACCTCATGATCCACCCACCTCAGCCTCCCAAAGTGTTGGGATTACAGGCGTGAGCCACCACGCCCAGCCAAGTCATCATTTCTGATGCAGCACCTTCTGAAGATTCAGAGCCCTGGCCACAGTGGGGACACTGCAGGCTTATTCAATACAATGTGGTGTCACAGGCACAGGGGACCATAGGCCGGGGGCTCAAATCCCAACTTTGCTACTTCTTAGCAGTATAACTTAATTCGATGAGTGACTTAACTTCTCTGTGCCTCAATTTCCTTACCAAGAATGAATTCCACCAGGCACAGTAGCTCATGCCTGTAATCCCAGCATCTTGGGAGGCCAAGGCAGGAGGATTGCTTGAGCTCAGGAGTTTGGGACCAACCTGGACAACATCGTGAGATCTCATCTCTACTAAAGACAATTAGCTGGGTATGGTGGGTACTTGCCAGTGGTCCCAGCTACTTGGGAGGCTGAGGCAGAAGGATCGCTTGAGCCCAAGAGGTTGAAGCTGCAGTGAGCTATAATTCTGCCACAGCATTTCAGCCTGAGTGACAGAGCAAGACTCTGTCTCCAAAAAAAAAAAAAAAAAAAAAAAAAAAAGTCCAGGCACAGTGGCTCATGCCTGTAATCCCAGAACTTTGGGAGGCTGAGGCAGGCGAATCACGAGGTCAGGAGTTCGAGACCAGCCTGGCCAACATGGTGAAACTCTATCTCTACTAAAATTACAAAAATTAGCCGGGCATGGTGGTGCACACTTGTAGTCCCAGCTACACAGGAGGCTGAGACAGGAGAATCACTTGAACCCTGGAGGCGAAGGTTTTGGTGAGCCAAGATCGTGCCACTGCACTCCAGCCTGGGCGCAGAGCAAGACTCCAACTCAAAAAAAAAAAAAAAAAAAAAGATTTCCCTGCCAGGCCTGGTGTCTCATGCCTGTAATATTAGCACTTCCAGAGGTAGAGGCAGGAGGATAGCTTGAAGTCAGGAGTTCAAGACAAGTCTGGGCAACATAGTGAGATCCCATCTCTACAAAAAAATTTTAATAATTTGAAAACAAACAAAGCCTAAAAATAAAAAAGAATGAGTTCTTACTTGTGAGTTAAAATTAAAAAATAAAGATATGGCCAGGCACAGTGGCTCACGCCTGTAATCCCAGTAGTTTGAGAGGCCAAGGCAGGTAGATCAGTTGAAATCAGGAGTTCAAGACCAGCCTGGCAAATGTGGCGAAACCCTGTCTCTACTAAAAATACAAAAATTAGGCAGGTGCTTGCAGTAGCATGCACCTGTAATCCCCACTGCTCAGGAGGCTGAGGCAGGAGAATCACTTGAACCCAGGAGGCGGAGGTTGCAGTGAGCTGAGATCATGCCACTGTACTCCAGCCAATGCAATGGAGCAAGTCTCTGCCTCAAAAATAAAATCAAATAATATATATATGTAACATAATCAGTCCCTGGACAAAAGTAACAGCTCTATAAATGTTGATCCTTATTAAGCAGATACTGTTTTGAAGTCTAACTGAACTTTTAGTTTTTTTCTTTTCTTTTTTTAATTTGTAGAGATGAGGTCTTGCAGTGTTGCCCAGGCTGGTCTCAAACTCCTGGGCTCAAGTGACCCTCCTGCTTCAGCCTCCCAAAGTGCTGGGATTACAGGCATGAACCACTGTACCTGGCCAACTCTTCTTTCTCTTCAAAGAAATTTCTGAGGCTGGGGAAGAATTAGTGATCCGGGAGAAACCACCATTCATTTCATCATTTACAAATCATTTCTGATTGTTGACCAAGTGTTCTCAGAATCTGAGGGGCTATTAGCAGGCTATAGACTACTATCCCACTAATAAATACATAAATCTGTGTGTTAACTAAATATTCCTGTGTGCTTATTATGGACTAAACATTGTTGCTAAATGCTTTTCTCATTTAGCTCCATAGCAATCTTATGAAGTTATTATTTTTATTCCCATTTTAAAGATGAGAAAAATGGAGGCTTAGAATTATTAAACTGTACAGACCTGGTATCTGAATTCTGGTTTTCTAACTTCAGTGTTCAGATGTCTAAGTACTGTGTGTTAAGCACTTGCTTGAGAGATTGACACATGGGGCCCATGTGGATAGGTGAGAAAAAAAATGCAAGAAGTGTTTACCTCCCCCTTTTTATTTCAATGTGGGACTATCTATAACTCACAGTTCTGGTAGGGATTGAATTTAATCATGTTGGATAGACCAAGTCCAGTATTAACTACTTGGATGATTGGTAGAGAAATAAGGCACATATAATCTATATAAATTGACAGTTCACATGTTGGAATTCCAACCTCAAGGTGATAGTATTAGGAGGTTGGGCCTTTGTGAGGTGGAACCACCATGATTAGGGTCAGTGCCCTTATCAAAGGCCTCAGAGCATTAGCTCATCCATTCCCCCACGTGAGGACACAGTAAGAAGGTGCCATCTAGAAGCCAGAGAGTGGGCTCTCCCTAAATACTGAATCTGCTGCACCTTCATCTTGGACTTCCCAGCCTTCAGAGCTATGAGAAATACATTTCTTGCCCAGTCCACTGGTAATGGGTTATCAGAACATATTAATATTAGTGTCACTGAAGTTGCTATACAACCCCCTACTGCTAAATTTGACTGGTTTTTTAGAATAAAAAAGAAAAGAAAGAGAAATGTCTTGTATAAGCTACTTAGTCTATGGTATTTTGACATTCAAAATGGGCTAAGACATAAGGAAATACAAGAGGAGTAACAGGCATGGGGGAGGCATTGAGGAGAGGAGGGTAGGTGATATGCTCCCTCTTGAGTATGAAGTGCTTGTGGAACATGCAGGCAGGCCTAGGAAAGGAATGGTTTGGGGTTTTATCTGCAGAGATGGGGAATAGAGGCCATGATTAATGGTCCACAGAGTTTCTGAAGCACAAAGGCCGAGAAAGGAATCCCTGGACCCAGTTGAGGGTCCAGCAAAAGAGGCAAGGAAGAGCCATTTAAATGCGTGCCCCATTTCCAAAGACAGGGTAAGTTCCTTAGCACAAGGAGGCACAGCTCATTCATGGTCTGGCTTTCTATGATTTCAGTTACACTTGGTCAACTGAGGTCTGAAAATAGGTGAATCAGTACAATAAGATTTTGTAAGAGAGATTGCATGAGAGAGAGAGCCCACACTCACACAGCTTTTATTACAGCATATCGTTATAGTTCTTCTATTGTTAGTTATTGTTGTTGATACCTTGCTGTACCTAATTTGTAAACTAAACTTGACCACAGGTCAAGGAAAAACATAGCATATTTTTTTTTATATAGGGCTCAGAACTAACTGCAGTTTCAGGCATCCGCTGGGCAGTGGTTGGGGGGTTCTGAAACGTAGCCCCTGGTGGATAAAGGGAGACTACTGTATCATTCACAGAGGCTTACATCTAGAAGGCTCTCAGCCGGGTGCAGTGGCTCATGCCTGTAATCCCAACACTCTGGGAGGCCGAGGAGGGGTGGGGGCGGATCACTAGAGGTCA
This sequence comes from Homo sapiens, assembly GCF_000001405.40. Lineage (NCBI taxonomy): Eukaryota > Metazoa > Chordata > Mammalia > Primates > Hominidae > Homo > Homo sapiens. The sequence continues at coordinate 59,574,765 of NC_000015.10, read as the reverse complement.
GGAGTTCATCACCAGCCTGGCCAACATGGTGAAACCCCATCTCTACTAAAAATACAAAAAATCAGCTGGGTACGGTGGTGCATGCCTATAGTCCCAAGTGCTCAGAAGGCTGAGGCAGGAGAATCGCTTGTACCCGGAAGGCAGAAGCTTCAGTTGAGCTGAGCACTCCAGCCTGGGCAACAGAGTGAGACTCTGTCTCAAAATAAATAAAACTTAAAAATAATAGAAGGCTCTCAAAAGTATTTTTGGAGTGATGTATTTATTAGTGTGTGGTTAGCTGGCCTTTAAGTAAACTGAAACTTTATTTTTTTTTTCTTTTTAAATAATACATACTGATATATCCAGCAAGAGACTTGTCTAATAAATAGCTACTTATTAAACCAATAAATAGTTTTTCTTGAAGAAATAAAGTTAGGTCCCCACCTCATGCCATGGTGAAAATAAATTTAGAATCTATTATAGTTTTGTTATAAAAATGTTAGGGAAAATGGAGAATGTTCGTATTGCTTAAGGGTAGAGGTGACCTTTCAAAGCAAGACAAGAGCCTACAGCCATACCACCCTGAACGCACTCAATCTCTGTCTAATCTCCGAAACTAAGCAGGATTGAGCCTGGTTAGTACTTCAGTGGGATACTGCCTGGGAATACTGGGTGCTATAGGCTTAAAGAAAATAAGAATAGAAATAAAGCAAGACAAGACACACAGATGCTGTAAACACAAAATAAACCCTGAGATTTGACAGCATAAAAATTAGATGTTTCAATATGGCAAAAACCCAAGTAGATTCAAATGATAAACAGTAACCCAGGGAGAAAATGTTCACTTACTATTCATAATAAACAGAACTTCTATATGACAATTAGAGCTTGTCATGCCCTGCTGAAACCTACAGGGATATGTCTCATGACCTGCTTATGCTGTTGTCTTCAGGTGGGTACAGGTGTTTGGGTACCAGGGTTGTGAGACGGTCATTTAGTGGATATATAAGATAAACAGAATAAATCAGTTCAATTTTAATTAATGATTGGACAACTTAACAAGTTAATTCTATTTAAATGCCTTTAGCAGCAACTGGGACTTACAAAGTGCTTTCACACATGTAACTTGCTCAGCCTGGCCTGCGGGCCTGGCTGCCCCCACCTGTCTCCATCTACATCTCCAGTGACCCTCTTCCTCTTCCTTGTTCATTAGCCTCCTTGCTACTCAAAAACTAACATCTCCTGCCTCAGAACCTTTGTACATGCAGTTTCCTTCCTTTGGACGCTCTTGCCTCACATACGCTTGTGCTTGATTCCTCATTTCACTGAGGTCTCTCATCAAACGCCCCCTCTGTACACAGGCCTTATGGTCAGGGACTCTGTTTTGAGTCTGCTGTGTCCCTAGAGACTAGAGCAGAGCCCTCTCTATAATAGGAATGCAAAACCTTGTTGAATCATAGGATTCATTTATTAATCAATTACTTCATGAAATTTGTTTTTCTTCTGAGTCAAGATCTTCCCGTCACCCAGGTTGGAGGACAGTGGCACAATCGTAACTCAATACAGTCTTGATTTCTGGGGCTCAAGTGATCCTCCTGCCTCAGCTTTCTGAGTAGCTAGGAATGCAAGCGTGTGCCACTGCACCTAATTTTTATACTTTTTGTAGCAACAGAGTCTCGTTATGTTGCCCAGAAGCATCTTGAACTTCTTGCCTCAATGAATCCTCCCTGCCTCAGTCTGCCAAAGTGCTGAAATTACAGGTGTCAGCCACCATGCCCAGCCTACTTCATGTAATTTAATCTTCACAATAAAAAGACCTGTTTATCCGGGATATTTACATTTCTTTTGTTGTTGTTGTTTAGTTTTGTTTTTTGGAGACGGAGTCTCACTCTTGTCCCCCAGGCTGGAGTGCGATGGTGTGATCTCGGCTCACTGCAACCTCCGCCTCCAGGTTCAAGCAATTCTCCTGCCTCAGCCTCCCAAGTAGCTGGGATTACAGGCGCCTGCCACAACAACCGGCTAATTTTTTGTGTTTTTTTTTTTAGTAGAGACATGTTTCACCATGTTGGCTAGGCTGGTCTCGAACTGCTGACCTCAGGTAATCCACCTGCCTTGGCCTCCCAAAGTGCTGGGATTACAGGCATGAGCCACCACACCTGGCCAGATATTTACATTTCTTCGTCGAATAGAATACTTGACCTATTGCATTTTCTTACATCCCTCCAGCTCAACACAGCTGCCTCCCTGAAGCATTTCAAAGCCCATCCTTTCCAAATGTGCTAACGTGAATTATTCTCCCTACTCAGATTCCTCTGTCTAAATAAACATTCCTTGTTGTCTGGCCCCAGAATTTTGAGAGGTCAACTTGGGAGGATCACTTAAGCCCAGGAGTTTGGGGCTGCAGTGAGCTATGATAGCACCCACTACACTCCAGTGTGGGCAACAGAGCGAGACTCTGTCTCATCAATCAATCAATCAATTGTCCCTGTGAAACAAATGCCCGCAGTGAATACCACTGCAATATGACCCATTCTTTCCTCTGCTTGAAGATAAAAAGTAGGCCAGGCATGGTGGCTCACGCCCGTAATCCCAACACTCTGGGAGGCCGAGGTGGGCAGATCACCTGAGGTCAGGAGTTCAAGACCAGCCTGAACAACATGGAGAAACCCTGTCTCTACTAAAAATACAAAATTAGCCGTTCATGGTGGCACGTGCCTGTAATCCCAGCTACTAGGGACGCTGAGGCAGGAGAATCGCTTGAACCCTGGAGATGGAGGTTGCAGTGAGCCGAGATTGCGCCATTGCACTCCAGCCTGGGCAATAAGAGCAAAAATCTGTCTCAAAAAAAAAAAAAAAAAAAAGTGGCCAGTATACAAACTCAGTAAGTTTAAATATTTGAAAACTTTTATCAAGTTCCTTGTTAGCATTCCTGTTCCATGATGATTCCAGGATAAAAATGATATTACTGTTTCTTGCAATAATGTCCACTGAACGATAAGCTGTACTGCCTCTCTCCCTGCGAGACTTGCTGTCACACAACAGGCAGGTCTCAAGACAAACCTCAGCACCTTCCAGTGCAACATGGTGACCTTGGATTGTTTTATATCATGGCCACACTCAGAGCACCAGCACTTCATAGAAAATATAAATGCCGTTCCCGTGATCTAGTCTAAGGTAGGGAGAAGGTAAATATACAAAATTGATAAAATCTTTGTATTCAACAAGTTAAAACATGACCAGGCATGGTGGCTCATGCCTGTAATCCCAGCATTTTGGGAGGTCAAGGCGGGTAGATCACCTGAGGTCAGAAGTTCGAGACCAGCCTGGCCAACATGGTGAAACCCCATGTCTATTAAAAATATAAAAATGAGCTGGGCGTGGTGGCACGGGCCTATAATTCCAGCTACTTGGGAGGCTGAGGCAGGAGAATTGCTTGAACCCAAGAGGCAGAGGTTGCAGTGAGCCAACATTGCACCACTGCACTCCAGCCTGGGTGACAGAGCAAGACTCTGGGAAAAAAAAAAAAAAAAAAAAAAACTAAAAAAAAAAAGAAGTTAAAATATAATAGGGGATCCAGGTAATGAAAGCAGCTTATTATAATAAAGTCAGAATGAAAATATATGCTAAATAAAAGTCCAAGCAATGTGCTCTGGAAAAACAACCTGAATGGAGATAGAGAGAGAGATTTATTTGTGTTTAAGAATGAAGATGGGCCAGGCACAGTGGCTCACACCTATAATCCCAGCACATTGGGAGGCTGAGGCAGGCAGATTGCTTGAGCTCAAGAGTTCAAGACCAGCCTGGCCAACATGGCAAAACCCATCTCTACAAAAAATACAAAAATTAGCCAGGCATGGTGGTAGGTGCCTGTAGTCCCAGCTACTTGGGAGGCTGAGGCAGGAGAATCGCTTAAATCCAGGAGGCAGAGGTTTCAGTGAGCTGAGATGGCACCACTGCACTCCAGCCTGGGAGACAGAGTGAGACTCTGTCTCAAAAGAAAAAAAAAAAAAAAGAAAGAAGAAAAAAGATGAGGGTGCTTGGGTTCATATGGTAGACTTGGAGGAACAGGGATTAATTTAAGGTACAATAAAGAAGGGGTGATTACTGAGGACAGGTAGGATAACAAGTGCTTGGGTAAATAGGACAGTCTTGGGAAAGAGGATTGTTATTTCCTCCTTTGAGGACACGGAGGTGGTTGAAAAGAATGCATGAGGGTGTGGTGACATTTCAATGAGCCACAGGCAAGTTTATGCCACAATCTTCTCACAGAGGTGGAAGGCTACGTCACTGAGTGAGAGTGATGGCACAAGGAAGAATGAGATCGAAAGAGTCATGTTACAAGAATCAGGATGCAAATCAATATAATTCCAAACAGCAGGAGAGAATAAGAGAGAGACCAGGGATGAATAATAATCAAGCAGCCTTTAGGATCCACATAAAGGTTGATCACACAATTTTGGAATGAAGTCAAGCAACATGGTTCTGCTTTTTGGTTACTGTTTTTGCTAGCACTATTTAGACAGCTTGGGTACACATGTACGAAAATTTGCAGCTAAGTTTACATGAGGTTGAAGATTGACTGGCTCTTGAAAATCAAGGGTGAGAAGAAAGGAGGAAGTTTATGACAGCACACAAATGGTTGACCCTAAGGTCCAGGTGGGATAGGGAAACAAATGAAGGCAGAGGTGACTAAGGGGCTGAGAGAATAAGGAAAGGTTAGAACCAGAGGTTGAGATGCTATCGTAAGGCAGGTTTAGTAGAAATAAGGATACAGAAAAGATAAAATGTCAATGTCAGAGAAAGAAGCTTCACGGATTGTAATTTCAGGTCAATGTTGGAGAAAGGAAGACTCCAGGGTTTATAATTTCAGGTTCTACAAGAGGACCTGTCCAGGAGTTACTAACGTGAAGGGGGGTGTCAAGACACCATAAGGCCAGATGCTGGATAAGTCACTCATCTGGACACTGGAGATGCTCCAGATGACTGCCAGGGACTGAGTGCTGGGCAAGCCTGAGATCCAGGGACCAATATGCCCAGGGCATCTGGAAGAGACCTGGAGGCGGTGGCAGTAAGTATACACAGCAGGCAACAGGGCTGCCTGGTGGTGGCTTGAGAGGAAGCGATCAAACCACTGAAAGCAGACGTGGAGAGCACAGAGACGATGCCATCCTCCTGACTCGAGCGTGCAGGGACTATGAGGTTGTAGGGTGGGGTGCTTTTAAAAAATGGGGGGAGGAGGAGCGAGCCCACACAGGAGGATGAGGACAATAATAACAGCAAGGTTTTCTCCGTGCAAGAGATAGGAGGTCAGATTAGGTGAGGGAGCCAGGCCACTCCAGCAAAGGCCTTTTCCTTGAAGACCAGCAGGCCTCGTGGCATCCCCTCTCCCATCAGCCCTCAGCTAATCACTGAACCTTCTTTAAATCATAGGATTTCTTCCTCAGGTTTTCCTCAAGTTACAGGATTTCAGTGGTGGCATTATGCTCCCTACCCAAAGGGCCTTCAGGGCCCATTTTCTGAGTCGAAGTAACAGACATGAACTCTACAGAAGAGCTTTGAAGTACTTGCAACTGTCCGATAAAGAATGGGCTTCCCCCTAAGTAATAATTGGAGGTGTTCTACTGCATGCACCACAGTACCTCTCTGAATAACACACCCCCAAGAGGAAGGATCTGGAATCATAATGTAAGTGCATCATCTCCTGAAACCTTTCTCAGAGTGAAAATTAAAAGCCTGCTGTAAGGGATGACACCGGGCACTGAGTAAAATGCACGTTCTCGACTGGTGCTCCTGCCCCACTCCTTTCTTAGTATGTAACCATTAGTCCAGATTGATATTTTGCCATCTTATTTCTCAGATTGCACTTTTGTTTATGTGTGCACACACTATAGTTCCATTTGTCACCGGGAAAGTACAGCTATTAATTATCACCTATATTGACTTTCAGTTAATTGAAGGCAGGAAGAAGGAAGAAAAAGAGAAAAAAATCAAGCTCTAACAACTTGGGTTGGGGAAATAAAAGGCAAAGGTCATTGACAGATAAGAATATTTTACTGTACATAAGAATGGCTAATTTTTACTGTAGATAAGAATTTACTGCAGATTAGACTATCTAATTTTTTTCTTAGATCGAGTCTTGCTCTGTCGCCCAGGCCAGAGTGCAGTGGCGCAATCTCGGCTCACTGTAACCTCAGCCTCCCGGGTTCAAGCGATTCTCTTGCCTCAGCCACCTGAGTAGCCGCGACCACAGGCGCATGCCACCATGCCCAGCTAATTTTTTGTATTTTTAGCACAGATGGGGTTTCACCGTGTTAGCCAGGATGGTCTTGATCTCCTGACCTCGTGATCTACCCACCTCAGCCTCCCAAAGCGCTGGGATTACAGGCGTGAGCCACTGCGCCCAGCCTAAAAAGTTTTTTATTTAAAAGTTATAGTATGCTAAGGTTAATTAATGAGACAAATTTTATAAATTTAGTGTTGCCTAAGTGTACAGTGTTTACAAAGCCTACAGTAGTGTACAGCAATGTCCTAGACCTTCACATTCACTCACCACTCACTCACACACTAACTCACCCAAAGAACTTCCAGTTCTGGCCAGGTGCGGATAGGCTCACACCTGTAATCCCAGCACTTTGGGAGGCTAAGGCGGGTGGATCAGGAGGTCAGGAGTGCAACACCAGCCTGGCCAAGATGGTGAAACCCCATCTCTACTAAAAATACAAAAATTAGCCGGGCATGGTGGTGGGCATCTGTAATCGCAGCTACTCGGGAAACTTAGGCACGAGAATCGCTTGAACCCAGGTGGGCTGAGATCGCACCACTGCACTCTAGCCTGGGTGACAGAGCAAGACTCCGTCTCAAAAATAAATAAATAAATAAAATAAAATAAAGAAAGAAAAATGTTATTGTTGAAAAAAAAAAAAAAAAAAGAACTTCCAGTCCTATAAGCTCTATTTATGGTAAGTACCCTGTAATACAGGTGTACCATTTTCATTTTTTTTTCAGTTGAGACAGGGTCTCATTGTCTCCTAGGCTGGAGTACAGTGGCTCAATCCTAGCTCACTGCAGCCTTGAACTCCTAGGCTCAAGCAATCCTCCTGCCTCAGCCTCCCAAGTAGCTGGAACTACAGGTATGCACCACCAGAAGCAACAGGCCTAGGAGCAATAGGCCATACCATAAAGTCTAGGTGTGTAGTAGGTTATGCCATCTAAGTTTGGGTAAGTGCATGCTGTGATGTTTGCACAATGATTAAATCACCTAAAAATACATTTCTCGGAATGTATCTCCATCATAAAGCAATACATGACTAATTCTCTTTAGAATTTCTGGACTTGAAACAGCCATTTAATGCAATCAAGAACTTTTGCTGAAGGCTCATAATTCAGAGAAATACAACTGAATTCACTGAGAAAATTAGTTTTCTTTTTAAAAGAATTTTTAAATTTAATTTAAAAAATAATTCACACAGTTCAAAATTTTAATAATACAAAAAGCCTACAAACACTCTCATTTTCAGTAATGGCAAATTCGACCATTTGAACTAACCCTCCTGTTCAGAACAACTAGAAAAGGTCAACACAATTTTTTTTTCAATCTGCTTAAAACATCTAATAGCTAAAGAGATAGTGAAGAATTACTGGACCAGGATTCAGGAATGGATGAATAGCCTACAAGGTGAGCCTATCATTTAGGACAGCTTCCACCCAGGTGGCTTCTGCAGAATCTGGAAGAGACACCAGAGATAAGCTTCCAGGACCGGGGAACAGAATATGACAAAAGTAGAGACTCTGATCAATGTTTCTTATGTGATTTTGGTTGTGGCCCTTCAGAGCTGCATCTTAACTGTAAGAGTTAACACGTTGCAGGCTGTCTTTGAGTCATTTAAGTGACCCAGACAATGAAACTCTCTGGAATTAGAAAAGGTAAAGCCCCAGGCAGATGTCTGAGGCAAATTAAAATTCTGCCTGGGAAAAATAACATTTTGCTAGGCTTCAAGTTGTTTTAACAAATAAAGCCCAGTGGCACAATCGAAGATGACCAGGCATACAAGGAGCCAAGAACACATACACAAAAAGTAGCAGAAGGTGAAGCCAGGCATGGTGGCATGCACCTATATTCCAAGCTACTCAGGAGGCTGAGGTGGGAGAATCATTTGAGGTCAGGAGTTCAAGACTGTAGTGCACTATAATTGCTCCTATGAATAGCCACAGCACTCCAGCCTGGGCAACATAGCCAGATGCCATCTCAAAAAATAAACATTTTTTAAAAATTAGCAGAAGTTACAAATAATTAAAAACAATGTACAAAGGACTCCAAATATTGGAACTATCAAATACTGACTGTAAAGTTGCTTTGCTTATCTTGGCCATGGAGATAAAAGACAAATTAAACACATTGGCAGAGACCTGGAAACTGAAACAAAAACACCTGTTACTTAAAAAATTAGAATTAGAAATTCTAAGACTGAAAAATGTAACAGTTAAAATTAAGAACTTATGGGGCCAGGCACAGTGGCTCATACCTGTAATGCCAAGACTTTCAGAGGCCAAGGCAGGCAGATCATGAGGTCAGGAGATTGAGACCATCCTGGCTAATACAGTGAAACCCGTCTCTACTAAAAATACAATAAATTAGCAGGGCTAATTTTTGGTTGCACACACCTGTAATCCCAGCTACTTGGGAGGCTGAGGCAGGAGAATCACTTGAACCCAGGAGGCGGAGGTTGCAGCGAGCTGAGATTGTGCCACTGCATGCCAGCCTGGGCAACACAGTGAGACTCCATCTCAAAAAATAAAAAATAAAAAAACTTATGAATAGATTCACCATTAGATCAGGCATAGGTGAAGAGAAAATTTGTAAATCAGAAGTTAGTATGAAGTAATGGTATGCTGCTGGTAAAGCAGCTCTAAGGGGTAGAACCCCTAATTTATACTATTTGCCAGCTTCCATGGTATGAATACTCCTATCACGCCTCCATTTCAAGTTACCAATGGTTTAACAATGATCTCATAAATTTTCTTTATAAAAAATTTAGTAATAGGCTCTCACAAACTTGTGTAATCAAGCTACAGAACACCACTTGTTCTGAAAATATCTATATTGAAGCACAGAGAGTCAAAGGATAGAAAATGCAGATGAGAGGTAAGAGAAATAAAGGATGCAGTGAAAAGATGTCACATGTTTAACTGTAGTCCTAGAAGGAGAGGAGAGGGAGAATGGAATAGAGACAACCTTCAGAACGATATTACCTAAAATCCTCCAATACTGATGAAAGACATTAATCTACAGATTTAAGAAGTCTAATAAACTCCAAGCAGAATAGACTTTTATCAAGATACATAGGAAAACCGCAGAAATGCAGTTGGGGTGCAATGGCTTATGCCTGTAATCCCAGCACTTTGGGAGACCAAGGTAGGTGGATCACCTAAGGTCAGGAGTTCGAGACCAGCCTGGGTAACATGGTAAAACCCCGTCTCTACTAAAAATACAAATATTAGCCAGGAGTGGTGGCAGGCACCTATAATCCCAACTACTTGGGAGGCTGAGGCAATAGAATCAACTTGAATCCAGGAGGCAGAGGTTGCAGTGAGCCAAGATCATGCCCCTGCACTCCAGCCTGGACGACAAAGTGAGACTCTGTCTCAAAAAAATAAAAATAAATAAAAAATAAAGGAAAAAAGAAAACTGCAGAAAACCAAAGGCAAAGAGAAAAATCTTAAGATCTAGAAGCAACCAGAGGGAAAAAAAAGTACTGCTTTCAAAACAATTAGACCAAGAGCTCACATTTCAACCTAAATGATAGAAACTAGAAAATAGTGGAAAAATATCACCACACTTCTGAAAGAAAATAACTGCCCAACTAGAATTCTATAATAAAATTTTCCTTCAAGAATGGAAGTAAAATAACTTCTAGGCAAAAATTAAAGGAATGTTATTGGCAAACTGTACTAAAGGAAACTCTAAAGCGTCATCTCAGCCAGGCGCGGTTGCTCACAGCTGTAATCCCAGCACTTTGGGAGGCTGAGGCGGGCAGATCACAAGGTCAGGAGATCGAGACCATCTTAGCTAATACGGTGAAACCCCATTTCTACTAAAAATACAAAAATTAGCCAGGCATGATGGCATGGGCCTGTAGTCCCAGCTGCTGGGGAGGCTGAGGCAGGAGAATGGCATGAACCCAGGAGGCGGAGCTTGCAGTGAACCGAGATCATGCCACCGCATTCCAGCCTGGGCGACAGAGCAAGACTCCATCTAAAAAAAATAATAATAAATAAATAAATAAATAAAATAAAAAGAGTAATCTTCAGGTAGGCAAAACTGATCCCAGGTAGATCCCAGGTAGAAGCACAGAAATAAAGGAAGGAACAAAGAGAAACAAAAGCAGTAATCTAAATGAATATCAAACAAGAATAGCAATGTCTTGTGGTGTTTAAAATGCACACAGAAGTAAATACTTGACAACAATAGCATATAAGTTGAGTGGGATATAAAATGAACTCAAAGTGTTTTAAGATCCTAAGATTATCAGCAAAAGAATAAAAGCATCAATTAAAATTTGTTTTCCAAATTAACACATAGATTCAATGCAATCAGTCTGAATCCACATCTCAGCTGCCTTTTCTGTAGAAATTTTCAAGCTGATTCTAAAATTTACTCTAAAATTCATAAAAAGCATTTAAAGGACCTATATTACCCAAAACAACTTTGAAAAAGAAGAAAGTTGAAGGGCTAACAGTACCTGATTACAAGATTATGAAGTTAGAGTAATCCAGACAACATAGCGTCAGTATAAACATAGGCAAATAAATCAATGAAATAGAATGGCATCAAGAAATAAACCCATATACATATGAGAAGCTGATGTTTTTTATACATGTCAGTTAACACAAGTCAATGCATTGGAAAAAGGAAAGTCTTTTCAACAAACAATCCTGGAACAACTGGAATTCCATAAGCAAAAAAAGGAAAATAAAACTTGGACACTACCTCAAATTAATTCAAAATGAATTATAGAACTAAATTGAAAATCTAAACTATCATATCTAGAAGAAATCACAGAAGAATACTTGTGACCTTGGGTTGGGCAAAAATTTAAGTATGGCATCAAAGACACAATACATTAAAAAATAGATAAATTGGACTTTATCAAAATTAAGTCTCCTAGGCTGGACGTGGTGGGTCACGCCTGTAATCCCAGCACTTTGGGAGGCCGAGGAGGGTGGATCACTTGAGGTAAGGACTTCGAGACCAGTCTGGCCAACATGGTGAAACCCTGCCTCCACTAAAAATACAAAAATTAGCTGGGCATGATGGCGGGTACCTGTAATCCCAGCTACTCCAAAGGCTGAGGCACCAGAATCACTTGAACCTGGGAGGCAGAGGTTGCAGTGAGCCAAGATCGTACCACTGCACTCCACCCCGGGCAACAGAGCGAGATTCTGTCTCCAAAAAAGGAAAAAAAGAAAAGAAAAGAAAAAACAGAAGTCTGACAGAGCCACACACATGCGACTATGCAGAAACAGGTGCTCAGGCAAGGAGAGAGCATCTATGGAGAATAATTTGACCCTTGCGATCAAAAAAACAAATGTACCTACTCTCTGACCTACAATACCATTTCTAGGAATTTTTTCCTATAAAAGTACTTGAATGTATTTAAAACTATGTTAGTATAATGATTATTTATTGAAGCATGGTTTGCAATAGCGAAGTACTAGAAACTTTAACATCCACCAATAGGGAAAGTTAATTAAAATTATAGGAAATTCATGCAATGCAATTATTTTTTAAAAGGCAGGGGGAGCTCTTTATGTACAGATAATGAAAAGATTGTCAGGATATATTTTTAAATAACAGCAGGTAAATGTCACTAGGTAAAGAAAGTGAGAGTAAAATAATGAAAATAAAAAGACTAGCCAGAGGCGGAGATGGTGTTTGCAACACATATCACAAAACACTATCAAGCAGAGACCCATGGAAGGAAAAGAAACACTCCCTTTTGCAATGCAAAAAAGAAACTAAAAAAATATGGAAAGAGACAGGCATTTACAAGAGAAAATTCAAATGCCCAATAAACATAAAAATGTGCTCAACCTCATTAGTCATCAAGAAAATGTGAATTACAACCTCCCATCACCAACTACCATTACAGACCAGCCAGGGTAAAAGTATAAAAACCCAATAAAACCAAGTGTTAGAGAGGATGTGTATTAATAGAAACTCCAGCACACTGCTGCTGTGAGTATAAATTAGTACAGCCAGTTTGAAACAGGTTGGCAGCATCTACTGAAATGAAAGAGATTCACACTCTGAGACCCAGCAATTCCACTCCTAGGTATATAACCACCAGAAATGCGTGTGCTTATTCTCCAAGATACATGTAAAAAAAATATGTTTCAAGCACCCTTATCATTAATAGCCCAAAACTAGAAACAACCCAAACGTTCATCAACAGTAGAAAAAGGGCGGGGCACGGGGGCTCATGCCTGTAATCCCACCACTTTGGGAGGCCGAGGTGGGCGGATCACCTGAGGTTGGGAGTTCGAGACCAGCCTGACCAACATGGAGAAACCCCATCTCTACTAAAAACACAAAAATAGCCAGGCATGGTGGCGCATGCCTGTAATCCCAACTACTCGGGAGGCTGAGGCAGGAGAATCGCTTGAACCCAGGAGGTGGAGGTTGCCGTGAGCTGAGATCACGCCAGTGCATTCCAGCCTGGGCAACAAGAGCAAAACTCCGCCTCGGGGAAAAAAAAAAAAAAAAAAAAAAAAACCAGTAGAACAGATATATACATTATAGAATATTCATTTAACAGTGTACCCAGCAATAAAAATGAATGAACTACAGCTATACACAACATGGATGAATCTAACCCAAAAAATGTTAAGCAAAAAGAAACCATTACAAAAGGACATGGAATATGAGGCTAGTAACGTGAACGAAACAAATGGTCTTTGGATTTGCACATCTAGGTGACAGAACTATAAAGCAAGGAGGTGATGACCATAAATCAGGATAGTGCTTACCTTTGGGGAGAGGTTGTGATAGAGAAGACAGGGTTTATGGGGTGATACAGTGTTCCTTTTTATTTTTCGAGACAGGTTCTCACTCTGTAGTACAGGCTAGATTTCAGTGGTGTGATCATAGCTCACTGCAACCTCCAACTCCAGACTTAAGCGATCCTCCCACCTCAGCCTCCCAAGTAGCTGAGACTACAGGCACAACTGGGCACCACCACACCAAGCTAATATGTAGAAATGTGGTCTCACTGTGTTGCCCAGGCTATTATCAAACTCCTGGCCTCAAGTGATCCTCCTGCCTCAGCCCTCCAAAGTGCTGGGAATTACAAACATAAGTCACCATGCCCAACCATGCAGCATTCTATTTCTTGATCTGGATAATGGCTTTATAGTGTTCACTTAATAATTTATTTTGCAAAGCACTGATATTCTATTCTTTCCCATATGTCTATTTCACCAAAAGGTGTTGTATTAAGGTATACAGTGAAAAATCCTGCTACCACTTACCCTTTTCTTTTACCATCCATATCCTACATCCTCCTTGACATAAAACCGCTTTTATTGGTTTGCTATATATCCTTCCAAAATGTTTTAAACACACATAAGGGATTGATTGATTGATCGATTGATTGAGACAGAGTCTCGCTCTATCTCCCAGGCTGGAGTGCAATGGCGTGATCTCGGCTCACTGCAACCTCCATCTCCCAGGTTCAAGCAATTCTCTTGCCTCAGCCTCCCAAGTGGCTGGGATTACAGGCACACACACCACGCCCAGCTAATTTTTGTATTTTTAGTAGAGACGGGGTTTCACCATGTTAGCCAGGCTGGTCTTAAACTCCTCACCTCAAGGGATCTGTCCACCTCGGCCTCTCAAAATGCTGGGATTACAGGCTTGAGCCACTGCTCCAGGCCAATTTTTTAAAAATTTTATATTTATAGGTATTTATCTATATTTACTATTTTTAAAATTATTTATTATTGATTAATTGACAGGTTTTGCTCTGTCATCCTGGCTGGAGTACAGTGGCACAATCATAGCTTACTATATAACCTCAAACTCCTGGGCTCAAGCAAATATATTCTTACCACTGCCACCCCCCATCTTTTCTTGTACCTAAGATATATGGATATTGTTTTTCTCCACCTTGATGAGGGTTGGTTGGGTTTTTTTGGTTTGTCTTTTAGTTAACAACAGATCTTGGACATCTTTACACATCTACAGCTGCATAGTTTTCCATTGTATCTACCATGGCTAGACCTCTTCTATTAATGGACATTTGGGTTGTATCTCATCTTTCATTATTGCAAAGATACAATGAATAAGTTTTCATATACATAATTTCATATGAAAGCACATATATCTGTAGAATAAGCCCCCAGAAATGAAACTACTGTGACAAAACATAGGTACATTTGTAAGATATCGTCAGGCTGGACGGAGTGGCTCATGCCTGTAATCCCAGCACTCTGGAACGCTGAGGCAGGTGAATTGCTTGAGTCCAGGAATTCAAGACCAGCCTGAACAACATAGTGAAGCCCCATCTCTACTAAAAATACAAAAAATTAGCCAGGCATGGTGGCATGCACCTGTAGTCCCAGATACCTAGGAGGCTGAGGTGGGAGGATCACTTGAGTCTAGGAGTTGGTGACCCTGGGAACTGGGCAACATGGTGAGACCTCACCACTACAAATAATACAAAGTTAACCAGTTGTGGTGGCACATGCCTGTAGTCTCAGCTACTCAGGAGGCTGAGGTGGGGGGATCGCTTAAGCCCAGGAGGTGGAGGTTGCAGTGAGCTGAGATCGTGCCACTGCACTCCAGCATGGGAGATGGAGCAAGACCTTATTTCAAAATAATAATAATGAAATGTTTAGCTTAAAGCTGCCTCCTTCATAGTGAACTGTAACCTAACTGGGTGTATAAACAGACTACAATCTGGTCTTGTGCCAATCACCAAGTTTCAGCTAATCAAAGATGGCCAATTTTTCAAATCATGATCAAATAAGGCAACACCAGGCTAGCCACAGTGGCTCATCCCTATAATCCTAGCATCTTGGACAGCCCACGGAAAGAGGATCTCTTGAGGCCAGGGTCTCACTCTGCCAGCCAGGCTGGAGTATAGTGTTCTGATAATAGCTCACTGCAGCCTTGACCTCCTGGGCTCAAGCTATCCTCCCTCCTTGGCATTTTGAGTAGCTGGGACTAATCTTTTTTTTTATTTTTGGTAGAGACAAGGTCTTGTAATGCTACGCAGGCTGGTCTTAAATGCCTGGTCTCAAGTGATCCTCCCATCTCAGCCTCCCAAAGTGCTCGGATTACAAGCGTGAGCCACCATTCCTGGCCTTGTTCACATTATTTGCACATCTTTCTTTGGAGTTTTGGTTCTTTTCTTGTTTCTAGCTCTTTTCTGTATTTGGAAGTTTAGCTCTTCTTCCTTACTCTGTGATGAGTTGCAGCTATTCTTCCCCAGGATGCCATTCGCTTTTTTTTTGGTAGAAATGGGGTCTCACCATGTTGCTCAGGCTGGTCTCAAACTCCTGGTCTCAAGCAATCCTCAGCCTCCCAAAGTGCTGGGATCACAGGTGTGAGCCACCACACCCAGCTATGCCATTTGGTTTTTACCTTATGGTGAATATTTTGTTTTACCAAGTGGAGGGATTTTGGTTTGTTTGCAATGTTGTCAAATTTATATACTTTCACTTTTAGATTCCAGCTTTTGAGTCATAGCTACAAAGATCTTCCCCATTCTAAGCATATACAGGAATTCTCCCTTGGCAAGTAACTCTGTAGGAAAGAAGGGATAGTGGGAGGAAGATATTCTCACTTATATAAATAAAAACTCATTTATAACTTTAGTTTTTACACGTAAATCATCAATCCATTTGGAATTTATCTTGGTCAACAATGTAAGATGTAGATACAACTTAATACTCTCCCTGAGTATAACCCTGTTTCCTGACCATTGATTTGATAGTCGATTGTTGGTTACCTGCTAGTTTTGCTTTGCATTTCAATTTGAATTTTCCAACAGCAAGATTAGTAATTTACTGCCCAGAGGATATTATTTCAAGTTAACCTCATTCTGTGTCCTGCCCTCAAAATGCCAAAAATATAAACAGTATTTCTCTTTCTGCAATGAATTCTGCCCTAAGTGAAAGAAAGGAGAGCCTAATTTCCCTGCTGAAGAACAGGAAATGTGTAGCCCAAGTAATAGACCAGCCTCCAAATCTCTAAGAGGCCCCAGGTCAGTACTGTGCTCTTTGGCTTCCAGATTAGTCAACTAAAGTTGCATGTTTCTTGTACCAAAAAGTCCTGGTTGTGAAGTTCTACTAAATTCTAAAATTAGTTGAACCAAGAAGTTGACTTGCAAGTAATAACACTTTCAATTTATTCTTTTTTTTTTTTCGAAACTGAGTCTCACTCTGTCGCCCAGGCTGGAGGGCAGTGACACGATCTTGGCTCACTGCAACCTCTGCCTCCCGGGTTCAAGCGATTCTCCTGCCTCAGCCTCCCAAGTAGCTGGGACTATAGGCGCTGCGCCACCACACCCGCGTCATTTTTGTATTTTTAGTAGAGACGGGGTTTCACCATGTTGGCCAGGCTGGTCTTGAACTCCTGACCTCAGGTGATCCACCCGCCTCAGCCTCCCAAAGTGCTGGGATTACAGGTGTGAGCCACCGCACCCGGCCTTCAATTTATTCTTGCACTGTATTTTTCTCCCACTCAATTACTTTGCCCCATCCAAAGGCAATGAAAGTGTATTTCAATGGGAGAGACGTATTATTAAACAAGGTTGTGATGACAGTACAAATATATTTTTCCATTGAATTTAATGGCCACAAGCAGAGTAACAAATGATGGCACATAAACGGGGTCAGATGCACAGACTGGAAAGGAACACAGGAAGAACATCAATCGTAAAGCCAGAGAGCCAAGTGGCTAATTTTCTCCAAAAGGTCTTTTTCACTTAACTTCCTCTTTTTCATTTAACCCCATTGTTGAGTCCCTCCTATCAGTCAAGCCCATGCTAACCCCTACTGAAGTGTAGGTGGATCTCATTTGGAAGAATTTTCAATTAATAAGCAGACAGCTAAAGGGAAATTATTTTATTTCAGTGGTATAGGATAGTGGAAATATACTGGAAGAAGAATTCA
This sequence comes from Homo sapiens, assembly GCF_000001405.40. Lineage (NCBI taxonomy): Eukaryota > Metazoa > Chordata > Mammalia > Primates > Hominidae > Homo > Homo sapiens. The sequence goes on along the minus strand of NC_000015.10, from coordinate 59,557,611 downwards.
AAAATTCGGGTCCTGCTTTTTACTCATTGAACATGCCAGGAAAAGTCATTTAATTCTTTTTCAGATGAATTCCCTCATCTATAACATCAAGGAACATCTTTGTCCATCTACACTCACAGTTAAGGATTCAATGAGTTAATATGTACAAGAGGGCTTTTCAAAAATATACAAAAATACAATTCAGACTGTCAAGGTAGGGGAGAAACCCATAGGCTCTAAGTGAATGTCTTCATTTCACTATATGAAAACTGCCAGTCTGGGAGGGTCTGGGAGCCTCAGGCAGGGGCAGGATGGAATTAGAACTCTGAGCTCCTGATGTGGAACTCACTGCTCTTCCCAAGCTGCCATGTTAGAGGCCACTGGAAAGTTGGCAGTGAGGCAAGAGCATTGCTCAGACAGTCACCGGTGTGGCATGGCCCGGGCCACAGTTGGGCTCAGACCAGAGGTCCAGTCCACAGCTCTGTGTGCCACTGATGTAACCTAAGGCAAGATGGTCCCTCTCCTCCCTCTGGGCCCTGGTTTCCCTTTTTTTGTTGTTGTTGTTTTTTTTTGTTTTTTGAGATGGAGTCTTGCCCTGTCACCCAGGCTGGAGTATAGTGGTTATAATCTTGGCTCACTGCAACCTCCACCTCCCAGGTTCAAGCAATTCTCATGCCTTAGCCTCCCAAGTAGCTGGGATTACAGGTGTCTGCCATAACTCTTGGCTAATTTTTGTATTTTTAGTAGAGACAGGGTTTCACCATGTTAGCCAGGCTTGTCTTGAACTCCTGACCTCAGGTGATCCACCAACCTTGGCCTCCCAAAGTGCTGGGATTATAGGCATGAGTCACTGCGCGCAGCTCTGGTTTTTTATCAAACTTAAAGGGTTGGGAAAGATGGGCTCTATGTGCCTTTCAGGCAATATCCTAAAATATTATCTTAAGGCTAATTTGCAAACATACACACACTCACACATACACACACACTCCTATTACCACAGGGAACAGAACAGGTGTTTCTGATTATGTAAATTTCCAACCCCACCCTCATCTTCCATGACTTCTCATGCCTTTGGACCAAGTCAAATTCAAGTTTCTTGACACTGAAGACATTACAACTACTACCAAACCTCACTGCCCTGAGGCCATGCCACCATCTAACTGGACTCCCTGCTTCTAGCCTTGTCTCTGGCTGTTCTCCACAAGGCAGCTACAGGGAACTAAAAGCTAAAAGAGAAGTCAGATCACATTGCTCCTCTGTTCACAACCTTCTAACGGCTCCCCTCTCAGCCAAAGTCAAATTCTTTGTAAGGCCCTACATGACCTGCCCGCCATCTCTTCCAATTCTTGGACCTTTTCTTTTACTCCTCTCCCCATCGGGTCCAGTGATGAGTCTCTTGGCTATTCTTGCCACACCAGCACCTTCTTCAGGCCTCTGCACACACATGTGCCCCCATTACCTGAACAGTCTTCCCCAGTTATCAAATGTCACCTTCACAGCAGAGCTTTCACTGATCACTCACGACTTTTGTTGTTTTTAAGATAGGGTCTTGCTCTGTTCCCCAGATTAGAGCGCAATGGCACGTTCAGAGCTCCCTGCAGCCTTAAACTCTTGGGTTCAAGTAATCCTCCCACCTCAGCCTTCAGAGCAGCTGGGAACACTGGTGCATCATACCACCACACCCAGCTCTGATTACTCACTGCAATTTTATTTATTTATAAGACAGTCTTGCCCTGTCAGCCAGGAGTGCAGTGGCACAATCTTGGCTCACTGTGACCTCTGCCTCCTGACTTCAAGTTATTCTTGTGCCTCAGCCACCGAATAGCTGGGATTGCAGGCATGCACCACCACACCCAGGTAATTTTTTTGTATTTTTAGTAAAGACGGGGTTTAGCTCTATTGCCCAGGCTGGTCTTGAACTCTTGAGCTCAGAGTCATCAACTCACCTTGGCCTCCCAAAGTGCTGGGATTACAAGCGTGAACGACCGTGCCCGGCCTGATTACTCAATTCAAAATTACATCCCTACACACAACACACAGACCCCTTATCCCTTTTACTAGTTTATCATTTACCTCCGCAACACTTATATTTTCCTTGTTTATTGCCTGTCTCGCTTCACTGCAAAATTTGCTCCATGAGGGCAGGGATGGTCGGTTTTGTTTGCTGCTGTATCCCCAGTGCCTAGAACAGTATGTAGCATATAGTAGGTACTTGACAATTATTTGTTACTGGGCTGGGTGCAGATTACTCTCCTGTAATCCTAGCACTTTGGGAGATGGAAGCAGGAGGATCACTTGAGGTCAGAAGTTCAAGACGACCCTGGGCAACATGGTGAGACCCCCATCTCTACGAAAAAAATGTTTAAAAATAGCCAGACATGGGGTCCCACACCTGTAGTCCCAGATATTTGGGAAGCTGAGGTGGGATAATCACTTGAACCTGGAAGACTGAGGCTGCAGTGAGCCGTCATCATGCCACTGCACTCTAGCCTGGGTGACAGTATGAGACTCTATCTCAAAAAAATTATTTTTTTGACTAAATTCTGGTCACAAGGAAGTTGAATAACACAACTGAACTAGTTTACTTAGCTACCTGCCCAAAGGAAAGACAGTAAGAACTTGAGTAGGTTGGTGTGACACCACACTCTGGGGGCTGCTATGTGAAATCAGAGAGGGGTGTGTGCACGCACACACATGTTTAATGAAAGCAGGAAGAGAACCCAGACAGAAAAGGAAATATAATCATTCACCTAAGCTGAGAAGAGTTTATGGGCATCTATGAGCCATACAATTGCCATTAAGTGTGATAAAGGGCTTCCAGACCTGGCGTGGTGGCTCACACCTGTAATCCCAGCACTTTGGGAGGCCAAGGCAGGTGGATTACTTGAGGTCAGCAGTTTGTGACCAGCCTGGCCAACATGGTGAAACACTGTTTCTACTAAAACTACAAAAATTAGTCAGGCTTGGTGGCACCAGCTACTCGGGAGGCTGAGGCAAGAGAATTGCTTGAACCCGGGAGGCAGAGGATGCAGTGAGCCGAGATCGCGTCATTGCACTCCAGCCTGGGTGACAAAGCGAGACTCTACCTCAAAAAAAAAAAAAAAAAAAAAAAGCGGGGGGGAGCTTCCAGCTGTCAGGAAAGTTCAGGGCTATATCCCCGAATGGAGGAACACTTGTTGATTTCAGTGAACCTGGAATCAATATAAGAATTAGAATAAACACAGATATTGAGGAAGATAAAGTAGGCAAGATTAAATATTTACCTTGTGCTCACAATAAATGCATTAGTAGAGCACAGAAGTTGGGGAGACACTAGGTATTTTGCTGTGTACACATGGATTACAGACTGCAAGCAATTATTGTCTCTCTTCTGTTAACTCCACTGGACTCTTTATCCCTGGTGTCAGGGTTGCTATCAGTTTCACAACTGTGTTTGCCTAGCTCATGGCAGGACATGCAGTTGAATTTGCTCTGACCACAAATATGAAGTTCCTGAGAAAGGAACAATGGGAGTCCAGTGAACTCACATTGAAGTTCCTGAGAAATGAACAATGGGAGGGCATATGGGAGTCTTTAATGAGTAGGTGTCTTCCTGGGATGGTGTAATTGGTCACTGCTGCACAGGCCCCGCACCCATGTGCATCATGAGGAAAAGCATATCAAACACTCCTAAACAACCCAATAGGAAGCTACCCTTCCTTCAACACACGCGCACACGGCACCTATGGTCACAGCCAGGTCACTGTGGGAATAGTTTTTGTATTGCTCGGGGTCTGCTTTGGAAAAAGCTATGTCTGGCCAGGTGTGGTGGCTCATGCCTTTAACCCCAGCACTTTGGGAGGCCGAGGAGGGTGGATCACTTGAGGTCAGGAGTTCAAGACCAGCCTGGCTAACATGGTGAAACCCCGCCTCCACTAAAAATACAAAAATTAGCCGGGCTTGGTGGCGGGTGCCTGTAATCCCAGCTACTTGGGAGGCTGGGGCAGAAGAATCACTTGAACCTGGGAGGTGGAGGTTGCAGTGAGCTGAGATCATGCCATTGCACTCTGCACTCCAGCCTGGGCGACAGAGTGAGACTCCGTCTCAGAAAAAAAGAAAAAAGAAAAAACTGTCATGCACACCCCCTTTCTCACCATTAGGCCCACCTTCCTCTTTGGCCTCTTCCATCTCCTCTCCTCCCTCTCAGACCCCCGTCATATTCCTCTCTCACTTCTAATTCTCTCTCAATTTCCAGTAATGATCAAAGCATGTGACACCTTTGAGTTGGAAAACATTAATTAAAAGAGAGACAAGAGAGAGAGAGACGAGAGGGAGGGGGGATGGGACAGAGGGAGGGCAAGAGAGGGAACGGGGAAGAAGAAAGGAAACTATTTCCTCTGGGTGTCTTCCATTTCTGGAGTCTGAGCAAGTTAGTATTCATTCAGTTAATTAATTTACTTGAATCCAAGCTTATCTAAAAAGAAGATTTAACTAAAATATACATAAAATATACTAAGGCGCCTTTCGGCGGGAACCGCCATCTTCCAGTAATTCGCCAAAATGACCAACACAAAGGGAAAGAGGAGAGGCATCCGATATATGTTCTCTAGTCCTTTTAGAAAACATGGAGTCGTTCCTTTGGCCACATATATGTGAATCTATAAGAAAGGTGATATTGTAGACATCAAGGGAATGGGTACTGTTCAAAAAGGAACGCCCCACAAGTGTTACCACGGCTAAACTGGAAGAGTCTGCCGTGTCCCCCAGCATGCTGTTGGCATTGTTGTAAACAAACAGTTAAGGGCAAGATTCTTGCCAAGAGAATTAATGTGTGTATTGAGCACATTGAGCACTCTAAGAGCCAAGATAGCTTCCTGAAACATGTGAAGAAAAATGATCAGAAAAACAAAGAAGCCAAAGAGAAAGCTACCTGGGTTCAACTGAAGCACCAGCCTGCTCCACCCAGAGAAGCACACTTTGTGAGAACCAATGGGAAGGAGCCTGAGCTGCTGGAACCTCTTCCCTATGAATTCATGGCATAAGAGGTGTTAAAAATAATAATAAATAAAGGACCTCTGGGCTGTAAAAAATAAATAAACAAATAAATAATAAAATAAAACATACTAAGGCAACAAAAGCCAGAGGAAAGATGAAACAAAGGAACAAAAGTGTTAAAGCAAACTAAATATGGCCCAAGGACACCGTACTTCTGTATTTGAGTCCTTGTGAATGAACTGTAACCTAGCTTAACAGACAAAATTGAAAACCTAACTTAGGAGTCTGAGCCTGTAACAATAGCTATGTCTTGGCCAATCCAAGTATGACAAGAAGTGGCCATACTTCAACCATTCATACACTGCTGAGGGTTCAAACTGTGTTCGAATAAAGCATACGCCGAACTGTAATCAATCCAGCCATTCTGTACCTCACTTCCAATTTCTGTATGCCATTTCTCTTTGTCAATAAATCTTCCACCACGTGGAAGCCCTGGGGTCTCTGTGAATCTCCTGTGATTCTGGGGGCTGCTCGATTCGCACATTTTTCATTGATCAATTCAACTCCTTTAAATTTAATTCGGCTGAAGTTTTCATCAATATGGACAGAATACAAAACGGAATAAAAAACGTGGCTAATACAAAAACACATACCAAGAAGTCTTATTCCCTTAACCCATGTATGCCTGGTGTTCCATTATTGGAACACTAAGCATGTGGGAGTTGTTTATATCCTACTGCTCCAGGTCACCACCAAGGTCTGATTTTTCACACGTCTGCAATTCAAAAAATCGCAACCTCCAGCCTAAATGGGTTAAGAAATTGGGCCACAAACTCAACTCTAAATTTTCTAGCTTCAAACTATGAGTAACGTAACTCTGAGGGTCTGATTCAAAAGAAAAAAAAAAAACTGAAACACATACGTGACCTGAAAGAAAGTTTTTTTTTTTAAATAAAATGAACGATTATCTCAACAATCAATGTCTTTAGAATGGGTAATCACAGAAATTCTTAGAAGATTCCTCAAGGAAAACCATAGGCGTATCTCCATAGAGCCTCTTATTTTGAGACAGAGTCTTGCTCTGTTGCCCAGGGAGGAGTACAGTGGCATGATGATCGTAACTCACTGCAGCTTCAACTTTCTGGGCTCAAACGATCCTCCTGCCTCAGCCTCTGGAAAGTTGGGTCTTCAGGCACATGCCACCAGGCCTGGCTAATTTTTTATTTTCTATAGAGATAGGGTCTCACTTTATTGTCCAGGCTGGGCTTTAACTCCTGAGCTCAAGCGATCTTCCCACCTCGGCCACCCAAAGTGCTAGGATTACAGGCAAGAGCCACCACATCTTGTCAGAGCCATTTATTGTCAGCAGTTCTAGTAGGTCCAGGCCTCAGACATCTGCTGCTCTGGTACATCCTATGCAAACTTGCAAATCATAGGCAACGTTTGTTTAGCTGGGACTGTGTTTGTGATTGCCACTGCTGTTATTTTAAAGTCAATGCACTTAAGAGGGGAATGCATGCTTCCGTTTTCCTCCTCTATTGTTTTTAATACTGTGGCTTCATACATTAATGTTGCATAACTGGGCCCTAAAGGCATTGCCCTGGAGACCCCAGCCATTCATCTGTTTATTCAATGGATAATTCTGAGCACCTTTTATTGCACTCTTCTACATAAACAAACAACATGTCCTACTTCACGAGCTTAAATTCTAGGGGAATGAAACTGGCAATATATAAGTAAAATTATATGGTATATCAGATGGGTAAGTGTTACAGAAAATAAAGCAAGAAAAGGCAAGAGAGTGCTAGAGGAAGGAAATTTTTATGGAGTCAGGAAAGTCCTCACTGAGAAGGTCACGTTTGAGTAATGACCTGAAAGTTCAGGGAACTGTAGATATCTGAAGAAACAGCAAGAACAGAGGCACTGGGGTAGGGAGTGGTTTGGCTTGCTGGGAAGTTAACTTCCCCAGAGCAAAAAGCAAGGAGGAGTGGAGAAGTGCTAAGAAAAAGAGGAAATGGTAGAGGGGGCAAGACAGATCACATGGACCCTGGTAGGGTCACTGTAGGAACTTCAGAGTGTAACCAAGCACCCCCACTTTTTTTTTTTTTTTTTTTTTTCTGAGATGGAGTTTTGCTCCTGTTGCCCAGGCTGGAGTGCAATGGCATGATCTCGGCTCACTGCAACCTCTGCCTCCTGGGTTCAAGCGATTCTCCCGCCTCAGCCTCCCAAGTAGCTGGGATTACAGGCACCCACCACCATGCCCGGCTTATTTTTGTATCATTAGTAGAGACAGGGTTTTACCACGTTGGCCAGGCTGGTTTTGAACTCCTGACCTCAGGTGATCCGCCTGCCTTGGCCTCCCAAAGTGCTGGGATTATAGGCGTTAGCCACTACGCCCCGTCTCCAAGTAGCCCCATTTTTCTAGAGTGGTTAAACCAAAACAAATTCTAAGGCTCCCCTGCTCCAAACATTTGAATGGACCCTTCCTCTCAACCAAGGGCATTCTAGAGTTAACCTGGAAATCTAGTTCAGGCCACGATGGAAGAGGGGGGCAGGATATGCCTCATTATACCCCTCCAGCATTAACACCAATAGGGACCTTAAGTCTGATAAGAAACATTTACAGTCCATTGTAAGCCTGCTACTTGGAGGCTCATCTACATAAAACCTAGGGCTTCACAATCCCTCAGCAGAACCCAGACATTCCTTTCTACTGATAACTCTTTCAACCAATTGCCAATCAGAAAAAATTTAAATCTACCTATGACCCTTTCAGATCCAGCCAATGTAGATCTTACACATATTGACTGATACATTATGTCTCCCTAAAATGTATAAAAGTAAGCTGTATTCTGACCACCTTGGGCACCGGTCATCAGAATCTCCTGAGGCTGTCACAGTGCGTCCTTAACCTTGGCAAAGTAAACATTCTAAATTGAGATCTGTCTCAGATACTTCACAATGGTTCACAACGATTTAATTACTTCCTCCACACCCACCCCCACCCCACCACCCCCCCACCCATCCCCACCCCACACCTTCCCTCTTGTTTCTGTGGCTCCCTGTTTCCTAATTAGCCCTTCAGAAGTACAAATATAACCTTTCACCTCCTGTCTCACCAGACATTCCCTACATGGCAAATTCTTCTAACTTTATGCCCCAAGACAGATCTTTCCTAGAGAGCTGACGGTAGATTTGCAAACCAAAGCATGCTCCCCAGGTAACTTCCACCCTCCAGGCAGGCGTTTGAAAGCGTATGGGCAGTGGCCACTTTTACAACTTACTTCTGCCTAGGAAAGCGCCAACTGCCCCATGGCTAAAACAGCAAGCTAGCAGGGAACCCCCGCCCTTGCTCATTTCTTCCCTTACCTTATAAAAATGCCTGTTTTCTGCTCCACAAGTAAAGCCACACAGCAGGACATCTGTACATCTTCCCCAAGCTATAATAGCTTCAGAATCAATTCACTTGCTTTGTATCAGGCCTCGTTCTTGTTAATTGGACTCGGCATGTGAACAACTAACCCACCTTTCAGTTATGATGTTGGTGGCCTGTACGGGGAAGCACTGTGCGCTACGGGTAGGCCTGTGCCTGAGCTACTGGGCAAGGTATGAGGTTGCCTGGGAGTAGCAGCTGCTGGTGGCTAGCGAACCCCAAGATGGGAACATTAGGGAATTTCCCAGCGGCTGCCAAAAATGCTTTTGTTTTGGAGGCACCTCCCTATTGCCTCCCTGCATGATGTTTGCTGCCTTCAACACTTTGCTGATACAAAGCAAGTGAACTCAAAAAAAGAAAAACAGAAACCCAGTAAACTTCAGAACTAAGTTGGTCAGGAGTACCCCTGACTACCCTCTGCCTCTTTTGAGGTGTCACTGAAGCCCTGCCGTGCATAGGACCTGGCTGCTAGTGGTATCATTTGAGCATTTTTGTTTGTATGTACAGAGTAAGGGTTAAAGAAAGGAGACAAACACAAAAAGTGGCTCAACAGTCAAAGACAGGTTTATTTTGGAGAATAAACCGGAGAGGGGCTTCTGGCCAATTTAGGTCAGGAGTGTTCTCTCTTACAGACTAAGGGTATTTAAGGGTTTAGGGAGGGAGAGCTTGTCTTAGGTTCAGAATGGTTCTGGGCAGAGGAAAGTTTTATTGCAGAGTTGGCATGTTTCTGGTCGGAGGGGGGTTTATCTAGGGGTTGGAATGTTTCCAGTCGGAGGTACCATTTGTGGTTTATGGTCATGCTGGCATTAGCCATTAGGTTGACTTCTGGGGGCTGGATTTAGGTGGTTTTTAATCAAGGGGAACTTAAAATGGCGGTGTTTGTCCAAGATGGTGATGCTCCTGCTCTGTCCTGTAACACCATAGCAGCTCTGCTCAGATGGGACTCAGATGTCCATGGAGCCATTTCGGAACTGGGGTGGAGGATTCAGGCTCTCACCCAGCCTCCACCAGGGATTTTGTTTGGAAGTGCACCATTTGTTTGTGTGAACGTATGGCTTTGTGTATGGGCCCCGATTTCTTTTCCTTTCTGTCTCCAACTTCACCCTTGTAATTACTGTCATTCGAGAAAAATGAGACAAGTCTCAATCATTTCAGGAGATTTGCCGAAGTTTAGGACACGGGCCTGTGACACAGCCTCAGGAAGTCCTGACAACATGTGCCCAAGATGGTCGGGGCACAGCTTGGTTTTATGCATTTTAGGGAGACGTGAGACATCAATCAAGAAGTACATGTAAGAAGTACACTGGTTCCATCCAGAAAGGCAGGGAGGGGGCTTCCAGGTCTCAGGTACCTGTGACAAATGGCTGCATTTTTTGAGTTTCTGATTAGCCATTCCAAAGGAGGCAATCAGAATATGCACCTCTCTCAGTGAGCAGAGGGATGACTTCAAATAGAATGAAAGACAGACTTGCCTGAAGCAGTTCCCAGCTTGAAAGGGCCCAAGATATTTTCCGTTCACACTATCAGCTTTACTTACACTAACAGCCACTTACAGCTTTACTCCTCTCGGCAGCAGGCACCCCTAGCTCCCTCTGGCTGGAAAAAATTCACCTTTACTGGTGGCTTGCAGAGGTGAGAGGAACCCATTCCACACCACGGAGACCTGGGGTGCTGAGGCTCATCCCAGGCAAAAGTCTAGCCCATACGCAACGCCACCTCCTGAATGAGACACAGCTATTACTATTTAAGCTGATCCATTCTCAAAAATTGGACAGGGCTATGACCACCTTCATGAGTATTCATAGCTCCTTCTGTAGCCCGTTAAACATATATACTTAGCCAACCTGACATGATATCTGGTTATGATTGTCAGTGGGGAACTTGCATGATAACTAAGAATTTGGGAAATGCCTCTAATAGCCCTGAAAGACATGTACAAACAACTTAAAGTTATGTCTGACCCTACATTGTCACTAGACCAATGGTTAGCAACCTGATTCAGGACAGGACCATTCTGGTGGCAAAGCTACTTTTAACAGTGGCCCCAATTGCAGGGATGGGCATATCCCTCCATTGTGGAGCTTACTGCTGTTGTATCCTCTATACGGGAAAACAAGGCAAGCTCTTTCAGAGACCTAGACAAGCAGTCTGCAACCTTTGTGGAACCAGGGACCAGTTTCATGGAAGACAATTTTTCCACAGGATGGGGTGAAGGGGAGGGAAGGATGGTTTTGAGTTGAAACTGTTCCACCTCAGATCAGGCATTAGATTCTCACAAGGAATGGACAGCCTCATTCCCTTGGTTGTGTAGTTCACAACAGGTTTTGCGCTCCTATGAGACTCTAATGTTGCAGCTGATCTGACAGGAAGCACAGCCCAGGCGGTAATGCTCTCTAGCCTGCTGCTCACCTCCTGCTGTGCGGCCTGGTTTCCAACAGCTCAGGGACTGGTACTGATCTGCGACCCGAGGGCTGGGGACCCCTGTTCTAAACCTCACACCATAATGCTCCAACCAGTATCATCTGTAAGTCCACGTACTTGTGAATATTCCCAACTCCAAGTAGATCAGTTCCATTCTGAGGTCCAATGACTACACCCACCTTTCAGCAGAAAGCAGCCAGAATGAATATGGCACCTAGATCCCATAGAAATGGGAGCGAACTTGGGGTTAGGGAACGGTAACCAAGTACCCCAATTTATCTAAGAGGTGGGTTTTTTTCTGTCTTCTTTACCGTCCCTGGCTCCCCATCTCCTACCTAGCCCTTCAGAAGTGCAAATATAACCTTTCACCTTCCGCCTCACCAAACATTCCCTACAGAGCAAGTTCTTCTAACCTTGTGCTCCAAAACAGATCTCTCCTTGAGAGCTGACAGTCAATGGGCAGACCACCAAGGCATACCTGCCACGGAACTTTCACCTCTAGGACGTGGCCTCAGAACTTTCACCTTCTGGGGATGGCCTCAGAACTTCCACTCTATAGGGGTTGCCCTGGAACTTTCATCCACCAGGAGGGCATGTCGAAAGCATGCCTGTTTGGAATCTTTTACAAGTTACTTTTGCTCAGAAAGGCGCCATGACCGGTGCCTGAGGACACAGCCACCCCTCCCCTAGCCCTCTCTAAAATATAAGCAAAGGCATGAAGAGTGTTGCAATGAACATAAGAAAAATAAGTAAAACCTGGACAGGGCATCCCCTGAGCAGGGCTACAGCAACTGTTGGCCGGAAAACATTCAAGCAGCAGGTGCAGAACTATCACCCCATTCCTTTTCAGCTGTGCACCGAACACACAGCTCTGAGCACAGACACTTCCTCGTGAGCCCTCCAAGATAAATTAGCTGCAAGGCTAGTTCCAGAAAGTAGCTAAACCAATGACTGCCTTCCTGGGATTATCATAATCCGCTGAAAAAACGGTTAAGAGCCAGGGGATCCTGGAGAACAATAGCCCTTTCTTCGGGCCCTAAAGTGAGTGTTTCCACGTCCCAGCAGTTAGGGCACCTCTACAAGCAGTGCCCAACAGGTGGCCCAAGTCTCTAAGAAGAACTTGCACAGAATGGAAGAGGGCCCCAGGCACCCCAGCGCTGCCACCCACTGGGTGGGTAACCCGGGGCAAGTCATTCCTCTGTGAGCCACAGTTACTCATCTCTCAATTGAGGGTTTTGTTTTGTTTTTGAGAGAGTCTCACTGCGTTGCCCAGGCTGGAATGCAATGGCATGAGAGACAACCTCATTACAACCTCCGCCTCCCAGGTTCAAGCAATTCTCTTGCCTCAGCCTCCCAAGTAGCTGGGATTACAGGCACGTGCCACCACACCCGGCTAATTTTTTGTATTTTTAGTAGAGACGGGGTTTCACCATGTTGGCCAGCCTGGTCTCGAACTCCTTACCTCAGGTGATCCACCCACGTTGGCCACCAAAAGTGCTGGGATTACAGGCGTGAGCCACCGTGCCCGGCCTTCAGTTGAGGGTTTTATGAGGAGTCAATGAAATTATTAAGTGAGGAACACAGTGCAGTTTATAATGGGGACTCACTCAATTCGTGTTGGTTGCCTTTGCCCTGCTCCATATGAGTTGACCAAGGACCCATGTGGGCACCCCACTGTCTCTCCAGCACACTTGACTGCTGTGCTTTCTGACTTGCCTGTCAGTCCAAAGGTACTGCCTGAGGAAGTCCAAAACGTCTCTGTCCGTGAACAAGGCCAGTGAAACCTATTCCATGGCTCCATTCATTTGTTTCTAAGGAAGGTCAACTGCATCCCTGCCCCCCACACCCCTCAGTGCCCTGCCCTCACCCAAATATACCCCCAACCAAGGAGAAGGCCCTGATGAGCCTCCATAGCAGGAAGGGGCAGAAAGCTCCAGAAAGAGGCCCAGGCCTGGCTGAGCGCCCATGAGGAGGACACAGGTGCCTGGAAACTTGGTAAAAGTTCGAATTTCTCTCTCCACCAAATAAAGAAAGCGCATGGTTTCCCAAGAGTGCTCCATGTTTCAAGAAAAATAAAGAGGAAATTCCTTTGTGGAAGAGAACAGTAGTCCTGGGTGTTTAATATGCAGGCAATTCCTCTGGGTTTAAAGAATGTGACTTGCCCAAGGTCTCCGTCTAGTTTAGGAGAGCTAGGAATTAGGTCACCTTTCCCTGTACAAAGAGGATTTTGACACGCTGCTGTGGGGGACCTTTGCCGACTCCCCCACTCTCTCCCAGCCACCTCCCAGGGCTGTGAAAGCTGGAAAGAGGCTGGGGAACCAACTGGCAGAGACCAGAGAGCCACAGAGAGAAACTGAGTCACACCAAAGACAAAGCCAAGAAGGATCTAGAAAGTCAGGCTATTGCCCAGGCACAGTGGCTCATGCCTGTTATCCCAGCACTTTGGGAGGCCGAGGAGGGAGGATACTTGAGGCCAGGAATTTGAGATCAGCCTGGGCAACAGAGCAAGACCCTGTCTGTATTTAGAAAAAAAAAAAAAAAAGAAAAATTTTTAAGTCAAGCCACTGACATCTGTGGAGCCACCTAGGGCCCAGACGTCTCCTCAGCGTTCCCTCATAATGATCCTGCATTGCTTGAAATAACTTGACTCTAGTCCTTCCACCCAAGGAAGTCCTGGTGCCACAGTTCACCCTCTCAGTTCCAGTTTCTGTCTGGAACAGCAGGCCACCTGACTTCCTCTGCCTGTGTGGGATGAATACCCCACCCAGTTCTTGGCCTCCTGACTTCTCCTTTCTCACTCATTATGCCCCATAGGTGTTCTGCTGAGTCATTACCTTAGATATCAGCAGCACAACGGCTGAGAGGTCTTTGGGGTCACCTTTACCGAACTTCGGGGCGTCCAGAGTCTCCTCCCATGCACGTTTGGGTAAGGTACTTGACTCTCCTCTGTGGGTGTCTCAACACTCAGTTTTTATCAGTTTCAATTCTAGACACTGCACTTTTCCAGACCTCAAACCCAAGTTCAGCTGCATCTCATCTCACCCCAGCTCCACAGCCACTGACAGCGTCTCCAGTGGCCCCAGCATCCTCCCCCTTCAGCCTTATACCCTCAGAATTTCAGAGTCAGGAGGAAGCATACGTGTCATTGAATCCTCACAACGCTCAAATCCCCTCTGCCATCATTAGTGGAGTCTGTCCTTTCTGACTAGACAGGCAGTGCAGCTCCCGCAGCCCGAGGGAGACCCCACCACAGCTCCCAGGCACCGAAGTGAGTCCTGCTTACCTTCCTGTCCTGCCCTTGGAACCGCACAGTTGGTCCCCTCCCTCTTCCTCGGCGCAGCCCCTCCAGGGTTAAGGCACTTGGGCAGAGCTCCTCTGTTCTTTCCTGTCTCTTCCGGGCTAACCATGTCCAGTTCCTCTCATCTCTGCTCAGACGCGTCCGTGTTCAATCCCCTCACTAACCTACTCACTCCTCTCTAATCATGTGCTAGGCTCACAGTGCTTCTCAGGCTTTAACATGCCTCCAAATCACCTGGGCTCTCATCAGTTCTCACTTTTGGATTCCGTAGGTCTGCGGTGGGGCCTGGCAGTCAGTTTCTGACAGCTCCCAGGTGAGGCGGGTGCTGCAGGTCTGCCACTGTGAGCAGCAAAGCTTCCACTTGGGATCGCCCTTTGACCTGGAATCTTCTGGAGCTTGTTAGAAGTCCCAGCCCAGACCACCTGCATCAGATTCTGCAGTTCAACAAGATCCACAGATGCACCGTATACTCTTTAATGTATGAACAACTAGAACAGATGTTGGCAACCACGGCTGCACATTAGAATCACCTGGGAGATTGGAAAACCATCCCAATGCCCAGCAGCACCCCAGACCAATTACATCAGCAAGTATGGTCTAGGCATCAGCATCATTATAAAGCTCCTCAGGTGATTCCAGTGCACAACCAGGGCTGAGAGCTCTGCTGCAGAGCCCTAACATGCAGGCTCTACCTTTGAGACCACGGTCTTAGAAAGACAGGACATGGTCTACTCCCTCAAGCTTCTCCAGTCATAGCCTTAAGTCCCAACAGCTCTGGGCAGCTATCCGCATTTCCGGCTTTTTTGAGGCATTACTGAATAGCAGTTAGGAGCTCTATTCTTGAGTCAGGTAGACCTGGATCTGAGTCTTAATTCCAGCATTTATTAACTGTGTGATCTCAGAAAATTTCCCGAATTTCTCTGTGCCTCAGTTCCGTCATGTGTAAAATGGAGCAAAGATATAGTAACATCTCTTAAAGTTACTGAAAGGGTTGAATCAAATGAGGAAAACATATACAGTGTGTAGAACAGTGTTACAGCCCTGCCTGCCTAGGGCTCATTGATGGTTAGTTGCTGTTATGTTTTTACTGTCATTATTATTATTACTTTTGAGACAGAATCTCACTGCGTCACTCAGGCCGGAGTGTAGTGACACGATCTCGGCTCACTAAAACCTCCGCCTCCTGGGTTCAAATGATTCTGCTGCTTCGGCCTCCCGAGTAGCTGGGACTACAGGCATGCACCACCACGCCTGGCTAATTTTTGTATTTTTAATAGAGACGGGGTTTCACCATGTTAGCCAGGCTGGTCTCGAACCCCTGACCTCAGGTGATCCACACCTCAGCCTCCTAAAGTGCTGGGATTACAGGTGTGAGCCACCGCACCCAGCCAGTTGCTGTTTATTTATATTAATGTTAAAACCCCTGTGCCTGTGTGTGATCTATTTGTGCTGCCGCTAAGCCACATTGGCTCATTGTATCAGTTGAGGTTTCCCTTTGCAAGGCTCATGTTTAACCAATTCTGGCTAACGAAGGCAGAAAAGAAGTGTATCACGTGACTGTACCCAAACCTAAGGACAGGGATGAGGCCAGCTCCAAGTATCTCAGCTAGAAAATTACAAGTGTGGCTGGGCACGGTGGCTCACAGCTATAATCCCAGCCCTTTTGGAGCCCAAGGCGGCTGGATCCCCAGGTGCTCTCAGCCCTGGTTGCGCACTGGAATCAGCTGGGGAGCTTTACGATGATGCTGATGCCTAGACCATACTTGCTGATGTAATTGATCTGGGGTGCTGCTGGGCACTGGGAGGGTTTTCCAGTGTCTCAGGTGATTCTAATGTGCGGCTGTGGTTGCCAACCTCTGCTCTAGTTTTTCAAACATTAAAGAGTATACAGTGCACCTGTGGATCTTGTTGAACTGCAGAATTTGATGCAGGAGGTCTGGGCTAGGGCTTCTAACAATCTCCAGGAGAGTCCAGGCAGCAGGACTGGGAGGTCTGGAGTTCGAGACCAGCCTGGCCAACACGGCAAAACCCCATCTCTACTAAAAATACAAAACTTAGCTGGGCATGGTGGCGGGCACCTGTAATCCCCGCTACTTGGGAGGCTGAGGCAGGAGAATCACTTGAGCCCAGGAGGTGGAGGTTGCAGTGTGCCGAGATCATGCTATTGCACTCCAGCCTGGATGACAAAAGTGAAACTCTGTTTCAAAAAAAAGAAAGGGAGGGAAGGAAGGAAGGAGGAAGGGAGGGAGGGAAGGGAAGGAGGGAGGGAGGGAGGGAGGAAGGGAAGGAAGGAAGGAAAGAAGGAAGGAAGGAGGGAAAGATTTCAAGTGCTATCCTGAGAATGATTCCATCTCAACAGTTTCCTTAGGCCATTTAATTCAGTTCAAATTTCCAAGCCAAAGTATTTGCCCCTTAGTGGGAGGTAAGGAGTCCTTTCAATAACATTTCCACCAGAACCACACAGAACCGGGGCTTGTTCTTCAAGAGAAGCCAGAGGCTGTCACCCTAGTAAAAGAAGGCACAGGCTGGCCAGGCAGCAGGAGACATCCACTTCAACCCAGTTATATTTTGAACCCAAAGGCACAACCACGTCTTTATCTTTATTACATTTTTAAATGGATGTTGAGTGTTTATTTTCCTCCAGGTTATTGGTAGAGAGTGTTTTAATATTTTTATCACTCCAAAAAGAAACCTTGTCCGCATTAGCAGTCACTTATCATTCCACCTTCACCCCAGTTTCTGGAAACCACCAAGCCACTTTCTGTGTTTATAGATTGGCCTGTTCTGAACATTTTATAATGCATGAAATTTTACCCTATGTGGTCTTTTGTGACTGGCTTCCTTCACTTCAGATATATTTCCAGGCTGGTCGTGGTGTCTCACACCTATAATCACAGTACTTTGTGAGACCGAGGTGGGTAGATCGTTTGAGCCCAGGAGTTTGAGAACAGCCTGGGCAACATGGCGAAACCCCATCTCTACTAAAAATACAAAAATCAGTCAGGCATGGTGGTGAGCACCTGCATTCCCAGCTGTTTTGGGGGCTGAGGCACGAGGATCACCTGAACCTTGGGAGATCCAGGCTGCAGTGAGCCGTGATCAGGCCGCTGCACTCCAGCCTGGGCAACAGAGTGAGATACTGTCTCAAAACATTTAATTTTAAAAAAAAAGAATCTTTCCAAGGGTCATCCATGATGTAGCATGGATCACAATTCCATTCCTTTTTACGGCTGAATAATATTACATTGTATTATGTGCCACATTTTATTTATCCATTCATCAGTTGATGAATATTTGTGTTGTTCCCACCTTTTGTCTACTATGAAAATGCTTCTATGAATATTCTTTTTTTTTTTTTAGATTTCCTCAAATTCCTTTTTGTCATGTTATGAATATTCTTGTACAGGTCTTTGTGTGGACCTAGGTTTTCAGTTCTTTGGTGTACACACTTAGCAGTAAAACTGCTGGGTCATATGGGAACTCTATACTCAACATTTTGAAGAACTGCCTGTTTACCACACTCTTTTCCAGGGTGTGGCATGGTGACTCACATCTGTAATCCTAGCACTTTGGGAGGCCAAGGCAGAAGGATCACTTGAGGAGTTCAAGGTCAGCCTGAGCAACATAATAAGACCCTGCCTCTACCAAGAAAAAAAAAATATATATATATATATATACACGTATATATATACGCGTATATATATACACGTATATATATACACATATACACACGTATATATATACACGTATATATACACACGTATATATATACACGTATATATACACACATATATATACACGTATATATACACACATATATACACGTATATATACACACGTATATATACACGTATATATACACACGTATATATACACGTATATATACACACGTATATATACACGTATATATACACACGTATATATACACGTATATATACACACGTATATATACACGTATATATACACACGTATATATACACGTATATATACACACGTATATATACACGTATATATACACACGTATATATACACGTATATATACACACGTATATATACACGTATATATACACACGTATATATACACGTATATATACACACGTATATATACACGTATATATACACACGTATATATACACGTATATATACACACGTATATATACACGTATATATACACACGTATATATACACGTATATATACACACGTATATATACACGTATATATACACATATATATACACGTATATACGTATATATACACATATACGTATGTATATACACACATATACACGTATATATATATGTACATATATACACACATATATACGTACATATACATACACACACACATATATATACACACACACATATATATGTGTATATATACACATACATATATATAAAAAATATATAGCTGGGTGTGGTGGCCTGCACTGATACTCTTAAATACTCAGGAGGCCGAGTGGGTAGGATCACTTGAGCCAGGAGGTTGAGGCTACAGTGAGCTATAATTGTATCACTGCACTCTAGCCTGAGCAACAGAGTGAAAACTTATCTCAAAAATAAATAAGTAAATGAAACCAAAGGGGCTGCACCAGTTTGCATTTTCACTGGCAATATATGAGGTTTCCAAATTTCTTCACATCTTCATCAAAACTTGTTACTAGCCAGGCACAGAGCCTGATGTCTGTCATTCCGGCATTTTGGGAGGCTGAGGTGGAAGGATTGCTGGAGACCAAGAGTTTCAGACCAGCCTGGGCAACACAGTAAGACCCTGTCTCAAAAAAAAAAAATTGATTAGCTGGGTGTGATGGCATGCACCTGTGGTCCCAGGTGGGGAGGCTGATGCAGGAGGATCTCTCGAGCCCAGGAAGTCAAGGCTGCAGCGAGCCATGTTCATGCCTCTGCATTCCAGCCTGGACAACAGAGTGAGACTCTTTCCAAACAAACAAACAGACAAAAAAAACAAAAGCACACAAAACTTGTTATTGCCTGTCTTTTTTTATTCTTAATAAGATTGAAATGGTATTTCATTGTGTGTTGCTGTTTGTTTTTTTTGCGGGGGGTGGGGGGTTTGAGACAGAGTCTTGCTCTGTCATCCAAGCTGGAGTGCAGTGGCACAATCATAACTTAATACAGCCTTGACCTCCTAGGCTCAAGCGATCCTCCCACCTCAGCATCCCAACTAGGTAAGACTATAGGTGCATGCCACCATCCTTGGCTAATTTAAAAAAAAAATGTTTTTGTATAGATGGGGTCTCAATATGTTGCCCAGGATTGTCTCAAACTCCTGGCCTCAAGCCATCCTCCTGCCTCAGTCTCCCAAAATGCTGGGATAACATGCATGAGCCACCATACCAGAACTTCAACGTGCTTTTCTTTCGTTTTTTGTTTTTGTTTTTGTTTTTGTTTTTTGAGACAGAGTTTTGCTCTTGTTGCCCAGGCTGGAGTGCAATAGTGTGATCTCTGCTCACCACAACCTCCACCTCCCAGGTTCAAGTGATTCTCCTGCCTCAGCCTCCCGGGTAGCTGGGATTATAGGCATGCGCCACCACGCCCGGCTAATTTTGTATTTTTAGTAGAGATGGGGTTTCTCCATATTGCTCAGGCTGGTCTCGAACTCCCAACCTCAGGTGATCCACCTGCCTCAGCCTCCCAAAGTGCTGGGATTACAAAGGCATGAGCCACCGCACCCGACCCTCAATGTGCTTTTCATGCCAGACCTTCAAATGCTTTTCCAATTTGCATTTCCCTGATGACTAATAATAGTGAGCATTTTTTAATATGCCTATTCCGTGTTACATTTTATTCTATTAGATTCAACCCATTATTTCAACTGATCACATTTGCATCAGTTTTCACTTTTTTCAGTTCCCAGTCAAATGCAAATATCAAGGGAGTGGCCTAGCTATAGCCTGTTTGCTGAAAAATGAAAACAACTGAGCATGTTGAGCTGGTGAAAGAACACTGCAGTTTGCATAAGGAACCAGTTTAAGTTGACATTGAAGCTTATGTAGCCATCGCTGAGAAAGAGTGGATTCTTCAGTCAGGTGCAGTGGCTCACACCTATAATCCCAGCACTTTGGGAGGCCAAGGTGGGAGGATTGCTTGAGCCCAGGAGTTAGAGACCAGCCTGGGCAACATAGACCCTGTGTCTACAAAAAAAATTAAAAATTAGTTGGGCGAGGTGGCACACGCTTGTGAGTCCAGCTACTTGGGAGG
The DNA here is from genome assembly GCF_000001405.40 of Homo sapiens. Classification (NCBI taxonomy): domain Eukaryota; kingdom Metazoa; phylum Chordata; class Mammalia; order Primates; family Hominidae; genus Homo; species Homo sapiens. The sequence goes on along the minus strand of NC_000015.10, from coordinate 59,537,287 downwards.
CTGAGGTGGGAGGATCTTTTGAGCCCAAGAGGTCAAGGCAGCAGTGAGCAAAGCCATGTTCATGCCACTGCACTCCAGCCTGGGTGACAGAGGGAGACTCTGTCTCAAAAAATAAAATTAAATTTAAAAAACCCACATACACACACACACACACACACACACACACACAAAGAGTGGAGTCTTCTCTTCATAGCTCTAACCTAATCCCTCCTTCTTTCTTTCTTTCTTTCTTTCTTTTTTTTTTGAGACAGAATCTTGCTCTGTCACCCAGGCTGGAGTGCAGTGGTGTGATCTGGGCTCAGTGCAACCTCTGCCTCCTGGGTTCAAGTGATTATCCTGCCTCAGCCTCCTGAGTAGCTGGGATTACAGGCATGTACCACCACATGAGGCTAATTTTTGTAGTTTTAGTAGGGATGGGGTTTCAGCATCTTGGACCAAGCTGGTCTTGAACCCCGACCTCGTGACCCACCTGTCTCAGCCTCCCAAAGTGCTGGGATTTCAGGTATGAGTCACCGCGCCTGGCCCCTAATCCCACTTTCATTACGGGGCTCTCTCTAATCAGCATCTGCCCAGGGGCTGGTTCAACCAGCCACTTTGCACTTTAAGCAGCTGCTCTTTCAGCCATCTGAGTCTCTTCCTCACATTTGCCAGCTTAGCCCCCAAACTAGCCTCAAGAACACATCCATGTAGAAGAAACCATGTCTCCTTTCTCAAGAAATACTCAACATCGCTCCTGCTTGACTGGCTTCCTCCTTCCTAGGTTCACGCTGTCACACCTAAGAATGAGCAGGTGAGAAGATGCTGCTCGGTTCTTGCCTTAAAGCGGGATGATCCTGCCATCTTGGAGAAGACCCAGGCTGGTGTTTGCTCCTTTAAGCGACTGGGACTCCCAAATCTGCAGACTTTCTAGCATCCTGCAGGGTGGCCATGGTCTAGTTGAGCAGCCAGAAAGAAGCTCATCAATTGGAATGGAGTTTGTCTCCTGTTTCTAGTTTCTTCATCCAGAGCGGAATTTTTCAAGATGTGGTCCAAGGACGACCTGAGTCAGACTCACCCCAGGTCTAGGTGAATGTCCACAACCACTGAAGCAGAATCTTCATGGGGTAGATTCTAAACAAAACCTACATTTGGAAGAAGCTCCTTAAGAATTATTCTGCATAATAAAACATATAAAACAGACACCTAGAGGTATTATTAGCTTGCTGCAAAAGTAGTTGCAGTTTTTGCCATTACTATTGTGCCAACCTAGTATTATCAATTTATTGCTAATTGACACAGATATTTAGATGACTCTTTGAAAACTTATATTTTTGGCCAGGTGCAGTGGCTCACACCTGTAATACCAATGCTTTGGGAGCCTGAAGCAGGAAGATCACTTGACTGAGGCCAGGAGTTTGACACCAGCCTAGACAACATAGTGAGACCCCATCTCCACAAATTAACACACACACACACACACACACACACACACACACACATTTTTGTCCAATGGCAGACATCTCATAATCGGCAGAGTGAAGACTCAAACCCTTTGCCTTGTGTTCCTTCCCCTATGTGACAGCTGCCTTGCTTTTGTCTGTCGAACCCTCAGGGGCAAAGCCCTGCACAGCCTGTCACCTGCTTGACACCAGAAAGCCCCGTCACTTTTTGTGGCAGGTGAAGGGTCCCTGGATTTCACTCCACCTCTTAAATTTCCTCTCCCTGTCCTTTCCAAAACACATGCTGCAAACCAAAGAATCCTGAAATGTATTTTAAGCAACTGTAGGATATATATCCATGTAACCCAGATATGAGGTAACTTATATCAATCTTCCCTCACCACGCCATTCCCCAGCAAACGGAAGTGACTGCACACAAATTTAAATAACTGTTGACTCAACTCAGCTTTTTGCACCAAAGCATATCAGAGATTACTGCTCACTTGTGATTGGCTGTCCTTGATAGCACATCTGCCTTGGTCCATTCAGCTGTGACGAGGGACATAGGACACCTGGGCAACAGAGACTGTGGGGGGACAGTTTCATTTAGAGTGGTGGGCAGAGCAGTCACCATACCTGACATTTCTAGTACAATCCACAAGGTAGTCAAGTCCCAGAAGACTGCTGAAAGTACATTTTATAATAACTAGTGTCAGGCCTCTGAGCCCAAGCCAAGCCATCGCATCCCTTGTGACTTGCACGTATACATCCAGATGGCCTAAAGTAACTGAAGATCCACAAAAGAAGTAAAAACAGCCTTAACTGATGACATTCCACCGTTGTGATTTGTTCCTGCCCCACCCTAACTGATCAATGTACTTTGTAATCTCCCCCACCCTTAAGAAGGTACTTTGTAGTCTCCCCCACCCTTAAGAAGGTTCTTTGTAATTCTCCCCACCCTTGAGAATGTACTTTGTGAGATCCACCCCTGCCCGCCAGAGAACAACTCCCTTTGACTGTAATTTTCCATTACCTTCCCAAATCCTATAAAATGGCCCCACCCCTATCTCCCTTCGCTGACTCTCTTTTCGGACTCAGCCCGCCTGCACCCAGGTGAAATAAACAGCCATGTTGCTCACACAAAGCCTGTTTGGTGGTCTCTTCACATGGACGCGTATGAAAACTAGCATTCCATATAGTTTCATACCATTTGCGGATTCACTGATGTTTCAAGTAGAAACAACACCGTCAGCCAGTTGCTGTAGTTTATGCCTGTAATCCCAGCGTTTTGGGAAGCCAAGGCAGGCAGATCACCTGAGGTCAGGAGTTCGAGACCAGCCTGACCAACATGGTGAAACCCCCATCTCTACTAAAAATACAAAACTAGCCAGGCATGGTGGCGCATGCCTGTAATCCGAGCTACTAGGGAGGCTGAGGCAGGAGAATCGCTTGAATCCAGGAGGTAGAGGTTGCAGTGAACCAAGATCATGCCATTCACTTCAGCCTGGGCAACAAGAATGAAATTCTGTCTCAAAAAAAAAAGACAGAAAAGAAAGAAAGAAAGAGAGAACATCCTCAAATAGAAACAATACCACCTACCTCTATGTTTTAATACATTTTCAGTAATAATATTTATTCAACAATACATATTAATTTCCTATTAACTATTGGTTTCTTTCTAGATATTAGAATACAGTTTATATTCTGAGAGGGATTAAGGGCCCAGAGTCGGGGAACTCACATTGTAAAGAGGGAAACTGCTTACCACAACCAAGCATTTTCAATGAGGAAAATCTGAAAATAATGAGGAGGCTTGATCCAAAGGGCCAAGCTACCTAAAATTACAATGGGCAGTGGGGATCTACTAGAAAAAGGTGTCACAGAGACACCTTAGAAACATGGCAGGAGGGATGATGAAAGAGAGGAGGGATTTTCAGGTTGAAATGAAAGACTTTTTTTTGTTTGTTTTTTTGTTTTGAGACAGAGTCTTGCTCTGTCGCCCAGGCTGGAGTGCAGTGGCCCAATCTCAGCTCACTGCAACCTCTGCCTCCTGGATTCAAGTGATTCTTCTGCCTTAGCCTTCTGAGTAGCTGGGATTACAGGTGCACATCACCGTGTCCAGCTAATTTTTGTATTTTTAGTAGAGATGGGGCTTCACCATGTTGGCCAGGCCTATCTTGAATTCCTGACCTCAAGTGATCCGCCCGCATCTGCCTCCTAAAGTTCTGGGATTACAGATGTGAGCCATTGGGCCCGACCTGAAATGAATGACTTTACACACGAATGCAATAATGTTAACTCCCATTCCCTTCTTACTGTCTGTCTTTCTTCTTTGCAGCTCTAAAGGTCAATGAAATGCAGACCTAAGAGAGTATGCAAAGAAAGCAAAGGTTTGACACAGGACTTCCTTCCCAGAAATTTTAGGACTAGAGTAAGGCTGTGCTAGGAAACTCACCAGACCTGGAGCCAAAGGAGCTGGGTATTCAGCCTTGCTTCACTGGCTATGTGACCTTGACCAAACTTTCTTGATATTTCATTTTTCTATTTGTAAAATGGAAGCTGTAATTTCTCTTTTTTCTTTAATTTCTTTTTGTTTCCCTAAGGTCTAAGATGGCTGCTAAGAAATAGTAATTTCCTACCCAGTGGGTAGGAAAGTGTCTGACACATAAATATTAAGCAAAATATTTACGCTTATTCACATATTCAATTAAAATTCATAACTTCAGTTTCTTCATCGGAGGATGAGAATAGTAATGGTAACACAGGGTTATTATAAGGGAGGTAAAGTGGTTTATCAATTACAAAGTCCCGTACATGTATCAGGTCATCATTATTTAAGACATGGGAGGTTGGCAGGGGTCGGTGCGGGGCAGCAGGTTCTCAAAAATTTAGCTTAATGCGCCACCTAGGGATAGACTACAGTTCTGCATTAGTTTTAGAAAAAGCTGAAATGAGGTGAAACTGAAATGATTTCTGCTTCCTGAATTTTATGAAGTCAGGCATATCTAGACCCTCTAGCTTTCAAAACACCTGTTTAAAAGAGGTCTGTAACAAAATTTATCTTTCACGTTGCCCAGAAACGACATGTGGAAGAAAAAATGTGCATGAGAGCACTTTGCGTGGAGACATTCTCAATAAATGATTAATTCAGTGGTCCCCCATATTTTTACCTTTCTTTTGTTTCTTTTTCTTTCTCAGAGATTTTTTTCTTTCTTTCTTTTTTTAGAGACAGGGTCTCACTATGTTTCCCAGGCTGGTCTCCTCCCTCAAGCAATCCTCCTCCCACCTCACCCTCCCAAAGTGCTGGGATTACAGGCGTGAGCCACTACACCCTGTCCCCCTGCCTTTTTTTTAGTGTTTTACCCCCAAACATAGACGTTTTACAAAGATCAGTTAATAACAGCGCATTAATCGATTTATCAATTTATTCTATTTCTCCTTTTTTTTGAAATAGGGTCTCACTCTGTCACCCAGGCTGGAGTGCAGTGGCACGATCCTGGCTCACGGCAACCTCCACCTCCCAGGTTCAAACAATTTTCCTGCCTCAGCCTGCCAAGTAGCTGGGATTACCAGCGCCCTCTGCCACACCCAGCTAATTTTTGTATTTTTAGTAGAGACGGGGTTTCACCATGTTGGCCAGGGTGGTCGTGAACTCCTGAACTCAACTGATCTGCCCTTCCAAAGTGCTGGGATTACAGGCATAAGCCACCACACCCGGCCTCTATTTCTCATTAATCAGAGACTTTAACCCATCTGGAACTATCGTTAAGTGATCTAATGGGTGTGGGACGCACTATAAAGAGCTGTCATAATATGAGACAACATAAGGACACCTGAGACCTTAGTTAACCTGCAAGTGCTTTCACGATTAGCACCTGACTTCTCATAGATATTTTTTTAAATATTGGGGAAAATGTAATCCTGCCTTCAAGTAGATCACAGTTTAGGGAGAAGACACCCATGTGTAGTTAATGGAAACAATAGTTTTGAAATTTACTAATTTGCTGGTGTCCCTTGCATTTCCTTGTCCTCCCCCTGACTTGCCCCGTCTTCTGCAGAGGCATCCATTTGCCCAAGAGGGAACTAGGACTGTTACAACAGGAACTCAAAGAGGACGCAGTCCATATTCAGTTTTGAAATTCAGAATAGATACCTGGAAAGCACAGAAAGACGATAGTCTTAAAAGCCAGGCTTTGTCATGAAAGAATTTTCTAAGTTCCTTTGGCTCCTAGAACTGTGTCAGAGTCACTAACTCTAAGCCTAAGTCAGATGACAAACTCACTTCCATGATGCAGAAGGAATACTCCTGCTACCATTAAGGGACTTAAGGCTCCCTCATCCCCCTAGAAAGGAAGAAATGACAGCGAGAAGGCCACCCTAGAGAGGAAGCAGAAATAGAAAGCCGGTTCTCTTTTTCACACAAGTGGAGTGTGGGGAGGAGAAAGGAACGTTGACAAACGTGTTCTCCCTTTTCTTCCTCTTGAGGTGAAACTCTGCAGTGGACAAACTGGTAAAAATGCCCAGGTAGGCTGGAGGTAGCTGAGAACCTTGTAGGAGGAAGAGGGAAGGTGAAGACTTACTAAAGACACCCGGCATTTGGTCCCGCCCAACATGGTTTGGGCAGCAGCACAGCAGCTGCTAGACAGGTAAACTCTAGGCCAGAGGGTTCCTGGGTGAGGCCAGAGGAAGTGATGGACCAGCAGGTGCCTGTGGCAAGGACAAGGGTCTGCTCTGTCCAGGACTTGTTCGCGGACACAGGGATGAGCACCTAGCACAATGTCGGGTACTCAAAAAGCCTTAGCTAGCCCTAGAGGGTATTGGTTTATTAGAACACGAGAGCCACACAGCACCAAAGGAAAAGCAGATAGGTGCTATGGAGAAACAGTGTGATAGCTACAGAAGCAAATTACTCTCCTTAAGCATTACGTCAGTTAGGGTCCATTCAAGAAAACAGAATCCTCCCTAGGTATTCCAAACACAGATAATTTAATAAAGGGAATTGGTCACCCACATTATGGAAACTGAGAAGCCAACCAGGAGATAATGAGTCATCCAGAGATTATAAGAGCAGGAAGCCCCTATTAGCCACGTGGCTGAAAGGACAACACATTGGCAACTAGATGGACATTGAATGCCTGAATCATAAATAGGCTTATTTTTATAAAAAATATTTAATAAGATGGCCAGGTGTGGTGGCTCACGCCTGTAATCCCAGCACTTTGGGAGGCCGAGGTGGGGGGATCACGAGGTCAGGAGTTTGAGACCAACCTGACCAACATGGTGAAACCCTGTCTCTACTAAAAATACAAAAATTAGCCGGGCATGGTGGCACTCACCTGTAATCCCAGCTACTCAGGAGGCTGAGGCAGGAGAATCGCTTGAACCCGGGAGGCGGAGGTTGCAGAGAGCCGAGGTCGCGCCACTGCACTCCAGCCTAGGTGACAGAGAGAGACTCAGTCTCAAAATAATAATAATAAGATGGCCAGGCGTGGTGGCTTACGCCTGTAATCCCAGCACTTTGGGAGGCCGAGGCTGGCAAATCACAAGATCAGGAGATCAAGATCATCCTAGCCAACATAGTGAAACCCTGTCTCTACTAAAAATACAAAAATTATCTGGGCGTACTGGCACATGCCTGTAATCCCAGCTACTCAGGAGGCTGAGGCAGGAGAATAGCTTGAACCAGGGAGTCAGAGATTGCAGTGAGCCGAGATCACACCACTGCACTCCAGCCTGGCAACAGAGCAAGACTCCATCTCAAAAAACAAACAAACAAGCAAACAAAAAGCAACAACAACAAAAAAAACCCAAAAACAAACCATATTTAATAAGATGTAGGTAAACTTTTATTTTTATTTATTTATTTTTTGAAACTAGGTCTCACTTTGCCACCCACGCTGGAGTGCATTGGGGTAGTCTCAGCTTACTGCAGCCTCGACCTCCTGGGCTCAGTGAGCCTCCCACCTGAGTCCCCAGAGTAGCTAAGACTAAATCTCACCTTGTTGCACAGGCTGGTATTGAACTCCTGAGTTCAAGTGATCTGCTTGCCTTAGCCTCCCAAAGTGCTGGGATTACAGGTGTCAGCCACAGCACCAGGCCAAGATGTAGGTACATTTTAAACATTAAAATCAGCTTTAAACAATTTTTGCTTAAAAATATATCTTTGGCCGGGCACAGTAGCTTACACCCGCATTCCCAGCACTTTGAGAGGCTAAGGCAGGCAGATCACTTGAGGTCAGGAGTTCCAGACCAGCCTGGCCAACATGGCAAAACTCCCTCTCTGCTAAAAATGCAAAAATTAGCTAGGAGTGGTGGCTCATGCCTGTAGTCCCGGCTATTGGGGAGGGTGAGACAGGAGAATGGCTGAAACCTGGGAGGTGGAGACTACAGTGAGCCGAGATTGCACTACTGCACTCCAGCCTGGGTGACAGAGTGAGACTCCGTCTCAAAAAAAAAAAAAAATCTTCTTTAACTTGTATTTTATCATTAAATACAGGCAAGAAGGCGGTTTGTTTTGGGAAAGGGCTGTTAATCACCTTGTTTTAAGAAACTAAGTTCCTCCCAAACTTAGTTCAGCCTATGCCCAGGAATGAACAAAGACAGCTTGGAGCTTAGAAGCAAGATGGAGTTGGCTAGGTCAGATCTTTTTTGCTGTCTCAGCTATAATTTTGCACTAGCGGTTTCATGATCTCCAAGGGCTCTTTTCCCGAGGCATTCCTTGGTTCTGGGTTCTCCCTAGTGAAACAGATTCCCTAGGAGTTTTCATTCTCTCCAGGTGGGGGCAGCAAAGGACAGTGAATCCCATGGGCGGGCCTGGTAGTGCTGTGGAGAGCTCCTCGCACTTCTCTGGCGGCTGGCAGTTAAGTGCTGGAAATCTGCAAACATCTTCGCTCCCCGCCCTCTCTTCCTCCATGTCTCAGAGGAGTCACACCTGCTCAGAGTCAGATCATTGCTTTACCTGTGGCCCAAGTCGGTTTAAAGAATAATTAAACTACAAGTTTGAAAATTAAACAAAGCATGGTAATTAGAAATAAAAACAGACCAGAGACCATCTAAAGCAATCAGATACCCCCAAGATAAGCTAATTATAAAAACTAAGCACTGAATTTAGCTCCAAATTTCTAGATATCAGGGCAGGGTCAGGATTAGGGTAAAGCAGCCTCAAATGCAAAAGGTAAGGAGAGGCCGGGTGTGGTGGCTCACACCAGTAATCCCAGCATTTTGGGAGGCTGAGTTGGGAGGATTCCTGGAGGCCAGGAGTTAAGACCTGCCTGGGCAACATAGTAAGACCCCATATCTACAAATTTTTTTTTTAATTTTAATTAGCCAGGCATGGTGGTGCACACCTGTAATCCTAGCTACTCAGGAGACTGAGGCTGTAATGAGCTATGAGCTATGATCACACCACAGCTTCCAGCCTGGGTGACAGAGGGAGACCCTGTTTTAAAAAAAAAAAAAAAAAAAAGTGATAAGGAGAGGGGAAGACCAAAACCTCAATAACCAAGTAAATCATATTTTAATGTAATATTTCTAAAAATCAAAATTAAAAAACCCTCACAAAAAATATGTCCAATTTTTGCATAAAAACATGTATATAGAGAGAAATACTTTGTCTTTTGCCTCAATTCCAAAATGACACCACATAGCACAGTCAGATCTGGTCTTTAGTTAAGATTTGATATTTTGTTCACCTGGAATTTTTTTTTTTTTAGACAGAGTCTCGCTCTGTTGCCCAGGCTGGAGTGCAGTGGCACGATCTCAGCTCACTGCAAGCTCCGCCTCCCGGGTTCGCATCATTCTCCTGCCTCAGCCTCCCGAGTAGCTGGGACTACAGGCGCCCACCACCACGCCCGGCTAATTTTTTGTATTTTTTAGTAGAGATGGGGTTTCACCGTGTTAGCCAGATGGTCTTGACCTCCTGACCTCGTGATCCGCCCGCCTTGGCCTCCCAAAGTGCTAGGATTACAGGTGTGAGCCACCGCGCCTGGCCCTGTTCATCTGGAATTTTTTAGTATTAATGGTGATCTTTTAAAATATTACATTAAAATATTGTAATCTTAGAGTATTTGGTGCCCCTCTAAATTTATCAAGGTGAATGCCTCACTGTGACTCACCTTCATCCCAGACCTGCGAGGGGCCCCTCACTAGGGAGCATCAGAATCCCTGGACTCCCCTGGCCAACAAGCCCTTGCCAGGCATCCCACATGCCCAGGATGCCCTAGGGCAAGCCTGGCAGACCCACAGTTCACAAGACACCACCCCATCGGCCTTGGGCTGGCTCTTCCCCCTGCATCCGGTGCCAGCCACCAAATCCTTCCCAACACAGTGCTCCAGGCACCTCTATCTACTGATCAGAACTGACAGATGAGATAAAAATCTTTTTTAAAAAATTTATTGTGGTAAGGACATGTAACATGAGATCTACCCTCTTAACGAAGTTTTAAGTGTATAACACATGGCTGTTGACTATAGGTGCAATGTTATACGGCAGATCTCTAGAGTTGTGTTTTGTTTTGTTTTGTTTTGTTTTGTTTTTTTGAGATGGAGTCTTGCTCTGTCGCTCAGGCTGGAGTGCAATGGCATGATCTCAGCTCACTGCAACCTCTGCCTCCCAGGTTAAAGTGATTCTCCTGCCTCAGCCTCCCGAGTAGCTGGGATTACAGGTGCATGCCACCACGCCTGGCTAATTTTTTTATTTTTAGTAGAGACAGAGTTTCACCATGTTGGCCAGGCTGGTCTCAAACTCCTGACCTCAGGTGATCTACCTGACTTGGCCTCCCAAAGTGCTGGGATTACAGGCTTGGGCCACCATGTCTGGCCAGATCTCTAGAGTTTATTCATCTTGCTTAAAGATAAAATCTTAAAAATAAAGACCTAGGAAATTATTCTAACAGGGACAACTGACATAATATTGTAGGAATGAGACTGGAGAGGATTTCCAGCTCCAAAGCTCATTTTAGGCTGACAGATGATGGTGCAGAGCTGTAGATAGGGC